>NC_000012.12:34850001-36050001 GCF_000001405.40 Homo sapiens | reverse complement strand
AATACACACACCACAAATAAGTTACTGAGAATTCTTCTGTGTAACATTATATGAGGAAATCCCGTTTCCAACGAAGGCCTCAAAGAGGTCCAAATATCCACTTGCAGACTTTACAAAGACAGTGTCTCCAAACTCCTCCATCAAAAGAAAGGTTATACTCTGTGAATTGAACGCACACATCACAAAGTAGTTTCTGAGAATGATTCTGTCTAGTTTTTATACGAAGATATTTCCTTTTCTACATTTGGCCTAAAAGCGCTTGAAATCTCCACCTGCAAATATCACAAAAAGAGGGTTTCACATCTGCTCTGTCTAAAGGACAGTTCACCTCTGTGAGTTGAATAGAGGCAACACAAAGAACTTACTCAGTATTCTTCTTTCTAGCGTTCTATGAAGAAATCCCGTTTCCAACGAAGGCCCCAAAGAGGTCCAAATATCTGCTTGCAGACTTTACAGACAGAGTGTTTCCAAACTACTCTATGAAAAGAAAGCTTAAACTCCTTGAGTTGAACGCACACATCACAAAGTAGTTTCTGAGAATGATTCTGTCTAGTTTTTATACGAAGATGTTTCCTTTTCTACATTTGGTCTCAAAGCGATTGAAATCTCCAACTGGAAACTGCACAAATAGGCTGTTTCAAATCTGCTCTGTCTAAAGGAAGGTTCAACTCTGTGAGTTGAATACACACACCACAAATAAGTTACTGAGAATTCTTCTGTCGAACATTACATGAAGAAATCCCGTTTCCAACGAACGGCCTCAAAGAGGTCCAAATATCCACTTGCAGACATGACAAACAGAGTGTTTCCAAACTGCTCCATCAAAAGAAAGGTTAAACTCTGTGAGCTGAACACACACATCAAAAAGAAGTTTCTGTGAATGATTCTGTCTAGATTTTATAAGAAGATGTTTCCTTTTCTTCTGTAGGCCTCAAAGCGCTTGAATTCTCCAACTGCAAATTCCAGAAGAAGGGTGTTTAACATCTGCTCTTCTAAAGGAGAGTTCAACTCTATGAGTTGAATACACACAGCACAAAGAAGTTACTGAGACTTCTCCTATCAAACATTATATGAAGAAATCCCGTTTCCAACGAAGGCCTCAAAGAGGTCCAAATATCTGCTTGCAGACTTTACAGACAGAGTGTTTCCAAACTGCTCCATCAAAAGAAAGGTTAAACTCCTTGAGTTGAACACACACATCACAAAGTAGTTTCTGTGAATGATTCTGTCTAGTTGTTATACGAAGATGTTTCCTTTTCTACCTTTGGTCTCAAAGCGATTGAAATCTCCACATGGAAACTCCACAAAAAGAGTGTTTCAAATCTGCTCTTTCTGAAGGAAGGTTCATCTCTCTGAGTTGAATACACACACCACAAATAAGTTACTGAGAATTCTTCTGGGTAACATTATATGAGGAAATCCCGTTTCCAACGAAGGCCTCAAAGAGGTCCAAATATCCACTTGCAGACTTTACAAAGACAGTGTCTCCAAACTCCTCCATCAAAAGAAAGGTTATACTCTGTGAATTGAACGCACACATCACAAAGTAGTTTCTGAGAATGATTCTGTCTAGTTTTTATACGAAGATATTTCCTTTTCTACATTTGGCCTAAAAGCGCTTGAAATCTCCACCTGCAAATATCACAAAAAGAGGGTTTCACATCTGCTCTGTCTAAAGGACAGTTCACCTCTGTGAGTTGAATAGAGGCAACACAAAGAACTTACTCAGTATTCTTCTTTCTAGCGTTGTATGAAGAAATCCCGTTTCCAACGAAGGCCCCAAAGAGGTCCAAATATCTGCTTGCAGACTTTACAGACAGAGTGTTTCCAAACTACTCTATGAAAAGAAAGCTTAAACTCCTTGAGTTGAACGCACACATCACAAAGTAGTTTCTGAGAATGATTCTGTCTAGTTTTTATACGAAGATGTTTCCTTTTCTACATTTGGTCTCAAAGCGATTGAAATCTCCAACTGGAAACTGCACAAATAGGGTGTTTCAAATCTGCTCTGTCTAAAGGAAGGTTCAACTCTGTGAGTTCAATACACACACCACAAATAAGTTACTGAGAATTCTTCTGTCGAACATTACATGAAGAAATCCCGTTACCAACGAAGGCCTCAAAGAGGTCCAAATATCCACTTGCAGACATTACAAACAGTGTGTTTCCAAACTGCTCCATCAAAAGAAAGGTTAAACTCTGTGAGCTGAACACACACATCAAAAGGAAGTTTCTGTGAATGATTCTGTCTAGATTTTATAAGAAGATGTTTCCTTTTCTACCGTAGGCCTCAAAGCGCTTGAAATCTCCAGCTGCAAATTCCACAAAAAGGGTGTTTAACATCTGCTCTTCTAAAGGAAAGTTCAACTCTATGAGTTGAATACACACAGCACAAAGAAGTTACTGAGACTTCTTCTGTCTAACATTATATGAAGAAATCCCGATTCCAACGAAGGCCTCAAAGAGGTCCAAATATCTGCCTGCAGACTTTACAGACAGAGTGTTTCCAAACTGCTCCATCAAAAGAAAGGTTAAACTCCTTGAGTTGAACACACACATCACAAAGTAGTTTCTGTGAATGATTCTGTCTAGTTTTTATACGAAGATGTTTCCTTTTCTACCTTTGGTCTCAAAGCGATTGAAATCTCCACATGGAAACTCCACAAAAAGAGTGTTTCAAATCTGCTCTTTCTGAAGGAAGGTTCATCTCTGTGAGTTGAATACACACACCACAAATAAGTTACTGAGAATTCTTCTGTGTAACATTATATGAGGAAATCCCGTTTCCAACGAAGGCCTCAAAGAGGTCCAAATATCCACTTGCAGACCTTACAAAGACAGTGTCTCCAAACTCCTCCATCAAAAGAAAGGTTATACTCTGTGAATTGAACGCACACATCACAAAGTAGTTTCTGAGAATGATTCTGTCTAGTTTTTATACGAAGATATTTCCTTTTCTACATTTGGCCTAAAAGTGCTTGAAATCTCCACCTGCAAATATCACAAAAAGAGGGTTTCACATCTGCTCTGTCTAAAGGACAGTTCACCTCTGTGAGTTGAATAGAGGCAACACAAAGAACTTACTCAGTATTCTTCTTTCTAGCGTTCTATGAAGAAATCCCGTTTCCAACGAAGGCCTCAAAGAGGTCCAAATATCTGCTTGCAGACTTTACAGACAGAGTGTTTCCAAACTACTCTATGAAAAGAAAGCTTAAACTCCTTGAGTTGAACGCACACATCACAAAGTAGTTTCTGAGAATGATTCTGTCTAGTTTTTATACGAAGATGTTTCCTTTTCTACATTTGGTCTCAAAGCGATTGAAATCTCCAAATGGAAACTGCACAAATAGGGTGTTTCAAATCTGCTCTGTCTAAAGGAAGGTTCAACTCTATGAGTTGAATACACACACCACAAATAAGTTACTGAGAATTCTTCTGTCTAACATTATATGGAGAAAACCCGTTTCCAACGAAGGCCTCAAAGAGGTCCAAATATCCACTTGCAGACTTTTCAAACAGAGTGTTTCCAAACTGCACCATCAAAAGAAAAGTTAAACACTGTGAGCTGAACACACACATCACAAAGTAGTTTCTGTGAATGATTCTGTCTAGTTTTTATACGAAGAATGTTTCCTTTTCTACCTTTGGTCTCAAAGCGATTGAAATCTCCACATGGAAACTCCACAAAAAGAGTGTTTCAAATCTGCTCTTTCTGAAGGAAGTTTCAACTCTGTGAGTTGAATACACACACCACAAATAAGTTACTGAGAATTCTTCTGTGTAACATTATATGAGGAAATCCCGTTTCCAACGAAGGCCTCAAAGAGGTCCAAATATCCACTTGCAGACTTTACAAAGACAGTGTCTCCAAACTCCTCCATCAAAAGAAAGGTTATACTCTGTGAATTGAACGCACACATCACAAAGTAGTTTCTGAGAATGATTCTGTCTGGTTTTTATACGAAGATATTTCCTTTTCTACATTTGGCCTAAAAGCGCTTGAAATCTCCACCTGCAAATATCACAAAAAGAGGGTTTCACATCTGCTCTGTCTAAAGGACAGTTCACCTCTGTGAGTTGAATAGAGGCAACACAAAGAACTTACTCAGTATTCTTCTTTCTAGCGTTCTATGAAGAAATCCCGTTTCCAACGAAGGCCCCAAAGAGGTCCAAATATCTGCTTGCACACTTTACAGACAGAGTGTTTCCAAACTACTCTATGAAAAGAAAGCTTAAACTCCTTGAGTTGAACGCACACATCACAAAGTAGTTTCTGAGAATGATTCTGTCTAGTTTTTATACGAAGATGTTTCCTTTTCTACATTTGGTCTCAAAGCGATTGAAATCTCCAACTGGAAACTGCACAAATAGGGTGTTTCAAATCTGCTCTGTCTAAAGGAAGGTTCAACTCTGTGAGTTGAATACACACACCACAAATAAGTTACTGAGAATTCTCCTATCAAACATTATATGAAGAAATCCCGTTTCCAACGAAGGCCCCAAAGAGGTCCAAATATCCACTTGCAGACATTACAAACAGAGTGTTTCCAAACTGTTCCATCAAAAGAAAGATTAAACTCTGTGAGCTGAACACACACATGAAAAAGAAGTTTCTGTGAATGATTCTGTCTAGATTTTATACGAAGATGTTTCCTTTTCTACCTTTGGTCTCAATGCGATTGAAATCTCCACATGGAAACTCCACAAAAAGTGTGTTTCAAATCTGCTCTTTCTGAAGGAAGGTTCAACTCTGTGAGTTGAATAAACACACCACAAATAAGTTACTGAGAATTCTTCTGTGTAACATTATATGAGGAAATCCCGTTTCCAACGAAGGCCTCAAAGAGGTCCAAATATCCACTTGCAGACTTTACAAAGACAGTGTCTCCAAACTCCTCCATCAAAAGAAAGGTTATACTCTGTGAATTGAACGCACACATCACAAAGTAGTTTCTGAGAATGATTCTGTCTAGTTTTTATACGAAGATATTTCCTTTTCTACATTTGGCCTAAAAGCGCTTGAAATCTCCACCTGCAAATATCACAAAAAGAGGGTTTCACATCTGCTCTGTTTAAAGGACAGTTCACCTCTGTGAGTTGAATAGAGGCAACACAAAGAACTTACTCAGTATTCTTCTTTCTAGCGTTCTATGAAGAAATCCCGTTTCCAACGAAGGCCCCAAAGAGGTCCAAATATCTGCTTGCAGACTTTACAGACAGAGTGTTTCCAAACTACTCTATGAAAAGAAAGCTTAAACTCCTTGAGTTGAACGCACACATCACAAAGTAGTTTCTGAGAATGATTCTGTCTAGTTTTTATACGAAGATGTTTCCTTTTCTACGTTTGGTCTCAAAGCGATTGAAATCTCCAACTGGAAACTGCACAAATAGGCTGTTTCAAATCTGCTCTGTCTAAAGGAAGGTTCAACTCTGTGAGTTGAATACACACACCACAAATAAGTTACTGAGAATTCTTCTGTCGAACATTACTTGAAGAAATCCCGTTTCCAACGAAGGCCTCAAAGAGGTCCAAATATCGACTTGCAGACATTACAAACAGAGTGTTTCCAAACTGCTCCATCAAAAGAAAGGTTAAACTCTGTGAGCTGAACACACACATCAAAAAGAAGTTTCTGTGAATGATTCTGTCTAGATTTTATAAGAAGATGTTTCCTTTTCTACCGTAGGCCTCAAAGCGCTTGAAATCTCCAGCTGCAAATTCCACAAAAAGGGTGTTTAACATCTGCTCTTCTAAAGGAAAGTTCAACTCTATGAGTTGAATACACACAGCACAAAGAAGTTACTGAGACTTCTCCTATCAAACATTATATGAAGAAATCCCGTTTCCAACGAAGCCCTCAAAGAGGTCCAAATATCTGCTTGCAGACTTTACAGACAGAGTGTTTCCAAACTGCTCCATCAAAAGAAAGGTTAAACTCCTTGAGTTGAACACACACGTCACAAAGTAGTTTCTGTGAATGATTCTGTCTAGTTTTTATAAGAAGATGTTTCCTTTTCTACCTTTGGTCTCAAAGCGATTGAAATCTCCACATGGAAACTCCACAAAAAGAGTGTTTCAAATCTGCTCTTTCTGAAGGAAGGTTCAACTCTGTGAGTTGAATACACACACCACAAATAAGTTACTGAGAATTCTTCTGTGTAACATTATATGAGGAAATCCCGTTTCCAACGAAGGCCTCAAAGAGTTCCAAATATCCACTTGCAGACTTTAGAAAGACAGTGTCTCCAAACTCCTCCATCAAAAGAAAGGTTATACTCTGTGAATTGAACGCACACATCACAAAGTAGTTTCTGAGAATGATTCTGTCTAGTTTTTATACGAAGATATTTCCTTTTCTACATTTGGCCTAAAAGCGCTTGAAATCTCCACCTGCAAATATCACAAAAAGAGGGTTTCACATCTGCTCTGTCTAAAGGACAGTTCACCTCTGTGAGTTGAATAGAGGCAACACTAAGAACTTACTCAGTATTCTTCTTTCTAGCGTTCTATGAAGAAATCTCGTTTCCAACGAAGGCCTCAAAGAGGTCAAAATATCTGCTTGCAGACTTTACAGACAGAGTGTTTCCAAACTACTCTATGAGAAGAAAGCTTAAACTCCTTGAGTTGAACGCACACGTCACAAAGTAGTTTCTGAGAATGATTCTGTCTAGTTTTTATACGAAGATGTTTCCTTGTCTACATTTGGTCTCAAAGCGATTGAAATCTCCAACTGGAAACTGCACAAATAGGGTGTTTCAAATCTGCTCTGTCTAAAGGAAGGTTCAACTCTGTGAGTTGAATACACACACCACAAATAAGTTACTGAGAATTCTTCTGTCGAACATTACATGAAGAAATCCCGTTTCCAACGAAGGCCTCAAAGAGGTCCAAATATCCACTTGCAGACATTACAAACAGAGTGTTTCCAAACTGCTCCATCAAAAGAAAGGTTAAACTCTGTGAGCTGAACACACACATCAAAAAGAAGTTTCTGTGAATGATTCTGTCTAGATTTTATAAGAAGATGTTTCCTTTTCTACCGTAGGCCTCAAAGCGCTTGAAATCTCCAGCTGCAAATTCCACAAAAAGGGTGTTTAACATCTGCTCTTCTAAAGGAAAGTTCAACTCTATGAGTTGAATATACACAGCACAAAGAAGTTACTGAGACTTCTCCTATCAAACATTATATGAAGAAATCCCGTTTCCAACGAAGGCCTCAAAGAGGTCCAAATATCTGCTTGCAGACTTTACAGACAGAGTGTTTCCAAACTGCTCCATCAAAAGAAAGGTTAAACTCCTTGAGTTGAACACACACATCACAAAGTAGTTTCTGTGAATGATTCTGTCTAGTTTTTATACGAAGATGTTTCCCTTTCTACCTTTGGTCTCAAAGCGATTAAAATCTCCACATGGAAACTCCACAAAAACAGTGTTTCATATCTGCTCTTTCTGAAGGAAGGTTCAACTCTGTGAGTTGAATACACACAGCACAAATAAGTTACTGAGAATTCTTCTGTGTAACATTATATGAGGAAATCCCGTTTCCAATGAAGGCCTCAAAGAGGTCCAAATATCCACTTGCAGACTTTACAAAGACAGTGTCTCCAAACTCCTCCATCAAAAGAAAGGTTATACTTTGTGAATTGAACGCACACATCACAAAGTAGTTTCTGAGAATGATTCTGTCTAGTTTTTATACGAAGATATTTCCTTTTCTACATTTGGCCTAAAAGCGCTTGAAATCTCCACCTGCAAATATCACAAAAAGAGGGTTTCACATCTGCTCTGTGCTAAAGGACAGTTCACCTCTGTGAGTTGAATAGAGGCAACACAAAGAACTTACTCAGTATTCTTCTTTCTAGCGTTCTATGAAGAAATCCCGTTTCCAACGAAGGCCTCAAAGAGGTCAAATATCTGCTTGAAGACTTTACAGACAGAGTGTTTCCAAACTACTCTATGAAAAGAAAGCTTAAACTCCTTGAGTTGAACGCACACATCACAAAGTAGTTTCTGAGAATGATTCTGTCTAGTTTTTATACGAAGATGTTTCCTTTTCTACATTTGGTCTCAAAGCGATTGAAATCTCCAACTGGAAACTGCACAAATAGGCTGTTTCAAATCTGCTCTGTCTAAAGGAAGGTTCAGCTCTGTGAGTTGAATACACACACCACAAATAAGTTACTGAGAATTCTTCTGTCGAACATTACAGGAAGAAATCCCGTTTCCAACGAAGGCCTCAAAGAGGTCCAAATATCCACTTGCAGACATTACAAACAGTGTGTTTCCAAACTGCTCCATCAAAAGAAAGGTTAAACTCTGTGAGCTGAACACACACATCAAAAAGAAGTTTCTGTGAATGATTCTGTCTAGATTTTATAAAAAGATGTTTCCTTTTCTACCGTAGGCCTCAAAGCGCTTGAAATCTCCAGCTGCAAATTCCACAAAAAGGGTGTTTAACATCTGCTCTTCTAAAGGAAAGTTCAACTCTATGAGTTGAATACACACAGCACAAAGAAGTTACTGAGACTTCTCCTATCAAACATTATATGAAGAAATCCCGTTTCCAACGAAGGCCTCAAAGAGGTCCAAATATCTGCTTGCAGACTTTACAGACAGAGTGTTTCCAAACTGCTCCATCAAAAGAAAGGTTAAACTCCTTGAGTTGAACACACACATCACAAAGTAGTTTCTGTGAATGATTCTGTCTAGTTTTTATACGAAGATGTTTCCTTTTCTACCTTTGGTCTCAATGCGATTGAAATCTCCACATGGAAACTCCACAAAAAGAGTGTTTCAAATCTGCTCTTTCTGAAGGAAGGTTCAACTCTGTGAGTTGAATACACACACCACAAATAAGTTACTGAGAATTCTTCTGTGTAACATTATATGAGGAAATCCCGTTTCCAACGAAGGCCTCAAAGAGGTCCAAATATCCACTTGCAGACTTTACAAAGACAGTGTCTCCAAACTCCTCCATCAAAAGAAAGGTTATACTCTGTGAATTGAACGCACACATCACAAAGTAGTTTCTGAGAATGATTCTGTCTAGTTTTTATACGAAGATATTTCCTTTTCTACATTTGGCCTAAAAGCGCTTGAAATCTCCACCTGCAAATATCACAAAAAGAGGGTTTCACATCTGCTCTGTTTAAAGGACAGTTCACCTCTGTGAGTTGAATAGAGGCAACACAAAGAACTTACTCAGTATTCTTCTTTCTAGCGTTCTATGAAGAAATCCCGTTTCCAACGAAGGCCCCAAAGAGGTCCAAATATCTGCTTGCAGACTTTACAGACAGAGTGTTTCCAAACTACTCTATGAAAAGAAAGCTTAAACTCCTTGAGTTGAACGCACACATCACAAAGTAGTTTCTGAGAATGATTCTGTCTAGTTTTTATACGAAGATGTTTCCTTTTCTACATTTGGTCTCAAAGCGATTAAAATCTCCAACTGGAAACTGCACAAATAGGGTGTTTCAAATCTGCTCTGTCTAAAGGAAGGTTCAACTCTGTGAGTTGAATACACACACCACAAATAAGTTACTGAGAATTCTTCTGTCGAACATTACTTGAAGAAATCCCGTTTCCAACGAAGGCCTCAAAGAGGTCCAAATATCCACTTGCAGACATTACAAACAGAGTGTTTCCAACCTGCTCCATCAAAAGAAAGGTTAAACTCTGTGAGCTGAACACACACATCAAAAAGAAGTTTCTGTGAATGATTCTGTCTAGATTTTATAAGAAGATGTTTCCTTTTCTACCGTAGGCCTCAAAGCGCTTGAAATCTCCAGCTGCAAATTCCACAAAAAGGGTGTTTAACATCTGCTCTTCTAAAGGAAAGTTCAACTCTATGAGTTGAATACACACAGCACAAAGAAGTTACTGAGACTTCTTCTGTCGAACATTATTTGAAGAAATCCCGTTTCCAACGAAGGCCTCAAAGAGGTCCAAATATCTGTTTGCAGACTTTACAGATAGAGTGTTTCCAAACTGCTCCATGAAAAGAAAGGTTAAACTCCTTGAGTTGATCACACACATCACAAAGTAGTTTCTGTGAATGATTCTGTCTAGTTTTTATACGAAGATGTTTCCTTTTCTACCTTTGGTCTCAAAGCGATTGAAATCTCCACATGGAAACTCCACAAAAAGAGGGTTTCAAATCTGCTCTTCCTGAAGGAAGGTTCACCTCTGTGAGTTGAATAAACACACCACAAATAAGTTACTGAGAATTCTTCTGTGTAACATTATATGAGGAAATCCCGTTTCCAACGAAGGCCTCAAAGAGGTCCAAATATCCACTTGCAGACTTTAGAAACACAGTGTCTCCAAACTCCTCCATCAAAAGAAAGGTTATACTCTGTGAAATGAACGCACACATCAGAAAGTAGTTTCTGAGAATGATTCTGTCTAGTTTTTATACGAAGATATTTCCTTTTCTACATTTGGCCTAAAAGCGCTTGAAATCTCCACCTGCAAATATCACAAAAAGAGGGTTTCACATCTGCTCTGTCTAAAGGACAGTTCACCTCTGCGAGTTGAATAGAGGCAACACAAAGAACTTACTCAGTATTCTTCTTTCTAGCGTTCCATGAAGAAATCCCGTTTCCAACGAAGGCCCCAAAGAGGTCCAAATATCTGCTTGCAGACTTTACAGACAGAGTGTTTCCAAACTACTCTATGAAAAGAAAGCTTAAACTCCTTGAGTTGAACGCACACATCACAAAGTAGTTTCTGAGAATAATTCTGTCTAGTTTTTATACGAAGATGTTTCCTTTTCTACATTTGGTCTCAAAGCGATTGAAATCTCCAACTGGAAACTGCACAAATAGGGTGTTTCAAATCTGCTCTGTCTAAAGGAAGGTTCAACTCTGTGAGTTGAATACACACACCACAAATAAGTTACTGAGAATTCTTCTGTCGAACATTACATGAAGAAATCCCGTTTCCAACGAAGGCCTCAAAGACGTCCAAATATCCACTTGCAGACATTACAAACAGAGTGTTGCCAAACTGCTCCATCAAAAGAAAGGTTAAACTCTGTGAGCTGAACACACACATCAAAAAGAAGTTTCTGTGAATGATTCTGTCTAGATTTTATAAGAAGATGTTTCCTTTTCTACCGTAGGCCTCAAAGCGATTGAAATCTCCACATGGAAACTCCACAAAAAGAGTGTTTCAAATCTGCTCTTTCTGAAGGAAGGTTCATCTCTGTGAGTTGAATACACACACCACAAATAAGTTACTGAGAATTCTTCTGTGTAACATTATATGAGGAAATCCCGTTTCCAACGAAGGCCTCAAAGAGGTCCAAATATCCACTTGCAGACTTTACAAAGACAGTGTCTCCAAACTCCTCCATCAAAAGAAAGGTTATACTCTGTGAATTGAACGCACACATCACAAAGTAGTTTCTGAGAATGATTCTGTCTAGTTTTTATACGAAGATATTTCCTTTTCTACATTTGGCCTAAAAGCGCTTGAAATCTCCACGTGCAAATATCACAAAAAGAGGGTTTCACATCTGCTCTGTCTAAAGGACAGTTCACCTCTGTGAGTTGAATAGAGGCAACACAAAGAACTTACTCAGTATTCTTCTTTCTAGCGTTCTATGAAGAAATCCCGTTTCCAACGAAGGCCTCAAAGAGGTCAAATATCTGCTTGCAGACTTTACAGACAGAGTGTTTCCAAACTACTCTATGAAAAGAAAGCTTAAACTCCTTGAGTTGAAGGCACACATCACAAAGTAGTTTCTGAGAATCATTCTGTCTAGTTTTTATACGAAGATGTTTCCCTTTCTACAATTGGTCTCAAAGCGATTGAAATCTCCAACTGGAAACTGCACAAATAGGCTGTTTCAAATCTGCTCTGTCTAAAAGAGGGTTCAACTCTGTGAGTTGAATACACACACCACAAATAAGTTACTGAGAATTCTTCTGTCGAACATTACAGGAAGAAATCCCGTTTCCAACGAAGGCCTCAAAGAGGTCCAAATATCCACTTGCAGACATTACAAACAGTGTGTTTCCCAACTGCTCCATCAAAAGAAAGGTTAAACTCTGTGAGCTGAACACACACATCAAAAAGAAGTTTCTGTGAATGATTCTGTCTAGATTTTATAAGAAGATGCTTCCTTTTCTACCGTAGGCCTCAAAGCGCTTGAAATCTCCACATGGAAACTCCACAAAAAGGGTGTTTAACATCTGCTCTTCTAAAGGAAAGTTCAACTCTATGAGTTGAATACACACAGCACAAAGAAGTTACTGAGACTTCTTCTTTCTAGCATTCTATGAAGAAATCCCGTATCCAACGAAGGCCCCAAAGAGGTCCAAATATCTGCTTGCAGACTTTACAGACAGAGTTTTTCCAAACTGCTCCATCAAAAGAAAGGTTAAACTCCTTGAGTTGAACACACACATCACAAAGTAGTTTCTGTGAATGATTCTGTCTAGTTTTTATACGAAGATGTTTGCTTTTCTACCTTTGGTCTCAAAGCGATTGAAATCTCCACATGGAAACTCCACAAAAAGAGTGTTTCAAATCTGCTCTTTCTGAAGGAAGGTTCAACTCTGTGAGTTGAATACACACACCACAAATAAGTTACTGAGAATTCTTCTGTGTAACATTATATGAGGAAATCCCGTTTCCAACGAAGGCCTCAAAGAGGTCCAAATATCCACTTGCAGACTTTACAAAGACAGTGTCTCCAAACTCCTCCATCAAAAGAAAGGTTATACTCTGTGAATTGAACGCACACATCACAAAGTAGTTTCTGAGAATGATTCTGTCTAGTTTTTATACGAAGATATTTCCTTTTCTACATTTGGCCTAAAAGCGCTTGAAATCTCCACCTGCAAATATCACAAAAAGAGGGTTTCACATCTGCTCTGTCTAAAGGACAGTTCACCTCTGTGAGTTGAATAGAGGCAACACAAAGAACTTACTCAGTATTCTTCTTTCTAGCGTTCTATGAAGAAATCCCCTTTCCAAAGAAGACCCCAAAGACATCCAAATATCTGCTTGCAGACTTTACAGACAAAGTTTTTCCAAACTGCTCCATCAAAAGAAAGGTTAAACTCCTTGAGTTGAACACACACGTCACAAAGTAGTTTCTGTGAATGATTCTGTCTAGTTTTTATACGAATATGTTTCCTTTTCTACCTTTGGTCTCAAAGCGATTGAAATCTCCACATGGAAACTCCACAAAAAGAGTGTTTCAAATCTGCTCTTTCTGAAGGAAGGTTCAACTCTGTGAGTTGAATACACACACCACAAATAAGTTACTGAGAATTCTTCTGTGTAACATTATATGAGGAAATCCCGTTTCCAACGAAGGCCTCAAAGAGGTCCAAATATCCACTTGCAGACTTTACAAAGACAGTGTCTCCAAACTCCTCCATCAAAAGAAAGGTTATACTATGTGAATTGAACGCACACATCACAAAGTAGTTTCTGAGAATGATTCTGTCTTGTATTTATACGAAGATATTTCCTTTTCTACATTTGGCCTAAAAGCGCTTGAAATCTCCACCTGCAAATATCACAAAAAGAGGGTTTCCCATCTGCTCTGTCTAAAGGACAGGTCACCTCTGTGAGTTGAATAGAGGCAACACAAAGAACTTACTGAGTATTCTTCTTTCTAGCGTTATATGAAGAAATCCCGTTTCCAATGAAGGCCTCAAAGAGGTCCAAATATCTGCTTGCAGACTTTACAGACAGAGTGTTTCCAAACTACTCTATGAAAAGAAAGCTTGAACTCCGTGATTTGAATGCTCACATCACAAAATAGTTTCTGAGAATGATTCTGTCTTGTATTTATACGAAGATATTTCCGTTTCTACGATTGGCCTCAAAGCGAATGAAATCTCCAACTGGAAACTGCACAATTAGGGTGTTTCAAATCTGCTCTGTCTAAAGGAAGGTTCAACTCTGTGAGTTCAATGCACACACCACAAATAAGTTACTGAGAATTCTTGTGTCGAACATTACTTGAAGAAATCCCGTTTCCAACGAAGGCCTCAAAGAGGTCCAAATATTCACTTGCAGATATTACAAACAGAGTGTTTCCAAACTGCTCCATCAAAAGAAAGGTTAAACTCTGTGAGCTGAACACACACATCAAAAACAAGTTTCTGTGAATGATTCTGTCTAGATTTTATAAGAAGATGTTTCCTTTTCTACCGTAGGCCTCAAAGCGCTTGAAATCTCCAGCTGCAAATTCCACAAAAAGGGTGTTTAACATCTGCTCTTCTAAAGGAAAGTTCAACTCTATGAGTTGAATACACACAGCACAAAGAAGTTACTGAGACTTCTCCTATCAAACATTATATGAAGAAATCCCGTTTCCAACGAAGGCCTCAAAGAGGTCCAAATATCTGCTTGCAGACTTTACAGACAGAGTGTTTCCAAACTGCTCCACCAAAAGAAAGGTTAAACTCCTTGAGTTGAACACACACATCACAAAGTAGTTTCTGTGTATGATTCTGTCTAGTTGTTATACGAAGATGTTTCCTTTTCTACCTTTGGTCTCAAAGCGATTGAAATCTCCACATGGAAACTCCACAAAAAGAGTGTTTCAAATCTGCTCTTTCTGAAGGAAGGTTCATCTCTGTGAGTTGAATACACACACCACAAATAAGTTACTGAGAATTCTTCTGTGTAACATTATATGAGGAAATCCCGTTTCCAACGAAGGCCTCAAAGAGGTCCAAATATCCACTTGCAGACTTTACAAAGACAGTGTCTCCAAACTCCTCCATCAAAAGAAAGGTTATACTCTGTGAATTGAACGCACACATCACAAAGTAGTTTCTGAGAATGATACTAATTTTTATACGAAGATATTTCCTTTTCTACATTTGGCCTAAAAGCGCTTGAAATCTGCACCTGCGAATATCACAAAAAGAAGGTTTCACATGTGCTCTGTCTAAAGGACAGTTCACCTCTGTGAGTTGAATAGAGGCAACACAAAGAAGTTACTGAGTATTCTTCTTTCTAGCATTCCATGAAGAAATCCCGTTTCCAACGAAGGCCCCAAAGAGGTCCAAATATCTGCTTGCAGACTTTACAGACAGAGTGTTTCCAAACTACTCTATGAAAAGAAAGCTTAAACTCCTTGAGTTGAACGCACACATCACAAAGTAGTTTCTGAGAATAATTCTGTCTAGTTTTTATACGAAGATGTTTCCTTTTCTACATTTGGTCTCAAAGCGATTGAAATCTCCAACTGGAAACTGCACAAATAGGGTGTTTCAAATCTGCTCTGTCTAAAGGAAGGTTCAACTCTGTGAGTTGAATACACACACCACAAATAAGTTACTGAGAATTCTTCTGTCGAACATTACTTGAAGAAATCCCGTTTCCAACGAAGGCCTCAAAGAGGTCCAAATATCCACTTGCAGACATTACAAACAGAGTGTTTCCAAACTGCTCCATCAAAAGAAAGGTTAAACTCTGTGAGCTGAACACACACATCAAAAAGAAGTTTCTGTGAATGATTCTGTCTAGATTTTATAAGAAGATGTTCCTTTTCTACCGTAGGCCTCAAAGCGCTTGAAATCTCCAGCTGTCAAATTCCACAAAAAGGGTGTTTAACATCTGCTCTTCTAAAGGAAAGTTCAACTCTATGAGTTGAATACACACAGCACAAAGAAGTTACTGAGACTTCTCCTATCAAACATTATATGAAAAAATCCCATTTCCAACGAAGGCCTCAAAGAGGTCCAAATATCTGCTTGCAGACTTTACAGACAGAGTGTTTCCAAACTGCTCCATCAAAAGAAAGGTTAACCTCCTGAGTTGAACACACACATCACAAAGTAGTTTCTGTGAATGATTCTGTCTAGTTTTTATACGAAGATGTTTCCTTTTCTACCTTTGGTCTCAAAGCGATTGAAATCTCCACATGGAAACTCCACAAAAAGAGTGTTTCAAATCTGCTCTTTCTGAAGGAAGGTTCATCTTTGTGAGTTGAATACACACACCACAAATAAGTTACTGAGAATTCTTCTGGGTAACATTATATGAGGAAATCCCGTTTCCAACGAAGGCCTCAAAGAGGTCCAAATATCCACTTGCAGACTTTACAAAGACAGTGTCTCCAAACTCCTCCATCAAAAGAAAGGTTATACTCTGTGAATTGAACGCACACATCACAAAGTAGTTTCTGAGAATGATTCTGTCTAGTTTTTATACGAAGATATTTCCTTTTCTACATTTGGCCTAAAAGCGCTTGAAGTCTCCACCTGCAAATATCACAAAAAGAGGGTTTCACATCTGCTCTGTCTAAAGGACAGTTCACCTTTGTGAGTTGAATAGAGGCAACACAAAGAACTTACTCAGTATTCTTCTTTCTAGCGTTCTATGAAGAAATCCCGTTTCCAACGAAGGCCCCAAAGAGGTCCAAATATCTGCTTGCAGACTTTACAGACAGAGTGTTTCCAAACTACTCTATGAAAAGAAAGCTTAAACTCCTTGAGTTGAACGCACACATCACAAAGTAGTTTCTGAGAATGATTCTGTCTAGTTTTTATACGAAGATGTTTCCTTTTCTACATTTGGTCTCAAAGCGATTGAAATCTCCAACTGGAAACTGCACAAATAGGGTGTTTCAAATCTGCTCTGTCTAAAGGAAGGTTCAACTCTGTGAGTTGAATACACACACCACAAATAAGTTACTGAGAATTCTTCTGTCGAACATTACATGAAGAAATCCCGTTTCCAACGAAGGCCTCAAAGAGGTCCAAGTATCCACTTTCAGACATTACAAACAGATTGTTTCCAAACTGCTCCATCAAAAGAAAGGTTAAACTCTGTGAGCTGAACACACACATCAAAGAGAAGTTTCTGTGAATGATTCTGTCTAGATTTTATAAGAAGATGTTTCCTTTTCTACCGTAGGCCTCAAAGCGCTTGAAATCTCCAGCTGCAAATTCCACAAAAAGGGTGTTTAACATCTGCTCTTCTAAAGGAAAGTTCAACTCTATGAGTTGAATACACACAGCACAAAGAAGTTACTGAGACTTCTCCTATCAAACATTATATGAAGAAATCCCGTTTCCAACGAAGGCCTCAAAGAGGTCCAAATATCTGCTTGCAGACTTTACAGACAGAGTGTTTCCAAACTGCTCCATCAAAAGAAAGGTTAAACTCCTTGAGTTGAACACACACATCACAAAGTAGTTTCTGTGAATGATTCTGTCTAGTTTTTATACGAAGATGTTTCCTTTTCTAACTTTGGTCTCAAAGCGATTGAAATCTCCACATGGAAACTCCACAAAAAGAGTGTTTCAAATCTGCTCTTTCTGAAGTAAGGTTCAACTCTGTGAGTTGAATACACACACCACAAATAAGTTACTGAGAATTCTTCTGTGTAACATTATATGAGGAAATCCCGTTTCCAATGAAGGCCTCAAAGAGGTCCAAATATCCACGTGCAGACTTTACAAAGACAGTGTCTCCAAACTCCTCCATCAAAAGAAAGGTTATACTCTGTGAAATGAAGGCACACATCACAAAGTAGTTTCTGAGAATGATTCTGTCTAGTTTTTATACGAAGATATTTCCTTTTCTACATTTGGCCTAAAAGCGCTTGAAATCTCCACCTGCAAATATCACAAAAAGAGGGTTTCACATCTGCTCTGTCTAAAGGACAGTTCACCTCTGTGAGTTGAATAGAGGCAACACAAAGAACTTACTCAGTATTCTTCTTTCTAGCGTTCTATGAAGAAATCCCGTTTCCAACGAAGGCATCAAAGAGGTCCAAATATCTGCTTGCAGACTTTACAGACAGAGTGTTTCCAAACTACTCTATGAAAAGAAAGCTTAAACTCCTTGAGTTGAACGCACACAACACAAAGTAGTTTCTGAGAATGATTCTGTCTAGTTTTTATACGAAGATGTTTCCTTTTCTACATTTGGTCTCAAAGCGATTGAAATCTCCAACTGGAAACTGCACAAATAGGGTGTTTCAAATCTGCTCTGTCTAAAGGAAGGTTCAACTCTGTGAGTTGAATACACACTCCACAAATAAGTTACTGAGAATTCTTCTGTCGAACATTACTTGAAGAAATCCCTTTTCCAACGAAGGCCTCAAAGAGGTCCAAATATCCACTTGCAGACATTACAAACAGAGTGTTTCCAAACTGCTCCATCAAAAGAAAGGTTAAACTCTGTGAGCTGAACACACACATCGAAAAGAAGTTTCTGTGAATGATTCTGTCTAGATTTTATAAGAACATATTTCCTTTTCTACCGTAGGCCACAAAGCGCTTGAAATCTCCAGCTGCAAATTCCACAAAAAGGGTGTTTAACATCTGCTCTTCTAAAGGAAAGTTCAACTCTATGCGTTGAGTACAGACAGCACAAAGAAGTTACTGAGACTTCTTCTATCTAGCGTTCTATGAAGAAATCCCCTTTCCAACGAAGACCCCAAAGACGTCCAAATATCTGCTTGCAGACTTTACAGACAGAGTTTTTCCAAACTGCTCCATCAAAAGAAAGGTTAAACTCCTTGAGTTGAACACACACGTCACAAAGTAGTTTCTGTGAATGATTCTGTCTAGTTTTTATAAGAAGATGTTTCCTTTTCTACCTTTGGTCTCAAAGCGATTGAAATCTCCACATGGAAACTCCACAAAAAGAGTGTTTCAAATCTGCTCTTTCTGAAGGAAGGTTCAACTCTGTGAGTTGAATACACACACCACAAATAAGTTACTGAGAATTCTTCTGTGTAACATTATATGAGGAAATCCCGTTTCCAACGAAGGCCTCAAAGAGGTCCAAATATCCACTTGCAGACTTTACAAAGACAGTGTCTCCAAACTCCTCCATCAAAAGAAAGGTTATACTCTGTGAATTGAACGCACACATCACAAAGTAGTTTCTGAGAATGATTCTGTCTAGTTTTTATACGAAGATATTTCCTTTTCTACATTTGGCCTAAAAGCGCTGGAAATCTCCACCTGCAAATATCACAAAAAGAGGGTTTCACATCTGCTCTGTCTAAAGGACAGTTCACCTCTGTGAGTTGAATAGAGGCAACACAAAGAACTTACTCAGTATTCTTCTTTCTACCGTTCTATGAAGAAATCCCGTTTCCAACGAAGGCCTCAAAGAGGTCCAAATATCTGCTTGCAGACTTTACAGACAGAGTGTTTCCAAACTACTCTATGAAAAGAAAGCTTAAACTCCTTGAGTTGAACGCACACATCACAAAGTAGTTTCTGAGAATGATTCTGTCTAGTTTTTATACGAAGATGTTTCCTTTTCTACATTTGGTCTCAAAGCGATTGAAATCTCCAACTGGAAACTGCACAAATAGGGTGTTTCAAATCTGCTCTGTCTAAAGGAAGGTTCAACTCTGTGAGTTGAATACACACACCACAAATAAGTTACTGAGAATTCTTCTGTCGAACATTACAGGAAGAAATCCCGTTTCCAACGAAGGCCTCAAAGAGGTCCAAATATCCACTTGCAGACATTACAAACAGTGTGTTTCCAAACTGCTCCATCAAAAGAAAGGTTAAACTCTGTGAGCTGAACACACACATCAAAAAGAAGTTTCTGTGAATGATTCTGTCTAGATTTTATAAGAAGATGTTTCCTTTTCTACCGTAGGCCTCAAAGCGCTTGAAATCTCCAGCTGCAAATTCCACAAAAAGGGTGTTTAACATCTGCTCTTCTAAAGGAAAGTTCAACTCTATGAGTTGAATACACACAGCACAAAGAAGTTACTGAGACTTCTCCTATCAAACATTATATGAAGAAATCCCGTTTCCAACGAAGGCCTCAAAGAGGTCCAAATATCCACTTGCAGACGTGACAAACAGAGTGTTTCCAAACTGCTCCATCAAAAGAAAGGTTAAACTCTGTGAGTTGAACACACACATCACAAAGTAGTTTCTGTGAATGATTCTGTCTAGTTTTTATACGAAGATGTTTCCTTTTCTACCTTTGGTCTCAAAGCGATTGAAATCTCCACATGGAAACTCCACAAAAAGAGTGTTTCAAATCTGCTCTTTCTGAAGGAAGGTTCAACTCTGTGAGTTGAATACACACACCACAAATAAGTTACTGAGAATTCTTCTGTGTAACATTATATGGGGAAATCCCGTTTCCAACGAAGGCCTCAAAGAGGTCCAAATATGCAATTGCAGACTTTACAAAGACAGTGTCTCCAAACTCCTCCATCAAAAGAAAGGTTATACTCTGTGAATTGAACGCACACATCACAAAGTAGTTTCTGAGAATGATTCTGTCTAGTTTTTATACGAAGATATTTCCTTTTCTACATTTGGCCTAAAAGCGCTTGAAATCTCCACCTGCAAATATCACAAAAAGAGGGTTTCACATCTGCTCTGTCTAAAGGACAGTTCACCTCTGTGAGTTGAATAGAGGCAACACAAAGAACTTACTCAGTATTCTTCTTTCTAGCGTTCTATGAAGAAATCCCGTTTCCAACGAAGGCCCCAAAGAGGTCCAAATATCTGCTTGCAGACTTTACAGACAGAGTGTTTCCAAACTACTCTATGAAAAGAAAGCTTAAACTCCTTGAGTTGAACGCACACATCACAAAGTAGTTTCTGAGAATGATTCTGTCTAGTTTTTATACGAAGATGTTTCCTTTTCTACATTTGGTCTCAAAGCTCTTGAAATCTCCAACTGGAAACTGCACAAATAGGCTGTTTCAAATCTGCTCTGTCTAAAGGAAGGTTCAACTCTGTGAGTTGAATACACACACCACAAATAAGTTACTGAGAATTCTTCTGTCGAACATTACTTGAAGAAATCCCGTTTCCAAAGAAGGCCTCAAAGAGGTCCAAATATCCACTTGCAGACATTACAAACAGAGTGTTTCCAAACTGCTCCATCAAAAGAAAGGTTAAACTCTGTGAGCTGAACACACACATCAAAAAGAAGTTTCTGTGAATGATTCTGTCTAGATTTTATAAGAAGATGTTTCCTTTTCTACCGTAGGCCTCAAAGCGCTTGAAATCTCCAGCTGCAAATTCCTCAAAAAGGGTGTTTAACATCTGCTCTTCTAAAGGAAAGTTCAACTCTATGAGTTGAATACACACAGCACAAAGAAGTTACTGAGACTTCTCCTATCAAACATTATATGAAGAAATCCCGTTTCCAACGAAGGCCTCAAAGAGGTCCAAATATCTGCTTGCAGACTTTACAGACAGAGTGTTTCCAAACTGCTCCATCAAAAGAAAGGTTAAACTCCTTGAGTTGAACACACACATCACAAAGTAGTTTCTGTGAATGATTCTGTCTAGTTGTTATACGAAGATGTTTCCTTTTCTACCTTTGGTCTCAAAGCGATTGAAATCTCCACATGGAAACTCCACAAAAAGAGTGTTTCAAATCTGCTCTTTCTGAAGGAAGGTTCATCTCTCTGAGTTGAATACACACACCACAAATAAGTTACTGAGAATTCTTCTGGGTAACATTATATGAGGAAATCCCGTTTCCAACGAAGGCCTCAAAGAGGTCCAAATATCCACTTGCAGACTTTACAAAGACAGTGTCTCCAAACTCCTCCATCAAAAGAAAGGTTATACTCTGTGAATTGAACGCACACATCACAAAGTAGTTTCTGAGAATGATTCTGTCTAGTTTTTATACGAAGATATTTCCTTTTCTACATTTGGCCTAAAAGCGCTTGAAATCTCCACCTGCAAATATCACAAAAAGAGGGTTTCACATCTGCTCTGTCTAAAGGACAGTTCACCTCTGTGAGTTGAATAGAGGCAACACAAAGAACTTACTCAGTATTCTTCTTTCTAGCGTTCTATGAAGAAATCCCGTTTCCAACGAAGGCCCCAAAGAGGTCCAAATATCTGCTTGCAGACTTTACAGACAGAGTGTTTCCAAACTACTCTATGAAAAGAAAGCTTAAACGCCTTGAGTTGAACGCACACATCACAAAGTAGTTTCTGAGAATGATTCTGTCTAGTTTTTATACGAAGATGTTTCCTTTTCTACATTTGGTCTCAAAGCGATTGAAATCTCCAACTGGAAACTGCACAAATAGGGTGTTTCAAATCTGCTCTGTCTAAAGGAAGGTTCAACTCTGTGAGTTGAATACACACACCACAAATAAGTTACTGAGAATTCTTCTGTCGAACATTACTTGAAGAAATCCCGTTTCCAACGAAGGCCTCAAAGAGGTCCAAGTATCCACTTGCAGACATTACAAACAGAGTGTTTCCAAACTGCTCCATCAAAAGAAAGGTTAAACTCTGTGAGCTGAACACACACATCAAAAAGAAGTTTCTGTGAATGATTCTGTCTAGATATTATAAGAAGATATTTCCTTTTCTACCGTAGGCCTCAAAGCGCTTGAAATCTCCACCTGCAAATTCCACAAAAAGGGTGTTTAACATCTGCTCTTCTAAAGGAAAGTTCAACTCTATGAGTTGAATGCACACAGCACAAAGAAGTTACTGAGACTTCTCCTATCAAACATTATATGAAGAAATCCCGTTTCCAACGAAGGCCTCAAAGAGGTCCAAATATCTGCTTGCAGACTTTACAGACAGAGTGTTTCCAAACTGCTCCATCAAAAGAAAGGTTAAACTCCTTGAGTTGAACACACACATCACAAAGTAGTTTCTGTGAATGATTCTGTCTAGTTTTTATACGAAGATGTTTCCTTTTCTACCTTTGGTCTCAAAGCGATTGAAATCTCCACATGGAAACTCCACAAAAAGAGTGTTTCAAATCTGCTCTTTCTGAAGGAAGGTTCAACTCTGTGAGTTGAATACACACACCACAAATAAGTTACTGAGAATTCTTCTGTGTAACATTATATGAGGAAATCCCATTTCCAACGAAGGCCTCAAAGAGGTCCCAATATCCACATGCAGACTTTACAAAGACAGTGTCTCCAAACTCCTCCATCAAAAGAAAGGTTATACTCTGTGAATTGAACGCACACATCACAAAGTAGTTTCTGAGAATGATTCTGTCTAGTTTTTATACGAAGATATTTCCTTTTCTACATTTGGCCTAAAAGCGCTTGAAATCTCCACCTGCAAATATCACAAAAAGAGGGTTTCACATCTGCTCTGTCTAAAGGACAGTTCACCTCTGTGAGTTGAATAGAGGCAACACAAAGAACTTACTCAGTATTCTTCTTTCTAGCGTTCTATGAAGAAATCCCGTTTCCAACGAAGGCCCCAAAGAGGTCCAAATATCTGCTTGCAGACTTTACAGACAGAGTGTTTCCAAACTACTCTATGAAAAGAAAGCTTAAACTCCTTGAGTTGAACGCACACATCACAAAGTAGTTTCTGAGAATGATTCTGTCTAGTTTTTATACGAAGATGTTTCCTTTTCTACGTTTGGTCTCAAAGCGATTGAAATCTCCAACTGGAAACTGCACAAATAGGCTGTTTCAAATCTGCTCTGTCTAAAGGAAGGTTCAACTCTGTGAGTTGAATACACACACCACAAATAAGTTACTGAGAATTCTTCTGTCGAACATTACTTGAAGAAATCCCGTTTCCAACGAAGGCCTCAAAGAGGTCCAAATATCCACTTGCAGACATTACAAACAGATTGTTTCCAACCTGCTCCATCAAAAGAAAGGTTAAACTCTGTGAGCTGAACACACACATCAAAAAGAAGTTTCTGTGAATGATTCTGACTAGATTTTATAAGAAGATATTTCCTTTTCTACCGTAGGCCTCAAAGCGCTTGAAATCTCCAGCTGCAAATTCCACAAAAAGGGTGTTTAACATCTGCTCTTCTAAAGGAAAGTTCAACTCTATGAGTTGAATACACACAGCACAAAGAAGTTACTGAGACTTCTCCTATCAAACATTATATGAAGAAATCCCGTTTCCAACGAAGGCCTCAAAGAGGTGCAGATATCTGCTTGCAGACTTTACAGACAGAGTGTTTCCAAACTGCTCCATCAAAAGAAAGGTTAAACTCCTTGAGTTGAACACACACATCACAAAGTAGTTTCTGTGAATGATTCTGTCTAGTTTTTATAGGAAGATGTTTCCTTTTCTACCTTTGGTCTCAAAGCGATTGAAATCTCCACATGGAAACTCCACAAAAAGAGTGTTTCAAATCTGCTCTTTCTGAAGGAAGGTTCAACTCTGTGAGTTGAATACACACACCACAAATAAGTTACTGAGAATTCTTCTGTGTAACGTTATATGAGGAAATCCCGTTTCCAACGAAGGCCTCAAAGAGGTCCAAATATCCACTTGCAGACTTTACAAACACAGTGTCTCCAAACTCCTCCATCAAAAGAAAGGTTATACTCTGTGAATTGAACGCACACATCACAAAGTAGTTTCTGAGAATGATTCTGTCTAGTTTTTATACGAAGATATTTCCTTTTCTACATTTGGCCTAAAAGCGCTTGAAATCTCCACCTGCAAATATCACAAAAAGAGGGTTTCACATCTGCTCTGTCTAAAGGACAGTTCACCTCTGTGAGTTGAATAGAGGCAACACAAAGAACTTACTCAGTATTCTTCTTTCTAGCGTTCCATGAAGAAATCCCGTTTCCAACGAAGGCCCCAAAGAGGTCCAAATATCTGCTTGCAGACTTTACAGACAGAGTGTTTCCAAACTACTCTATGAAAAGAAAGCTTAAACTCCTTGAGTTGAACGCACACATCACAAAGTAGTTTCTGAGAATGATTCTGTCTAGTTTTTATACGAAGATGTTTCCTTTTCTACATTTGGTCTCAAAGCGATTGAAATCTCCAACTGGAAACTGCACAAATAGGGTGTTTCAAATCTGCTCTGTCTAAAGGAAGGTTCAACTCTGTGAGTTGAATACACACACCACAAATAAGTTACTGAGAATTCTTCTGTCGAACATTACTTGAAGAAATCCCGTTTCCAACGAAGGCCTCAAAGAGGTCCAAATATCCACTTGCAGACATTACAAACAGAGTGTTTCCAAACTGCTCCATCAAAAGAAAGGTTAAACTCTGTGAGCTGAACACACACATCGAAAAGAAGTTTCTGTGAATGATTGTGTCTAGATTTTATAAGAAGATGTTTCCTTTTCTACCATAGGCCTCAAAGCGCTAGAAATCTCCAGCAGCAAATTCAACAAAAAGTGTGTTTAACATCTGCTCGTTCTAAAGTAAAGTTCAGCTCTGTGATTTGAATACACACAGCACAAAGAAGTTACTGAGACTTCTCCTATCAAACATTATATGAAGAAATCCCGTTTCCAACGAAGGCCTCAAAGGAGGTCCAAATATCTGTTTGCAGACTTTGCAGACAGAGTGTTTCCAAACTGCTCCATCAAAAGAAAGGTTAACCTCCTTGAGTTGAACACACACATCACAAAGTAGTTTCTGAGAATGATTCTGTCTAGTTTTTATACGAAGATGTTTCCTTTTCTACCTTTGGTCTCAAAGCGATTGAAATCTCCACATGGAAACTCCACAAAAAGAGTGTTTCAAATCTGCTCTGTCTAAAGGAAGGTTCAACTCTGTGAGTTGAATACACACACCACAAATAAGTTACTGAGAATTCTTCTGGGTAACATTATATGAGGAAATCCCGTTTCCAACGAAGGCCTCAAAGAGGTCCAAATATCCACTTGCAGACTTTACAAAGACAGTGTCTCCAAACTCCTCCATCAAAAGAAAGGTTATACTCTGTGAATTGAACGCACACATCACAAAGTAGTTTCTGAGAATGATTCTGTCTAGTTTTTATACGAAGATATTTCCTTTTCTACATTTGGCCTAAAAGCGCTTGAAGTCTCCACCTGCAAATATCACAAAAAGAGGGTTTCACATCTGCTCTGTCTAAAGGACAGTTCACCTTTGTGAGTTGAATAGAGGCAACACAAAGAACTTACTCAGTATTCTTCTTTCTAGCGTTCTATGAAGAAATCCCGTTTCCAACGAAGACCCCAATGAGGTCCAAATATCTGCTTGCAGACTTTACAGACAGAGTGTTTCCAAACTACTCTATGAAAAGAAAGCTTAAACTCCTTGAGTTGAACGCACACATCACAAAGTAGTTACTGAGAATGATTCTGTCTAGTTTTTATACGAAGATGTTTCCTTTTCTACATTTGGTCTCAAAGCGATTGAAATCTCCAACTGGAAACTGCACAAATAGGGTGTTTCAAATCTGCTCTGTCTAAAGGAAGGTTCAACTCTGTGAGTTGAATACACACACCACAAATAAGTTACTGAGAATTCTTCTGTCGAACATTACGGGAAGAAATCCCGTTTCCAACGAAGGCCTCAAAGAGGTCCAAATATCCACTTGCAGACATTACAAACAGTGTGTTTCCCAACTGCTCCATCAAAAGAAAGGTTAAACTCTGTGAGCTGAACACACACATCAAAAAGAAGTTTCTGTGAATGATTCTGTCTAGATTTTATAAGAAGATGTTTCCTTTTCTACCGTAGGCCTCAAAGCGCTTGAAATCTCCAGCTGCAAATTCCACAAAAAGGGTGTTTAACATCTGCTCTTCTAAAGGAAAGTTCAACTCTATGAGTTGAATACACACAGCACAAAGAAGTTACTGAGACTTCTCCTATCAAACATTATATGAAGAAATCCCGTTTCCAACGAAGGCCTCAAAGAGGTCCAAATATCTGCTTGCAGACTTTACAGACAGAGTGTTTCCAAACTGCTCCATCAAAAGAAAGGTTAAACTCCTTGAGTTGAACACACACATCACAAAGTAGTTTCTGTGAATGATTCTGTCCAGTTTTTATACGAAGATGTTTCCTTTTCTACCTTTGGTCTCAAAGCGATTGAAATCTCCACATGGAAACTCCACAAAAAGAGTGTTTCAAATCTGCTCTTTCTGAAGGAAGGTTCAACTCTGTGAGTTGAATACACACACCACAAATAAGTTACTGAGAATTCTTCTGTGTAACATTATATGAGGAAATCCCGTTTCCAACGAAGGCCTCAAAGAGGTCCAAATATCCACTTGCAGACTTTACAAAGACAGTGTCTCCAAACTCCTCCATCAAAAGAAAGGTTATACTCTGTGAATTGAACGCACACATCACAAAGTAGTTTCTGAGAATGATTCTGTCTAGTTTTTATACGAAGATATTTCCTTTTCTACATTTGGCCTAAAAGCGCTTGAAATCTCCACCTGCAAATATCACAAAAAGAGGGTTTCACATCTGCTCTGTCTAAAGGACAGTTCACCTCTGTGAGTTGAATAGAGGCAACACAAAGAACGTACTCAGTATTCTTCTTTCTAGCGTTCTATGAAGAAATCCCGTTTCCAACGAAGGCCTCAAAGAGGTCCAAATATCTGCTTGCAGACTTTACAGACAGAGTGTTTCCAAACTACTCTATGAAAAGAAAGCTTAAACTCCTTGAGTTGAACGCACACATCACAAAGTAGTTTCTGAGAATGATTCTGTCTAGTTTTTATACGAAGATGTTTCCTTTTCTACATTTGTCTCAAAGCGATTGAAATCTCCAACTGGAAACTGCACAAATAGGGTGTTTCAAATCTGCTCTGTCTGAAGGGAGGTTCAACTCTGTGAGTTCAATACACACACCACAAATAAGTTACTGAGAATTCTTCTGTCGAACATTACATGAAGAAATCCCGTTTCCAACGAAGGCCTCAAAGAGGTCCAAATATCCACTTGCAGAGATTACAAACAGTGTGTTTCCAAACTGCTCCATCAAAAGAAAGGTTAAACTCTGTGAGCTGAACCCACACATCAAAAAGAAGTTTCTGTGAATGATTCTGTCTAGATTTTATAAGAAGATGTTTCCTTTTCTACCGTAGGCCTCAAAGCGCTTGAAATCTCCAGCTGCAAATTCCACAAAAAGGGTGTTTAACATCTGCTCTTCTAAAGGAAAGTTCAACTCTATGAGTTGAATACACACAGCACAAAGAAGTTACTGAGACTTCTCCTATCAAACATTATATGAAGAAATCCCGTTTCCAACGAAGGCCTCAAAGAGGTCCAAATATCTGCTTGCAGACTTTACAAAGACAGTGTCTCCAAACTCCTCCATCAAAAGAAAGGTTATACTCTGTGAATTGAACGCACACATCACAAAGTAGTTTCTGAGAATGATTCTGTCTAGTTTTTATACGAAGATATTTCCTTTTCTACATTTGGCCTAAAAGCGCTTGAAATCTCCACCTGCAAATACCACAAAAAGAGGGTTTCACATCTGCTCTGTCTAAAGGACAGTTCACCTCTGTGAGTTGAATAGAGGCAACACAAAGAACTTACTCAGTATTCTTCTTTCTAGCGTTCTATGAAGAAATCCCGTTTCCAACGAAGGCCTCAAAGAGGTCCAAATATCTGCTTGCAGACTTTACAGACAGAGTGTTTCCAAACTACTCTATGAAAAGAAAGCTTAAACTCCTTGAGTTGAACGCACACATCACAAAGTAGTTTCTGAGAATGATTCTGTCTAGTTTTTATACGAAGATGTTTCCTTTTCTACATTTGGTCTCAAAGCGATTGAAATCTCCAACTGGAAACTGCACAAATAGGGTGTTTCAAATCTGCTCTGTCTAAAGGAAGGTTCAACTCTGTGAGTTGAATACACACACCACAAATAAGTTACTGAGAATTCTTCTGTCGACCATTACTTGAAGAAATCCCGTTTCCAACGAAGGCCTCAAAGAGGTCCAAATATCCACTTGCAGACATTACAAACAGAGTGTTTCCAAACTGCTCCATCAAAAGAAAGGTTAAACTCTGTGAGCTGAACACACACATCGAAAAGAAGTTTCTGTGAATGATTCTGTCTAGATTTTATAAGAAGATGTTTCCTTTTCTACCGTAGGCCTCAAAGCGCTTGAAATCTCCAGCTGCAAATTCCACAAAAAGGGTGTTTAACATCTGCTCTTCTAAAGGAAAGTTCAACTCTATGAGTTGAATACACACAGCACAAAGAAGTTACTGAGACTTCTCCTATCAAACATTATATGAAGAAATCCCGTTTCCAACGAAGGCCTCAAAGAGGTCCAAATATCTGCTTGCAGACTTTACAGACAGAGTGTTTCCAAACTGCTCCATCAAAAGAAAGGTTAAACTCCTTGAGTTGAACATACACATCACAAAGTAGTTTCTGTGAATGATTCTGTCTAGTTTTTATACGAAGATGTTTCCTTTTCTACCTTTGGTCTCAATGCGATTGAAATCTCCACATGGAAACTCCACAAAAAGAGTGTTTCAAATCTGCTCTTTCTGAAGGAAGGTTCAACTCTGTGAGTTGAATACACACACCACAAATAAGTTACTGAGAATTCTTCTGTGTAACATTATATGAGGAAATCCCGTTTCCAACGAAGGCCTCAAAGAGGTCCAAATATCCACTTGCAGACTTTACAAAGACAGTGTCTCCAAACTCCTCCATCAAAAGAAAGGTTATACTCTGTGAATTGAACGCACTCATCACAAATTAGTTTCTGAGAATGATTCTGTCTAGTTTTTATACGAAGATATTTCCTTTTCTACATTTGGCCTAAAAGCGCTTGAAATCTCCACCTGCAAATATCACAAAAAGAGGGTTTCACATCTGCTCTGTCTAAAGGACAGTTCACCTCTGTGAGTTGAATAGAGGCAACACAAAGAACTTACTCAGTATTCTTCTTTCTAGCGTTCTATGAAGAAATCCCGTTTCCAACGAAGGCCTCAAAGAGGTCCAAATATCTGCTTGCAGACTTTACAGACAGAGTGTTTCCAAACTACTCTATGAAAAGAAAGCTTAAACTCCTTGAGTTGAACGCACACATCACAAAGTAGTTTCTGAGAATGATTCTGTCTAGTTTTTATACGAAGATGTTTCCTTTTCTACATTTGTCTCAAAGCGATTGAAATCTCCAACTGGAAACTGCACAAATAGGGTGTTTCAAATCTGCTCTGTCTAAAGGAAGGTTCAACTCTGTGAGTTCAATACACACACCACAAATAAGTTACTGAGAATTCTTCTGTCGAACATTACATGAAGAAATCCCGTTTCCAACGAAGGCCTCAAAGAGGTCCAAATATCCACTTGCAGAGATTACAAACAGTGTGTTTCCAAACTGCTCCATCAAAAGAAAGGTTAAACTCTGTGAGCTGAACACACACATCAAAAAGAAGTTTCTGTGAATGATTCTGTCTAGATTTTATAAGAAGATGTTTCCTTTTCTACCGTAGGCCTCAAAGCGCTTGAAATCTCCAGCTGCAAATTCCACAAAAAGGGTGTTTAACATCTGCTCTTCTAAAGGAAAGTTCAACTCTATGAGTTGAATACACACAGCACAAAGAAGTTACTGAGACTTCTCCTATCAAACATTATATGAAGAAATCCCGTTTCCAACGAAGGCCTCAAAGAGGTCCAAATATCTGCTTGCAGACTTTACAGACAGAGTGTTTCCAAACTGCTCCATCAAAAGAAAGGTTAAACTCCTTGAGTTGAACACACACATCACAAAGTAGTTTCTGTGAATGTTTCTGTCTAGTTTTTATACGAAGATGTTTCCTTTTCTACCTTTGGTCTCAAAGCGATTGAAATCTCCACATGGAAACTCCACAAAAAGAGTGTTTCAAATCTGCTCTTTCTGAAGGAAGGTTCAACTCTGTGAGTTGAATACACACACCACAAATAAGTTACTGAGAATTCTTCTGTGTAACATTATATGAGGAAATCCCGTTTCCAACGAAGGCCTCAAAGAGGTCCAAATATCCACTTGCAGACTTTACAAAGACAGTGTCTCCAAACTCCTCCATCAAAAGAAAGGTTATACTCTGTGAATTGAACGCACACATCACAAAGTAGTTTCTGAGAATGATTCTGTCTAGTTTTTATACGAAGATATATCCTTTTCTACATTTGGCCTAAAAGCGCTTGAAATCTCCACCTGCAAATATCACAAAAAGAGGGTTTCACATCTGCTCTGTCTAAAGGACAGTTCACCTCTGTGAGTTGAATAGAGGCAACACAAAGAACTTACTCAGTATTCTTCTTTCTAGCGTTCTATGAAGAAATCCCGTTTCCAACGAAGGCCTCAAAGAGGTCAAATATCTGATTGCAGACTTTACAGACAGAGTGTTTCCAAACTACTCTATGAAAAGAAAGCTTAAACTCCTTGAGTTGAACGCACACATCACAAAGTAGTTTCTGAGAATGATTCTGTCTAGTTTTTATACGAAGATGTTTCCTTTTCTACATTTGGTCTCAAAGCGATTGAAATCTCCAACTGGAAACTGCACAAATAGGGTGTTTCAAATCTGCTCTGTCTAAAGGAAGGTTCAACTCTTTGAGTTGAATACACACACCACAAATAAGTTACTGAGAATTCTTCTGTCGAACATTACAGGAAGAAATCCCGTTTCCAACGAAGGCCTCAAAGAGGTCCAAATATCCACTTGCAGACATTACAAACAGTGTGTTTCCAAACTGCTCCATCAAAAGAAAGGTTAAATTCTGTGAGCTGAACACACACATCAAAAAGAAGTTTCTGTGAATGATTCTGTCTAGATTTTATAAGAAGATGTTTCCTTTTCTACCGTAGGCCTCAAAGCGCTTGAAATCTCCAGCTGCAAATTCCACAAAAAGGGTGTTTAACATCTGCTCTTCTAAAGGAAAGTTCAACTCTATGAGTTGAATACACACAGCACAAAGAAGTTACTGAGACTTCTCCTATCAAACATTATATGAAGAAATCCCGTTTCCAACGAAGGCCTCAAAGAGGTCCAAATATCTACTTGCAGACTTTACAGACAGAGTGTTTCCAAACTGCTCCATCAAAAGAAAGGTTAAACTCCTTGAGTTGAACACACACATCACAAAGTAGTTTCTGTGAATGATTCTGTCTAGTTTTTATACGAAGATGTTTCCTTTTCTACCTTTGGTCTCAAAGCGATTGAAATCTCCACATGGAAACTCCACCAAAAGAGTGTTTCAAATCTGCTCTTTCTGAAGGAAGGTTCAACTCTGTGAGTTGAATACAGACACCACAAATAAGTTACTGAGAATTCTTCTGTGTAACATTATATGAGGAAATCCCGTTTCCAACGAAGGCCTCAAAGAGGTCCAAATATCCACTTGCAGACTTTACAAAGACAGTGTCTCCAAACTCCTCCATCAAAAGAAAGGTTATACTCTGTGAATTGAACGCACACATCACAAAGTAGTTTCTGAGAATGATTCTGTCTAGTTTTTATACGAAGATATTTCCTTTTCTACATTTGGCCTAAAAGCGCTTGAAATCTCCACCTGCAAATATCACAAAAAGAGGGTTTCACATCTGCTCTGTCTAAAGGACAGTTCACCTCTGTGAGTTGAATAGAGGCAACACAAAGAACTTACCCAGTATTCTTCTTTCCAGCGTTCTCTGAAGAAATCCCGTTTCCAACGAAGGCCTCAAAGAGGTCCAAATATCTGCTTGCAGACTTTACAGACAGAGTGTTTCCAAACTACTCTATGAAAAGAAAGCTTAAACTCCTTGAGTTGAACGCACACATCACAAGGTAGTTTCTGAGAATGATTCTGTCTAGTTTTTATACGAAGATGTTTCCTTTTCTACATTTGGTCTCAAAGCGATTGAAATCTCCAACTGGAAACTGCACAAATAGGGTGTTTCAAATCTGCTCTGTCTAAAGGAAGGTTCAACTCTGTGAGTTGAATACACACACCACAAATAAGTTACTGAGAATTCTTCTGTCGAACATTACAGGAAGAAATCCCGTTTCCAACGAAGGCCTCAAAGAGGTCCAAATATCCACTTGCAGACATTACAAACAGTGGGTTTCCCAACTGCTCCATCAAAAGAAAGGTTAAACTCTGTGAGCTGAACACACACATCAAAAAGAAGTTTCTGTGAATGATTCTGTCTAGATTTTATAAGAAGATGTTTCCTTTTCTACCGTAGGCCTCAAAGCGCTTGAAATCTCCAGCTGCAAATTCCACAAAAAGGGTGTTTAACATCTGCTCTTCTAAAGGAAAGTTCAACTCTATGAGTTGAATACACACAGCACAAAGAAGTTACTGAGACTTCTCCTATCAAACATTATATGAAGAAATCCCGTTTCCAACGAAGGCCTCAAAGAGGTCCAAATATCTGCTTGCAGACTTTACAGACAGAGCGCTTCCAAACTGCTCCATCAAAAGAAAGGTTAAACTCCTTGAGTTGAACACACACATCACAAAGTAGTTTCTGTGAATGATTCTGTCTAGTTTTTATACGAAGATGTTTCCTTTTCTACCTTTGGTCTCAATGCGATTGAAATCTCCACATGGAAACTCCACAAAAAGAGTGTTTCAAATCTGCTCTTTCTGAAGGAAGGTTCAACTCTGTGAGTTGAATACACACACCACAAATAAGTTACTGAGAATTCTTCTGTGTAACATTATATGAGGAAATCCCGTTTCCAACGAAGGCCTCAAAGAGGTCCAAATATCCACTTGCAGACTTTACAAAGACAGTGTCTCCAAACTCCTCCATCAAAAGAAAGGTTATACTCTGTGAATTGAACGCACACATCACAAAGTAGTTTCTGAGAATGATTCTGTCTAGTTTTTATACGAAGATATTTCCTTTTCTACATTTGGCCTAAAAGCGCTTGAAATCTCCACCTGCAAATATCACAAAAAGAGGGTTTCACATCTGCTCTGTCTAAAGGACAGTTCACCTCTGTGAGTTGAATAGAGGCAACACAAAGAACTTACTCAGTATTCTTCTTTCTAGCATTCTATGAAGAAATCCCGTTTCCAACGAAGGCCCCAAAGAGGTCCAAATATCTGCTTGCAGACTTTACAGACAGAGTTTTTCCAAACTGCTCCATCAAAAGAAAGGTTAAACTCCTTGAGTTGAACACACACATCACAAAGTAGTTTCTGTGAATGATTCTGTCTAGTTTTTATACGAAGATGTTTCCTTTTCTACCTTTGGTCTCAAAGTGATTGAAATCTCCACATGGAAACTCCACAAAAAGAGTGTTTCAAATCTGCTCTTTCTGAAGGAAGGTTCAAATCTGTGAGTTGAATACACACACCACAAATAAGTTACTGAGAATTCTTCTCTGTAACATTATACGAGGAAATCCCGTTTCCAACGAAGGCCTCAAAGAGGTCCAAATATCCACTTGCAGACTTTACAAAGACAGTGTCTCCAAACTCCTCCATCAAAAGAAAGGTTATACTCTGTGAATTGAACGCACACATCACAAAGTAGTTTCTGAGAATGATTCTGTCTAGTTTTTATACGAAGATATTTCCTTTTCTACATTTGGCCTAAAAGCGCTTGAAATCTCCACCTGCAAATATCACAAAAAGAGGGTTTCACATCTGCTCTGTCTAAAGGACAGTTCACCTCTGTGAGTTGAGTAGAGGCAACACAAAGAACTTACTCAGTATTCTTCTTTCTAGCGTTCTATGAAGAAATCCCGTTTCCAACGAAGGCCCCAAAGAGGTCCAAATATCTGCTTGCAGACTTTACAGACAGAGTGTTTCCAAACTACTCTATGAAAAGAAAGCTTAAACTCCTTGAGTTGAACGCACACATCACAAAGTAGTTTCTGAGAATGATTCTGTCTAGTTTTTATACGAAGATGTTTCCTTTTCTACATTTGGTCTCAAAGCGATTGAAATCTCCAACTGGAAACTGCACAAATAGGGTGTTTCAAATCTGCTCTGTCTAAAGGAAGGTTCAACTCTGTGAGTTGAATACACACACCACAAATAAGTTACTGAGAATTCTTCTGTCGAACATTACTTGAAGAAATCCCGTTTCCAACGAAGGCCTCAAAGAGGTCCAAATATCCACTTGCAGACATTACAAACAGAGTGTTTCCAAACTGCTCCATCAAAAGAAAGGTTAAACTCTGTGAGCTGAACACACACATCGAAAAGAAGTTTCTGTGAATGATTCTGTCTAGATTTTATAAGAAGATGTTTCCTTTTCTACCGTAGGCCTCAAAGCGCTTGAAATCTCCAGCTGCAAATTCCACAAAAAGGGTGTTTAACATCTGCTCTTCTAAAGGAAAGTTCAACTCTATGAGTTGAATACACACAGCACAAAGAAGTTACTGAGACTTCTCCTATCAAACATTATATGAAGAAATCCCGTTTCCAACGAAGGCCTCAAAGAGGTCCAAATATCTGCTTGCAGACTTTACAGACAGAGTGTTTCCAAACTGCTCCATCAAAAGAAAGGTTAAACTCCTTGAGTTGAACACACACATCACAAAGTAGTTTCTGTGAATGATTCTGTCTAGTTTTTATACGAAGATGTTTCCTTTTCTACCTTTGGTCTCAAAGCGATTGAAATCTCCACATGGAAACTCCACAAAAAGAGTGTTTCATATCTGCTCTTTCTGAAGGAAGGTTCAACTCTGTGAGTTGAATACACACACCACAAATAAGTTACTGAGAATTCTTCTGGGTAACATTATATGAGGAAATCCCGTTTCCAACGAAGGCCTCAAAGAGGTCCAAATATCCACTTGCAGACTTTACAAAGACAGTGTCTCCAAACTCCTCCATCAAAAGAAAGGTTATACTCTGTGAATTGAACGCACACATCACAAAGTAGTTTCTGAGAATGATTCTGTCTAGTTTTTATACGAAGATATTTCCTTTTCTACATTTGGCCGAAAAGCGCTTGAAATCTCCACCTGCAAATATCACAAAAAGAGGGTTTCACATCTGCTCTGTCTAAAGGACAGTTCACCTCTGTGAGTTGAATAGAGGCAACACAAAGAACTTACTCAGTATTCTTCTTTCTAGCGTTCTATGAAGAAATCCCGTTTCCAACGAAGGCCTCAAAGAGGTCAAATATCTGCTTGCAGACTTTACAGACAGAGTGTTTCCAAACTACTCTATGAAAAGAAAGCTTAAACTCCTTGAGTTGAACGCACACATCACAAAGTAGTTTCTGAGAATGATTCTGTCTAGTTTTTATACGAAGATATTTCCTTTTCTACATTTGGCCTAAAAGTGCTTGAAATCTCCACCTGCAAATATCACAAAAAGAGGGTTTCACATCTGCTCTGTCTAAAGGACAGTTCACCTCTGTGAGTTGAATAGAGGCAACACAAAGAACTTACTCAGTATTCTTCTTTCTAGCTTTCTATGAAGAAATCCCGTTTCCAACGAAGGCCCCAAAGAGGTCCAAATATCTGCTTGCAGACTTTACAGACAGAGTGTTTCCAAACTACTCTATGAAAAGAAAGCTTAAACTCCTTGAGTTGAACGCACACATCACAAAGTAGTTTCTGAGAATGATTCTGTCTAGTTTTTATACGAAGATGTTTCCTTTTCTACATTTGGTCTCAAAGCGATTGAAATCTCCAACTGGAAACTGCACAAATAGGGTGTTTCAAATCTGCTCTGTCTAAAGGAAGGTTCAACTCTGTGAGTTGAATACACACACCACAAATAAGTTACTGAGAATTCTTCTGTCGACCATTACTTGAAGAAATCCCGTTTCCAACGAAGGCCTCAAAGAGGTCCAAATATCCACTTGCAGACATTACAAACAGAGTGTTTCCAAACTGCTCCATCAAAAGAAAGGTTAAACTCTGTGAGCTGAACACACACATCGAAAAGAAGTTTCTGTGAATGATTCTGTCTAGATTTTATAAGAAGATGTTTCCTTTTCTACCGTAGGCCTCAAAGCGCTTGAAATCTCCAGCTGCAAATTCCACAAAAAGGGTGTTTAACATCTGCTCTTCTAAAGGAAAGTTCAACTCTATGAGTTGAATACACACAGCACAAAGAAGTTACTGAGACTTCTTCTATCAAACATTATATGAAGAAATCCCGTTTCCAACGAAGGCCTCAAAGAGGTCCAAATATCTGCTTGCAGACTTTACAGACAGAGTTTTTCCAAACTGCTCCATCGAAAGAAAGGTTAAACTCCTTGAGTTGAACACACACATCACAAAGTAGTTTCTGTGAATGATTCTTTCTAGTTTTTATACGAAGATGTTTCCTTTTCTACCTTTGGTCTCAATGCGATTGAAATCTCCACATGGAAACTCCACAAAAAGAGTGTTTCAAATCTGCTCTTTCTGAAGGAAGGTTCAACTCTGTGAGTTGAATACACACACCACAAATAAGTTACTGAGAATTCTTCTGTGTAACATTATATGAGGAAATCCCGTTTCCAACGAAGGCCTCAAAGAGGTCCAAATATCCACTTGCAGACTTTACAAAGACAGTGTCTCCAAACTCCTCCATCAAAAGAAAGGTTATACTCTGTGAATTGAACGCACACATCACAAAGTAGTTTCTGAGAATGATTCTGTCTAGTTTTTATACGAAGATATTTCCTTTTCTACATTTGGCCTAAAAGCGCTTGAAATCTCCACCTGCAAATATCACAAAAAGAGGGTTTCACATCTGCTCTGTCTAAAGGACAGTTCACCTCTGTGAGTTGAGTAGAGGCAACACAAAGAACTTACTCAGTATTCTTCTTTCCAGCGTTCTATGAAGAAAGCACGTTTCCAACGAAGGCCCCAGTGAGGTCCAAATATCTGCTTGCAGACTTTACAGACAGAGTGTTTCCAAACTACTCTATGAAAAGAAAGCTTAAACTTCTTGAGTTGAACGCACACATCACAAAGTAGTTTCTGAGAATGATTCTGTCTAGTTTTTATACGAAGATGTTTCCTTTTCTACATTTGGTCTCAAAGCGATTGAAATCTCCAACTGGAAACTGCACAAATAGGGTGTTTCAAATCTGCTCTGTCTAAAGGAAGGTTCAACTCTTTGAGTTGAATACACACACCACAAATAAGTTACTGAGAATTCTTCTGTCAAACATTCCTTGAAGAAATTCCGTTTCCAACGAAGGCCTCAAAGAGGTCCAAATATCCACTTGCAGACATTACAAATAGTGTGTTTCCAAACTGCTCCATCAAAAGAAAGGTTAAACTCTGTGAGCTGAACACACACATCAAAAAGAAGTTTCTGTGAATGATTCTGTCTAGATTTTATAAGAAGATGTTTCCTGTTCTACCGTAGGCCTCAAAGCGCTTGAAATCTCCAGCTGCAAATTCCACAAAAAGGGTGTTTAACATCTGGTCTTCTAAAGGAAAGTTCAACTCAATGAGTTGAATACACACAGCACAAAGAAGTTAATGAGACTTCTCCTATCAAACATTATATGAAGAAATCCCGTTTCCAACGAAGGCCTCAAAGAGGTCCAAATATCTGCTTGCAGACTTTACAGACAGAGTGTTTCCAAACTGCTCCATCAAAAGAAAGGTTAAACTCCTTGAGTTGAACACACACATCACAAAGTAGTTTCTGTGAATGATTCTGTCTAGTTTTTATACGAAGATGTTTCCTTTTCTACCTTTGGTCTCAAAGCGATTGAAATCTCCACATGGAAACTTCACAAAAAGAGTGTTTCAAATCTGCTCTTTCTGAAGGAAGGTTCAACTCTGTGAGTTGAATACACACACCACAAATAAGTTACTGAGAACTCTTCTGTGTAACATTATATGAGGAAATCCCGTTTCCAACGAAGTCCTCAAAGAGGTCCAAATATCCACTTACAGACTTTACAAAGACAGTGTCTCCAAACTCCTCCATCAAAAGAAAGGTTATACTCTGTGAATTGAACGCACACATCACAAAGTAGTTTCTGAGAATGATTCTGTCTAGTTTTTATACGAAGATGTTTCCTTTTCTACATTTGGTCTCAAAGCGATTGAAATCTCCAACTGGAAACTGCACAAATAGGGTGTTTCAAATCTGCTCTGTCTAAAGGAAGGTTCAACTCTGTGAGTTGAATACACACACCACAAATAAGTTACTGAGAATTCTTCTGTCGAATATTACAGGAAGAAATCCCGTTTCCAACGAAGGCCTCAAAGAGGTCCAAATATCCACTTGCAGACATTACAAACAGAGTGTTTCCAAACTGCTCCATCAAAAGAAAGGTTAAACTCTGTGAGCTGAACACACACATCAAAAAGAAGTTTCTGTGAATGATTCTGTCTAGATTTTATAAGAAGATGTTTCCTTTTCTACCGTAGGCCTCAAAGCGCTTGAAATCTCCAGCTGCAAATTCCACAAAAAGGGTGTTTAACATCTGCTCTTCTAAAGGAAAGTTCAACTCTATGAGTTGAATACACACAGCACAAAGAAGTTACTGAGACTTCTCCTATCAAGCATTATGTGAAGAAATCCCGTTTCCAACAAAGGCCTCAAAGACGTCCAAATCTCTGCTTGCAGATTTTACAGACAGAGTTTTTCCAAACTGCTCCATCAAAAGAAAGGTTAACCTCCTTGAGTTGAACACAGACATCACAAAGTAGTTTCTGAGAATGATTCTGTCTAGTTTTTATACGAAGATGTTTCCTTTTCTACCTTTGGTCTCAAAGCGATTGAAATCTCCACATGGAAACTCCACAAAAAGAGTGTTTCAAATCTGCTCTGTCTAAAGGAAGGTTCAACTCTGTGAGTTGTATACACACACCACAAATAAGTTACTGAGAATTCTTCTGTGTAACATTATATGAGGAAATCCCGTTTCCAACGAAGGCCTCAAAGAGGTCCAAATATCCACTTGCAGACTTTACAAAGACAGTGTCTCCAAACTCCTCCATCAAAAGAAAGGTTATACTCTGTGAATTGAACGCACACATCACAAAGTAGTTTCTGAGAATGATTCTGTCTAGTTTTTATACGAAGATATTTCCTTTTCTACATTTGGCCTAAAAGCGCTTGAAATCTCCACCTGCAAATATCACAAAAAGAGGGTTTCACATCTGCTCTGTCTAAAGGACAGTTCACCTCTGTGAGTTGAATAGAGGCAACACAAAGAACTTACTCAGTATTCTTCTTTCTAGCGTTCTCTGAAGAAATCCCGTTTCCAACGAAGGCCTCAAAGAGTTCCAAATATCTGCTTGCAGACTTTACAGACAGAGTGTTTCCAAACTACTCTATGAAAAGAAAGCTTAAACTCCTTGAGTTGAACGCACACATCACAAAGTAGTTTCTGAGAATGATTCTGTCTAGTTTTTATACGAAGATGTTTCCTTTTCTACATTTGGTCTCAAAGCGATTGAAATCTCCAACTGGAAACTGCACAAATAGGCTGTTTCAAATCTGCTCTGTCTAAAGGAAGGTTCAACTCTGTGAGTTGAATACACACACCACAAATAAGTTACTGAGAATTCTTCTGTCGACCATTACTTGAAGAAATCCCGTTTCCAACGAAGGCCTCAAAGAGGTCCAAATATCCACTTGCAGACATTACAAACAGAGTGTTTCCAAACTGCTCCATCAAAAGAAAGGTTAAACTCTGTGAGCTGAACACACACATTGAAAAGAAGTTTCTGTGAATGATTCTGTCTAGATTTTATAAGAAGATGTTTCCTTTTCTACCGTAGGCCTCAAAGCGCTTGAAATCTCCAGCTGCAAATTCCACAAAAAGGGTGTTTAACATCTGCTCTTCTAAAGGAAAGTTCAACTCTATGAGTTGAATACACACAGCACAAAGAAGTTACTGAGACTTCTCCTATCAAACATTATATGAAGAAATCCCGTTTCCAACGAAGGCCTCAAAGAGGTCCAAATATCTGCTTGCAGACTTTACAGACAGAGTGTTTCCAAACTGCTCCATCAAAAGAAAGGTTAAACTCCTTGAGTTGAACACACACATCACAAAGTAGTTTCTGTGAATGATTCTGTCTAGTTTTTATACGAAGATGTTTCCTTTTCTACCTTTGGTCTCAAAGTGATTGAAATCTCCACATGGAAACTCCACAAAAAGAGTGTTTCAAATCTGCTCTTTCTGAAGGAAGGTTCAAATCTGTGAGTTGAATACACACACCACAAATAAGTTACTGAGAATTCTTCTGGGTAACATTATATGAGGAAATCCCGTTTCCAACGAAGGCCTCAAAGAGGTCCAAATATCCACTTGCAGACTTTACAAAGACAGTGTCTCCAAACTCCTCCATCAAAAGAAAGGTTATACTCTGTGAATTGAACGCACACATCACAAAGTAGTTTCTGAGAATGATTCTGTCTAGTTTTTATACGAAGATATTTCCTTTTCTACATTTGGCCTAAAAGCGCTTGAAATCTCCACCTGCAAATATCACAAAAAGAGGGTTTCACATCTGCTCTGTCTAAAGGACAGTTCACCTCTGTGAGTTGAATAGAGGCAACACAAAGAACTTACTCAGTATTCTTCTTTCCAGCGTTCTATGAAGAAATCCCTTTTCCAACGAAGGCCTCAAATAGGTCCAAATATCTGCTTGCAGACTTTACAGACAGAGTGTTTCCAAACTACTCTACGAAAAGAAAGCTTAAACTCCTTGAGTTGAACGCACACATCACAAAGTAGTTTCTGAGAATGATTCTGTCTAGTTTTTATACGAAGATGTTTCCTTTTCTACATTTGGTCTCAAAGCGATTGAAATCTCCAACTGGAAACTGCACAAATAGGGTGTTTCAAATCTGCTCTGTCTAAAGGAAGGTTCAACTCTGTGAGTTGAATACACACACCACAAATAAGTTACTGAGAATTCTTCTGTCGAACATTACATGAAGAAATCCCGTTTCCAACGAAGGCCTCAAAGACGTCCAAATATCCACTTGCAGACATTACAAAGAGAGTGTTTCCAAACTGCTCCATCAAAAGAAAGGTTAAACTCTGTGAGCTGAACACACACATCAAAAAGAAGTTTCTGTGAATGATTCTGTCTAGATTTTATAAGAAGATGTTTCCTTTTCTACCGTAGGCCTCAAAGCGCTTGAAATCTCCAGCTGCAAATTCCACAAAAAGGGTGTTTAACATCTGCTCTTCTAAAGGAAAGTTCAACTCTATGAGTTGAATACACACAGCACAAAGAAGTTACTGAGACTTCTCCTATCAAACATTATATGAAGAAATCCCGTTTCCAACGAAGGCCTCAAAGAGGTCCAAATATCTGCTTGCAGACTTTACAGACAGAGTGTTTCCAAACTGCTCCATCAAAAGAAAGGTTAAACTCCTTGAGTTGAACACACACATCACAAAGTAGTTTCTGTGAATGATTCTGTCTAGTTGCTATACGAAGATGTTTCCTTTTCTACCTTTGGTCTCAAAGCGATTGAAATCTCCACATGGAAACTCCACAAAAAGAGTGTTTCAAATCTGCTCTTTCTGAAGGAAGGTTCATCTCTGTGAGTTGAATACACACAGCACAAATAAGTTAGTGAGAATTCTTCTGTGTAACATTATATGAGGAAATCCCGTTTCCAACGAAGGCCTCAAAGAGATCCAAATATCCACTTGCAGACTTTACAAAGACAGTGTCTCCAAACTCCTCCATCAAAAGAAAGGTTATACTCTGTGAATTGAACGGCACACATCACAAAGTAGTTTCTGAGAATGATTCTGTCTAGTTTTTATACGAAGATATTTCCTTTTCTACATTTGGCCTAAAAGTGCTTGAAATCTCCACCTGCAAATATCACAAAAAGAGGGTTTCACATCTGCTCTGTCTAAAGGACAGTTCACCTCTGTGAGTTGAATAGAGGCAACACAAAGAACTTACTCAGTATTCTTCTTTCTAGCGCTCTATGAAGAAATCCCGTTTCCAACGAAGGCCTCAAAGAGGTCCAAATATCTGCTTGCAGACTTCACAGACAGAGTGTTTCCAAAGTACTCTATGAAAAGAAAGCTTAAACTCCTAGAGTTGAACGCACACATCACAAAGTAGTTTCTGAGAATGATTCTGTCTAGTTTTTATACGAAGATGTTTCCTTTTCTACATTTGGTCTCAAAGCGATTGAAATCTCCAACTGGAAACTGCACAAATAGCGTGTTTCAAATCTGCTTTGTCTAAAGGAAGGTTCAACTCTGTGAGTTGAATACACACACCACAAATAAGTTACTGAGAATTCTTCTGTCGAACATTACTTGAAGAAATCCCGTTTCCAACGAAGGCCTCAAAGAGGTCCAAATATCCACTTGCAGACATTACAAACAGAGTGTTTCCAAACTGCTCCATCAAAAGAAAGGTTAAACTCTGTGAGCTGAACACACACATCGAAAAGAAGTTTCTGTGAATGATTCTGTCTAGATTTTATAAGAAGATGTTTCCTTTTCTACCGTAGGCCTCAAAGCGCTTGAAATCTCCAGCTGCAAATTCCACAAAAAGGGTGTTTAACATCTGCTCTTCTAAAGGAAAGTTCAACTCTATGAGTTGAATACACACAGCACAAAGAAGTTACTGAGACTTCTCCTATCAAACATTATATGAAGAAATCCCGTTTCCAACGAAGGCCTCAAAGAGGTCCAAATATCTGCTTGCAGACTTTACAGACAGAGTTTTTCCAAACTGCTCCATCAAAAGAAAGGTTAAACTCCTTGAGTTGAACACACACATCACAAAGTAGTTTCTGTGAATGATTCTGTCTAGTTTTTATACGAAGATTTTTCCTTTTCTACCTTTGGTCTCAAAGCGATTGAAATCTCCACATGGAAACTCCACAAAAAGAGTGTTTCAAATCTGCTCTTTCTGAAGGAAGGTTCAACCCTGTGAGTTGAATACACACACCACAAATAAGTTACTGAGAATTCTTCTGTGTAACATTATATGAGGAAATCCCGTTTCCAACGAAGGCCTCAAAGAGGTCCAAATATCCACTTGCAGACTTTACAAAGACAGTGTCTCCAAACTCCTCCATCAAAAGAAAGGTTATACTCTGTGAATTGAATGCACACATCACAAAGTAGTTTCTGAGAATGATTCTGTCTAGTTTTTATACGAAGATATTTCCTTTTCTACATTTGGCCTAAAAGCGGTTGAAATCTCCACCTGCAAATATCAAAAAAAGAGGGGTTCACATCTGCTGTGTCTAAAGGACAGTTCACCTCTGTGAGTTGAATAGAGGCAACACCAAGAACTTACTCAGTATTCTTCTTTCTAGCGTTCTATGAAGAAATCCCGTTTCCAACGAAGGCCCCAAAGAGGTCCAAATATCTGCTTGCAGACTTTACAGACAGAGTGTTTCCAAACTACTCTATGAAAAGAAAGCTTAAACTCCTTGAGTTGAACGCACACATCACAAAGTAGTTTCGGAGAATGATTCTGTCTAGTTTTTATACGAAGATGTTTCCTTTTCTACATTTGGTCTCAAAGCGATTGAAATCTCCAACTGGAAACTGCACAAATAGGCTGTTTCAAATCTGCTCTGTCTAAAGGAAGGTTCAACTCTGTGAGTTGAATACACACACCACAAAGAAGTTACTGAGAATTCTTCTGTCGAACATTACATGAAGAAATCCCGTTTCCAACGAAGGCCTCAAAGAGGTCCAAATATCCACTTGCAGACATTACAAATAGTGTGTTTCCAAACTGCTCCATCAAAAGAAAGGTTAAACTCTGTGAGCTGAACACACACATCAAAAAGAAGTTTCTGTGAATGATTCTGTCTAGATTTTCTAAGAAGATGTTTCCTTTTCTACCGTAGGCCTCAAAGTTCTTGAAATCTCCAGCTGCAAATTCCACAAAAAGGGTGTTTAACATCTGCACTTCTAAAGGAAAGTTCAACTCTATGAGTTGAATACACACAGCACAAAGAAGTTACTGAGACTTCTCCTATCAAACATTATATGAAGAAATCCCGTTTCCAACGAAGGCCTCAAAGAGGTCCAAATATCCGCTTGCAGACTTTACAGACAGAGTTTTTCCAAACTGCTCCATCAAAAGAAAGGTTAAACTCCTTGAGTTGAACACACACATCACAAAGTAGTTTCTGTGAATGATTCTGTCTAGTTTTTATACGAAGATGTTTCCTTTTCTACCTTTGGTCTCAAAGCGATTGAAATCTCCACATGGAAACTCCACAAAAAGAGTGTTTCAAATCTGCTCTTTCTGAAGGAAGGTTCAACTCTGTGAGTTGAATACACACACCACAAATAAGTTACTGAGAATTCTTCTGTGTAACATTATATGAGGAAATCCCGTTTCCAACGAAGGCCTCAAAGAGGTCCAAATATCCACTTGCAGACTTTACAAAGACAGTGTCTCCAAACTCCTCCATCAAAAGAAAGGTTATACTCTGTGAATTGAACGCACACATCACAAAGTAGTTTCTGAGAATGATTCTGTCTAGTTTTTATACGAAGATATTTCCTTTTCTACATTTGGCCTAAAAGCGCTTGAAGTCTCCACCTGCAAATATCACAAAAAGAGGGTTTCACATCTGCTCTGTCTAAAGGACAGTTCACCTTTGTGAGTTGAATAGAGGCAACACAAAGAACTTACTCAGTATTCTTCTTTCTAGCGTTCTATGAAGAAATCCCGTTTCCAACGAAGGCCTCAAAGAGGTCCAAATATCTGCTTGCAGACTTTACAGACAGAGTGTTTCCAAACTACTCTATGAAAAGAAAGCTTAAACTCCTTGAGTTGAACGCACACATCACAAAGTAGTTTCTGAGAATGATTCTGTCTAGTTTTTATACGAAGATGTTTCCTTTTCTACATTTGGTCTCAAAGCGATTGAAATCTCCAACTGGAAACTGCACAAATAGGGAGTTTCAAATCTGATCTGTCTAAAGGAAGGGTCAACTCTGTGAGTTGAATACACACACCACAAATAAGTTACTGAGAATTCTTCTGTCGAACATTACATGAAGAAATCCCGTTTCCAACGAAGGCCTCAAAGAGGTCCAAATATCCACTTGCAGACATCACAGAGTGTTTCCAAACTGCTCCATCAAAAGAAAGGTTAAACTCTGTGAGCTGAACACACACATCAAAAAGAAGTTTCTGTGAATGATTCTGTCTAGATTTTATAAGAAGATGTTTCCTTTTCTACCGTAGGCCTCAAAGCGCTTGAAATCTCCAGCTGCAAATTCCACAAAAAGGGTGTTTAACATCTGCTCTTCTAAAGGAAATTTCAACTCTATGAGTTGAATACACACAGCACAAAGAAGTTACTGAGACTTCTCCTATCAAACATTATATGAAGAAATCCCGTTTCTAACGAAGGCCTCAAAGAGGTCCAAATATCCACTTGCAGACGTGACAAACAGAGTGTTTCCAAACTGCTGCATCAAAAGAAAGGTTAAACTCTGTGAGTTGAACACACACATCACAAAGTAATTTCTGTGAATGATTCTGTCTAGTTTTTATACGAAGATGTTTCCTTTTCTATCTTTGGTCTCAAAGCGATTGAAATCTCCACATGGAAACTCCACAAAAAGAGTGTTTCAAATCTGCTCTTTCTGAAGGAAGTTTCAACTCTGTGAGTTGAATACACACACCACAAATAAGTTACTGAGAATTCTTCTGGGTAACATTATATGAGGAAATCCCGTTTCCAACGAAGGCCTCAAAGAGGTCCAAATATCCACTTGCAGACTTTACAAAGACAGTGTCTCCAAACTCCTCCATCAAAAGAAAGGTTATACTCTGTGAATTGAACGCACACATCACAAAGTAGTTTCTGAGAATGATTCTGTCTAGTTTTTATACGAAGATATTTCCTTTTCTACATTTGGCCTAAAAGCGCTTGAAATCTCCACGTGCAAATATCACAAAAAGAGGGTTTCACATCTGCTCTGTCTAAAGGACAGTTCACCTCTGTGAGTTGAATAGAGGCAACACAAAGAACTTACTCAGTATTCTTCTTTCTAGCGTTCTATGAAGAAATCCCGTTTCCAACAAAGGCCCCAAAGAGGTCCAAATATCTGCTTGCAGACTTTACAGACAGAGTGTTTCCAAACTACTCTATGAAAAGAAAGCTTAAACTCCTTGAGTTGAATGCACACATCACAAAGTAGTTTCTGAGAATGATTCTGTCTAGTTTTTATACGAAGATGTTTCCTTTTCTACATTTGGTCTCAAAGCGATTGAAATCTCCAACTGGAAACAGCACAAATAGGGTGTTTCAAATCTGCTCTGTCTAAAGGAAGGTTCAACTCTGTGAGTTGAATACACACACCACAAATAAGTTACTGAGAATTCTTCTGTCGACCATTACTTGAAGAAATCCCGTTTCCAACGAAGGCCTCAAAGAGGTCCAAATATCCACTTGCAGACATTACAAACAGAGTGTTTCCAAACTGCTCCATCAAAAGAAAGGTTAAACTCTGTGAGCTGAACACACACATCGAAAAGAAGTTTCTGTGAATGATTCTGTCTAGATTTTATAAGAAGATGTTTCCTTTTCTACCGTAGGCCTCAAAGCGCTTGAAATCTCCAGCTGCAAATTCCACAAAAAGGGTGTTTAACATCTGCTCTTCTAAAGGAAAGTTCAACTCTATGAGTTGAATACACACAGCACAAAGAAGTTACTGAGACTTCTCCTATCAAACATTATATGAAGAAATCCCGTTTTCAACGAAGGCCTCAAAGAGGTCCAAATATCTGCTTGCAGACTTTACCGACAGAGTGTTTCCAAACTGCTCCATCAAAAGAAAGGTTAAACTCCTTGAGTTGAACACACACATCACAAAGTAGTTTCTGTGAATGATTCTGTCTAGTTTTTATACGAAGATGTTTCCTTTTCTACCTTTGGTCTCAAAGCGATTGAAATCTCCACATGGAAACTCCACCAAAAGAGTGTTTCAAATCTGCTCTTTCTGAAGGAAGGTTCAACTCTGTGAGTTGAATACAGACACCACGAATAAGTTACTGAGAATTCTTCTGTGTAACATTATATGAGGAAATCCCGTTTCCAACGAAGGCCTCAAAGAGGTCCAAATATCCACTTGCAGACTTTACAAAGACAGTGTCTCCAAACTCCTCCATCAAAAGAAAGGTTATACTCTGTGAATTGAACGCACACATCACAAAGTAGTTTCTGAGAATGATTCTGTCTAGTTTTTATACGAAGATATTTCCTTTTCTACATTTGGCCTAAAAGCGCTTGAAATCTCCACCTGCAAATATCACAAAAAGAGGGTTTCACATCTGCTCTGTCTAAAGGACAGTTCACCTGCTGTGAGTTGAATAGAGGCAACACAAAGAACTTACTCAGTATTCTTCTTTCTAGCGTTCTATGAAGAAATCCCGTTTCCAACGAAGGCCCCAAAGAGGTCCAAATATCTGCTTGCAGACTTTACAGACAGAGTGTTTCCAAACTACTCTATGAAAAGAAAGCTTAAACTCCTTGAGTTGAACGCACACATCACAAAGTAGTTTCGGAGAATGATTCTGTCTAGTTTTTATACGAAGATGTTTCCTTTTCTACATTTGGTCTCAAAGCGATTGAAATCTCCAACTGGAAACTGCAGAAATAGGGTGTTTCAAATCTGCTCTGTCTAAAGGAAGGTTCAACTCTGTGAGTTGAATACACACACCACAAATAAGTTACTGAGAATTCTTCTGTCGAACATTACTTGAAGAAATCCCGTTTCCAACGAAGGCCTCAAAGAGGTCCAAATATCCACTTGCAGACATTACAAACAGAGTGTTTCCAAACTGCTCCATCAAAAGAAAGGTTAAACTCTGTGAGCTGAACACACACATCAAAAAGAAGTTTCTGTGAATGATTCTGTCTAGATTTTATAAGAAGATGTTTCCTTTTCTACCGTAGGCCTCAAAGCGCTTGAAATCTCCAGCTGCAAATTCCACAAAAAGGTTGTTTAACATCTGCTCTTCTAAAGGAAAGTTCAACTCTATGAGTTGAATACACACAGCACAAAGAAGTTACTGAGACTTCTCCTATCAAACATTATATGAAGAAATCCCGTTTCCAACGAAGGCCTCAAAGAGGTCCAAATATCTGCTTGCAGACTTTACAGACAGAGTGTTTCCAAACTGCTCCATCAAAAGAAAGGTTAAACTCCTTGAGTTGAACACACACATCACAAAGTAGTTTCTGTGAATGATTCTGTCTAGTTGTTATACGAAGATGTTTCCTTTTCTACCTTTGGTCTCAAAGCGATTGAAATCTCCACATGGAAACTCCACAAAAAGAGTGTTTCAAATCTGCTCTTTCTGAAGGAAGGTTCATCTCTGTGAGTTGAATACACACACCACAAATAAGTTACTGAGAATTCTTCTGGGTAACATTATATGAGGAAATCCCGTTTCCAACGAAGGCCTCAAAGAGGTCCAAATATCCACTTGCAGACTTTACAAAGACAGTGTCTCCAAACTCCTCCATCAAAAGAAAGGTTATACTCTGTGAATTGAACGCACACATCACAAAGTAGTTTCTGAGAATGATTCTGTCTAGTTTTTATACAGAAGATATTTCCTTTTCTACATTTGGCCTAAAAGCGCTTGAAATCTCCACCTGCAAATATCACAAAAAGAGGGTTTCACATCTGCTCTGTCTAAAGGACAGTTCACCTCTGTGAGTTGAATAGAGGCAACACAAAGAACTTACTCAGTATTCTTCTTTCTAGCGTTCTATGAAGAAATCCCGTTTCCAACGAAGGCCCCAAAGAGGTCCAAATATCTGCTTGCAGACTTTACAGACAGAGTGTTTCCAAACTACTCTATGAAAAGAAAGCTTAAACTCCTTGAGTTGAACGCACACATCACAAAGTAGTTTCGGAGAATGATTCTGTCTAGTTTTTATACGAAGATGTTTCCTTTTCTACATTTGGTCTCAAAGCGATTGAAATCTCCAACTGGAAACTGCACAAATAGGGTGTTTCAAATCTGCTCTGTCTAAAGGAAGGTTCAACTCTGTGAGTTGAATACACACACCACAAATAAGTTACTGAGAATTCTTCTGTCGAACATTACTTGAAGAAATCCCGTTTCCAACGAAGGCCTCAAAGAGGTCCAAATATCCACTTGCAGACATTACAAACAGAGTGTTTCCAAACTGCTCCATCAAAAGAAAGGTTAAACTCTGTGAGCTGAACACACACATCGAAAAGAAGTTTCTGTGAATGATTCTGTCTAGATTTTATAAGAAGATGTTTCCTTTTCTACCGTAGGCCTCAAAGCGCTTGAAATCTCCAGCTGCAAATTCCACAAAAAGGGTGTTTAACATCTGCTCTTCTAAAGGAAAGTTCAACTCTATGAGTTGAATACACACAGCACAAAGAAGTTACTGAGACTTCTCCTATCAAACATTATATGAAGAAATCCCGTTTCCAACGAAGGCCTCAAAGAGGTCCAAATATCTGCTTGCAGACTTTACAGACAGAGTGTTTCCAAACTGCTCCATCAAAAGAAAGGTTAAACTCCTTGAGTTGAACACACACATCACAAAGTAGTTTCTGTGAATGATTCTGTCTAGTTTTTATACGAAGATGTTTCCTTTTCTACCTTTGGTCTCAAAGCGATTGAAATCTCCACATGGAAACTCCACAAAAAGAGTGTTTCAAATCTGCTCTTTCTGAAGGAAGGTTCAACTCTGTGAGTTGAATACACACACCACAAATAAGTTACTGAGAATTCTTCTGTGTAACATTATATGAGGAAATCCCATTTCCAACGAAGGCCTCAAAGAGGTCCCAATATCCACATGCAGACTTTACAAAGACAGTGTCTCCAAACTCCTCCATCAAAAGAAAGGTTATACTCTGTGAATTGAACGCACACATCACAAAGTAGTTTCTGAGAATGATTCTGTCTAGTTTTTATACGAAGATATTTCCTTTTCTACATTTGGCCTAAAAGCGCTTGAAATCTCCACGTGCAAATATCACAAAAAGAGGGTTTCACATCTGCTCTGTCTAAAGGACAGTTCACCTCTGTGAGTTGAATAGAGGCAACACAAAGAACTTACTCAGTATTCTTCTTTCTAGCGTTCTATGAAGAAATCCCGTTTCCAACGAAGGCCCCAAAGAGGTCCAAATATCTGCTTGCAGACTTTACAGACAGAGTGTTTCCAAACTACTCTATGAAAAGAAAGCTTAAACTCCTTGAGTTGAACGCACACAGCACAAAGTAGTTTCTGAGAATGATTCTGTCTAGTTTTTATACGAAGATGTTTCCTTTTCTACATTTGGTCTCAAAGCGATTGAAATCTCCAACTGGAAACTGCACAAATAGGCTGTTTCAAATCTGCTCTGTCTAAAGGAAGGTTCAACTCTGTGAGTTGAATACACACACCACAAAGAAGTTACTGAGAATTCTTCTGTCGAACATTACTTGAAGAAATCCCGTTTCCAACGAAGGCCTCAAAGAGGTCCAAATATCCACTTGCAGACATTACAAACAGAGTGTTTCCAAACTGCTCCATCAAAAGAAAGGTTAAACTCTGTGAGCTGAACACACACATCGAAAAGAAGTTTCTGTGAATGATTCTGTCTAGATTTTATAAGAAGATGTTTCCTTTTCTACAGTAGGCCTCAAAGCGCTTGAAATCTCCAGCTGAAAATTCCACAAAAAGGGTGTTTAACATCTGCTCTTCTAAAGGAAAGTTCAACTCTATGAGTTGAATGCACACAGCACAAAGAAGTTACTGAGACTTCTCCTATCAAACATTATATGAAGAAATCCCGTTTCCAACGAAGGCCTCAAAGAGGTCCAAATATCTGCTTGCAGACTTTACAGACAGAGTGTTTCCAAACTGCTCCATCAAAAGAAAGGTTAAACTCCTTGAGTTGAACACACACATCACAAAGTAGTTTCTGTGAATGATTCTGTCTAGTTGTTATACGAAGATGTTTCCTTTTCTACCTTTGGTCTCAATGCGATTGAAATCTCCACATGGAAACTCCACAAAAAGAGTGTTTCAAATCTGCTCTTTCTGAAGGAAGGTTCATCTCTGTGAGTTGAATACACACACCACAAATAAGTTACTGAGAATTCTTCTGTGTAACATTATATGAGGAAATCCCGTTTCCAACGAAGGCCTCAAAGAGGTCCAAATATCCACTTGCAGACTTTACAAAGACAGTGTCTCCAAACTCCTCCATCAAAAGAAAGGTTATACTCTGTGAATTGAATGCACACGTCACAAAGTAGTTTCTGAGAATGATTCTGTCTAGTTTTTATACGAAGTTATTTCCTTTTCTACATTTGGCCTAAAAGCGCTTGAAATCTACACCTGCAAATATCACAAAAAGAGGGTTTCACATCTACTCTGTCTAAAGGACAGTTCACCTCTGTGAGTTGAATAGAGGCAACACAAAGAACTTACTCAATATTCTTCTTTCTAGCGTTCTATGAAGAAATCCCGTTTCCAACGAAGGCCTCAAAGAGGTCAAATATCTGCTTGCAGACTTTACAGACAGAGTGTTTCCAAACTACTCTATGAAAAGAAAGCTTAAACTCCTTGAGTTGAACGCACACATCACAAAGTAGTTTCTGAGAATGATTCTGTCTAGTTTTTATACGAAGATGTTTCCTTTTCTACATTTGGTCTCAAAGCGATTGAAATCTCCAACTGGAAACTGCACAAATAGGGTGTTTCAAATCTGCTCTGTCTAAAGGAAGGTTCAACTCTGTGAGTTGAATACACACACCACAAATAAGTTACTGAGAATTCTTCTGTCGAACATTACTTGAAGAAATACCGTTTCCAAAGAAGGCCTCAAAGAGGTCAAAATATCCACTTGCAGACATTACAAACAGAGTGTTTCAAAACTGCTCCATCAAAAGAAAGGTTAAACTCTGTGAGCTGAACACACACATGAAAAAGAAGTTTCTGTGAATGATTCTGTCTAGATTTTATAAAAAGATGTTTCCTTTTCTACCGTAGGCCACAAAGCGCTTGAAATCTCCAGCTGCAAATTCCACAAAAAGGGTGTTTAACATCTGCTCTTCTAAAGGAAAGTTCAACTCCATGCGTTGAATACACACAGCACAAAGAAGTTACTGAGACTTCTCCTATCAAACATTATATGAAGAAATCCCGTTTCCAACGAAGGCCTCAAAGAGGTCCAAATATCTGCTTGCAGACTTTACAGACAGAGTTTTTCCAAACTGCTCCATCAAAAGAAAGGTTAAACTCCTTGAGTTGAACACACACATCACAAAGTAGTTTCTGTGAATGATTCTGTCTAGTTTTTATACGAAGATGTTTCCTTTTCTACCTTTGGTCTCAAAGCGATTGAAATCTCCACATGGAAACTCCACAAAAAGAGTGTTTCAAATCTGCTCTTTCTGAAGGAAGGTTCAACTCTGTGAGTTGAATACACACACCACAAATAAGTTACTGAGAATTCTTCTGTGTAACATTATATGAGGAAATCCCGTTTCCAACGAAGGCCTCAAAGAGGTCCAAATATCCACTTGCAGACTTTACAAAGACAGTGTCTCCAAACTCCTCCATCAAAAGAAAGGTTATACTCTGTGAATTGAACGCACACATCACAAAGTAGTTTCTGAGAATGATTCTGTCTAGTTTTTATACAAAGATATTTCCTTTTCTACATTTGGCCTAAAAGCGCTTGAAACCTCCACCTGCAAATATCACAAAAAGAGGGTTTCACATCTGCTCTGTCTAAAGGACAGTTCACCTCTGTGAGTTGAATAGAGGCAACACCAAGAACTTACTCAGTATTCTTCTTTCTAGCGTTATATGAAGAAATCCCGTTTCCAACGAAGGCCTCAAAGAGGTCCAAATATCTGCTTGCAGACTTTACAGACAGAGTGTTTCCAAACTACTCTATGAAAAGAAAGCTTAAACTCCTTGAGTTGAATGCACACATCACAAAGTAGTTTCTGAGAATGATTCTGTCTTGTTTTTATACGAAGATATTTCCGTTTCTATGATTGGCCTCAAACCATTGAAATCTCCAACTGGAAACTGCACAAATAGGGTGTTTCAAATCTGCTCTGTCTAAAGGAAGGTTCAACTCTGTGAGTTGAATACACACACCACAAATAAGTTACTGAGAATTCTTCTGTCGAATATTACATGAAGAAATCCCGTTTCCAACGAAGGCTTCAAAGAGGTCCAAATATCCACTTGCAGACATTACAAACAGAGTGTTTCCAAACTGCTCCATCAAAAGAAACGTTAAACTCTGTGAGCTGAACACACACATCAAAAAGAAGTTTCTGTGAATGATTCTGTCTAGATTTTATAAGAAGATGTTTCCTTTTCTACCGTAGGCCTCAAAGCGCTTGAAATCTCCAGCTGCAAATTCCACAAAAAGGGTGTTTAACATCTGCTCTTCTAAAGGAGAGTTCAACTCTATGAGTTGAATACACACAGCACAAAGAATTTACTGAGACTTCTCCTATCAAACATTATATGAAGAAATCCCGTTTCCAATGAAGGCCTCAAAGAGGTCCAAATATCCACTTGCAGACGTGACAAACAGAGTGTTTCCAAACTGCTGCATCAAAAGAAAGTTTAAACTCTGTGAGTTGAACACACACATGACAAAGTAGTTTCTGTGAATGATTCTGTCTAGTTTTTATACGAAGATGTTTCCTTTTCTACCTTTGGTCTCAAAGCGATTGAAATCTCCACATGGAAACTCCATAAAAAGAGTGTTTCAAATCTGCTCTTTCTGAAGGAAGGTTCAACTCTGTGAGTTGAATACACACACCGCAAATAAGTTACTGAGAATTCTTCTGTGTAAAATTATATGAGGAAATCCCGTTTCCAACGAAGGCCTCAAAGAGGTCCAAATATCCACTTGCAGACTTTACAAAGACAGTGTCTCCAAACTCCTCCATCAAAAGAAAGGTTATACTTTGTGAATTGAACGCACACATCACAAAGTAGTTTCTGAGAATGATTCTGTCTAGTTTTTATACGAAGATATTTCCTTTTCTACATTTGGCCTAAAAGCGCTTGAAATCTCCACCTGCAAATATCACAAAAAGAGGGTTTCACATCTGCTCTGTCTAAAGGACAGTTCACCTCTGTGAGTTGAATAGAGGCAACACAAAGAACTTACTCAGTATTCTTCTTTCTAGCGTTCTATGAAGAAATCCCGTTTCCAACGAAGGCCCCAAAGAGGTCCAAATATCTGCTTGCAGACTTTACAGACAGAGTGTTTCCAAACTACTCTATGAAAAGAAAGCTTAAACTCCTTGAGTTGAACGCACACATCACAAAGTAGTTTCTGAGAATGATTCTGTCTAGTTTTTATACGAAGATGTTTCCTTTTCTACATTTGGTCTCAAAGCGATTGAAATCTCCAACTGGAAACTGCACAAATAGGGTGTTTCAAATCTGCTCTGTCTAAAGGAAGGTTCAACTCTGTGAGTTGAATACACACACCACAAATAAGTTACTGAGAATTCTTCTGTCGAACATTACTTGAAGAAATCCCGTTTCCAACGAAGGCCTCAAAGAGGTCCAAATATCCACTTGCAGACATTACAAACAGAGTGTTTCCAAACTGCTCCATCAAAAGAAAGGTTAAACTCTGTGAGCTGAACACACACATCGAAAAGAAGTTCCTGTGAATGATTCTGTCTAGTTTTTATACGAAGATATTTCCTTTTCTACATTTGGCCTAAAAGCGCTTGAAATCTCCAGCTGCAAATTCCACAAAAAGGGTGTTTAACATCTGCTCTTCTAAAGGAAAGTTCAACTCTATGAGTTGAATAGACACAGCACAAAGAAGTTACTGAGACTTCTCCTATCAAGCATTATGTGAAGAAATCCCGTTTCCAACGAAGGCCTCAAAGAACGTCCAAATCTCTGCTTGCAGACTTTACAGACAGAGTTTTTCCAAACTGCTCCATCAAAAGAAAGGTTAACCTCCTTGAGTTGAACACAGACATCACAAAGTAGTTTCTGAGAATGATTCTGTCTAGTTTTTATACGAAGATGTTTCCTTTTCTACCTTTGGTCTCAAAGCGATTGAAATCTCCACATGGAAACTCCACAAAAAGAGTCTTTCAAATCTGATCTTTCTGAAGGAAGGTTCAACTCTGTGAGTTGAATACACACAGCACAAATAAGCTACTGAGAATTCTTCTGTGTAACATTATATGAGGAAATCCCGTTTCCAACGAAGGCCTCAAAGAGGTCCAAATATCCACTTGCAGACTTTACAAAGACAGTGTCTCCAAACTCCGCCATCAAAGAAAGGTTATACTCTGTGAATTGAACGCACACATCACAAAGTAGTTTCTGAGAATGATTCTGTCTAGTTTTTATACGAAGATATTTCCTTTTCTACATTTGGCCTAAAAGCGCTTGAAATCTCCACCTGCAAATATCACAAAAAGAGGGTTTCACATCTGCTCTGTCTAAAGGACAGTTCACCTCTGTGAGTTGAATAGAGGCAACACTAAGAACTTACTCAGTATTCTTCTTTCTAGCGTTCTATGAAGAAATCTCGTTTCCAACGAAGGCCTCAAAGAGGTCCAAATATCTGCTTGCAGACTTTACAGACAGAGTGTTTCCAAACTACTCTATGAGAAGAAAGCTTAAACTCCTTGAGTTGAACGCACACATCACAAAGTAGTTTCTGAGAATGATTCTGTCTAGTTTTTATACGAAGATGTTTCCTTGTCTACATTTGGTCTCAAAGCGATTGAAATCTCCAACTGGAAACTGCACAAATAGGGTGTTTCAAATCTGCTCTGTCTAAAGGAAGGTTCAACTCTGTGAGTTGAATACACACACCACAAATAAGTTACTGAGAATTCTTCCGTCGAACATTACTTGAAGAAATCCCGTTTCCAACGAAGGCCTCAAGGAGGTCCAAATAACCACTTGCAGACATTACAAACAGAGTGTTTCCAAACTGCTCCATCAAAAGAAAGGTTAAACTCTGTGAGCTGAACACACACATCAAAAAGAAGTTTCTGTGAATGATTCTGTCTAGATTTTATAAGAAGATGTTTCCTTTTCTACCGTAGGCCTCAAAGCGCTTGAAATCTCCAGCTGCAAATTCCACAAAAAGGGTGTTTAACATCTGCTCTTCTAAAGGAAAGTTCAACTCTATGAGTTGAATACACACAGCACAAAGAAGTTACTGAGACTTCTCCTATCAAACATTATATGAAGAAATCCCGTTTCCAACGAAGGCCTCAAAGAGGTCCAAATATCTGCTTGCAGACTTTACAGACAGAGTTTTTCCAAACTGCTCCATCAAAAGAAAGGTTAAACTCCTTGAGTTGAACACACACATCACAAAGTAGTTTCTGTGAATGATTCTGTCTAGTTTTTATACAAAGATGTATCCTTTTCTACCTTTGGTCTCAAAGCGATTGAAATCTCCACATGGAAACTCCACAAAAAGAGTGTTTCAAATCTGCTCTTTCTGAAGGAAGGTTCAACTCTGTGAGTTGAATACACACACCACAAATAAGTTACTGAGAATTCTTCTGTGTAACATTATATGAGGAAATCACGTTTCCAACGAAGGCCTCAAAGAGGTCCAAATATCCACTTGCAGACTTTACAAAGACAGTGTCTCCAAACTCCTCCATCAAAAGAAAGGTTATACTCTGTGAATTGAACGCACACATCACAAAGTAGTTTCTGAGAATGATTCTGTCTAGTTTTTATACGAAGATATTTCCTTTTCTACATTTGGCCTAAAAGTGCTTGAAATCTCCACCTGCAAATATCACAAAAAGAGGGTTTCACATCTGCTCTGTCTAAAGGACAGTTCACCTCTGTGAGTTGAATAGAGGCAACACAAAGAACTTACTCAGTATTCTTCTTTCTACCGTTCTATGAAGAAATCCCGTTTCCAACGAAGGCCTCAAAGAGGTCCAAATATCTGCTTGCAGACTTTACAGACAGAGTGTTTCCAAACTACTCTATGAAAAGAAAGCTTAAACTCCTTGAGTTGAACGCACACATCACAAAGTAGTTTCTGAGAATGATTCTGTCTAGTTTTTATACGAAGATGTTTCCTTTTCTACATTTGGTCTCAAAGCGATTGAAATCTCCAACTGGAAACTGCACAAATAGGGTGTTTCAAATCTGCTCTGTCTAAAGGAAGGTTCAACTCTGTGAGTTGAATACACACACCACAAATAAGTTACTGAGAATTCTTCTGTCGAACATTACATGAAGAAATCCGGTTTCCAACGAAGGCCTCAAAGAGGTCCAAATATCCACTTGCAGACATTACAAACAGAGTGTTTCCAAACTGCTCCATCAATAGAAAGGTTAAACTCTGTGAGCTGAACACCCACATCAAAAAGAAGTTTCTGTGAATTATTCTGTCTAGATTTTATAAGAAGATGTTTCCTTTTCTACAGTAGGCCTCAAAGCGCTTGAAATCTCCAGCTGCAAATTCCACAAAAAGGGTGTTTAACATCTGCTCTTCTAAAGGAAAGTTCAACTCTATGAGTTGAATACACACAGCACAAAGAAGTTACTGAGACTTCTCCTATCAAACATTATATGAAGAAATCCCGTTTCCAACGAAGGCCTCAAAGAGGTGCAAATATCTGCTTGCAGACTTTACAGACAGAGTGTTTCCAAACTGCTCCATCAAAAGAAAGGTTAAACTCCTTGAGTTGAACACACACATCACAAAGTAGTTTCTGTGAATGATTCTGTCTAGTTTTTATACGAAGATGTTTCCTTTTCTACCTTTGGTCTCAAAGCGATTGAAATCTCCACATGGAAACTCCACAAAAAGAGTGTTTCAAATCTGCTCTTTCTGAAGGAAGGTTCAACTCTGTGAGTTGAATACACACACCACAAATAAGTTACTGAGAATTCTTCTGTGTAACATTATATGAGGAAATCCCGTTTCCAACGAAGGCCTCAAAGAGGTCCAAATATCCACTTGCAGACTTTACAAAGACAGTGTCTCCAAACTCCTCCATCAAAAGAAAGGTTATACTCTGTGAATTGAACGCACACATCACAAAGTAGTTTCTGAGAACGATTCTGTCTAGTTTTTATACGAAGATATTTCCTTTTCTACATTTGGCCTAAAAGCGCTTGAAATCTCCACCTGCAAATATCACAAAAAGAGGGTTTCACATCTGCTCTGTCTAAAGGACAGTTCACCTCTGTGAGTTGAATAGAGGCAACACAAAGAACTTACTCAGTATTCTTCTTTCTAGCGTTCTATGAAGAAATCCCGTTTCCAACGAAGGCCCCAAAGAGGTCCAAATATCTGCTTGCAGACTTTACAGACAGAGTGTTTCCAAACTACTCTATGAAAAGAAAGCTTAAACTCCTTGAGTTGAACGCACACATCACAAAGTAGTTTCTGAGAATGATTCTGTCTAGTTTTTATACGAAGATGTTTCCTTTTCTACGTTTGGTCTCAAAGCGATTGAAATCTCCAACTGGAAACTGCACAAATAGGGTGTTTCAAATCTGCTCTGTCTAAAGGAAGGTTCAACTCTGTGAGTTGAATACACACACCACAAATAAGTTACTGAGAATTCTTCTGTCGAACATTACATGAAGAAATCCCGTTTCCAACGAAGGCCTCAAAGACGTCCAAATATCCACTTGCAGACATTACAAACAGAGTGTTTCCAAACTGCTCCATCAAAAGAAAGGTTAAACTCTGTGAGCTGAACACACACATCAAAAAGAAGTTTCTGTGAATGATTCTGTCTAGATTTTATAAGAAGATGTTTCCTTTTCTACCGTAGGCCTCAAAGCGCTTGAAATCTCCAGCTGCAAATTCCACAAAAAGGGTGTTTAACATCTGCTCTTCTAAAGGAAAGTTCAACTCTATGAGTTGAATACACACAGCACAAAGAAGTTACTGAGACTTCTTCTGTCTAACATTATATGAAGAAATCCCGATTCCAACGAAGGCCTCAAAGAGGTCCAAATATCTGCCTGCAGACTTTACAGACAGAGTGTTTCCAAACTGCTCCATCAAAAGAAAGGTTAAACTCCTTGAGTTGAACACACACATCACAAAGTAGTTTCTGTGAATGATTCTGTCTAGTTTTTATACGAAGATGTTTCCTTTTCTACCTTTGGTCTCAAAGCGATTGAAATCTCCACATGGAAACTCCACAAAAAGAGTGTTTCAAATCTGCTCTTTCTGAAGGAAGGTTCATCTCTGTGAGTTGAATACACACACCACAAATAAGTTACTGAGAATTCTTCTGTGTAACATTATATGAGGAAATCCCGTTTCCAACGAAGGCCTCAAAGAGCTCCAAATATCCACTTGCAGACTTTACAAAGACAGTGTCTCCAAACTCCTCCACCAAAAGAAAGGTTATACTCTGTGAATTGAACGCACACATCACAAAGTAGTTTCTGAGAATGATTCTGTCTAGTTTTTATACGAAGATATTTCCTTTTCTACATTTGGCCTAAAAGCGCTTGAAATCTCCACCTGCAAATATCACAAAAAGAGGGTTTCACATCTGCTCTGTCTAAAGGACAGTTCACCTCTGTGAGTTGAATAGAGGCAACACAAAGAACTTACTCAGTATTCTTCTTTCTAGCGTTCTATGAAGAAATCCCGTTTCCAACGAAGGCCTCAAGGAGGTCCAAATATCTGCTTGCAGACTTTACAGAGTGTTTCCAAACTACTCTATGAAAAGAAAGCTTAAACTCCTTGAGTTGAACGCACACATCACAAAGTAGTTTCTGAGAATGATTCTGTCTAGTTTTTATACGAAGATGTTTCCTTTTCTACATTTGGTCTCAAAGCGATTGAAATCTCCAACTGGAAACTGCACAAATAGGGTGTTTCAAATCTGCTCTGTCTAAAGGAAGGTTCAACTCTGTGAGTTGAATACACACACCACAAATAAGTTACTGAGAATTCTTCTGTCGAACATTACATGAAGAAATCCCGTTTCCAACGAAGGCCTCAAAGACGTCCAAATATCCACTTGCAGACATTACAAACAGAGTGTTTCCAAACTGCTCCATCAAAAGAAAGGTTAAACTCTGTGAGCTGAACACACACATCAAAAAGAAGTTTCTGTGAATGATTCTGTCTAGATTTTATAAGAAGATGTTTCCTTTTCTACCGTAGGCCTCAAAGCGCTTGAAATCTCCAGCTGCAAATTCCACAAAAAGGGTGTTTAACATCTGCTCTTCTAAAGGAAAGTTCAACTCTATGAGTTGAATACACACAGCACAAAGAAGTTACTGAGACTTCTTCTGTCTAACATTATATGAAGAAATCCCGTTTCCAACGAAGGCCTCAAAGAGGTCCAAATATCTGCTTGCAGACTTTACAGACAGAGTGTTTCCAAACTGCTCCATCAAAAGAAAGGTTAAACTCCTTGAGTTGAACACACACATCACAAAGTAGTTTCTGTGAATGATTCTGTCTAGTTTTTATAGGAAGATGTTTCCTTTTCTACCTTTGGTCTCAAAGCGATTGAAATCTCCACATGGAAACTCCACAAAAAGAGTGTTTCAAATCTGCTCTTTCTGAAGGAAGGTTCAACTCTGTGAGTTGAATACACACACCACAAATAAGTTACTGAGAATTCTTCTGTGTAACATTATATGAGGAAATCCCGTTTCCAAAGAAGGCCTGAAAGAGGTCCAAATATCCACTTGCAGACTTTACAAAAACAGTGTCTCCAAACTCCTCCATCAAAAGAAAGGTTAACCTCCTTGAGTTGAACACACACATCACTAAGTAGTTTCTGTGAATGATTCTGTCTAGTTTTTATATGAGGATGTTTCCTTTTCTACCTTTGTTCTCAAAGCGATTGAAATCTCCACATGGAAACTCCAGAAAAAGAGTGCTTCAAATCTGCTCTTTCTGAAGGAAGGTTCAACTCTGTGAGTTGAATACACACACCACAAATAAGTTACTGAGAATTCTTCTGTGTAACATTATATGAGGAAATCCCGTTTCCAACGATGGCCTCAAAGAGGTCCAAATATCCACTTGCAGACTATACAAAGACAGTGTCTCCAAACTCCTCCATCAAAAGAAAGGTTATACTCTGTGAATAGAACGCACACATCACAAAGTAGTTTCTGAGAATGATTCTGTCTAGTTTTTATACGAAGATATTTCCTTTTCTTCATTTGGCCTAAAAGCGCTTGAAATCTCCACCTGCAAATATCACAAAAAGAGGGTTTCACATCTGCTCTGTCTAAAGGACAGTTCACCTCTGTGAGTTGAATAGAGGCAACACCAAGAACTTACTCAGTATTCTTCTTTCTAGCGTTATATGAAGAAATCCCGTTTCCAACGAAGGCCTCAAAGAGGTCCAAATATCTGCTTGCAGATTTTACAGACAGAGTGTTTCCAAACTACTCTATGAAAAGAAAGCTTAAACTCCTTGAGTTGAACGCACACATCACAAAGTAGTTTCTGAGAATGATTCTGTCTTGTTTTTATACGAAGATATTTCCGTTTCTATGATTGGCCTCAAAGCCATTGAAATCTCCAACTGGAAACTGCACAAATAGGGTGTTTCAAATCTGCTCTCTCTAAAGGAAGGTTCAACTCTGTGAGTTGAATACACACACCACAAATAAATTACTGAGAATTCTTCTGTCGAACATTACAGGAAGAAATCCCGTTTCCAGCGAAGGCCTCAAAGAGGTCCAAATATCCACTTGCAGACATTACAAACAGAGTGTTTCCAAACTGCTCCATCAAAAGAAAGGTTAAACTCTGTGAGCTGAACACACACATCAAAAAGAAGTTTCTGTGAATGATTCTGTCTAGATTTTATAAGAAGATGTTTCCTTTTCTACCGTAGGCCTCAAAGCGCTTGAAATCTCCAGCTGCAAATTCCACAAAAAGGGTGTTTAACATCTGCTCTTCTAAAGGAAAGTTCAACTCTATGAGTTGAATACACACAGCACAAAGAAGTTGCTGAGACTTCTCCTATCAAACATTATATGAAGAAATCCCGTTTCCAACGAAGGCCTCAAAGAGGTCCAAATATCTGCTTGCAGACTTTACAGACAGAGTGTTTCCAAACTGCTCCATCAAAAGAAAGGTTAAACTCCTTGAGTTGAACACACACATCACAAAGTAGTTTCTGTGAATGATTCTGTCTAGTTTTTATACGAAGATGTTTCCTTTTCTACCTTTGGTCTCAAAGCGATTGAAATCTCCACATGGAAACTCCACAAAAAGAGTGTTTCAAATCTGCTCTGTCTAAAGGAAGGTTCAACTCTGTGAGTTGAATACACACACCACAAATAAGTTACTGAGAATTCTTCTGTGTAACATTATATGAGGAAATCCCGTTTCCAACGAAGGCCTCAAAGAGGTCCAAATATCCACTTGCAGACTTTACAAAGACAGTGTCTCCAAACTCCTCCATCAAAAGAAAGGTTATACTCTGTGAATTGAACGCACACATCACAAAGTAGTTTCTGAGAATGATTCTGTCTAGTTTTTATACGAAGATATTTCCTTTTCTACATTTGGCCTAAAAGCGCTTGAAGTCTCCACCTGCAAATATCACAAAAAGAGGGTTTCACATCTGCTCTGTCTAAAGGACAGTTCACCTTTGTGAGTTGAATAGAGGCAACACAAAGAACTTACTCAGTATTCTTCTTTCTAGCGTTCTATGAAGAAATCCCGTTTCCAACGAAGGCCTCAAAGAGGTCCAAATATCTGCTTGCAGACTTTACAGACAGAGTGTTTCCAAACTACTCTATGAAAAGAAAGCTTAAACTCCTTGAGTTGAATGCACACATCACAAAGTACTTTCTGAGAATGATTCTGTCTAGTTTTTATACGAAGATGTTTCCTTTTCTACATTTGGTCTCAAAGCGATTGAAATCTCCAACTGGAAACTGCACAAATAGGGAGTTTCAAATCTGCTCTGTCTAAAGGAAGGGTCAACTCTGTGAGTTGAATACACACACCACAAATAAGTTACTGAGAATTCTTCTGTCGAACACTACATGAAGAAATCCCTTTTCCAACAAAGGCCTCAAAGAGGTCCAAATATCCACTTGCAGCCATTACAAACAGTGTGTTTCCAAACTGCTCCATCAAAAGAAAGGTTAAACTCTGTGAGCTGAACACACACATCAAAAAGAAGTTTCTGTGAATGATTCTGTCTAGATTTTATAAGAAGATGTTTCCTTTTCTACCGTAGGCCTCAAAGCGCTTGAAATCTCCAGCTGCAAATTCCACAAAAAGGGTGTTTAACATCTGCTCTTCTAAAGGAAAGTTCAACTCTATGAGTTGAATACACACAGCACAAAGAAGTTACTGAGACTTCTCCTATCAAACATTATATGAAGAAATCCCGTTTCCAACGAAGGCCTCAAAGAGGTCCAAATATCTGCTTGCAGACATTACAGACAGAGTGTTTCCAAACTGCTCCATCAAAAGAAAGGTTAAACTCCTTGAGTTGAACACACACATCACAAAGTAGTTTCTGTGAATGATTCTGTCTAGTTGTTATACGAAGATGTTTCCTTTTCTACCTTTGGTCTCAAAGCGATTGAAATCTCCACATGGAAACTCCACAAAAAGAGTGTTTCAAATCTGCTCTTTCTGAAGGAAGGTTCATCTCTGTGAGTTGAATACACACACCACAAATAAGTTACTGAGAATTCTTCTGTGTAACATTATATGAGGAAATCCCGTTTCCAACGAAGGCCTCAAAGAGGTCCAAATATCCACTTGCAGACTTTAGAAACACAGTGTCTCCAAACTCCTCCATCAAAAGAAAGGTTATACTCTGTGAAATGAACGCACACATCACAAAGTAGTTTCTGAGAATGATTCTGTCTAGTTTTTATACGAAGATATTTCCTTTTCTACATTTGGCCTAAAAGCGCTTGAAATCTCCACCTGCAAATATCACAAAAAGAGGGTTTCACATCTGCTCTGTCTAAAGGACAGGTTCACCTCTGTGAGTTGAATAGAGGCAACACAAAGAACTTACTCAGTATTCTTCTTTCTAGCGTTCTATGAAGAAATCCCGTTTCCAACGAAGGCCTCAAAGAGGTCAAAGATCTGCTTGCAGACTTTACAGACAGAGTGTTTCCAAACTACTCTATGAAAAGAAAGCGTAAACTCCTTGAGTTGAACGCACACATCACAAAGTAGTTTCTGAGAATGATTCTGTCTAGTTTTTATACGAAGATGTTTCCTTTTCTACATTTGGTCTCAAAGCGATAGAAATCTCCAACTGGAAACTGCACAAATAGGCTGTTTCAAATCTGCTCTGTCTAAAGGAAGGTTCAACTCTGTGAGTTGAATACACACACCGCAAATAAGTTACTGAGAATTCTTCTCTCGAACATTACTTGAAGAAATCCCGTTTCCAACGAAGGCCTCAAAGAGGTCCAAATATCCACTTGCAGACATTACAAACAGAGTGTTTCCAAACTGCTCCATCAAAAGAAAGGTTAAACTCTGTGAGCTGAACACACACATCAAAAAGAAGTTTCTGTGAATGATTCTGTCTAGATTTTATAAGAAGATGTTTCCTTTTCTACCGTAGGCCTCAAAGCGCTTGAAATCTCCAGCTGCAAATTCCACAAAAAGGGTGTTTAACATCTGCTCTTCTAAAGGAAAGTTCAACTCTATGAGTTGAATACACACAGCACAAAGAAGTTACTGAGACTTCTCCTATCAAACATTATATGAAGAAATCCCGTTTCCAACGAAGGCCTCAAAGAGGTCCAAATATCTGCCTGCAGACTTTACAGACAGAGTGTTTCCAAACTGCTCCATCAAAAGAAAGGTTAACCTCCTTGAGTTGAACACACACATCACAAAGTAGTTTCTGTGAATGATTCTGTCTAGTTTTTATACGAAGATGTTTCCTTTTCTACCTTTGGTCTCAAAGCGATTGAAATCTCCACATGGAAACCCCACAAAAAGAGTGTTTCAAATCTGCTCTTTCTGAAGGAAGGTTCATCTCTGTGAGTTGAATACACACACCACAAATAAGTTACTGAGAATTCTTCTGTGTAACATTATATGAGGAAATCCCGTTTCCAACGAAGGCCTCAAAGAGGTCCAAATATCCACTTGCAGACTTTACAAAGACAGTGTCTCCAAACTCCTCCATCAAAAGAAAGGTTATACTCTGTGAATTGAACGCACACATCACAAAGTAGTTTCTGAGAATGATTCTGTCTAGTTTTTATACGAAGATATTTCCTTTTCTACATTTGGCCTAAAAGCGCTTGAAATCTCCACCTGCAAATATCACAAAAAGAGGGTTTCACATCTGCTCTGTCTAAAGGACAGTTCACCTCTGTGAGTTGAATAGAGGCAACACAAAGAACTTACTCAGTATTCTTCTTTCTAGCATTCTATGAACAAATCCCGTTTCCAACGAAGACCCCAAAGAGGTCCAAATATCTGCTTGCAGACTTTACAGACAGAGTTTTTCCAAACTACTCTATGAAAAGAAAGCTTAAACTCCTTGAGTTGAACGCACACATCACAAAGTAGTTTCTGAGAATGATTCTGTCTAGTTTTTATACGAAGATGTTTCCTTTTCTACATTTGGTCTCAAAGCGATTGAAATCTCCAACTGGAAACTGCACAAATAGGCTGTTTCAAATCTGCTCTGTCTAAAGGAAGGTTCAGCTCTGTGAGTTGAATACACACACCACAAATAAGTTACTGAGAATTCTTCTGTCGAACATTACAGGAAGAAATCCCGTTTCCAACGAAGGCCTCAAAGAGGTCCAAATATCCACTTGCAGACATTACAAACAGTGTGTTTCCAAACTGCTCCATCAAAAGAAAGGTTAAACTCTGTGAGCTGAACACACACATCAAAAAGAAGTTTCTGTGAATGATTCTGTCTAGATTTTATAAGAAGATGTTTCCTTTTCTACCGTAGGCCTCAAAGCGCTTGAAATCTCCAGCTGCAAATTCCACAAAAAGGGTGTTTAACATCTGCTCTTCTAAAGGAAAGTTCAACTCTATGAGTTGAATACACACAGCACAAAGAAGTTACTGAGACTTCTCCTATCAAACATTAAATGAAGCAATCCCGTTTCCAACGAAGGCCTCAAAGAGGTCCAAATATCTGCTTGCAGACTTTACAGACAGAGTGTTTCCAAACTGCTCCATCAAAAGAAAGGTTAACCTCCTTGAGTTGAACACACACATCACAAAGTAGTTTCTGAGAATGATTCTGTCTAGTTTTTATACGAAGATGTTTCCTTTTCTACCTTTGGTCTCAAAGCGATTGAAATCTCCACATGGAAACTCCACAAAAAGAGTGTTTCAAATCTGCTATGTCTAAAGGAAGGTTCAACTCTGTGAGTTGAATACACACACCACAAATAAGTTACTGAGAATTCTTCTGTGTAACATTATAGGAGGAAATCCCGTTTCCAACGAAGGCCTCAAAGAGGTCCAAATATCCACTTGCAGACTTTACAAAGACAGTGTCTCCAAACTCCTCCATCAAAAGAAAGCTTATCCTCTGTGAATTGAACGCACACATCACAAAGTAGTTTCTGAGAATGATTCTGTCTAGTTTTTATACGAAGATATTTCCTTTTCTACATTTGGCCTAAAAGCGCTTGAAATCTCCACCTGCAAATATCACAAAAACAGGATTTCACATCTGCTCTGTCTAAAGGACAGTTCACCTCTGTGAGTTGAATAGAGGCAGCACAAAGAAGTTACTGAGTATTCTTCTTTCTAGCGTTACATGAAGAAATCCCGTTTCCAACGAAGGCCTCAAAGAGGTCCAAATATCTGCTTGCAGACTTTACAGACAGAGTGTTTCCAAACTACTCTATGAAAAGAAAGCTTAAACTCCTTGAGTTGAACGCACACATCACAAAGTAGTTTCTGAGAATGATTCTGTCTTGTTTTTATACGAAGATATTTCCGTTTCTATGATTGGCCTCCAAGCGATTGAAATCTCCAACTGGAAACTGCACAAATAGGGTGTTTCAAATCTGCTCTGTCTAAAGGAAGGTTCAACTCTGTGAGTTGAATACACACACCACAAATAAGTTACTGAGAATTCTTCTGTCGAACATTACATGAAGAAATCCCGTTTCCAACGAAGGCCTCAAAGAGGTCCAAATATCCACTTGCAGACATTACAAACAGAGTGTTTCCAAACTGCTCCATCAAAAGAAAGGTTAAACTCTGTGAGCTGAACACACACATCAAAAAGAAGTTTCTGTGAATGATTCTGTCTAGATTTTATAAGAAGATGTTTCCTTTTCTACCGTAGGCCTCAAAGCGCTTGAAATCTCCAGCTGCAAATTCCACAAAAAGGGTGTTTAACATCTGCTCTTCTAAAGGAAAGTTCAACTCTATGAGTTGAATACACACAGCACAAAGAAGTTACTGAGACTTCTTCTTTCTAGCGTTCTATGAAGAAATCCCGTTTCCAACGAAGGCCTCAAAGAGGTCCAAATATCTGCTTGCAGACTTTACAGACAGAGTGTTTTTAAACTGCTCCATCAAAAGAAAGGTTAAACTCCTTGAGTTGAACACACACATCACAAAGTAGTTTTTGTGAATGATTCTGTCTAGTTTTTATACGAAGATGTTTCCTTTTCTACCTTTGGTCTCAAAGTGATTGAAATCTCCATATGGAAACTCCACAAAAAGAGTGTTTCAAATCTGCTCTTTCTGAAGGAAGGGTCAACTCTGTGAGTTGAATACACACACCACAAATAAGTTACTGAGAATTCTTCTGTGTAACATTATACGAGGAAATCCCGTTTCCAACGAAGGCCTCAAAGAGGTCCAAATATCCACTTGCAGACTTTACAAAGACAGTGTCTCCAAACTCCTCCATCAAAAGAAAAGTTATACTCTGTGAATTGAACGCACACATCACAAAGTAGTTTCTGAGAATGATTCTGTCTAGTTTTTATACGAAGATATTTCCTTTTCTACATTTGGCCTGAAAGCGCTTGAAGTCTCCACCTGCAAATATCCCAAAAAGAGGGTTTCACATCTGCTCTGTCTAAAGGACAGTTCACCTCGGTGAGTTGAATAGAGGCAACACAAAGAACTTACTCAGTATTCTTCTTTCTAGCGTTCTATGAAGAAATCCCGTTTCCAACGAAGGCCCCAAAGAGGTCCAAATATCTGCTTGCAGACTTTACAGACAGAGTGTTTCCAAACTACTCTATGAAAAGAAAGCTTAAACTCCTTGAGTTGAACGCACACATCACAAAGTAGTTTCTGAGAATGATTCTGTCTAGTTTTTATACGAAGATGTTTCCTTTTCTACATTTGGTCTCAAAGCGATTGAAATCTCCAACTGGAAACTGCACAAATAGGCTGTTTCAAATCTGCTCTGTCTAAAGGAAGGTTCAACTCTGTGAGTTGAATACACACACCACAAAGAAGTTACTGAGAATTCTTCTGTCGAACATTACAGGAAGAAATCCCGTTTCCAGCGAAGGCCTCAAAGAGGTCCAAATATCCACTTGCAGACATTACAAACAGAGTGTTTCCAAACTGCTCCATCAAAAGAAAGGTTAAACTCTGTGAGCTGAACACACACATCAAAAAGAAGTTTCTGTGAATGATTCTGTCTAGATTTTCTAAGAAGATGTTTCCTTTTCTACCGTAGGCCTCAAAGCGCTTGAAATCTCCAGCTGCAAATTCCACAAAAAGGGTGTTTAACATCTGCTCTTCTAAAGGAAAGTTCAACTCTATGAGTTGAATACACACAGCACAAAGAAGTTACTGAGACTTCTCCTATCAAACATTATATGAAGAAATCCCGTTTCCAACGAAGGCCTCAAAGAGGTCCAAATATCTGCTTGCAGACTTTACAGACAGAGTGTTTCCAAACTGCTCCATCAAAAGAAAGGTTAAACTCCTTGAGTTGAACACACACATCACAAAGTAGTTTCTGTGAATGATTCTGTCTAGTTTTTATACGAAGATGTTTCCTTTTCTACCTTTGGTCTCAAAGCGATTGAAATCTCCACATGGAAACTCCACAAAAAGAGTGTTTCAAATCTGCTCTTTCTGAAGGAAGGTTCAACTCTGTGAGTTGAATACACACACCACAAATAAGTTACTGAGAATTCTTCTGTGTAACATTATATGAGGAAATCCCGTTTCCAACGAAGGCCTCAAAGAGGTGCAAATATCCACTTGCAGACTTTACAAAGACAGTGTCTCCAAACTCCTCCATCAAAAGAAAGGTTATACTCTGTGAATTGAACGCACACATCACAAAGTTGTTTCTGAGAATGATTCTGTCTAGTTTTTATACGAAGATATTTCCTTTTCTACATTTGGCATAAAAGCGCTTGAAATCTCCACCTGCAAATATCACAAAAAGAGGGTTTCACATCTGCTCTGTCTAAAGGACACTTTACCTCTGTGAGTTGAATAGAGGCAACACAAAGAACTTACTCAGTATTCTTCTTTCTGGCGTTCTATGAAGAAATCCCGTTTCCAACGAAGGCCCCAAAGAGGTCCAAATATCTGCCTGCAGACTTTACAGACAGAATGTTTCCAAACTACTCTATGAAAAGAAAGCTTAAACTCCTTGAGTTGAACGCACACATCACAAAGTAGTTTCTGAGAATGATTCTGTCTAGTTTTTATACGAAGATGTTTCCTTTTCTACATTTGGTCTCAAAGCGATTGAAATCTCCAACTGGAAACTGCACAAATAGGGTGTTTCAAATCTGCTCTGTCTAAAGGAAGGTTCAACTCTGTGAGTTGAATACACACACCACAAATAAGTTACTGAGAATTCTTCTGTCGAACATTACATGAAGAAATCCCGTTTCCAACGAAGGCCTCAAAGAGGTCCAAATATCCACTTGCAGACATTACAAACAGAGTGTTTCCAAACTGCTCCATCAAAAGAAAGGTTAAACTCTGTGAGCTGAACACACACATCAAAAAGAAGTTTCTGTGAATGATTCTGTCTAGATTTTATAAGAAGATGTTTCCTTTTCTACCGTAGGCCTCAAAGCGCTTGAAATCTCCAGCTGCAAATTCCACAAAAAGGGTGTTTAACATCTGCTCTTCTAAAGGAAAGTTCAACTCTATGAGGTGAATACACACAGCACAAAGAAGTTACTGAGACTTCTCCTATCAAACATTATATGAAGAAATCCCGTTTCCAACGAAGGCCTCAAAGAGGTCCAAATATCTGCTTGCAGACTTTACAGACAGAGTGTTTCCAAACTGCTCCATCAAAAGAAAGGTTAAACTCCTTGAGTTGAACACACACATCACAAAGTAGTTTCTGTGAATGATTCTGTCTAGTTTTTATACGAAGATGTTTCCTTTTCTACCTTTGGTCTCAATGCGATTGAAATCTCCACATGGAAACTCCACAAAAAGAGTGTTTCAAATCTGCTCTTTCTGAAGGAAGGTTCAACTCTGTGAGTTGAATACACACACCACAAATAAGTTACTGAGAATTCTTCTGTGTAACATTATATGAGGAAATCCCGTTTCCAACGAAGGCCTCAAAGAGGTCCAAATATCCACTTGCAGACTTTACAAAGACAGTGTCTCCAAACTCCTCCATCAAAAGAAAGGTTATACTCTGTGAATTGAACGCACACATCACAAAGTAGTTTCTGAGAATGATTCTGTCTAGTTTTTATACGAAGATATTTCCTTTTCTACATTTGGCCTAAAAGCGCTTGAAACCTCCACCTGCAAATATCACAAAAAGAGGGTTTCACATCTGCTCTGTCTAAAGGACAGTTCACCTCTATGAGTTGAATAGAGGCAACACAAAGAACTTACTCAGTATTCTTCTTTCTAGCGTTCTATGAAGAAATCCCGTTTCCAACGAAGACCCCAAAGAGGTCCAAATATCTGCTTGCAGACTTTACAGACAGAGTGTTTCCAAACTACTCTATGAAAAGAAAGCTTAAACTCCTTGAGTTGAACGCACACATCACAAAGTAGTTTCTGAGAATGATTCTGTCTAGTTTTTATACGAAGATGTTTCCTTTTCTACATTTGGTCTCAAAGCGATTGAAATCTCCAACTGGAAACTGCACAAATAAGGTGTTTCAAATCTGCTCTGTCTAAAGGAAGGTTCAACTCTGTGAGTTGAATACACACACCACAAAGAAGTTACTGAGAATTCTTCTGTCGAACATTACTTGAAGAAATCCCGTTTCCAACGAAGGCCTCAAAGAGGTCCAAATATCCACTTGCAGACATTACAAACAGAGTGTTTCCAAACTGCTCCATCAAAAGAAAGGTTAAACTCTGTGAGCTGAACACACACATCAAAATGAAGTTTCTGTGAATGATTCTGTCTAGATTTTATAAGAAGATGTTTCCTTTTCTACCGTAGGCCTCAAAGCGCTTGAAATCTCCAGCTGCAAATTCCACAAAAAGGGTGTTTAACATCTGCTCTTCTAAAGGAAAGTTCAACTCTATGAGTTGAATACACACAGCACAAAGAAGTTACTGAGACTTCTCCTATCAAACATTATATGAAGAAATCCCGTTTCCAACGAAGGCCTCAAAGAGGTCCAGATATCTGCTTGCAGACTTTACAGACAGAGTGTTTCCAAACTGCTCCATCAAAAGAAAGGTTAAACTCTTGAGTTGAACACACACATCACAAAGTAGTTTCTGTGAATGATTCTGTCTAGTTTTTATACGAAGATGTTTGCTTTTCTACCTTTGGCCTCAAAGCGATTGAAATCTCCACATGGAAACTCCACAAAAAGAGTGTTTCAAATCTGCTCTTTCTGAAGGAAGGTTCAACTCTGTGAGTTGAATACACACACCACAAATAAGTTACTGAGAATTCTTCTGTGTAACATTATATGAGGAAATCCCGTTTCCAACGAAGGCCTCAAAGAGGTCCAAATATCCACTTGCAGACTTTACAAAGACAGTGTCTCCAAACTCCTCCATCAAAAGAAAGGTTATACTCTGTGAATTGAACGCACACATCACAAAGTAGTTTCTGAGAATGATTCTGTCTAGTTTTTATACGAAGATATTTCCTTTTCTACATTTGGCCTAAAAGCGCTTGAAATCTCCACCTGCAAATATCACAAAAAGAGGGTTTCACATCTGCTCTGTCTAAAGGACAGTTCACCTCTGTGAGTTGAATAGAGGCAACACAAAGAACTTACTCAGTATTCTTCTTTCTAGCGTTCTATGAAGAAATCCCGTTTCCAACGAAGGCCCTAAAGAGGTCCAAATATCTGCTTGCAGACTTTACAGACAGAGTGTTTCCAAACTACTCTATGAAAAGAAAGGTTAAACTCCTTGAGTTGAACGCACACATCACAAAGTAGTTTCTGAGAATGAATCTGTCTTGTATTTATACGAAGATATTTCCGTTTCTACGATTGGCCTCAAAGCGATTGAAATCTCCAACTGGAAACTGCACAAATAGGGTGTTTCAAATCTGCTCTGTCTAAAGGAAGGTTCAACTCTGTGAGTTGAATACACACACCACAAATAAGTTACTGAGAATTCTCCTATCAAACATTATATGAAGAAATCCCGTTTCCAACGAAGGCCTCAAAGAGGTCCAAATATCCACTTGCAGACATTACAAACAGAGTGTTTCCAAACTGTTCCATCAAAAGAAAGATTAAACTCTGTGAGCTGAACACACACATGAAAAAGAAGTTTCTGTGAATGATTCTGTCTAGATTTTATAAGAAGATGTTTCCTTTTCTACCGTAGGCCTCAAAGCGCTTGAAATCTCCAGCTGCAAATTCCACAAAAAGCGTGTTTAACATCTGCTCTTCTAAAGGAAAGTTCAACTCTATGAGTTGAATACACACAGCACAAAGAAGTTACCGAGATTTCTCCTATCAAACATTATATGAAGAAATCCCGTTTCCAATGAAGGCCTCAAAGAGGTCCAAATATCTTCTTGCAGACTTTACAGACAGAGTTTTTCCAAACTGCTCCATCAAAAGAAAGGTTAAACTCCTTGAGTTGAACACACACATCACAAAGTAGTTTCTGTGAATGATTCTGTCTAGTTTTTATACGAAGATGTATCCTTTTCCACCTTTGGTCTCAAAGCGATTGAAATCTCCACATGGAAACTCCACAAAAAGAGTTTTTCAAATCTGCTCTTTCTGAAGGAAGGTTCAACTCCGTGAGTTGAATACACACACCACAAATAAGTTACTGAGAATTCTTCTGTGTAACATTATATGAGGAAATCCCGTTTCCAACGAAGGCCTCTAAGAGGTCCAAATATCCACTTGCAGACTTTACAAAGACAGTGTCTCCAAACTCCTCCATCAAAAGAAAGGTTATACTCTGTGAATTGAACGCACACATCACAAAGTAGTTTCTCAGAATGATTCTGTCTAGTTTTTATACGAAGATATTTCCTTTTCTACATTTGGCCTAAGAGCGCTTGAAATCTCCACCTGCAAATATCACAAAAAGAGGGTTTCACATCTGCTCTGTCTAAAGGACAGTTCACCTCTGTGAGTTGAATAGAGGCAACACAAAGAACTTACTCAGTATTCTTCTTTCTAGCGTTATATGAAGAAATCCCGTTTCCAACGAAGGCCTCAAAGAGGTCCAAATATCTGCTTGCACACTTTACAGACAGAGTGTTTCCAAACTACTCTATGAAAAGAAAGCTTAAACTCCGTGAGTTGAACGCACACATCACAAAGTAGTTTCTGAGAATGATTCTGTCTTGTTTTTATACGAAGATATTTCCGTTTCTATGATTGGCCTCAAAGCCATTGAAATCTCCAACTGGAAACTGCACAAATAGGGTGTTTCAAATCTGCTCTGTCTAAAGGAAGGTTCAACTCTGTGAGTTGAATACACACACCACAAATAAATTACTGAGAATTCTTCTGTCGAACATTACTTGAAGAAATCCCGTTTCCAACGAAGGCCTCAAAGAGGTCCAAATATCCACTTGCAGACATTACAAACAGTGTGTTTCCAAACTGCTCCATCAAAAGAAAGGTTAAACTCTGTGAGCTGAACACACACATCAAAAAGAAGTTTCTGTGAATGATTCTGTCTAGATTTTATAAGAAGATGTTTCCTTTTCTACCGTAGGCCTCAAAGCGCTTGAAATCTCCAGCTGCAAATTCCACAAAAAGGGTGTTTAACATCTGCTCTTCTAAAGGAAAGTTCAACTCTATGCGTTGAATACACACAGCACAAAGAAGTTACTGAGACTTCTCCTATCAAACATTATATGAAAGAAATCCCGTTTCCAACGAAGGCCTCAAAGAGGTCCAAATATCTGCTTGCAGACTTTACAGACAGAGTGTTTCCAAACTGCTCCATCAAAAGAAAGGTTAAACTCCTTGAGTTGAACACACACATCACAAAGTAGTTTCTGTGAATGATTCTGTCTAGTTTTTATAAGAAGATGTTTCCTTTTCTACCTTTGGTCTCAAAGCGATTGAAATCTCCACATGGAAACTCCACAAAAAGAGTGTTTCAAATCTGCTCTTTCTGAAGGAAGGTTCAACTCTGTGAGTTGAATACACACACAACAAATAAGTTACTGAGAATTCTTGTGTGTAACATTATATGAGGAAATCCCGTTTCCAACGAAGGCCTCAAAGAGGTCCAAATATCCACTTGCAGACTTTACAAAGACAGTGTCTCCAAACTCCTCCATCAAAAGAAAGGTTATACTCTGTGAATTGAACGCACACATCACAAAGTAGTTTCTGAGAATGATTCTGTCTAGTTTTTATACGAAGATATTTCCTTTTCTACATTTGGCCTAAAAGCGCTTGAAATCTCCACCTGCAAATATCACAAAAAGAGGGTTTCACATCTGCTCTGTCTAAAGGACAGTTCACCTCTGTGAGTTGAATAGAGGCAACACAAAGAACTTACTCAGTATTCTTCTTTCTAGCGTTATATGAAGAAATCCCGTTTCCAACGAAGGCCTCAAAGAGGTCCAAATATCTGCTTGCAGACTTTACAGACAGAGTGTTTCCAAACTACTCTATGAAAAGAAAGCTTAAACTCCGTGAGTTGAACGCACACATCACAAAGTAGTTTCTGAGAATGATTCTGTCTTGTATTTATACGAAGATATTTCCGTTTCTACGATTGGCCTCAAAGCGATTGAAATCTCCAACTGGAAACAGCACAAATAGGGTGTTTCAAATCTGCTCTGTCTAAAGGAAGGTTCAACTCTGTGAGTTGAATACACACAACACAAATAAGTTACTGAGAATTCTTCTCTCGAACATTACATGAAGAAATCCCGTTTCCAACGAAGGCCTCAAAGAGGTCCAAATATCCACTTGCCGACATGGCAAACACAGTGTTTGCAAACTGCTCCGTCAAAAGAAAGGTTAAACTCTGTGAGATGAACACACACATCAAAAAGAAGTTTCTGTGAATGATTCTGTCTAGATTTTATAAGATGTTTCCTTTTCTACCGTAGGCCTCAAAGCGCCTGAAATCTCCAGCTGCAAATTCCACAAAAAGGGTGTTTAACATCTGCTCTTCTAAAGGAAAGTTCAACTCTATGAGTTGAATACACACAGCACAAAGAAGTTACTGAGACTTCTTCTGTCTAACATTATATGAAGAAATCCCGATTCCAACGAAGGCCTCAAAGAGGTCCAAATATCTGCCTGCAGACTTTACAGACAGAGGGTTTCCAAACTGCTCCATCAAAAGAAAGGTTAAACTCCTTGAGTTGAACACACACATCACAAAGTAGTTTCTGTGAATGATTCTGTCTAGTTTTTATACGAAGATGTTTGCTTTTCTACCTTTGGCCTCAAAGCGATTGAAATCTCCACATGGAAACTCCACAAAAAGAGTGTTTCAAATCTGCTCTTTCTGAAGGAAGGTTCAACTCTGTGAGTTGAATACACACACCACAAATAAGTTACTGAGAATTCTTCTGTGTAACATTATATGAGGAAATCCCGTTTCCAACGAAGGCCTCAAAGAGGTCCAAATATCCACACGCAGACTTTACAAAGACAGTGTCTCCAAACTCCTCCATCAAAAGAAAGGTTATACTCTGTGAATTGTACGCACACATCACAAAGTAGTTTCTGAGAATGATTCTGTCTAGTTTTTATACGAAGATATTTCCTTTTCTACATTTGGCCTAAAAGCGCTTGAAATCTCCACCTGCAAATATCACAAAAAGAGGGTTTCACATCTGCTCTGTCTAAAGGACAGTTCACCTCTGTGAGTTGAATAGAGGCAACACAAAGAACTTACTCAGTATTCTTCTTTCTAGCGTTCTATGAAGAAATCCCGTTTCCAACGAAGACCCCAATGAGGTCCAAATATCTGCTTGCTGACTTTACAGACAGAGTGTTTCCAAACTACTCTATGAAAAGAAAGCTTAAACTCCTTGAATTGAACGCACATAACACAAAGTAGTTTCTGAGAATGATTCTGTCTAGTTTTTATACGAAGATGTTTCCTTTTCTACATTTGGTCTCAAAGCGATTGAAATCTCCAACTGGAAACTGCACAAATAGGGTGTTTCAAATCTGCTCTGTCTAAAGGAAGGTTCAACTCTGTGAGTTGAATACACACACCACAAATAAGTTACTGAGAATTCTTCTGTCGAACATTACAGGAAGAAATCCCGTTTCCAACGAAGGCCTCAAAGAGGTCCAAATATCCACTTGCAGACATTACAAACAGTGTGTTTCCCAACTGCTCCATCAAAAGAAAGGTTAAACTCTGTGAGCTGAACACACACATCAAAAAGAAGTTTCTGTGAATGATTCTGTCTAGATTTTATAAGAAGATGTTTCCTTTTCTACCGTAGGCCTCAAAGCGCTTGAAATCTCCAGCTGCAAATTCCACAAAAAGGGTGTTTAACATCTGCTCTTCTAAAGGAAAGTTCAACTCTATGAGTTGAATACACACAGCACAAAGAAGTTACTGAGACTTCTCCTATCAAACATTATATGAAGAAATCCCGTTTCCAACGAAGGCCTCAAAGAGGTCCAAATATCTGCTTGCAGACTTTACAGACAGAGTTTTTCCAAACTGCTCCATCAAAAGAAAGGTTAAACTCCTTGAGTTGAACACACACATCACAAAGTAGTTTCTGTGAATGATTCTGTCTAGTTTTTATACGAAGATGTTTCCTTTTCTACCTTTGGTCTCAAAGCGATTGAAATCTCCACATGGAAACTCCACAAAAAAGAGTGTTTCAAATCTGCTCTTTCTGAAGGAAGGTTCAACTCTGTGAGTTGAATACACACACCACAAATAAGTTACTGAGAATTCTTCTGTGTAACATTATATGAGGAAATCCCGTTTCCAACGAAGGCCTCAAAGAGGTCCAAATATCCACTTGCAGACTTTACAAAGACAGTGTCTCCAAACTCCTCCATCAAAAGAAAGGTTATACTGCTGTGAATTGAACGCACACATCACAAAGTAGTTTGCTGAGAATGATTCTGTCTAGTTTTTATACGAAGATATTTCCTTTTCTACATTTGGCCTAAAAGCGCTTGAAATCTCCACCTGCAAATATCACAAAAAGAGGGTTTCACATCTGCTCTGTCTAAAGGACAGTTCACCTCTGTGAGTTGAATAGAGGCAACACAAAGAACTTACTCAGTATTCTTCTTTCTAGCGTTCTATGAAGAAATCCCGTTTCCAACGAAGGCCCCAAAGAGGTCCAAATATCTGCTTGCAGACTTTACAGACAGAGTGTTTCCAAACTACTCTATGAAAAGAAAGCTTAAACTCCTTGAGTTGAACGCACACATCACAAAGTAGTTTCTGAGAATGATTCTGTCTAGTTTTTATACGAAGATGTTTCCTTTTCTACATTTGGTCTCAAAGCGATTGAAATCTCCAACTGGAAACTGCACAAATAGGGTGTTTCAAATCTGCTCTGTCTAAAGGAAGGCTCAACTCTGTGAGTTGAATACACACACCACAAATAAGTTACTGAAAATTCTTCTGTCGAACATTACATGAAGAAATCCCGTTTCCAACGAAGGCCACAAAGAGGTCCAAATATCCACTTGCAGACATTACAAACAGAGTGTTTCCAAACTGCTCCATCAAAGGAAAGGTTAAACTCTGTGAGCTGAACACACACATCAAAAAGAAGTTTCTGTGAATGATTCTGTCTAGATTTTATAAGAAGATGTTTCCTTTTCTACCGTAGGCCTCAAAGCGCTTGAAATCTCCAGCTGCAAATTCCACAAAAAGGGTGTTTAACATCTGCTCTTCTAAAGGAAAGTTCAACTCTATGCATTGAATACACACAGCAGAAAGAAGTTACTGAGACTTCTCCTATCAAACATTATATGAAGAAATCCCGTTTCCAACGAAGGCCTCAAAGAGGTCCAAATATCTGCTTGCAGACTTTACAGACAGAGTGTTTCCAAACTCCTCCATCAAAAGAAAGGTTAAACTCCTTGAGTTGAACACACACATCACAAAGTAGTTTCTGTGAATGATTCTCTCTAGTTTTTATACGAAGATGTTTCCTTTTCTACCTTTGGTCTCAAAGCGATGGAAATCTCCGCATGGAAACTCCCCAAAAAGAGTGTTTCAAATCTGCTCTTTCTGAAGGAAGGTTCAACTCTGTGAGTTGAATACACACACCACAAATAAGTTACTGAGAATTCTTCTGTGTAACATTATATGAGGAAATCCCGTTTCCAACGAAGGCCTCAAAGAGGTCCAAATATCCACTTGCAGACTTTACAAAGACAGTGTCTCCAAACTCCTCCATCAAAAGAAAGGTTATACTCTGTGAATTGAACGCACACATCACAAAGTAGTTTCTGAGAATGATTCTGTCTAGTTTTTATACGAAGATATTTCCTTTTCTACATTTGGCCTAAAAGCACTTGAAATCTCCACCTGCAAATATCCCAAAAAGAGGGTTTCACATCTGCTCTGTCTAAAGGACAGTTCACCTCTGTGAGTAGAATAGAGGCAACACAAAGAACTTAGTATTCTTCTTTCTAGCGTTCTATGAAGAAATCCCGTTTCCAAAGAAGGCCTCAAAGAGGTTCAAATATCTGCTTGCAGACTTTACAGACAGAGTGTTTCCAAACTACTCTATGAAAAGAAAGCTTAAACTCCTTGAGTTGAACGCACACATCACAAAGTAGTTTCTGAGAATGATTCTGTCTAGTTTTTATACGAAGATGTTTCCTTTTCTACATTTGGTCTCAAAGCGATTGAAATCTCCAACTGGAAACTGCACAAATAGGGTGTTTCAAATCTGCTCTGTCTAAAGGAAGGTTCAACTCTGTGAGTTGAATACACACACCACAAATAAGTTACTGAGAATTCTTCTGTCGAACATTACAGGAAGAAATCCCGTTTCCAACCAAGGCCTCAAAGAGGTCCAAATATCCACCTGCAGACATTACAAACAGAGTGTTTCCAAACTGCTCCATCAAAAGAAAGGTTAAACTCTGTGAGCTGAACACACACATCAAAAAGAAGTTTCTGTGAATGATTCTGTCTAGATTTTCTAAGAAGATGTTTCCTTTTTTACCGTAGGCCTCAAAGCGCTTGAAATCTCCAGCTGCAAATTCCACAAAAAGGGTGTTTAACATCTGCTCTTCTAAAGGAAAGTTCAACTCTATGAGTTGAATACACACAGCACAAAGAAGTTACTGAGACTTCTCCTATCAAACATTATATGAAGAAATCCCGTTTCCAACGAAGGCCTCAAAGAGGTCCAAATATCTGCTTGCAGACTTTACAGACAGAGTTTTTCCAAACTGCTCCATCAAAAGAAAGGTTAAACTCCTTGAGTTGAACACACACATCACAAAGTAGTTTCTGTGAATGATTCTGTCTAGTTTTTATACGAAGATGTTTCCTTTTCTACCTTTGGTCTCAAAGCGATTGAAATCTCCACATGGAAACTCCACAAAAAGAGTGTTTCAAATCTGCTCTGTCTAAAGGAAGGTTCAACTCTGTGAGTTGAATACACACACCACAAATAAGTTACTGAGAATTCTTCTGTGTAACATTATATGAGGAAATCCCGTTTCCAACGAAGGCCTCAAAGAGGTCCAAATATCCACTTGCAGACTTTACAAAGACAGTGTCTCCAAACTCCTCCATCAAAAGAAAGGTTATACTCTGTGAATTGAACGCACACATCACAAAGTAGTTTCTGAGAATGATTCTGTCTAGTTTTTATACGAAGATATTTCCTTTTCTACATTTGGCCTAAAAGCGCTTGAAATCTCCACCTGCAAATATCACAAAAAGAGGGTTTCACATCTGCTCTGTCTAAAGGACAGTTCACCTCTGTGAGTTGAATAGAGGCAACACAAAGAACGTACTCAGTATTCTTCTTTCTGGCGTTCTATGAAGAAATCCCGTTTCCAACGAAGGCCCCAAAGAGGTCCAAATATCTGCCTGCAGACTTTACAGACAGAATGTTTCCAAACTACTCTATGAAAAGAAAGCTTAAACTCCTTGAGTTGAACGCACACATCACAAATTAGTTTCTGAGAATGATTCTGTCTAGTTTTTATACGAAGATGTTTCCTTTTCTACATTTGGTCTCAAAGCGATTGAAATCTCCAACTGGATACTGCACAAATAGGGTGTTTCAAATCTGCTCTGTCTAAAGGAAGGTTCAACTCTGTGAGTTGAATACACACACCACAAATAAGTTACTGAGAATTCTTCTGTCGAACATTACTTGAAGAAATCCCGTTTCCAACGAAGGCCACAAAGAGGTCCAAATATCCACTTGCAGATATTACAAACAGAGTGTTTCCAAACTGCTCCATCAAAAGAAAGGTTAAACTCGGTGAGCTGAACACACACATCAAAAAGAAGTTTCTGTGAATTATTCTGTCTAGATTTTATAAGAAGATGTTTCCTTTTCTACCGTAGGCCTCAAAGCGCTTGAAATCTCCAGCTGCAAATTCCACAAAAAGGGTGTTTAACATCTGCTCTTCTAAAGGAAAGTTCAACTCTATGAGTTGAATACACACAGCACAAAGAAGTTACTGAGACTTCTCCTATCAAACATTATATGAAGAAATCCCGTTTCCAACGAAGGCCTCAAAGAGGTCCAAATATCTGCTTGCAGACTTTACAGACAGAGTGTTTCCAAACTGCTCCATCAAAAGAAAGGTTAAACTCCTTGAGTTGAACACACACATCACAAAGTAGTTTCTGTGAATGATTCTGTCTAGTTTTTATACGAAGATGTTTCCTTTTCTACCTTTGGTCTCAAAGCGATTGAAATCTCCACATGGAAACTCCACAAAAAGAGTGTTTCATATCTGCTCTTTCTGAAGGAAGGTTCAACTCCTGTGAGTTGAATACACACACCACAAATAAGTTACTGAGAATTCTTCTGTGTAACATTATATGAGGAAATCCCGTTTCCAACGAAGAGCCTCAAAGAGGTCCAAATATCCACTTGCAGACTTTACAAAGACAGTGTCTCCAAACTCCTCCATCAAAAGAAAGGTTATACTCTGTGAATTGAACGCACACATCACAAAGTAGTTTCTGAGAATGATTCTGTCTAGTTTTTATACGAAGATATTTCCTTTTCTACATTTGGCCTAAAAGCGCTTGAAATCTCCACCTGCAAATATCCCAAAAAGAGGGTTTCACATCTGCTCTGTCTAAAGGACAGTTCACCTCTGTGAGTTGAATAGAGGCAACACAAAGAACTTACTCAGTATTCTTCTTTCTGGCGTTCTATGAAGAAATCCCGTTTCCAACGAAGGCCCAAAGAGGTCCAAATATCTGCCTGCAGACTTTACAGACAGAATGTTTCCAAACTACTCTATGAAAAGAAAGCTTAAACTCCTTGAGTTGAACGCACACATCACAAAGTAGTTTCTGAGAATGATTCTGTCTACTTTTTATACGAAGATGTTTCCTTTTCTACATTTGGTCTCAAAGCGATTGAAATCTCCAACTGGATACTGCACAAATAGGGTGTTTCAAATCTGCTCTGTCTAAAGGAAGGTTCAACTCTGTGAGTTGAATACACACACCACAAATAAGTTACTGAGAATTCTTCTGTCGAACATTACATGAAGAAATCCGGTTTCCAACGAAGGCCTCAAAGAGGTCCAAATATCCACTTGCAGACATTACAAACAGAGTGTTTCCAAACTGCTCCATCAATAGAAAGGTTAAACTCTGTGAGCTGAACACCCACATCAAAAAGAAGTTTCTGTGAATTATTCTGTCTAGATTTTAGAAGAAGATGTTTCCTTTTTTACTGTAGGCCTCAAAGCTCTTGAATTCTCCAGCTGCAAATTCCACAAAAAGGGTGTTTAGCATCTGCTCTTCTAAAGGAAAGTTCAACTCCATGAGTTGAATACACACAGCACAAAGAAGTTACTGAGACTTCTCCTTTCAAACATTATATGAAGAAATCCCGTTTCCAACGAAGGCCTCAAAGAGGTCCAAATATCCACTTGCAGACGTGACAAACAGAGTGTTTCCAAACTGCTCCATCCAAAGAAAGGTTAAACTCTGTGAGTTGAACACACACATCACAAAATAGTTTCTGTGAATGATTCTGTCTAGTTTTTATACGAAGATGTTTCCTTTTCTACCTTTGGTCTCAAAGCGATTGAAATCTCCAAATGGAAACTCCACAAAAAGAGTGTTTCAAATCTGCTCTTTCTGAAGGAAGGTTCATACTCTGTGAGTTGAATACACACACCACAAATAAGTTACTGAGAATTCTTCTGTGTAACATTATAGGAGGAAATCCCGTTTCCAACGAAGGCCTCAAAGAGGTCCAAATATCCACTTGCAGACTTTACAAAGACAGTGTCTCCAAACTCCTCCATCAAAAGAAAGGTTATCCTCTGTGAATTGAACGCACACATCACAAAGTAGTTTCTGAGAATGATTCTGTCTAGTTTTTATATGAAGATATTTCCTTTTCTACATTTGGCCTAAAAGCGCTTGAAATCTCCACCTGCAAATATCACAAAAAGAGGGTTTCCCATCTGCTCTGTCTAAAGGACAGTTCACCTCTGTGAGTTGAATAGAGGCAACACAAAGAAGTTACTGAGTATTATTCTTTCTAGCGTTATAAGAAGAAATCCCGTTTCCAACGAAGGCCACAAAGAGGTCCAAATATCTGCTTGCAGACTTAACAGACAGAGTGTTTCCAAACTGCTCCATCAAAAGAAAGGTTAACCTCCTTGAGTTGAACACACACTTCACAAAGTAGTTTCTGTGAATGATTCTGTCTAGTTTTTATACGAAGATGTTTCCTTTTCTACCTTTGGTCTCAAAGCGATTGAAATCTCCACATGGAAACTCCACAAAAAGAGTGTTTCAAATCTGCTCTTTCTGAAGGAAGGTTCAACTCTGTGAGTTGAATACACACACCACAAATAAGTTACTGAGAATTCTTCTGTGGAAGATTATATGAGGAAATCCCGTTTCCAACGAAGGCCTCAAAGAGGTCCAAATATCCACTTGCAGACTTTACAAAGACAGTGTCTCCAAACTCCTCCATCAAAAGAAAGGTTATACTCTGTGAATTGAACGCACACATCACAAAGTAGTTTCTGAGAACGATTCTGTCTAGTTTTCATACGAAGATATTTCCTTTTCTACATTTGGCCTAAAAGCGCTTGAAATCTCCACCTGCAAATATCACAAAAAGAGGGTTTCACATCTGCTCTGTCTAAAGGACAGTTCACCTCTGTGAGTTGAATAGAGGCAACACAAAGAACTTACTCAGTATTCTTCTTTCTAGCGTTCTATGAAGAAATCCCGTTTCCAACGAAGGCCTCAAAGAGGTCCAAATATCTGCTTGCACACTTTACAGACAGAGTGTTTCCAAACTACTCTATGAAAAGAAAGCTTAAACTCCTTGAGTTGAACGCACACATCACAAAGTAGTTTCTGAGAATGATTTCTGTCTAGTTTTTATACGAAGATGTTTCCTTTTCTACATTTGGTCTCAAAGCGATTGAAATCTCCAACTGGAAACTGCACAAATAGGGTGTTTCAAATCTGCTCTGTCTAAAGGAAGGTTCAACTCCTGTGAGTTGAATACACACACCACAAATAAGTTACTGAGAATTCTTCTGTCGAACATTACTTGAAGAAATCCCGTTTCCAACGAAGGCCTCAAAGAGGTCCAAATATCCACTTGCAGACATTACAAAGAGAGTGTTTCCAAACTGCTCCATCAAAAGAAAGGTTAAACTCTGTGAGCTGAACACACACATCAAAAAGAAGTTTCTGTGAATGATTCTGTCTAGATTTTATAAGAAGATGTTTCCTTTTCTACCGTAGGCCTCAAAGCGCTTGAAATCTCCAGCTGCAAATTCCACAAAAAGGGTGTTTAACATCTGCTCTTCTAAAGGAAAGTTCAACTCTATGAGTTGAATACACACAGCACAAAGAAGTTACTGAGACTTCTCCTATCAAACATTATATGAAGAAATCCCGTTTCCAACGAAGGCCTCAAAGAGGTCCAAATATCTACTTGCAGACTTTACAGACAGAGTGTTTCCAAACTGCTCCATCAAAAGAAAGGTTAAACTCCTTGAGTTGAACACACACATCACAAAGTAGTTTCTGTGAATGATTCTGTCTAGTTTTTATACGAAGATGTTTCCTTTTCTACCTTTGGTCTCAAAGCGATTGAAATCTCCACATGGAAACTCCACAAAAAGAGTGTTTCAAATCTGCTCTTTCTGAAGGAAGGTTCAACTCTGTGAGTTGAATACACACACCACAAATCAGTTACAGAGAATTCTTCTGTGTAACATTATATGAGGAAATCCCGTTTCCAACGAAGGCCTCAAAGAGGTCCAAATGTCCACTTGCAGACTTTACAAAGACAGTGTCTCCAAACTCCTCCATCAAAAGAAAGGTTATACTCTGTGAATTGAGCACACATCACAATGTAGTTTCTGAGAATGATTCTGTCTAGTTTTTATACGAAGATATTTCCTTTTCTACATTTGGCCAAAAAGCGCTTGAAATCTCCACCTGCAAATATCACAAAAAGAGGGTTTCACATCTGCTCTGTCTAAAGGACAGTTCACCTCTGTGAGTTGAATAGATTCAACACAAAGAAGTTACTGAGTATTCTTCTTTCTAGCGTTATATGAAGAAATCCCGTTTCCAACGAAGGCCTCAAAGAGGTCCAAATATCTGCTTGCAGACTTTACAGACAGAGTGTTTCCAAACTACTCTATGAAAAGAAAGCTTAAACTCCGTGAGTTGAACGCACACATCACAAAGTAGTTTCTGAGAATGCTTCTGTCTTGTTTTTATACGAAGATATTTCCGTTTCTACGATTGGCCTCAAAGCGATTGAAATCTCCAACTGGAAACTGCACAAACAGGGTGTTTCAAATCTGCTCTGTCTAAAGGAAGGTTCAACTCCGTGAGTTGAATACACACACCACAAATAAGTTACTGAGAATTCTTCTGTCGAACATTACAGGAAGAATTCCCGTTTCCAACGAAGGCCTCAAAGAGGTCCAAATATCCACTTGCGGACATTACAAACAGTGTGTTTCCCAACTGCTCCATCAAAAGAAAGGTTAAACTCTGTGAGCTGAACACACACATCAAAAAGAAGTTTCTGTGAATGATTCTGTCTAGATTTTATAAGAAGATGTTTCCTTTTCTACCGTAGGCCTCAAAGCGCTTGAAATCTCCAGCTGCAAATTCCACAAAAAGGGTGTTTAACATCTGCTCTTCTAAAGGAAAGTTCAACTCTATGAGTTGAATACACACAGCACAAAGAAGTTACTGAGACTTCTCCTATCAAACATTATATGAAGAAATCCCGTTTCCAACGAAGGCCTCAAAGAGGTCCAAATATCCACTTGCAGACATTACAAACAGAGTGTTTCCAAACTGCTCCATCAAAAGAAAGGTTAAACTCTGTGAGCTGAACACACACATCAAAAAGAAGTTTCTGTGAATGATTCTGTCTAGATTTTGTAAGAAGATGTTTCCTTTTCTACCGTAGGCCTCAAAGCGCTTGAAATCTCCACCTGCAAATTCCACAAAAAGGGTGTTTTACATCTGCTCTTCTAAAGGAAAGTTCAACTCTATGCGTTGAATACACACAGGACAAAGAAGTTACTGAGACTTCTCCTATCAAACATTATATGAAGAAATCCCGTTTCCAACGAAGGCCTCAAAGAGGTCCAAATATCTGCTTGCAGACTTTACAGACAGAGTGTTTCCAAACTGCTCCATCAAAAGAAAGGTTAAACTCCTTGAGTTGAACACACACATCACAAAGTAGTTTTTGTGAATGATTCTGTCTAGTTTTTATACGAAGATGTTTCCTTTTCTACCTTTGGTCTCAATGCGATTGAAATCTCCACATGGAAACTCCACAAAGAGAGTGTTTCAAATCTGCTCTTTCTGAAGGAAGGTTCATCTCTGTGAGTTGAATACACACACCACAAATAAGTTACTGAGAATTCTTCTGTGTAACATTATATGAGGAAATCCCGTTTCCAACGAAGGCCTCAAAGAGGTCCAAATATCCACTTGCAGACTTTACAAAGACAGTGTCTCCAAACTCCTCCATCAAAAGAAAGGTTATACTCTGTGAATTGAACGCATACATCACAAAGTAGTTTCTGAGAATGATTCTGTCTAGTTTTTATACGAAGATATTTCCTTTTCTACATTTGGCCTAAAAGCGCTTGAAATCTCCACCTGCAAATATCACAAAAAGAGGGTTTCACATCTGCTCTGTCTAAAGGACAGTTCACCTCTGTGAGTTGAATAGAGGCAACACAAAGAACGTACTCAGTATTCTTCTTTCTAGCGTTCTATGAAGAAATCCCGTTTCCAACGAAGGCCTCAAAGAGGTCAAATATCTGCTTGCAGACTTTACAGACAGAGTGTTTCCAAACTACTCTATGAAAAGAAAGCTTAAACTCCTTCAGTTGAACGCACACATCACAAAGTAGTTTCTGAGAATGATTCTGTCTAGTTTTTATACGAAGATGTTTCCTTTTCTACATTTGGTCTCAAAGCGATTGAAATCTCCAACTGGAAACTGCACAAATAGGGTGTTTCAAATCTGCTCTGTCTAAAGGAAGGTTCAACTCTGTGAGTTGAATACACACACCACAAATAAGTTACTGAGAATTCTTCTGTCGAACATTACATGAAGAAATCCCGTTTCCAACGAAGGCCTCAAAGAGGTCCAAATATCCACTTGCAGACATTACAAACAGAGTGTTTCCAAACTGCTCCATCAAAAGAAAGGTTAAACTCTGTGAGCTGAACACACACATCAAAAAGAAGTTTCTGTGAATGATTCTGTCTAGATTTTATAAGAAGATGTTTCCTTTTCTACCATAGGCCTCAAAGCGCTTGAAATCTCCAGCTGCAAATTCCACAAAAAGGGTGTTTAACATCTGCTCTTCTAAAGGAAAGTTCAACTCTATGAGTTGAATACACACAGCACAAAGAAGTTACTGAGACTTCTCCTATCAAACATTATATGAAGAAATCCCGTTTCCAACGAAGGCCTCAAAGAGGTCCAAATATCTGCTTGCAGTCTTTACAGACAGAGTGTTTCCAAACTGCTCCATCAAAAGAAAGGTTAAACTCCTTGAGTTGAACACACACATCACAAAGTAGTTTCTGTGAATGATTCTGTCTAGTTGTTATACGAAGATGTTTCCTTTTCTACCTTTGGTCTCAAAGCGATTGAAATCTCCACATGGAAACTCCACAAAAAGAGTGTTTCAAATCTGCTCTTTCTGAAGGAAGGTTCATCTCTGTGAGTTGAATACACACACCGCAAATAAGTTACTGAGAATTCTTCTGTGTAACATTATATGAGGAAATCCCGTTTCCTACGAAGGCCTCAAAGAGATCCAAATATCCACTTGCAGACTTTACAAAGACAGTGTCTCCAAACTCCTCCATCAAAAGAAAGGTTATCCTCTGTGAATTGAACGCACACATCACAAAGTAGGTTCTGAGAATGATTCTGTCTAGTTTTTATACGAAGATATTTCCTTTTCTACATTTGGCCTCAAAGCGCTTGAAATCTCCACCTGCAAATATCACAAAAAGAGGGTTTCACATCTGCTCTGTCTAAAGGACAGTTCACCTCTGTGAGTTGAATAGAGGCAACACAAAGAACTTACTCAGTATTCTTCTTTCTAGCATTCTATGAAGAAATCCCGTTTCCAATGAAGGCCCCAAAGAGGTCCAAATATCTGCTTGCAGACTTTACAGACAGAGTGTTTCCAAACTACTCTATGAAAAGAAAGCTTAAACTCCTTGAGTTGAACGCACACATCACAAAGTAGTTTCTGAGAATGATTCTGTCTAGTTTTTATACGAAGATGTTTCCTTTTCTACATTTGGTCTCAAAGCGATTGAAATCTCCAACTGGAAACTGCACAAATAGGGTGTATCAAATCTGCTCTGTGTAAAGAAGGTTCAACTCTGTGAGTTGAATACACACACCACAAATAAGTTACTGAGAATTCTTCTGTCGAACATTACTTGAAGAAATCCCGTTTCCAACGAAGGCCTCAAAGAGGTCCAAATATCTGCTTGCAGACTTTACAGACAGAGTGTTTCCAAACTACTCTATGAAAAGAAAGCTTAAACTCCTTGAGTTGAACGCACACATCACAAAGTAGTTTCTGTGAATGATTCTGTCTAGTTTTTATACGAAGATGTTTCCTTTTCTACATTTGGTCTCAAAGCGATTGAAATCTCCAACTGGAAACTGCACAAATAGGGTGTTTCAAATCTGCTCTGTCTAAAGGAAGGTTCAACTCTGTGAGTTGAATACACACACCACAAATAAGTTACTGAGAATTCTTCTGTCGAACATTACATGAAGAAATCCCGTTTCCAACGAAGGCCTCAAAGAGGTCCAAATATCCACTTGCAGAGATTACAAACAGTGTGTTTCCAAACTGCTCCATCAAAAGAAAGGTTAAACTCTGTGAGCTGAACACACACATCAAAAAGAAGTTTCTGTGAATGATTCTGTCTAGATTTTATAAGAAGATGTTTCCTTTTCTACCGTAGGCCTCAAAGCGCTTGAAATCTCCAGCTGCAAATTCCACAAAAAGGGTGTTTAACATCTGCTCTTCTAAAGGAAAGTTCAACTCTATGAGTGGAATACACACAGCACAAAGAAGTTACTGAGACTTCTCCTATCAAACATTATATGAAGAAATCCCGTTTCCAACGAAGGCCTCAAAGAGGTCCAAATATCTGCTTGCAGACTTTACAGACAGAGTTTTTCCAAACTGCTCCATCAAAAGAAAGGTTAAACTCCTTGAGTTGAACACACACATCACAAAGTAGTTTCTGTGAATGATTCTGTCTAGTTTTTATACGAAGATGTTTCCTTTTCTACCTTTGGTCTCAAAGCGATTGAAATCTCCACATGGAAACTCCACAAAAAGAGTGTTTCAAATCTGCTCTTTCTGAAGGAAGGTTCAACTCTGTGAGTTGAATACACACACCACAAATAAGTTACTGAGAATTCTTCTGTGTAATATTATATGAGGAAATCCCGTTTCCAACGAAGGCCTCAAAGAGGTCCAAATATCCACTTGCAGACTTTACAAAGACAGTGTCTCCAAACTCCTCCATCAAAAGAAAGGTTATACTCTGTGAATTGAACACACACATCACAAAGTAGTTTCTGAGAATGATTCTGTCTAGTTTTTATACGAAGATATTTCCTTTTCTACATTTGGCCTAAAAGCGCTTGAAATCTCCACGTGCAAATATCACAAAAAGAGGGTTTCACATCTGCTCTGTCTAAAGGACAGTTCACCTCTGTGAGTTGAATAGAGGCAACACAAAGAACTTACTCAGTATTCTTCTTTCTACCGTTCTATGAAGAAATCCCGTTTCCAACGAAGGCCTCAAAGAGGTCCAAATATCTGCTTGCAGACTTTACAGACAGAGTGTTTCCAAACTACTCTATGAAAAGAAAGCTTAAACTCCTTGAGTTGAACGCACACATCACAAAGTAGTTTCTGAGAATGATTCTGTCTAATTTTTATACGAAGATGTTTCCTTTTCTACATTTGGTCTCAAAGCGATTGAAATCTCCAACTGGAAACTGCAGAAATAGGGTGTTTGAAATCTGCTCTGTCTAAAGGAAGGTTCAACTCTGTGAGTTGAATACACACACCACAAATAAGGTACTGAGAATTCTCCCTATCAAACATTATATGAAGAAATCCCGTTTCCAACGAAGGCCTCAAAGAGGTCCAAATATCTGCTTGCAGACTTTACAGACAGAGTGTTTCCAAACTGCTCCATCAAAAGAAAGGTTAAACTCCTTGAGTTGAACACACACATCACAAAGTAGTTTCTGTGAATGATTCTGTCTAGTTGTTATACAGAAGATGTTTCCTTTTCTACCTTTGGTCTCAAAGCGATTGAAATCTCCACATGGAAACTCCACAAAAAGAGTGTTTCAAATCTGCTCTTTCTGAAGGAAGGTTCATCTCTGTGAGTTGAATACACACACCACAAATAAGTTACTGAGAATTCTTCTGTGTAACATTATATGAGGAAATCCCGTTTCCAACGAAGGCCTCAAAGAGGTCCAAATATCCACTTGCAGACTTTACAAAGACAGTGTCTCCAAACTCCTCCATCAAAAGAAAGGTTATACTCTGTGAATTGAACGCACACATCACAAAGTAGTTTCTGAGAATGATTCTGTCTAGTTTTTATACGAAGATATTTCCTTTTCTACATTTGGCCTAAAAGCGCTTGAAATCTCCACCTGCAAATATCACAAAAAGAGGGTTTCACATCTGCTCTGTCTAAAGGACAGTTCACCTCTGTGAGTTGAATAGAGGCAACACAAAGAACTTACTCAGTATTCTTCTTTCTAGCATTCTATGAAGAAATCCCGTTTCCAACGAAGGCCCCAAAGAGGTCCAAATATCTGCTTGCAGACTTTACAGACAGAGTGTTTCCAAACTACTCTATGAAAAGAAAGCTTAAACTCCTTGAGTTGAACGCACACATCACAAAGTAGTTTCTGAGAATGATTCTGTCTAGTTTTTATACGAAGATGTTTCCTTTTCTACATTTGGTCTCAAAGCGATTGAAATCTCCACCTGGAAACTGCACAAATAGGGTGTATCAAATCTGCTCTGTCTAAAGAAGGTTCAACTCTGTGAGTTGAATACACACACCACAAATAAGTTACTGAGAATTCTTCTGTCGAACATTACTTGAAGAAATCCCGTTTCCAACGAAGGCCTCAAAGAGGTCAAATATCTGCTTGCAGACTTTACAGACAGAGTGTTTCCAAACTACTCTATGAAAAGAAAGCTTAAACTCCTTGAGTTGAACGCACACATCACAAAGTAGTTTCTGAGAATGATTCTGTCTAGTTTTTATACGAAGATGTTTCCTTTTCTACATTTGGTCTCAAAGCGATTGAAATCTCCAACTGGAAACTGCACAAATAGGGTGTTTCAAATCTGCTCTGTCTAAAGGAAGGTTCAACTCTGTGAGTTGAATACACACACCACAAATAAGTTACTGAGAATTCTTCTGTCGAACATTACAGGAAGAAATCCCGTTTCCAACGAAGGCCTCAAAGAGGTCCAAATATCCACTTGCAGACATTACAAACAGTGTGTTTCCCACCTGCTCCATCAAAAGAAAGGTTAAACTCTGTGAGCTGAACACACACATCAAAAAGAAGTTTCTGTGAATGATTCTGTCTAGATTTTATAAGAAGATGTTTCCTTTTCTACCGTAGGCCTCAAAGCGCTTGAAATCTCCAGCTGCAAATTCCACAAAAAGGGTGTTTAACATCTGCTCTTCTAAAGGAAAGTTCAACTCTATGAGTTGAATACACACAGCACAAAGAAGTTACTGAGACTTCTCCTATCAAACATTATATGAAGAAATCCCGTTTCCAACGAAGGCCCCAAAGAGGTCCAAATATCTGCTTGCAGACTTTACAGACAGAGTTTTTCCAAACAGCTCCATCAAAAGAAAGGTTAAACTCCTTGAGTTGAACACACACATCACAAAGTAGTTTCTGTGAATGATTCTGTCTAGTTTTTATACGAAGATGTTTCCTTTTCTACCTTTGGTCTCAAAGTGATTGAAATCTCCACATGGAAACTCCACAAAAAGAGTGTTTCAAATCTGCTCTTTCTGAAGGAAGGTTCAAATCTGTGAGTTGAATACACACACCACAAATAAGTTACTGAGAATTCTTCTGTGTAACATTATATGAGGAAATCCCGTTTCCAACGAAGGCCTCAAAGAGGTCCAAATATCCACTTGCAGACTTTACAAAGACAGTGTCTCCAAACTCCTCCATCAAAAGAAAGGTTATACTCTGTGAATTGAACGCACACATCACAAAGTAGTTTCTGAGAACGATTCTGTCTAGTTTTTATACGAAGATATTTCCTTTTCTACATTTGGCCTAAAAGCGCTTGAAATCTCCACCTGCAAATATCACAAAAAGAGGGTTTCACATCTGCTCTGTCTAAAGGACAGTTCACCTCTGTGAGTTGAATAGAGGCAACACAAAGAACTTACCCAGTATTCTTCTTTCCAGCGTTCTATGAAGAAATCCCTTTTCCAACGAAGGCCTCAAAGAGGTCCAAATATCTGCTTGCAGACTTTACAGACAGAGTGTTTCCAAACTACTCTATGAAAAGAAAGCTTAAACTCCTTGAGTTGAACGCACACATCACAAAGTAGTTTCTGAGAATGATTCTGTCTAGTTTTTATACGAAGATGTTTCCTTTTCTACATTTGGTCTCAAAGCGATTGAAATCTCCAACTGGAAACTGCACAAATAGGGTGTTTCAAATCTGCTCTGTCTAAAGGAAGGTTCAACTCTGTGAGTTGAATACACACACCACAAATAAGTTACTGAGAATTCTTCTGTCGAACATTACATGAAGAAATCCCGTTTCCAACGAAGGCCTCAAAGAGGTCCAAATATCCACTTGCAGACATTACAAACAGAGTGTTTCCAAACTGCTCCATCAAAAGAAAGGTTAAACTCTGTGAGCTGAACACACACATCAAAAAGAAGTTTCTGTGAATGATTCTGTCTAGATTTTATAAGAAGATGTTTGCTTTTCTACCGTAGGCCTCAAAGCGCTTGAAATCTCCAGCTGCAAATTCCACAAAAAGGGTGTTTAACATCTGCTCTTCTAAAGGAAAGTTCAACTCTATGCGTTGAACACACACAGCACAAAGAAGTTACTGAGACTTCTCCTATCAAACATTATATGAAGAAATCCCATTTCCAACGAAGGCCTCAAAGAGGTCCAAATATCTGCTTGCAGACTTTACAGACAGAGTGTTTCCAAACTGCTCCATCAAAAGAAAGGTTAAACTCCTTGAGTTGAACACACACATCACAAAGTAGTTTCTGTGAATGATTCTGTCTAGTTTTTATACGAAGATGTTTCCTTTTCTACCTTTGGTCTCAAAGCGATTGAAATCTCCACATGGAAACTCCACAAAAAGAGTGTTTCAAATCTGCTCTTTCTGAAGGAAGGTTCAACTCTGTGAGTTGAATAAACACACCACAAATAAGTTACTGAGAATTCTTCTGTGTAACATTATATGAGGAAATCCCGTTTCCAACGAAGGCCTCAAAGAGGTCCAAATATCCACTTGCAGACTTTACAAAGACAGTGTCTCCAAACTCCTCCATCAAAAGAAAGGTTATACTCTGTGAATTGAACGCACACATCACAAAGTAGTTTCTGAGAATGATTCTGTCTAGTTTTTATACGAAGATATTTCCTTTTCTACATTTGGCCTAAAAGCGCTTGAAATCTCCACGTGCAAATATCACAAAAAGAGGGTTTCACATCTGCTCTGTCTAAAGGACAGTTCACCTCTGTGAGTTGAATAGAGGCAACACAAAGAACTTACTCAGTATTCTTCTTTCTAGCGTTCTATGAAGAAATCCCGTTTCCAACGAAGGCATCAAAGAGGTCCAAATATCTGCTTGCAGACTTTACAGACAGAGTGTTTCCAAACTACTCTATGAAAAGAAAGCTTAAACTCCTTGAGTTGAACGCACACAACACAAAGTAGTTTCTGAGAATGATTCTGTCTAGTTTTTATACGAAGATGTTTCCTTTTCTACATTTGGTCTCAAAGCGATTGAAATCTCCAACTGGAAACTGCACAAATAGGCTGTTTCAAATCTGCTCTGTCTAAAGGAAGGTTCAGCTCTGTGAGTTGAACACACACACCACAAATAAGTTACTGAGAATTCTTCTGTCGAACATTACAGGAAGAAATACCGTTTCCAACGAAGGCCTCAAAGAGGTCCAAATATCCACTTGCAGACATTACAAACAGAGTGTTTCCAAACTGCTCCATCAAAAGAAAGGTTAAACTCTGTGAGCTGAACACACACATCAAAAAGAAGTTTATGTGAATGATTCTGTCTAGATTTTATAAGAAGATGTTTCCTTTTCTACCGTAGGCCTCAAAGCGCTTGAAATCTCCAGCTGCAAATTCCACAAAAAGGGTGTTTAACATCTGCTCTTCTAAAGGAAAGTTCAACTCTATGAGTTGAATACACACAGCACAAAGAAGTTACTGAGACTTCTCCTATCAAACATTATATGAAGAAATCCCGTTTCCAACGAAGGCCTCAAAGAGGTCCAAATATCTGCTTGCAGACTTTACAGACAGAGTGTTTCCAAACTGCTCCATCAAAAGAAAGGTTAAACTCCTTGAGTTGAACACACACATCACAAAGTAGTTTCTGTGAATGATTCTGTCTAGTTGTTATACGAAGATGTTTCCTTTTCTACCTTTGGTCTCAAAGCGATTGAAATCTCCACATGGAAACTCCACAAAAAGAGTGTTTCAAATCTGCTCTTTCTGAAGGAAGGTTCATCTCTGTGAGTTGAATACACACACCACAAATAAGTTACTGAGAATTCTTCTGTGTAACATTATATGAGGAAATCCCGTTTCCAACGAAGGCTTCAAAGAGGTCCAAATATCCACTTGCAGACTTTACAAAGACAGTGTCTCCAAACTCCTCCATCAAAAGAAAGGTTATACTCTGTGAATTGAACGCACACATCACAAAGTAGTTTCTGAGAATGATTCTGTCTAGTTTTTATACGAAGATATTTCCTTTTCTACATTTGGCCTAAAAGCGCTTGAAATCTCCACCTGCAAATATCACAAAAAGAGGGTTTCACATCTGCTCTGTCTAAAGGACAGTTCACCTCTGTGAGTTGAATAGAGGCAACACAAAGAACTTACTCAGTATTCTTCTTTCTAGCGTTCTATGAAGAAATCCCGTTTCCAACGAAGGCCTCAAAGAGGTCCAAATATCTGCTTGCAGACTTTACAGACAGAGTGTTTCCAAACTACTCTATGAAAAGAAAGCTTAAACTCCTTGAGTTGAACGCACACATCACAAAGTAGTTTCTGAGAATGATTCTGTCTAGTTTTTATACGAAGATGTTTCCTTTTCTACATTTGGTCTCAAAGCGATTGAAATCTCCAACTGGAAACTGCACAAATAGGGTGTTTCAAATCTGCTCTGTCTAAAGGAAGGTTCAACTCTGTGAGTTGAATACACACACCACAAATAAGTTACTGAGAATTCTTCTGTCGACCATTACTTGAAGAAATCCCGTTTCCAACGAAGGCCTCAAAGAGGTCCAAATATCCACTTGCAGACATTACAAACAGAGTGTTTCCAAACTGCTCCATCAAAAGAAAGGTTAAACTCTGTGAGCTGAACACACACATCGAAAAGAAGTTTCTGTGAATGATTCTGTCTAGATTTTATAAGAAGATGTTTCCTTTTCTACCGTAGGCCTCAAAGCGCTTGAAATCTCCAGCTGCAAATTCCACAAAAAGGGTGTTTAACATCTGCTCTTCTAAAGGAAAGTTCAACTCTATGAGTTGAATACACATAGCACAAAGAAGTTACTGAGACTTCTCCTATCAAACATTATATGAAGAAATCCCGTTTCCAACGAAGGCCTCAAAGAGGTCCAAATATCTGCTTGCAGACTTTACAGACAGAGTGTTTCCAAACTGCTCCATCAAAAGAAAGGTTAAACTCCTTGAGTTGAACACACACATCACAAAGTAGTTTCTGTGAATGATTCTGTCTAGTTTTTATACGAAGATGTTTCCTTTTCTACCTTTGGTCTCAAAGCAATTGAAATCTCCACATGGAAACTCCACAAAAAGAGTGTTTCAAATCTGCTCTTTCTGAAGGAAGGTTCAACTCTGTGAGTTGAATACACACACCACAAATAAGTTACTGAGAATTCTTCTGTGTAACATTATATGAGGAAATCCCGTTTCCAACGAAGGCCTCAAAGAGGTCCAAATATCCACTTGCAGACTTTACAAAGACAGTGTCTCCAAACTCCTCCATCAAAAGAAAGGTTATACTCTGTGAATTGAACGCACACATCACAAAGTAGTTTCTGAGAATGATTCTGTCTAGTTTTTATACGAAGATATTTCCTTTTCTACATTTGGCCTAAAAGCGCTTGAAATCTCCACCTGCAAATATCACAAAAAGAGGGTTTCACATCTGCTCTGTCTAAAGGACAGTTCACCTGTGTGAGTTGAATAGAGGCAACACAAAGAACTTACTCAGTATTCTTCTTTCTAGCGTTCAATGAAGAAATCCCGTTTCCAACTAAGGCCCCAATGAGGTCCAAATATCTGCCTGCAGACTTTACAGACAGAGTGTTTCCAAACTACTCTATGAAAAGAAAGCTTAAACTCCTTGAGTTGAACGCACACATCACAAAGTAGTTTCTGAGAATGATTCTGTCTAGTTTTTATACGAAGATGTTTCCTTTTCTACTTTTGGTCTCAAAGCGATTGAAATCTCCAACTGGAAACTGCACAAATAGGGTGTTTCAAATCTGCTCTGTCTAAAGGAAGGTTCAACTCTGTGAGTTGAATACACACACCACAAATAAGTTACAGAGAATTCTTCTGTCGAACATTACTTGAAGAAATCCCGTTTGCAACGAAGGCCTCAAAGAGGTCCAAATATCCACTTGCAGACATTACAACAGAGTGTTTCCAAACTGCTCCATCAAAAGAAAGGTTAAACTCTGTGAGCTGAACACACACATCAAAAAGAAGTTTCTGTGAATGATTCTGTCTAGATTTTATAAGAAGATGTTTCCTTTTCTACCGTAGGCCTCAAAGCGCTTGAAATCTCCAGCTGCAAATTCCACAAAAAGGGTGTTTAACATCTGCTCTTCTAAAGGAAAGTTCAACCCTATGCGTTGAATACACACAGCAGAAAGAAGTTACTGAGACTTCTCCTATCAAACATTATATGAAGAAATCCCGTTTCCAACGAAGGCCCCAAAAGGTCCAAATATCTGCTTGCAGACTTTACAGACAGAGTTTTTCCAAACAGCTCCATCAAAAGAAAGGTTAAACTCCTTGAGTTGAACACACACATCACAAAGTAGTTTCTGTGAATGATTCTGTCTAGTTTTTATACGAAGATGTTTCCTTTTCTACCTTTGGTCTCAAAGCGATTGAAATCTCCACATGGAAACTCCACAAGAAGAGTGTTTCAAATCTGCTCTTTCTGAAGGAATGTTCAACTCTGTGAGTTGAATACACACACCACAAATAAGTTACTGAGAATTCTTCTGTGTAACATTATATGAGGAAATCCCGTTTCCAACGAAGGCCTCAAAGAGGTCCAAATATCCACTTGCAGACTTTACAAAGACAGTGTCTCCAAACTCCTCCATCAAAAGAAAGGTTATACTCTGTGAATTGAACGCACACATCACAAAGTGGTTTCTGAGAATGATTCTGTCTAGTTTTTATACGAAGATATTTCCTTTTCTACATTTGGCCTAAAAGCGCTTGAAATCTCCACCTGCAAATATCACAAAAAGAGGGTTTCACATCTGCTCTGTCTAAAGGACAGTTCACCTCTGTGAGTTGAATAGAGGCAACACAAAGAACTTACTCAGTATTCTTCTGTCGAACATTACTTGAAGAAATCCCGTTTCCAACGAAGGCCTCAAAGAGGTCCAAATATCTGCTTGCAGACTTTACAGACAGAGTGTTTCCAAACTACTCTATGAAAAGAAAGCTTAAACTCCTTGAGTTGAACGCACACATCACAAAGTAGTTTCTGAGAATGATTCTGTCTAGTTTTTATACGAAGATGTTTCCTTTTCTACATTTGGTCTCAAAGCGATTGAAATCTCCAACTGGAAACTGCACAAATAGGGAGTTTCAAATCTGCTCTGTCTAAAGGAAGGTTCAACTCTGTGAGTTGAATACACACACCACAAATAAGTTACTGAGAATTCTTCTGTCGAACATTACATGAAGAAATCCCGTTTCCAACGAAGGCCTCAAAGAGGTCCAAATATCCACTTGCAGACATTACAAACAGAGTGTTTCCGAGCTGCTCCATGAAAAGAAAGGTTAAACTCTGTGAGCTGAACACACACATCAAAAAGAAGTTTCTGTGAATGATTCTGTCTAGATTTTATAAGAAGATGTTTCCTTTTCTACCGTAGGCCTCAAAGCGCTTGAAATCTCCAGCTGCAAATTCCACAAAAAGGGTGTTTAACATCTGCTCTTCTAAAGGAAAGTTCAACTCTATGAGTTGAATACACACAGCACAAAGAAGTTACTGAGACTTCTCCTATCAAACATTATATGAAGAAATCCCGTTTCCAACGAAGGCCTCAAAGAGGTCCAAATATCTGCTTGCAGACTTTACAGACAGAGTGTTTCCAAACTGCTCCATCAAAAGAAAGGTTAAACTCCTTGAGTTGAACACACACATCACAAAGTAGTTTCTGTGAATGATTCTGTCTAGTTTTTATACGAAGATGTTTCCTTTTCTACCTTTGGTCTCAAAGCGATTGAAATCTCCACATGGAAACTCCACAAAAAGAGTGTTTCAAATCTGCTCTTTCTGAAGGAAGGTTCAACTCTGTGAGTTGAATACACACACCACAAATAAGTTACTGAGAATTCTTCTGTGTAACATTATATGAGGAAAACCTGTTTCCAACGAAGGCCTCAAAGAGGTCCAAATATCCACTTGCAGACTTTACAAACACAGTGTCTCCAAACTCCTCCATCAAAAGAAAGGTTATACTCTGAGAATTGAACGCACACATCACAAAGTAGTTTCTGAGAATGATTCTGTCTAGTTTTTATACGAAGATATTTCCTTTTCTACATTTGGCCTAAAAGCGCTTGAAATCTCCACCTGCAAATATCACAAAAAGAGGGTTTCACATCTGCTCTGTCTAAAGGACAGTTCACCTCTGTGAGTTGAATAGAGGCAACACAAAGAACGTACTCAGTATTCTTCTTTCAAGCGTTCTATGAAGAAATCCCGTTTCCAACGAAGACCCCAATGAGGTCCAAATATCTGCTTGCAGACTTTACAGACAGAGTGTTTCCAAACTACTCTATGAAAAGAAAGCTTAAACTCCTTGTGTTGAACGCACACATCACAAAGTAGTTTCTGAGAATGATTCTGTCTAGTTTTTATACGAAGATGTTTTCCTTTTCTACATTTGGTCTCAAAGCGATTGAAATCTCCAACTGGAAACTGCACAAATAGGCTGTTTCAAATCTGCTCTGTCTAAAGGAAGGTTCAGCTCTGTGAGTTGAATACACACACCACAAATAAGTTACTGAGAATTCTTCTGTCGAACATTACAGGAAGAAATCCCGTTTCCAACGAAGGCCTCAAAGAGGTCCAAATATCCACTTGCAGACATTACAAACAGTGTGTTTCCCAACTGCTCCATCAAAAGAAAGGTTAAACTCTGTGAGCTGAACACACACATCAAAAAGAAGTTTCTGTGAATGATTCTGTCTAGATTTTATAAGAAGATGTTTCCTTTTCTACCGTAGGCCTCAAGGCGCTTGAAATCTCCAGCTGCAAATTCCACAAAAAGGGTGTTTAACATCTACTCTTCTAAAGGAAAGTTCAACTCTATGAGTTGAATACACACAGCACAAAGAAGTTACTGAGACTTCTCCTATCAAACATTATATGAAGAAATCCCTGTTTCCAACGAAGGCCTCAAAGAGGTCCAAATATCTGCTTGCAGACTTTACAGACAGAGTGTTTCCAAACTGCTCCATCAAAAGAAAAGTTAAACTCCTTGAGTTGAACACACACATCACAAAGTAGTTTCTGTGAATGATTCTGTCTAGTTTTTATACGAAGATGTTTCCTTTTCTACCTTTGGTCTCAAAGCGATTGAAATCTCCACATGGAAACTCCACAAAAAGAGTGTTTCAAATCTGCTCTTTCTGAAGGAAGGTTCAACTCTGTGAGTTGAATACACACACCACAAATAAGTTACTGAGAATTCTTCTGTGTAACATTATATGAGGAAATCCCGTTTCCAACGAAGGCCTCAAAGAGGTCCAAATATCCACTTGCAGACTTTACAAAGACAGTGTCCCCAAACTCCTCCATCAAAAGAAAGGTTATACTCTGTGAATTGAACGGACACATCACAAAGTAGTTTCTGAGAATGATTCTGTCTAGTTTTTACACGAAGATATTTCCTTTTCTACATTTGGCCTAAAAGCGCTTGAAATCTCCACCTGCAAATATCACAAAAAGAGGGTTTCACATCTGCTCTGTCTAAAGGACAGTTCACCTCTGTGAGTTGAATAGAGGCAACACAAAGAACTTACTCAGTATTCTTCTTTCTAGCGCTCTATGAAGAAATCCCGTTTCCAACGAATGCCTCAAAGAGGTCCAAATATCTGCTTGCAGACTTCAGAGACAGAGTGTTTCCAAAGTACTCTATGAAAAGAAAGCTTAAACTCCTTGAGTTGAACGCACACATCACAAAGTAGTTTCTGAGAATGATTCTGTCTAGTTTTTATACGAAGATGTTTCCTTTTCTACATTTGGTCTCAAAGCGATTGAAATCTCCAACTGGAAACTGCACAAATAGGGTGTTTCAAATCTGCTCTGTCTAAAGGAAGGTTCAACTCTGTGAGTTGAATACACACACCACAAATAAGTTACTGAGAATTCTTCTGTCGAACATTACTTGAAGAAATCCCGTTTCCAACGAAGGCCTCAAAGAGGTCCAAATATCCACTTGCAGACATTACAAACAGAGTGTTTCCAAACTGCTCCATCAAAAGAAAGGTTATACTCTGTGAGCTGAACACACACATCAAAAAGAAGTTTCTGTGAATGATTCTGTCTAGATTTTATAAGAAGATGTTTCCTTTTCTACCATAGGCCTCAAAGCGCTTGAAATCTCCAGCTGCAAATTCCACAAAAAGGGTGTTTAACATCTGCTCTTCTAAAGGAAAGTTCAACTCTATGAGTTGAATACACACAGCACAAAGAAGTTACTGAGACTTCTCCTATCAAACATTATATGAAGAAATCCCGTTTCCAACGAAGGCCTCAAAGAGGTCCAAATATCTGCTTGCAGACTTTACAGACAGAGTGTTTCCAAACTGCTCCATCAAAAGAAAGGTTAAACTCCTTGAGTTGAACACACACATCACAAAGTAGTTTCTGTGAATGATTCTGTCTAGTTTTTATACGAAGATGTTTCCCTTTCTACCTTTGGTCTCAAAGCGATTAAAATCTCCACATGGAATCTCCACAAAAACAGTGTTTCATATCTGCTCTTTCTGAAGGAAGGTTCAACTCTGTGAGTTGAATACACACAGCACAAATAAGTTACTGACAATTCTTCTGTGTAACATTATATGAGGAAATCCCGTTTCCAACGAAGGCCTCAAAGAAGTCCAAATATCCACTTGCAGACTTTTCAAAGACCGTGTCTCCAAACTCCTCCCTCAAAAGAAAGGTTTTACTCTGTGAATTGAACGCACACATCACAAAGTAGTTTCTGAGAATGATTCTGTCTAGTTTTTATACGAAGATATTTCCTTTTCTACATTTGGCCTAAAAGCGCTTGAAATCTCCACCTGCAAATATCACAAAAAGAGGGTTTCACATCTGCTCTGTCTAAAGGACAGTTCACCTCTGTGAGTTGAATAGAGGCAACACAAAGAACTTACTCAGTATTCTTCTTTCTAGCGTTCTATGAAGAAATCCCGTTTCCAACGAAGGCCCCAAAGAGGTCCAAATATCTGCTTGCAGACTTTACAGACAGAGTGTTTCCAAACTACTCTATGAAAAGAAAGCTTAAACTCCTTGGGTTGAACGCACACATCACAAAGTAGTTTCTGAGAATGATTCTGTCTAGTTTTTATACGAAGATGTTTCCTTTTCTACATTTGGTCTCAAAGCGATTGAAATCTCCAACTGGAAACTGCACAAATAGGGTGTTTCAAATCTGCTCTGTCTAAAGGAAGGTTCAACTCTGTGAGTTGAATACACACACCACAAATAAGTTACTGAGAATTCTTCTGTCGAATATTACTTGAAGAAATCCCGTTTCCAACGAAGGCCTCAAAGAGGTCCAAATATCCACTTGCAGACATTACAAACAGGGTGTTTCCAAACTGCTCCATCAAAAGAAAGGTTAAACTCTGTGAGCTGAACACACACATCAAAAAGAAGTTTCTGTGAATGATTCTGTCTAGATTTTATAAGAAGATGTTTCCTTTTCTACCGTAGGCCTCAAAGCGCTTGAAATCTCCAGCTGCAAATTCCACAAAAAGGGTGTTTAACATCTGCTCTTCTAAAGGAAAGTTCAACTCTATGCGTTGAATACACACAGCACAAAGAAGTTACTGAGACTTCTCCTATCAAACATTATATGAAGAAATCCCGTTTCCAACGAAGGCCTCAAAGAGGTCCAAATATCTGCTTGCAGACTTTACAGACAGAGTTTTTCCAAACTGCTCCATCAAAAGAAAGGTTAAACTCCTTGAGTTGAACACACACATCACAAAGTAGTTTCTGTGAATGATTCTGTCTAGTTTTTATACGAAGATGTTTCCTTTTCTACCTTTGGTCTCAAAGCGATTGAAATCTCCACTTGGAAACTCCACAAAAAGAGTGTTTCAAATCTGCTGTTTCTGAAGGAAGGTTCAACTCTGTGAGTTGAATACACACACCACAAATAAGTTACTGAGAATTCTTCTGTGTAACATTATATGAGGAAATCCCGTTTCCAACGAAGGCCTCAAAGAGGTCCAAATATCCACTTGCAGACTTTACAAACACAGTGTCTCCAAACTCCTCCATCAAAAGAAAGGTTATACTCTGTGAAATGAAGGCACACATCACAAAGTAGTTTCTGAGAATGATTCTGTCTAGTTTTTATACGAAGATATTTCCTTTTCTACATTTGGCCTAAAAGCGCTTGAAATCTCCACCTGCAAATATCACAAAAAGAGGGTTTCACATCTGCTCTGTCTAAAGGACAGTTCACCTCTGTGAGTTGAATAGAGGCAACACAAAGAACTTACTCAGTATTCTTCTTTCTAGCGTTCTATGAAGAAATCCCGTTTCCAACAAAGGCCCCAAAGAGGTCCAAATATCTGCTTGCAGACTTTACAGACAGAGTGTTTCCAAACTACTCTATGAAAAGAAAGCTTAAACTCCTTGAGTTGAACGCACACATCACAAAGTAGTTTCTGAGAATGATTCTGTCTAGTTTTTATACGAAGATGTTTCCTTTTCTACATTTGGTCTCAAAGCGATTGAAATCTCCAACTGGAAACTGCACAAATAGGGTGTTTCAAATCTGCTCTGTCTAAAGGAAGGTTCAACTCTGTGAGTTGAATACACACACCACAAATAAGTTACTGAGAATTCTTCTGTCGAACATTACTTGAAGAAATCCCGTTTCCAACGAAGGCCTCAAAGAGGTCCAAATATCCACTTGCAGATATTACAAACAGAGTGTTTCCAAACTGCTCCATCAAAAGAAAGGTTAAACTCTGTGAGCTGAACACACACATCAAAAAGAAGTTTCTGTGAATGATTCTGTCTAGATTTTATAAGAAGATGTTTCCTTTTCTACCGTAGGCCTCAAAGCACTTGAAATCTCCAGCTGCAAATTCCACAAAAAGGGTGTTTAACATCTGCTCTTCTAAAGGAAAGTTCAACTCTATGCGTTGAATACACACAGCACAAAGAAGTTACTGAGACTTCTCCTATCAAACATTATATGAAGAAATCCCGTTTCCAACGAAGGCCTCAAAGAGGTCCAAATATCTGCTTGCAGACTTTACAGACAGAGTGTTTCCAAACTGCTCCATCAAAAGAAAGGTTAAACTCCTTGAGTTGAACACACACATCACAAAGTAGTTTCTGTGAATGATTCTGTCTAGTTTTTATACGAAGATGTTTCCTTTTCTACCTTTGGTCTCAAAGCGATTGAAATCTCCACATGGAAACTTCACAAAAAGAGTGTTTCAAATCTGCTCTTTCTGAAGGAAGGTTCAACTCTGTGAGTTGAATACACACACCACAAATAAGTTACTGAGAATTCTTCTGTGTAACATTATATGAGGAAATCCCGTTTCCAACGAAGTCCTCAAAGAGGTCCAAATATCCACTTACAGACTTTACAAAGACAGTGTCTCCAAACTCCTCCATCAAAAGAAAGGTTATACTCTGTGAATTGAACGCACACATCACAAAGTAGTTTCTGAGAATGATTCTGTCTTGTTTTTATACGAAGGATATTTCCGTTTCTATGATTTGACTCAAAGCGATTGAAATCTCCAACTGGAAACTGCACAAATAGGGTGTTTCAAATCTGCTCTGTCTAAAGGAAGCTTCAACTCTGTGAGTTGAATACACACACCACAAATAAGTTACTGAGAATTCTTCTGTCGAACATTACATGAAGAAATCCCGTTTCCAACGAAGGCCTCAAAGAGGTCCAAATATCCACTTGCAGACATTACAAACAGAGTGTTTCCAAACTGCTCCATCAAAAGAAAGGTTAAACTCTGTGAGCTGAACACACACATCAAAAAGAAGTTTCTGTGAATGATTCTGTCTAGATTTTATAAGAAGATGTTTCCTTTTCTACCGTAGGCCTCAAAGCGCTTGAAATCTCCAGCTGCAAATTCCACAAAAAGGGTGTTTAACATCTGCTCTTCTAAAGGAAAGTTCAACTCTATGAGTTGAATACACACAGCACAAAGAAGTTACTGAGACTTCTCCTATCAAACATTATATGAAGAAATCCCGTTTCCAACGAAGGCCTCAAAGAGGTCCAAATATCTGCTTGCAGACTTTACAGACAGAGTGTTTCCAAACTGCTCCATCAAAAGAAAGGTTAAACTCCTTGAGTTGAACACACACATCACAAAGTAGTTTCTGTGAATGATTCTGTCTAGTTTTTATACAAAGATGTTTCCTTTTCTACCTTTGGTCTCAAAGCGATTGAAATCTCCACATGGAAACTCCACAAAAAGAGTGTTTCAAATCTGCTCTTTCTGAAGGAAGGTTCAAATCTGTGAGTTGAATACACACACCACAAATAAGTTACTGAGAATTCTTCTGTGTAACATTATATGAGGAAATCCCGTTTCCAACGAAGGCCTCAAAGAGGTCCAAATATCCACTTGCAGACTTTACAAAGACAGTGTCTCCAAACTCCTCCATCAAAAGAAAGGTTATACTCTGTGAATTGAACGCACACATCACAAAGTAGTTTCTGAGAATGATTCTGTCTAGTTTTTATACGAAGATATTTCCTTTTCTACATTTGGCCTAAAAGCGCTTGAAATCTCCACGTGCAAATATCACAAAAAGAGGGTTTCACATCTGCTCTGTCTAAAGGACAGTTCACCTCTGTGAGTTGAATAGAGGCAACACAAAGAACTTACTCAGTATTCTTCTTTCTAGCGTTCTATGAAGAAATCCCGTTTCCAACGAAGGCCTCAAAGAGGTCCAAATATCTGCTTGCAGACTTTACAGACAGAGTGTTTCCAAACTACTCTATGAAAAGAAAGCTTAAACTCCTTGAGTTGAACGCACACATCACAAAGTAGTTTCTGAGAATGATTCTGTCTAGTTTTTATACGAAGATGTTTCCTTTTCTACATTTGGTCTCAAAGCGATTGAAATCTCCAACTGGAAACTGCACAAATAGGGTGTTTCAAATCTGCTCTGTCTAAAGGAAGGTTCAACTCTGTGAGTTGAATAAACACACCACAAATAAGTTACTGAGAATTCTTCTGTCGAACATTACTTGAAGAAATCCCGTTTCCAACGAAGGCCTCAAAGAGGTCCAAATATCGACTTGCAGACATTACAAACAGAGTGTTTCCAAACTGCTCCATCAAAAGAAAGGTTAAACTCTGTGAGCTGAACACACACATCAAAAAGAAGTTTCTGTGAATGATTCTGTCTAGATTTTATAAGAAGATGTTTCCTTTTCTACCGTAGGCCTCAAAGTGCTTGAAATCTCCAGCTGCAAATTCCACAAAAAGGGTGTTTAACATCTGCTCTTCTAAAGGAAAGTTCAACTCAATGAGTTGAATACACACAGCCCAAAGAAGTTACTGAGACTTCTCCTATCAAACATTATATGAAGAAATCCCGTTTCCAACGAAGGCCTCAAAGAGGTCCAAATATATGCTTGCAGACTTTACAAAGACAGTGTCTCCAAACTCCTCCATCAAAAGAAAGGTTATACTCTGTGAATTGAACGCACACATCACAAAGTAGTTTCTGAGAATGATTCTGTCTAGTTTTTATACGAAGATATTTCCTTTTCTACATTTGGCCTAAAAGCGCTTGAAGTCTCCACCTGCAAATATCACAAAAAGAGGGTTTCACATCTGCTCTGTCTAAAGGACAGTTCACCTTTGTGAGTTGAATAGAGGCAACACAAAGAACTTACTCAGTATTCTTCTTTCTAGCGTTCTATGAAGAAATCCCGTTTCCAACGAAGGCCCCAAAGAGGTCCAAATATCTGCTGGCAGACTTTACAGACAGAGTGTTTCCAAACTACTCTATGAAAAGAAAGCTTAAACTCCTTGAGTTGAACGCACACATCACAAAGTAGTTTCTGAGAATGATTCTGTCTAGTTTTTATACGAAGATGTTTCCTTTCCTACATTTGGTCTCAAAGCGATTGAAATCTCCAACTGGAAACTGCACAAATAGGGTGTTTCAAATCTGCTCTGTCTAAAGGAAGGTTCAACTCTGTGAGTTGAATACACACACCACAAATAAGTTACTGAGAATTCTTCTGTCGAACATTACTTGAAGAAATCCCGTTTCCAACGAAGGCCTCAAAGAGGTCCAAATATCCACTTGCAGACATTACAAACAGAGTGTTTCCAAACTGCTCCATCAAAAGAAAGGTTAAACTCTGTGAGCTGAACACACACATCAAAAAGAAGTTTCTGTGAATGATTCTGTCAAGATTTTATAAGATGTTTCCTTTTCTACCGTAGGACTCAAAGCGCTTGAAATCTCCAGCTGCAAATTCCACAAAAAGGGTGTTTAACATCTGCTCTTCTAAAGGAAAGTTCAACTCTATGAGTTGAATACACACAGCACAAAGAAGTTACTGAGACTTCTCCTATCAAACATTATATGAAGAAATCCCGTTTCCAACGAAGGCCTCAAAGAGGTCCAAATATCTGCTTGCAGACTTTAAAGACAGAGTTTTTCCAAACTGCTCCATCAAAAGAAAGGTTAAACTCCTTGAGTTGAACACACACATCTCAAAGTAGTTTCTGTGAATGATTCTGTCTAGTTTTCATACGAAGATGTTTCGTTTTCTACCTTTGGTCTCAAAGCCATTGAAATCTCCACATGGAAACTCCACAAAAAGAGGGTTTCAAATCTGCTCTTTCTGAAGGAAGGTTCAACTCTGTGAGTTGAATACACACACCACAAATAAGTTACTGAGAATTCTTCTGTGTAACATTATAGGAGGAAATCCCGTTTCCAACGAAGGCCTCAAAGAGGTCCAAATATCCACTTGCAGACTTTACAAAGACAGTGTCTCCAAACTCCTCCATCAAAAGAAAGGTTATCCTCTGTGAATTGAACGCACACATCACAAAGTAGTTTCTGAGAATGATTCTGTGTAGTTTTTATACAAAGATATTTCCTTTTCTACATTTGGCCTAAAAGCGCTTGAAATCTCCACCTGCAAATATCACAAAAAGAGGGTTTCACATCTGCTCTGTCTAAAGGGCAGTTCACCTCTGTGAGTTGAATAGAGGCAGCACAAAGAAGTTACTGAGTATTTTTCTTTCTACCGTTCTATGAAGAAATCCCGTTTCCAACGAAGGCCTCAAAGAGGTCCAAATATCTGCTTGCAGACTTTACAGACAGAGTGTTTCCAAACTACTCTATGAAAAGAAAGCTTAAACTCCTTGAGTTGAACGCACACATCACAAAGTAGTTTCTGAGAATGATTCTGTCTAGTTTTTATACGAAGATGTTTCCTTTTCTACATTTGTCTCAAAGCGATTGAAATCTCCAACTGGAAACTGCACAAATAGGCTGTTTCAAATCTGCTCTGTCTAAAGGAAGGTTCAACTCTGTGAGTTGAATACACACACCACAAGTAAGTTACTGAGAATTCTTCTGTCGAACATTACAGGAAGAAATCCCGTGTCCAACGAAGGCCTCAAAGAGGTCCAAATATCCACTTGCAGACATTACAAACAGTGTGTTTCCAAACTGCTCCATCAAAAGAAAGGTTAAACTCTGTGAGCTGAACACACACATCAAAAAGAAGTTTCTGTGAATGATTCTGTCTAGATTTTCTAAGAAGATGTTTCCTTTTCTACCGTAGGCCTCAAAGCGCTTGAAATCTCCAGCTGCAAATTCCACAAAAAGGGTGTTTAACATCTGCTCTTCTAAAGGAAAGTTCAACTCTATGAGTTGAATACACACAGCACAAAGAAGTTACTGAGACTTCTCCTATCAAACATTATATGAAGAAATCCCGTTTCCAACGAAGGCCTCAAAGAGGTCCAAATATCTGCTTGCAGACTTTACAGACAGAGTGTTTCCAAACTGCTCCATCAAAAGAAAGGTTAAACTCCTTGAGTTGAACACACACATCACAAAGTAGTTTCTGTGAATGATTCTGTCTAGTTTTTATACGAAGATGTTTCCTTTTCTACCTTTGGTCTCAAAGCGATTGAAATCTCCACATGGAAACTCCACAAAAAGAGTGTTTCAAATCTGCTCTTTCTGAAGGAAGGTTCAACTCTGTGAGTTGAATACACACACCACAAATAAGTTACTGAGAATTCTTCTGTGTAACATTATATGAGGAAATCCCGTTTCCAACGAAGGCCTCAAAGAGGTCCAAATATCCACTTGCAGACTTTACAAACACAGTGTCTCCAAACTCCTCCATCAAAAGAAAGGTTATACTCTGTGAATTGAACGCACACATCACAAAGTAGTTTCTGAGAATGATTCTGTCTAGTTTTTATACGAAGATATTTCCTTTTCTACATTTGGCCTAAAAGCGCTTGAAATCTCCACCTGCAAATATCACAAAAAGAGGGTTTCACATCTGCTCTGTCTAAAGGACAGTTCACCTCTGTGAGTTGAATAGAGGCAACACAAAGAACTTACTCAGTATTCTTCTTTCTAGCGTTCTATGAAGAAATCCCGTTTCCAACGAAGGCCCCAAAGAGTTCCAAATATCTGCTTGCAGACTTTACAGACAGAGTTTTTCCAAACTGCTCCATCAAAAGAAAGGTTAAACTCCTTGAGTTGAACACACACATCACAAAGTAGTTTCTGTGAATGATTCTGTCAAGTTTTTATACGAAGATGTTTCCTTTTCTACATTTGGTCTCAAAGCGATTGAAATCTCCAACTGGAAACTGCACAAATAGGGTGTTTCAAATCTGCTCTGTCTAAAGGAAGGTTCAACTCTGTGAGTTGAATACACACACCACAAATAAGTTACTGAGAATTCTTCTGTTGAACATTACATGAAGAAATCCCGTTTCCAACGAAGGCCTCAAAGAGGTCCAAATATCCACTTGCAGACATTACAAACAGAGTGTTTCCAAACTGCTCCATCAAAGGAAAGGTTAAACTCTGTGAGCTGAACACACACATCGAAAAGAAGTTTCTGTGAATGATTCTGTCTAGATTTTATAAGAAGATGTTTCCTTTTCTACCGTAGGCCTCAAAGCGCTGGAAATCTCCAGCTGCAAATTCCACAAAAAGGGTGTTTAACATCTGCTCTTCTAAAGGAAAGTTCAACTCTATGAGTTGAATACACACAGCACAAAGAAGTTACTGAGACTTCTCCTATCAAACATTATATGAAGAAATCCCGTTTCCAACGAAGGCCTCAAAGAGGTCCAAATATCTGCTTGCAGACTTTACAGACAGAGTGTTTCCAAACTGCTCCATCAAAAGAAAGGTTAAACTCCTTGAGTTGAACACACACATCACAAAGTAGTTTCTGTGAATGATTCTGTCTAGTTTTTATACGAAGATGTTTCCTTTTCTACCTTTGGTCTCAAAGCGATTGAAATCTCCACATGGAAACTCCACCAAAAGAGTGTTTCAAATCTGCTCTTTCTGAAGGAAGGTTCAACTCTGTGAGTTGAATACAGACACCACAAATAAGTTACTGAGAATTGTTCTGTGTAACATTATATGAGGAAATCCCGTTTCCAACGAAGGCCTCAAAGAGGTCCAAATATCCACTTGCAGACTTTACAAAGACAGTGTCTCCAAACTCCTCCATCAAAAGAAAGGTTATACTCTGTGAATTGAACGCACACATCACAAAGTAGTTTCTGAGAATGATTCTGTCTAGTTTTTATACAAAGATATTTCCTTTTCTACATTTGGCCTAAAAGCGCTTGAAATCTCCACCTGCAAGTATCACAAAAAGAGGGTTTCACATCTGCTCTGTCTAAAGGACAGTTCACCTCTGTGAGTTGAATAGAGGCAACACAAAGAACTTACTCAGTATTCTTCTTTCTAGCGTTCTATGAAGAAATCCCGTTTCCAACGAAGGCCTTAAAGAGGTCAAATATCTGCTTGCAGACTTTACAGACAGAGTGTTTCCAAACTACTCTATGAAAAGAAAGCTTAAACTCCTTGAGTTGAACGCACACATCACAAAGTAGTTTCTGAGAATGATTCTGTCTAGTTTTTATACGAAGATGTTTCCTTTTCTACATTTGGTCTCAAAGCGATTGAAATCTCCAACTGGAAACTGCACAAATAGGGTGTTTCAAATCTGCTCTGTCTAAAGGAAGGTTCAACTCTGTGAGTTGAATACACACACCACAAATAAGTTACTGAGAATTCTTCTGTCGAACATTACTTGAAGAAATTCCGTTTCCAACGAAGGCCTCAAAGAGGTCCAAATATCCACTTGCAGACATTACAAACAGAGTGTTTCCAAACTGCTCCATGAAAAGAAAGGTTAAACTCTGTGAGCTGAACACACACATCAAAAAGAAGTTTCTGTGAATGATTCTGTCTAGATTTTATAAGAAGATGTTTCCTTTTCTACCGTAGGCCTCAAAGCGCTTGAAATCTCCAGCTGCAAATTCCACAAAAAGGGTGTTTAACATCTGCTCTTCTAAAGGAAAGTTCAACTCTATGAGTTGAATACACACAGCACAAAGAAGTTACTGAGACTTGTCCTATCAAACATTATATGAAGAAATCCCGTTTCCAACGAAGGCCTCAAAGAGGTCCAAATATCTGCTTGCAGACTTTACAGACAGAGTGTTTCCAAACTGCTCCATCAAAAGAAAGGTTAACCTCCTTGAGTTGAACACACACGTCACAAAGAAGTTTCTGTGAATGATTCTGTCTAGTTTTTATACGAAGATGTTTCCTTTTCTACCTTTGGTCTCAAAGCGATTGAAATCTCCACATGGAAACTCCACAAAAAGAGTGTTTCAAATCTGCTCTTTCTGAAGGAAGGTTCATCTCTGTGAGTTGAATACACACACCACAAATAAGTTACTGAGAATTCTTCTGTGTAACATTATATGAGGAAATCCCGTTTCCAACGAAGGCCTCAAAGAGGTCCAAATATCCACTTGCAGACCTTACAAAGACAGTGTCTCCAAACTCCTCCATCAAAAGAAAGGTTATACTCTGTGAATTGAACGCACACATCACAAAGTAGTTTCTGAGAATGATTCTGTCTAGTTTTTATACGAAGATATTTCCTTTTCTACATTTGGCCTAAAAGTGCTTGAAATCTCCACCTGCAAATATCACAAAAAGAGGGTTTCACATCTGCTCTGTCTAAAGGACAGTTCACCTCTGTGAGTTGAATAGAGGCAACACAAAGAACTTACTCAGTATTCTTCTTTCTACCGTTCTATGAAGAAATCCCGTTTCCAACGAAGGCCTCAAAGAGGTCCAAATATCTGCTTGCAGACTTTACAGACAGAGTGTTTCCAAACTACTCTATGAAAAGAAAGCTTAAACTCCTTGAGTTGAACGCACACATCACAAAGTAGTTTCTGAGAATGATTCTGTCTTCTTTTTATACAAATGTATTTCCGTTTCTATGGCCTCAAAGCAATTGAAATCTCCAACTGGAAACTGCACAAATAGGGTGTTTCAAATCTGCTCTGTCTAAAGGAAGGTTCAACTCTGTGAGTTGAATACACACACCACAAATAAGTTGCTGAGAATTCTTCTGTCGAACATTACTTGAAGAAATCCCGTTTCCAACGAAGGCCTCAAAGAGGTCCAAATATCCACTTGCAGATATTACAAGCAGAGTGTTTCCAAACTGCTCCATCAAAAGAAAGGTTAAACTCGGTGAGCTGAACACACACATCAAAAAGAAGTTTCTGTGAATGATTCTGTCTAGATTTTATAAGAAGATGTTTCCTTTTCTACCGTAGGCCTCAAAGCGCTTGAAATCTCCAGCTGCAAATTCCACAAAAAGGGTGTTTTACATCTGCTCTTCTAAAGGAAAGTTCAACTCTATGCGTTGAATACACACAGCACAAAGAAGTTACTGAGACTTCTCCTATCAAACATTATATGAAGAAATCCCGTTTCCAACGAAGGCCTCAAAGAGGTCCAAATATCTGCTTGCAGACTTTACAGACAGAGTGTTTCCAAACTGCTCCATCAAAAGAAAGGTTAAACTCCTTGAGTTGAACACACACATCACAAAGTAGTTTCTGTGAATGATTCTGTCTAGTTTTTATACGAAGATGTTTCCTTTTCTACCTTTGGTCTCAAAGTGATTGAAATCTCCACATGGAAACTCCACAAAAAGAGTGTTTCAAATCTGCTCTTTCTGAAGGAAGGTTCAAATCTGTGAGTTGAATACACACACCACAAATAAGTTACTGAGAATTCTTCTGGGTAACATTATATGAGGAAATCCCGTTTCCAACGAAGGCCTCAAAGAGGTCCAAATATCCACTTGCAGACTTTACAAAGACAGTGTCTCCAAACTCCTCCATCAAAAGAAAGGTTATACTCTGTGAATTGAACGCACACATCACAAAGTAGTTTCTGAGAATGATTCTGTCTAGTTTTTATACGAAGATATTTCCTTTTCTACATTTGGCCTAAAAGCGCTTGAAATCTCCACCTGCAAATATCACAAAAAGAGGGTTTCACATCTGCTCTGTCTAAAGGACAGTTCACCTCTGTGAGTTGAATAGAGGCAACACAAAGAACTTACTCAGTATTCTTCTTTCTAGCGTTCAATGAAGAAATCCCGTTTCCAACTAAGGCCCCAATGAGGTCCAAATATCTGCTTGCAGACTTTACAGACAGAGTGTTTCCAAACTACTCTATGAAAAGAAAGCTTAAACTCCTTGAGTTGAACGCACACATCACAAAGTAGTTTCTGAGAATGATTCTGTCTAGTTTTTATACGAAGATGTTTCCTTTTCTACTTTTGGTCTCAAAGCGATTGAAATCTCCAACTGGAAACTGCACAAATAGGGTGTTTCAAATCTGCTCTGTCTAAAGGAAGGTTCAACTCTGTGAGTTGAATACACACACCACAAATAAGTTACAGAGAATTCTTCTGTCGAACATTACTTGAAGAAATCCCGTTTGCAACGAAGGCCTCAAAGAGGTCCAAATATCCACTTGCAGACATTACAACAGAGTGTTTCCAAACTGCTCCATCAAAAGAAAGGTTAAACTCTGTGAGCTGAACACACACATCAAAAAGAAGTTTCTGTGAATGATTCTGTCTAGATTTTATAAGAAGATGTTTCCTTTTCTACCGTAGGCCTCAAAGCGCTTGAAATCTCCAGCTGCAAATTCCACAAAAAGGGTGTTTAACATCTGCTCTTCTAAAGGAAAGTTCAACTCTATGAGTTGAATACACACAGCACAAAGAAGTTACTGAGACTTCTCCTATCAAACATTATATGAAGAAATCCCGTTTCCAACGAAGGCCTCAAAGAGGTCCAAATATCTGCTTGCAGACTTTACAGACAGAGTGTTTCCAAACTGCTCCATCAAAAGAAAGGATAAACTCCTTGAGTTGAACACACACATCACAAAGTAGTTTCTGTGAATGATTCTGTCTAGTTTCTATACTGAAGATGTTTCCTTTTCTACCTTTGGTCTCAAAGCGATTGAAATCTCCACATGGAAACTCCACAAAAAGAGTGTTTCAAATCTGCTCTTTCTGAAGGAAGGTTCAACTCTGTGAGTTGAATACACACACCACAAATAAGTTACTGAGAATTCTTCTGTGTAAAATTATATGAGGAAATCCCGTTTCCAACGAAGGCCTCAAAGAGGTCCAAATATCCACCTGCAGACTTTACAAAGACAGTGTCTCCAAACTCCTCCATCAAAAGAAAGGTTATACTCTGTGAATTGAACGCACACATCACAAAGTAGTTTCTGAGAATGATTCTGTCTAGTTTTTATACGAAGATATTTCCTTTTCTACATTTGACCTAAAAGCGCTTGAAATCTCCACCTGCAAATATCACAAAAAGAGGGTTTCACATCTGCTCTGTCTAAAGGACAGTTCACCTCTGTGAGTTGAATAGAGGCAACACAAAGAACTTACTCAGTATTCTTCTTTCTAGCGTTCTATGAAGAAATCCCGTTTCCAACGAAGGCCCCAAAGAGGTCCAAATATCTGCTTGCAGACTTAACAGACAGAGTGTTTCCAAACTACTCTATGAAAAGAAAGCTTAAACTCCTTGAGTTGAACGCACACATCACAAAGTAGTTTCTGAGAATGATTCTGTCTAGTTTTTATACGAAGATGTTTCCTTTTCTACATTTGGTCTCAAAGCGATTGAAATCTCCAACTGGAAACTGCACAAATAGGGTGTTTCAAATCTGCTCTGTCTAAAGGAAGGTTCAACTCTGTGAGTTGAATACACACACCACAAATAAGTTACTGAGAATTCTTCTGTCGAACATTACAGGAAGAAATCCCGTTTCCAACGAAGGCCTCAAAGAGGTCCAAATATCCACTTGCAGACATTACAAACAGTGTGTTTCCCAACTGCTCCATCAAAAGAAAGGTTAAACTCTGTGAGCTGAACACACACATCAAAAAGAAGTTTCTGTGAATGATTCTGTCTAGATTTTATAAGAAGATGTTTCCTTTTCTACCGTAGGCCTCAAAGCGCTTGAAATCTCCAGCTGCAAATTCCACAAAAAGGGTGTTTAACATCTGCTCTTCTAAAGGAAAGTTCAACTCTATGAGTTGAATACACACAGCACAAAGAAGTTACTGAGACTTCTCCTATCAAACATTATATGAAGAAATCCCGTTTCCAACGAAGGCCTCAAAGAGGTCCAAATATCTACTTGCAGACTTTACAGACAGAGTGTTTCCAAACTGCTCCATCAAAAGAAAGGTTAAACTCCTTGAGTTGAACACACACATCACAAAGTAGTTTCTGTGAATGATTCTGTCTAGTTTTTATACGAAGATGTTTCCTTTTCTACCTTTGGTCTCAAAGCGATTGAAATCTCCACATGGAAACTCCACAAAAAGAGTGTTTCAAATCTGCTCTTTCTGAAGGAAGGTTCAACTCTGTGAGTTGAATACACACACCACAAATGAGTTACTGAGAATTCTCCTATCAAACATTATATGAAGAAATCCCGTTTCCAACGATGGCCCCAAAGAGGTCCAAATATCTGCTTGCAGACTTTACAAAGACAGTGTCTCCAAACTCCTCCATCAGAAGAAATATTATACACTGTGAATTGAACGCACTCATCACAAAGTAGTTTCTGAGAATGATTCTGTCTAGTTTTTATTCGAAGATATTTCCTTTTCTACATTTGGCCTAAAAGCGCTTGAAATCTCCACGTGCAAATATCACAAAAAGAGGGTTTCACATCTGCTCTGTCTAAAGGACAGTTCACGTCTGTGAGTTGAATAGAGGCAACACAAAGAACTTACTCAGTATTCTTCTTTCTAGCGTTCTATGAAGAAATCCCGTTTCCAACGAAGGCCTCAAAGAGGTCCAAATATCTGCTTGCAGACTTTACAGACAGAGTGTTTCCAAACTACTCTATGAAAAGAAAGCTTAAACTCCTTGAGTTGAATGCACACATCACAAAGTAGTTTCTGAGAATGATTCTGTCTAGTTTTTATACGAAGATGTTTCCTTTTCTACATTTGGTCTCAAAGCGATTGAAATCTCCAACTGGAAACTGCACAAATAGGGTGTTTCAAATCTGCTCTGTCTAAAGGAAGGTTCAACTCTGTGAGTTGAATACACACACCACAAATAAGTTACTGAGAATTCTTCTGTCGAACATTACATGAAGAAATCCCGTTTCCAACGAAGGCCTCAAGGGGTCCAAATATCTACTTGCAGACATTACAAACAGAGTGTTTCCAAACTGCTCCATAAAAAGAAAGGTTAAACTCTGTGAGCTGAACACACACATCAAAAAGAAGTTTCTGTGAATGATTCTGTCTAGATTTTATAAGAAGATGATTCCTTTTCTACCGTAGGCCTCAAAGCGCTTGAAATCTCCAGCTGCAAATTCCACAAAAAGGGTGTTTAACATCTGCTCTTCTAAAGGAAAGTTCAACTCTGTGAGTTGAATACACACAGCACAAAGACGTTACTGAGACTTCTCCTATCAAACATTATATGAAGAAATCCCGTTTCCAACGAAGGCCTCAAAGAGGTCCAAATATCTGCTTGCAGACTTTACAGACAGAGTGTTTCCAAACTGCTCCATCAAAAGAAAGGTTAAACTCCTTGAGTTGAACACACACATCACAAAGTAGTTTCTGTGAATGATTCTGTCTAGTTTTTATACGAAGATGTTTCCTTTTCTACCTTTGGTCTCAATGCGATTGAAATCTCCACATGGAAACTCCACAAAAAGAGTGTTTCAAATCTGCTCTTTCTGAAGGAAGGTTCAACTCTGTGAGTTGAATACACACACCACAAATAAGTTACTGAGAATTCTTCTGTGTAACATTATATGAGGAAATCCCGTTTCCAACGAAGGCCTCAAAGAGGTCCAAATATCCACTTGCAGACTTTACAAAGACAGTGTCTCCAAACTCCTCCATCAAAAGAAAGGTTATACTCTGTGAATTGAACGCACACATCACAAAGTAGTTTGCTGAGAATGATTTCTGTCTAGTTTTCATACGAAGATATTTCCTTTTCTACATTTGGCCTAAAAGCGCTTGAAATCTCCACGTGCAAATATCACAAAAAGAGGGTTTCACACCTGCTCTGTCTAAAGGACAGTTCACCTCTGTGAGTTGAATAGAGGCAACACAAAGAACTTACTCAGTATTCTTCTTTCTTGCATTCTATGAAGAAATCCCGTTTCCAACGAAGGCCCCAAAGAGGTCCAAATATCTGCTTGCACACTTTACAGACAGAGTGTTTCCAAACTACTCTATGAAAAGAAAGCTTAAACTCCTTGAGTTGAACGCACACATCACAAAGTAGTTTCTGAGAATGATTCTGTCTAGTTTTTATACGAAGATGTTTCCTTTTCTACATTTGGTCTCAAAGCGATTGAAATCTCCAACTGGAAACTGCACAAATAGGGTGTTTCAAATCTGCTCTGTGTAAAGGAAGGTTCAACTCTGTGAGTTGAATACACACACCACAAATAAGTTACTGAGAATTCTTCTGTCGAACATTACTTGAAGAAATCCCGTTTCCAACGAAGGCCTCAAAGAGGTCCAAATATCCACTTGCAGACATTACAAACAGAGTGTTTCCAAACTGCTCCATCAAAAGAAAGGTTAAACTCTGTGAGCTGAACACACACATCAAAAAGAAGTTTCTGTGAATGATTCTGTCTAGATTTTATAAGAAGATGTTTCCTTTTCTACCGTAGGCCACAAAGTGCTTGAAATCTCCAGCTGCAAATTCCACAAAAAGGGTGTTTAACATCTGCTCTTCTAAAGGAAAGTTCAACTCAATGAGTTGAATACACACAGCCCAAAGAAGTTACTGAGACTTCTCCTATCAAACATTATATGAAGAAATCCCGTTTCCAACGAAGGCCTCAAAGAGGTCCAAATATCTGCTTGCAGACTTTACAAAGACAGTGTCTCCAAACTCCTCCATCAAAAGAAAGGTTATACTCTGTGAATTGAACGCACACATCACAAAGTAGTTTCTGAGAATGATTCTGTCTAATTTTTATACGAAGATATTTCCTTTTCTACATTTGGCCTAAAAGCGCTTGAAGTCTCCACCTGCAAATATCACAAAAAGAGGGTTTCACATCTGCTCTGTCTAAAGGACAGTTCACCTTTGTGAGTTGAATAGAGGCAACACAAAGAACTTACTCAGTATTCTTCTTTCTAGCGTTCTATGAAGAAATCCCGTTTCCAACGAAGGCCCCAAAGAGGTCCAAATATCTGCTTGCAGACTTTACAGACAGAGTGTTTCCAAACTACTCTATGAAAAGAAAGCTTAAACTCCTTGAGTTGAACGCACACATCACAAAGTAGTTTCTGAGAATGATTCTGTCTAGTTTTTATACGAAGATGTTTCCTTTTCTACATTTGGTCTCAAAGCGATTGAAATCTCCAACTGGAAACTGCACAAATAGGGTGTTTCAAATCTGCTCTGTCTAAAGGAAGGTTCAACTCTGTGAGTTGAATACACACACCACAAATAAGTTACTGAGAATTCTTCTGTCGAACATTACTTGAAGAAATCCCGTTTCCAACGAAGGCCTCAAAGAGGTCCAAATATCCACTTGCAGACATTACAAACAGAGTGTTTCCAAACTGCTCCATCAAAAGAAAGGTTAAACTCTGTGAGCTGAACACACACATCGAAAAGAAGTTTCTGTGAATGATTCTGTCTAGATTTTATAAGAAGATGTTTCCTTTTCTACCGTAGGCCTCAAAGCGCTTGAAATCTCCAGCTGCAAATTCCACAAAAAGGGAGTTTAACATCTGCTCTTCTAAAGGAAAGTTCAACTCTATGAGTTGAATACACACAGCACAAAGAAGTTACTGAGACTTCTCCTATCAAACATTATATGAAGAAATCCCGTTTCCAACGAAGGCCTCAAAGAGGTCCAAATATCTGCTTGCAGACTTTACAGACAGAGTATTTCCAAACTGCTCCATCAAAAGAAAGGTTAAACTCCTTGAGTTGAACACACACATCACAAAGTAGTTTCTGTGAATGATTCTGTCTAGTTGTTATACGAAGATGTTTCCTTTTCTACCTTTGGTCTCAAAGCGATTGAAATCTCCACATGGAAACTCCACAAAAAGAGTGTTTCAAATCTGCTCTTTCTGAAGGAAGGTTCATCTCTGTGAGTTGAATACACACACCACAAATAAGTTACTGAGAATTCTTCTGTGTAACATTACATGAGGAAATCCCGTTTCCAACGAAGGCCTCAAAGAGGTCCAAATATCCACTTGCAGACTTTACAAAGACAGTGTCTCCAAACTCCTCCATCAAAAGAAAGGTTATACTCTGTGAATTGAACGCACACATCACAAAGTAGTTTCTGAGAATGATTCTGTCTAGTTTTTATACGAAGATATTTCCTTTTCTACATTTGGCCTAAAAGCGCTTGAAATCTCCACCTGCAAATATCACAAAAAGAGGGTTTCACATCTGCTCTGTCTAAAGGACAGTTCACCTCTGTGAGTTGAATAGAGGCAACACAAAGAACTTACTCAGTATTCTTCTTTCTAGCGTTCTATGAAGAAATCCCGTTTCCAACGAAGGCCCCAAAGAGGTCCAAATATCTGCTTGCAGACTTTACAGACAGAGTGTTTCCAAACTACTCTATGAAAAGAAAGCTTAAACTCCTTGAGTTGAACGCACACATCACAAAGTAGTTTCTGAGAATGATTCTGTCTAGTTTTTATACGAAGATGTTTCCTTTTCTACATTTGGTCTCAAAGCGATTGAAATCTCCAACTGGAAACTGCACAAATAGGGTGTTTCAAATCTGCTCTGTCTAAAGGAAGGTTCAACTCTTTGAGTTGAATACACACACCACAAATAAGTTACTGAGAATTCTTCTGTCGAACATTACTTGAAGAAATCCCGTTTCCAACGAAGGCCTCAAAGAGGTCCAAATATCCACTTGCAGACATTACAAACAGAGTGTTTCCAAACTGCTCCATCAAAAGAAAGGTTAAACTCTGTGAGCTGAACACACACATCAAAAAGTAGTTTCTGTGAATGATTCTGTCTAGATTTTATAAGAAGATGTTTCCTTTTCTACCGTAGGCCTCAAAGCGCTTGAAATCTCCAGCTGCAAATTCCACAAAAAGGGTGTTTAACATCTGCTCTTCTAAAGGAAAGTTCAACTCTATGCGTTGAATACACACATCACAAAGAAGTTACTGAGACTTCTCCTATCAAACATTATATGAAGAAATCCCGTTTCCAACGAAGGCCTCAAAGAGGTCCAAATATCTACTTGCAGACTTTACAGACAGAGTGTTTCCAAACTGCTCCATCAAAAGAAAGGTTAAACTCCTTGAGTTGAACACACACATCACAAAGTAGTTTCTGTGAATGATTCTGTCTAGTTTTTATACGAAGATGTTTCCTTTTCTACCTATGGTCTCAAAGCGATTGAAATCTCCACATGGAAACTCCACAAAAAGAGTGTTTCAAATCTGCTCTTTCTGAAGGAAGGTTCAACTCTGTGAGTTGAATACACACACCACAAATAAGTTACTGAGAATTCTTCTGTGTAACATTATATGAGGAAATCCCGTTTCCAACGAAGGCCTCAAAGAGGTCCAAATATCCACTTGCAGACTTTACAAAGACAGTGTCTCCAAACTCCTCCATCAAAAGAAAGGTTATACTCTGTGAATTGAACGCACACATCACAAAGTAGTTTCTGAGAATGATTCTGTCTAGTTTTTATACGAAGATATTCCCTTTTCTACATTTGGCCTGAAAACGCTTGAAATCTCCACCTGCAAATATCACAAAAAGAGGGTTTCACATCTGCTCTGTCTAAAGGACAGTTCACCTCTGTGAGTTGAATAGAGGCAACACAAAGAACTTACTCAGTATTCTTCTTTCTAGCGTTGTATGAAGAAATCCCGTTTCCAACGAAGGCCCCAAAGAGGTCCAAATATCTGCTTGCAGACTTTACAGACAGAGTGTTTCCAAACTACTCTATGAAAAGAAAGCTTAAACTCCTTGAGTTGAATGCACACAACACAAAGTAGTTTCTGAGAATGATTCTGTCTAGTTTTTATACGAAGATGTTTCCTTTTCTACATTTGGTCTCAAAGCGATTGAAATCTCCAACTGGAAACTGCACAAATAGGGTGTTTCAAATCTGCTCTGTCTAAAGGAAGGTTCAACTCTGTGAGTTGAATACACACACCACAAATAAGTTACTGAGAATTCTTCTGTCGAACATTACTTGAAGAAATCCCGTTTCCAACGAAGGCCTCAAAGAGGTCCAAATATCCACTTGCAGACATTACAAACAGAGTGTTTCCAAACTGCTCCATCAAAAGAAAGGTTAAACTCTGTGAGCTGAACACACACATCAAAAATAAGTTTCTGTGAATGATTCTGTCTAGATTTTATAAGAAGATGTTTCCTTTTCTACCGTAGGCCTCAAAGCGCTTGAAATCTCCAGCTGCAAATTCCACAAAAAGGGTCATTAACATCTGCTCTTCTAAAGGAAAGTTCAACTCTATGAGTTGAATACACACAGCACAAAGAAGTTACTGAGACTTCTCCTATCAAACATTATATGAAGAAATCCCGTTTCCAACGAAGGCCTCAAAGAGGTCCAAATATCTGCTTGCAGACTTTACAGACAGAGTGTTTCCAAACTGCTCCATCAAAAGAAAGGATAAACTCCTTGAGTTGAACACACACATCACAAAGTAGTTTCTGTGAATGATTCTGTCTAGTTTTTATACGAAGATGTTTCCTTTTCTACCTTTGGTCTCAAAGCGATTGAAATCTCCACATGGAAACTCCACAAAAAGAGTGTTTCAAATCTGCTCTTTCTGAAGGAAGGTTCAACTCTGTGAGTTGAATACACACACCACAAATAAGTTACTGAGAATTCTTCTGTGTAACATTATATGAGGAAATCCCGTTTCCAACGAAGGCCTCAAAGAGGTCCAAATATCCACTTGCAGACTTTACAAAGACAGTGTCTCCAAACTCCTCCATCAAAAGAAAGGTTATACTCTGTGAATTGAACGCACACATCACAAAGTAGTTTCTGAGAATGATTCTGTCTAGTTTTTATACGAAGATATTTCCTTTTCTACATTTGGCCTAAAAGCGCTTGAAGTCTCCACCTGCAAATATCACAAAAAGAGGGTTTCACATCTGCTCTGTCTAAAGGACAGTTCACCTCTGTGAGTTGAATAGAGGCAACACAAAGAACTTACTGAGTATTCTTCTTTCTAGCGTTATATGAAGAAATCCCGTTTCCAACGAAGGCCTCAAAGAGGTCCAAATATCTGCTTGCAGACTTTACAGACAGAGTGTTTCCAAACTACTCTATGAAAAGAGAGCTTAAACTCCGTGAGTTTAACGCACACATCACAAAGTAGTTTCTGAGAATGATTCTGTCTAGTTTTTATACGAAGATATTTCCGTTTCTACGATTGGCCTCAAAGCGATTGAAATCTCCAACTGGAAACTGCACAAATAGTGTGTTTGAAATCTGCTCTGTCTAAAGGAAGGTTCAACTCTGTGAGTTGAATACACACACCACAAATAAGTTACTGAGATTTCGTCTCTCGAACATTACATGAAGAAATTCCGTTTCCAACGAAGGCCTCAAAGAGGTCCAAATATGCACTTGCAGACTTGTAAAACAGAGTGTTTCCAAACTACTCTATGAAAAGAAAGCTTAAACTCCGTGAGTTGAACGCACACATCACAAAGTAGTTTCTGAGAATGATTCTGTCTTGTTTTTATACGAAGATATTTCCGTTTCTACGATTGGCCTCAAAGCGATTGAAATCTCCAACTGGAAACTGCACAAATAGGGTGTTTCAAATCTGCTCTCTCTCGAGGAAGTTTCAACTCTGTGAGTTGAATACACACACCATAAATAAGTTACTGAGAATTCTTCTGTCGAACTTTACATGAAGAAATCCCGTTTCCAACGAAGGCCTCAAAGAGGTCCCAATATCCACTTGCAGACTTGACAAACACAGTGTTTCCAAACTGCTCCATCAAAAGAAATGTTAAACTCTGTGAGCTGAACACACACATCAAAAAGTAGTTTCTGTGAACGATTCTGTCTAGATTTTATACGAAGATGTTTCGTTTTCTACCATAGGCCTCAAAGCGCTTGAAATCTCCAGCTGCAAATTCCACAGAAAGTGTGTTTCACATGTGCTCTGTCTAAAGTAAAGTTCACCTCTGTGAGTTGAATACACACAGCACAAATAAGTTACTGAGACTTCTTCTGTCTAACATTATATGAAGAAATCCCTTTTCCAAAGAAGGCCTCAAAGAGGTCCAAATATCCACTTGCAGGCTTGACAAACAGAGTGTTTCCAAACTGCTCCATCAAAAGAAAGGTTAAACTCTGTGAGCTGAACACTCACATCAAAAAGTAGTTTCTGTGTATGATTCTGTCTAGTTTTTATACGAAGATGTTTCCTTTTCTACCTTTGGTCTCAAAGCGATTGAAATCTCCACATGGAAACTCCACAAAAAGAGTGTTTCAAATCTGCTCTTTCAGAAGGAAGGTTCAACTCTGTGAGTTGAATACACACACCACAAATAAGTTACTGAGAATTCTTCTGTGTAACATTATATGAGGAAATCCCGTTTCCAACGAAGGCCTCAAAGAGTTCCAAATATCCACTTGCAGACATTACAAAGACAGTGTCTCCAAACTCCTCCATCAAAAGAAAGGTTATACTCTGTGAATTGAACGCACACATCACAAAGCAGTTTCTGAGAATGATTCTGTCTAGTTTTTATACGAAGATATTTCCTTTTCTACATTTGGCCTAAAAGCGCTTGAAATCTCCACGTGCAAATATCACAAAAAGAGGGTTTCACATCTGCTCTGTCTAAAGGACAGTTCACCTCTGTGAGTTGAATAGAGGCAACACAAAGAACTTACTCAGTATTCTTCTTTCTAGCGTTCTATGAAGAAATCCCGTTTCCAACGAAGGCCTCAAAGAGGTCCAAATATCTGCTTGCAGACTTTACAGACAGAGTGTTTCCAAACTACTCTATGAAAAGAAAGCTTAAACTCCTTGAGTTGAACGCACACATCACAAAGTAGTTTCTGAGAATGATTCTGTCTAGTTTTTATACGAAGATGTTTCCTTTTCTACATTTGGTCTCAAAGCGATTGAAATCTCCAACTGGAAACTGCACAAATAGGGTGTTTCAAATCTGCTCTGTCTAAAGGAAGGTTCAACTCTTTGAGTTGAATACACACACCACAAATAAGTTACTGAGAATTCTTCTGTCGAACATTACATGAAGAAATCCCGTTTCCAACGAAGGCCTCAAAAGGTCCAAATATCCACTTGCAGACATTACAAACAGAGTGTTTCCAAACTGCTCCATCAAAAGAAAGGTTAAACTCTGTGAGCTGAACACACACATCAAAAAGAAGTTTCTGTGAATGATTCTGTCTAGATTTTATAAGAAGATGTTTCCTTTTCTACCGTAGGCCTCAAAGCGCTTGAAATCTCCAGCTGCAAATTCCACAAAAAGGGTGTTTAACATGTGCTCTTCTAAAGGAAAGTTCAACTCTATGCGTTGAATACACACAGCACAAAGAAGTTACTGAGACTTCTCCTATCAAACATTATATGAAGAAATCCCGTTTCCAACGAAGGCCCCAAAGAGGTCCAAATATCTGCTTGCAGACTTTACAGACAGAGTGTTTCCAAACTACTCTATGAAAAGAAAGCTTAAACTCCTTGAGTTGAACGCACACATCACAAAGTAGTTTCTGAGAATGATTCTGTCTAGTTTTTATACGAAGATGTTTCCTTTTCTACATTTGGTCTCAAAGCGATTGAAATCTCCAACTGGAAACTGCACAAATAGGGTGTTTCAAATCTGCACTGTGTAAAGGAAGGTTCAACTCTGTGAGTTGAATACACACACCACAAATAAGTTACTGAGAATTCTTCTGTCAAACATTACATGAAGAAATCCCTTTTCCAACGAAGGCCTCAAAGAGGTCCAAATATCCACTTGCAGACATTACAAATAGTGTGTTTCCAAACTGCTCCATCAAAAGAAAGGTTAAACTCTGTGAGCTGAACACACACATCAAAAAGAAGTTTCTGTGAATGATTCTGTCTAGATTTTATAAGAAGATGTTTCCTTTTCTACCGTAGGCCTCAAAGCGCTTGAAATCTCCAGCTGCAAATTCCACAAAAAGGGTGTTTAACATCTGCTCTTCTAAAGGAAAGTTCAACTCTATGAGTTGAATACACACAGCACAAAGAAGTTACTGAGACTTCTCCTATCAAACATTATATGAAGAAATCCCGTTTCCAACGAAGGCCTCAAAGAGGTCCAAATATCTGCTTGCAGACTTTACAGACAGAGTGTTTCCAAACTACTCTATGAAAAGAAAGCTTAAACTCCTTGAGTTGAACGCACACATCACAAAGTAGTTTCTGAGAATTATTCTGTCTTGTTTTTATACGAAGATATTTCCGTTTCTACGATTGGCCTCAAAGCGATTGAAATCTCCACGTGGAAACTCCACAAAAAGAGTGTTTCAAATCTGCTCTTTCTGAAGGAAGGTTCAACTCTGTGAGTTGAATACACACACCACAAATAAGTTACTGAGAATTCTTCTGTGTAACATTATATGAGGAAATCCCGTTTCCAACGAAGGCCTCAAAGAGGTCCAAATATCCACTTGCAGACTTTATAAGACAGTGTCTCCAAACTCCTCCATCAAAAGAAAGGTTATACTCTGTGAATTGAATGCAGACATCACAAAGTAGTTTCTGAGAATGATTCTGTCTACTTTTTATAAGAAGATATTTCCTTTTCTACATTTGGCCTAAAAGCGCTTGAAATCTCCACCTGCAAATATCACAAAAAGAGGGTTTCACATCTGCTCTGTCTAAAGGACAGTTCACCTCTGTGAGTTGAATAGAGGCAACACAAGGAAGTTACTGAGTATTCTTCTTTCTAGCGTTCTATGAAGAAATCCCGTTTCCAACGAAGACCCCAATGAGGTCCAAATATCTGCTTGCAGACTTTACAGACAGAGTGTTTCCAAACTACTCTATGAAAAGAAAGCTTAAACTCCTTGAGTTGAACGCACACATCACAAAGTAGTTTCTGAGAATGATTTCTGTCTAGTTTTTATACGAAGATGTTTCCTTTTCTACATTTGGTCTGAAAGCGATTGAAATCTCCAACTGGAAACTGCACAAATAGGCTGTTTCAAATCTGCTCTGTCTAAAGGAAGGTTCAGCTCTGTGAGTTGAATACACACACCACAAATAAGTTACTGAGAATTCTTCTGTCGAACATTACAGGAAGAAATCCCGTTTCCAATGAAGGCCTCAAAGAGGTCCAAATATCCACTTGCGGACATTACAAACAGTGTGTTTCCCAACTGCTCCATCAAAAGAAAGGTTAAACTCTGTGAGCTGAACACACACATCAAAAAGAAGTTTCTGTGAATGATTCTGTCTAGATTTTATAAGAAGATGTTTCCTTTTCTACCGTAGGCCTCAAAGCGCTTGAAATCTCCAGCTGCAAATTCCACAAAAAGGGTGTTTAACATCTGCTCTTCTAAAGGAAAGTTCAACTCTATGAGTTCAATACACACAGCACAAAGAAGTTACTGAGACTTCTCCTATCAAACATTATATGAAGAAATCCCGTTTCCAACGAAGGCCTCAAAGAGGTCCAAATATCTGCTTGCAGACTTTACAGACAGAGTGTTTCCAAACTGCTCCATCAAAAGAAAGGTTAAACTCCTTGAGTTGAACACACACATCACAAAGTAGTTTCTGTGAATGATTCTGTCTAGTTGTTATACGAAGATGTTTCCTTTTCTACCTTTGGTCTCAAAGCGATTGAAATCTCCACATGGAAACTCCACAAAAAGAGTGTTTCAAATCTGCTCTTTCTGAAGGAAGGTTCATCTCTGTGAGTTGAATACACACACCACAAATAAGTTAGTGAGGATTCTTCTGTGTAATATTATATGAGGAAATCCCGTTTCCAACGAAGGCCTCAAAGAGGTCCAAATATCCACTTGCAGACTTTACAAAGACAGTGTCTCCAAACTCCTCCATCAAAAGAAAGGTTATACTCTGTGAAATGAAGGCACACATCACAAAGTAGTTTCTGAGAATGATTCTGTCTAGTTTTTATACGAAGATATTTCCTTTTCTACATTTGGCCTAAAAGCGCTTGAAATCTCCACCTGCAAATATCACAAAAAGAGGGTTTCACATCTGCTCTGTCTAAAGGACAGTTCACCTCTGTGAGTTGAATAGAGGCAACACAAAGAACTTACTCAGTATTCTTCTTTCTAGCGTTCTATGAAGAAATCCCGTTTCCAACGAAGGCCCCAAAGAGGTCCAAATATCTGCTTGCAGACTTTACAGACAGAGTGTTTCCAAACTACTCTATGAAAAGAAAGCTTAAACTCCTTGAGTTGAACGCACACATCACAAAGTAGTTTCTGAGAATGATTCTGTCTAGTTTTTATACGAAGATGTTTCCTTTTCTACATTTGGTCTCAAAGCGATTGAAATCTCCAACTGGAAACTGCACAAATAGGGTGTTTCAAATCTGCTCTGTCTAAAGGAAGGTTCAACTCTTTGAGTTGAATACACACACCACAAATAAGTTACTGAGAATTCTTCTGTCGAATATTACATGAAGAAATCCCGTTTCCAACGAAGGCCTCAAAGAGGTCCAAATATCCACTTGCACACATTACAAACAGAGTGTTTCCAAACTGCTCCATCAAAGGAAAGGTTAAACTCTGTGAGCTGAACACACACATCAAAAAGAAGTTTCTCTGAATGATTCTGTCTAGATTTTATAAGAAGATGTTTCCTTTTCTACCGTAGGCCTCAAAGCGCTTGAAATCTCCAGCTGCAAATTCCACAAAAAGGGTGTTTAACATCTGCTCTTCTAAAGGAAAGTTCAACTCTATGAGTTGAATACACACAGCACAAAGAAGTTACTGAGACTTCTCCTATCAAACATTATATGAAGAAATCCCGTTTCCAACGAAGGCCTCAAAGAGGTCCAAATATCTACTTGCAGACTTTACAGACAGAGTGTTTCCAAACTGCTCCATCAAAAGAAAGGTTAAACTCCTTGAGTTGAACACACACATCACAAAGTAGTTTCTGTGAATGATTCTGTCTAGTTTTTATACGAAGATGTTTCCTTTTCTACCTTTGGTCTCAAAGCGATTGAAATCTCCACATGGAAACTCCACAAAAAGAGTGTTTCAAATCTGCTCTTTCTGAAGGAAGGTTCATCTCTGTGAGTTGAATACACACACCACAAATAAGTTACTGAGAATTCTTCTGTGTAACATTATATGAGGAAATCCCGTTTCCAACGAAGGCCTCAAAGAGGTCCAAATATCCACTTGCAGACTTTACAAAGACAGTGTCTCCAAACTCCTCCATCAAAAGAAAGGTTATACTCTGTGAATTGAACGCATACATCACAAAGTAGTTTCTGAGAATGATTCTGTCTAGTTTTTATACGAAGATATTTCCTTTTCTACATTTGGCCTAAAAGCGCTTGAAATCTCCACCTGCAAATATCACAAAAAGAGGGTTTCACATCTGCTCTGTCTAAAGGACAGTTCACCTCTGTGAGTTGAATAGAGGCAACACAAAGAACTTACTCAGTATTCTTCTTTCTAGCGTTCTATGAAGAAATCCCGTTTCCAACGAAGGCCTCAAAGAGGTCAAATATCTGCTTGCAGACTTTACAGACAGAGTGTTTCCAAACTACTCTATGAAAAGAAAGCTTAAACTCCTTGAGTTGAACGCACACATCACAAAGTAGTTTTTGAGAATGATTCTGTCTAGTTTTTATACGAAGATGTTTCCTTTTCTACATTTGGTCTCAAAGCGATTGAAATCTCCAACTGGAAACTGCACAAATAAGCTGTTTCAAATCTGCTCTGTCTAAAGGAAGGTTCAGCTCTGTGAGTTGAATACACACACCACAAATAAGTTACTGAGAATTCTTCTGTCGAACATTACAGGAAGAAATCCCGTTTCCAACGAAGGCCTCAAAGAGGTCCAAATATCCACTTGCAGACATTACAAACAGTGTGTTTCCCAACTGCTCCATCAAAAGAAAGGTTAAACTCTGTGAGCTGAACACACACATCAAAAAGAAGTTTCTGTGAATGATTCTGTCTAGATTTTATAAGAAGATGTTTCCTTTTCTACCGTAGGCCTCAAAGCGCTTGAAATCTCCAGCTGCAAATTCCACAAAAAGGGTGTTTAACATCTGCTCTTCTAAAGGAAAGTTCAACTCTATGAGTTGAATACACACAGCACAAAGAAGTTACTGAGACTTCTCCTATCAAACATTATATGAAGAAATCCCGTTTCCAACGAAGGCCTCAAAGAGGTCCAAATATCTGCTTGCAGACTTTACAGACAGAGTGTTTCCAAACTGCTCCATCAAAAGAAAGGTTAAACTCCTTGAGTTGAACACACACATCACAAAGTAGTTTCTGTGAATGATTCTGTCTAGTTGTTATACGAAGATGTTTCCTTTTCTACCTTTGGTCTCAAAGCGATTGAAATCTCCACATGGAAACTCCACAAAAAGAGTTTTTCAAATCTGCTCTTTCTGAAGGAAGGTTCATCTCTGTGAGTTGAATACACACACCACAAATAAGTTACTGAGAATTCTTCTGTGTAACATTATATGAGGAAATCCCGTTTCCAACGAAGGCCTCAAAGAGGTCCAAATATCCACTTGCAGACTTTACAAAGACAGTGTCTCCAAACTCCTCCATCAAAAGAAAGGTTATACTCTGTGAATTGAACGCACACATCACAAAGTAGTTTCTGAGAATGATTCTGTCTAGTTTTTATACGAAGATATTTCCTTTTCTACATTTGGCCTAAAAGCGCTTGAAATCTCCACCTGCAAATATCACAAAAAGAGGGTTTCACATCTGCTCTGTCTAAAGGACAGTTCACCTCTGTGAGTTGAATAGAGGCAACACAAAGAACGTACTCAGTATTCTTCTTTCTAGCGTTATATGAAGAAATCCCGTTTCCAACGAAGGCCTCAAAGAGGTCAAATATCTGCTTGCAGACTTTACAGACAGAGTGTTTCCAAACTACTCTATGAAAAGAAAGCTTAAACTCCTTGAGTTGAACGCACACATCACAAAGTAGTTTCTGAGAATGATGCTGTCTAGTTTTTGTACGAAGATGTTTCCTTTTCTACATTTGGTCTCAAAGCCATTGAAATCTCCAACTGGAAACTGCACAAATAGGGTGTTTCAAATCTGCTCTGTCTAAAGGAAGGTTCAACTCTGTGAGTTGAATACACACACCATAAATAAGTTACTGAGAATTCTTCTGTCGAACATTACAGGAAGAAATCCCGTTTCCAACGAAGGCCTCAAAGAGGTCCAAATATCCACTTGCAGACATTACAAACAGAGTGTTTCCAAACTGCTCCATCAAAAGAAAGGTTAAACTCTGTGAGCTGAACACACACATCAAAAAGAAGTTTCTGTGAATGATTCTGTCTAGATTTTATAAGAAGATGTTTCCTTTTCTACCGTAGGCCTCAAAGCGCTTGAAATCTCCAGCTGCAAATTCCACAAAAAGGGTGTTTAACATCTGCTCTTCTAAAGGAAAGTTCAACTCTATGAGTTGAATACACACAGCACAAAGAAGTTACTGAGACTTCTCCTATCAAACATTATATGAAGAAATCCCGTTTCCAACGAAGGCCTCAAAGAGGTCCAAATATCTGCTTGCAGACTTTACAGACAGAGTATTTCCAAACTGCTCCATCAAAAGAAAGGTTAAACTCCTTGAGTTGAACACACACATCACAAAGTAGTTTCTGTGAATGATTCTGTCTAGTTTTTATACGAAGATGTTTCCTTTTCTACCTTTGGTCTCAAAGCGATTGAAATCTCCACATGGAAACTCCACAAAAAGAGTGTTTCAAATCTGCTCTTTCTGAAGGAAGGTTCAACTCTGTGAGTTGAATACACACACCACAAATAAGTTACTGAGAATTCTTCTGTGTAACATTATATGAGGAAATGCCGTTTCCAACGAAGGCCTCAAAGAGGTCCAAATATCCACTAGCAGACTTTAAAAAGACAGTGTCTCCAAACTGCTCCATCAAAAGAAAGGTTATACTCTGTGAATTGAACGCACACATCACAAAGTAGTTTCTGAGAATGATTCTGTCTAGTTTTTATACGAAGATATTTCCTTTTCTACATTTGGCCGAAAAGCGCTTGAAATCTCCACCTGCAAATATCACAAAAAGAGGGTTTCACATCTGCTCTGTCTAAAGGACAGTTCACCTCTGTGAGTTGAATAGAGGCAACACAAAGAACTTACTCAGTATTCTTCTTTCTAGCGTTCTATGAAGAAATCCCGTTTCCAACGAAGGCCTCAAAGAGGTCAAAGATCTGCTTGCAGACTTTACAGACAGAGTGTTTCCAAACTACTCTATGAAAAGAAAGCGTAAACTCCTTGAGTTGAACGCACACATCACAAAGTAGTTTCTGAGAATGATTCTGTCTAGTTTTTATACGAAGATATTTCCTTTTCTACATTTGGCCTAAAAGTGCTTGAAATCTCCACCTGCAAATATCACAAAAAGAGGGTTTCACATCTGCTCTGTCTAAAGGACAGTTCACCTCTGTGAGTTGAATAGAGGCAACACAAAGAACTTACTCAGTATTCTTCTTTCTAGCGTTCTATGAAGAAATCCCATTTCCAACGAAGGCCCCAAAGAGGTCCAAATATCTGCTTGCAGACTTTACAGACAGAGTGTTTCCAAACTACTCTATGAAAAGAAAGCTTAAACTCCTTGAGTTGAACGCACACATCACAAAGTAGTTTCTGAGAATGATTCTGTCTAGTTTTTATACGAAGATGTTTCCTTTTCTACATTTGGTCTCAAAGCGATTGAAATCTCCAACTGGAAACTGCACAAATAGGGTGTTTCAAATCTGCTCTGTCTAAAGGAAGGTTCAACTCTGTGAGTTGAATACACACACCACAAATAAGTTACTGAGAATTCTTCTGTCGAACATTACTTGAAGAAATTCCGTTTCCAACGAAGGCCTCAAAGAGGTCCAAATATCCACTTGCAGACATTACAAACAGAGTGTTTCCAAACTGCTCCATGAAAAGAAAGGTTAAACTCTGTGAGCTGAACACACACATCAAAAAGAAGTTTCTGTGAATGATTCTGTCTAGATTTTATAAGAAGATGTTTCCTTTTCTACCGTAGGCCTCAAAGCGCTTGAAATCTCCAGCTGCAAATTCCACAAAAAGGGTGTTTAACATCTGCTCTTCTAAAGGAAAGTTCAACTCTATGAGTTGAATACACACAGCACAAAGAAGTTACTGAGACTTCTTCTGTCTAACATTATATGAAGAAATCCCGATTCCAACAAAGGCCTCAAAGAGGTCCAAATATCTGCCTGCAGACTTTACAGACAGAGTGTTTCCAAACTGCTCCATCAAAAGAAAGGTTAAACTCCTTGAGTTGAACACACACATCACAAAGTAGTTTCTGTGAATGATTCTGTCTAGTTTTTATACGAAGATGTTTCCTTTTCTACCTTTGGTCTCAATGCGATTGAAATCTCCACATGGAAACTCCACAAAAAGAGTGTTTCAAATCTGCTCTTTCTGAAGGAAGGTTCAACTCTGTGAGTTGAATACACACACCACAAATAAGTTACTGAGAATTCTTCTGTGTAACATTATATGAGGAAATCCCATTTCCAACGAAGGCCTCAAAGAGGTCCAAATATCCACTTGCAGACTTTACAAAGACAGTGTCTCCAAACTCCTCCGTCAAAAGAAAGGTTATACTCTGTGAATTGAACGCACACATCACAAAGTAGCTTCTGAGAATGATTCTGTCTAGTTTTTATACGAAGATGTTTCCTTTTCTACATTTGTCTCAAAGCGATTGAAATCTCCAACTGGAAACTGCACAAATAGGCTGTTTCAAATCTGCTCTGTCTAAAGGAAGGTTCAACTCTGTGACTTGAATACACACACCACAAATAAGTTACTGAGAATTCTTCTGTCGAACATTACAGGAAGAAATCCCGTGTCCAACGAAGGCCTCAAAGAGGTCCAAATATCCACTTGCAGACTTTACAAAGACAGTGTCTCCAAACTCCTCCATCAAAAGAAAGGTTATACTCTGTGAATTGAACGCACACATCACAAAGTAGTTTCTGAGAATGATTCTGTCTAGTTTTTATACGAAGATATTTCCTTTTCTATATTTGGCCTAAAAGCGCTTGAAATCTCCACCTGCAAATATCACAAAAAGAGGGTTTCACATCTGCTCTGTCTAAAGGACAGTTCACCTCTTTGAGTTGAATAGAGGCAACACAAAGAACTTACTCAGTATTCTTCTTTCTAGCGTTCTATGTAGAAATCCCGTTTCCAACGAAGGCCCCAAAGAGGTCCAAATATCTGCTTGCAGACTTTACAGACAGAGTGTTTCCAAACTACTCTATGAAAAGAAAGCTTAAACTCCTTGAGTTGAACGCACACATCACAAAGTAGTTTCTGAGAATGATTCTGTCTAGTTTTTATACGAAGATGTTTCCTTTTCTACATTTGGTCTCAAAGCGATTGAAATCTCCAACTGGAAACTGCACAAATAGGGTGTTTCAAATCTGCTCTGTCTAAACGAAGGTTCAACTCTGTGAGTTCAATACACACACCACAGATAAGTTACTGAGAATTCTTCTGTCGAACATTACTTGAAGAAATCCCGTTTCCAACGAAGGCCTCAAAGAGGTCCAAATATCCACTTGCAGACATTACAAACAGAGTGTTTCCAAACTGCTCCATCAAAAGAAAGGTTAAACTCTGTGAGCTGAACACACACATCAAAAAGAAGTTTCTGTGAATGATTCTGTCTAGATTTTATAAGAAGATGTTTCCTTTTCTACCGTAGGCCTCAAAGCGCTTGAAATCTCCAGCTGCAAATTCCACAAAAAGGGTGTTTAACATCTGCTCTTCTAAAGGAAAGTTCAACTCTATGAGTTGAATACACACAGCACAAAGAAGTTACTGAGACTTCTCCCATCAAACATTATATGAAGAAATCCCGTTTCCAACGAAGGCCTCAAAGAGGTCCAAATATCTGCTTGCAGACTTTACAGACAGAGTGTTTCCAAACTGCTCCATCAAAAGAAAGGTTAAACTCCTTGAGTTGAACACACACATCACAAAGTAGTTTCTGTGAATGATTCTGTCTAGTTTTTATACGAAGATGTTTCCTTTTCTACCTTTGGTCTCAAAGCGATTGAAATCTCCACATGGAAACTCCACAAAAAGAGTGTTTCAAATCTGCTCTTTCTGAAGGAAGGTTCAACTCTGTGAGTTGAATACACACACCACAAATAAGTTACTAAGAATTCTTCTGTGTAACATTATATGAGGAAATCCCGTTTCCAACGAAGGCCTCAAAGAGATCCAAATATCCACTTGCAGACTTTACAAAGACAGTGTCTCCAAACTCCTCCATCAAAAGAAAGGTTATACTCTGTGAATTGAACGCACACATCACAAAGTAGTTTCTGAGAATGATTCTGTCTAGTTTTTATACGAAGATATTTCCTTTTCTACATTTGGCCTAAAAGCGCTTGAAATCTCCACCTGCAAATATCACAAAAAGAGGGTTTCACATCTGCTCTGTCTAAAGGACAGTTCACCTCTGTGAGTTGAATAGAGGCAACACAAAGAACTTACTCAGTATTCTTCTTTCTAGCGTTATATGAAGAAATCCCGTTTCCAACGAAGGCCTCAAAGAGGTCAAATATCTGCTTGCAGACTTTACAGACAGAGTGTTTCCAAACTACTCTATGAAAAGAAAGCTTAAACTCCTTGAGTTGAACGCACACATCACAAAGTAGTTTCTGAGAATGATTCTGTCTAGTTTTTATACGAAGATGTTTCCTTTTCTACATTTGGTCTCAAAGCGATTGAAATCTCCAACTGGAAACTGCACAAATAGGCTGTTTCAAATCTGCTCTGTCTAAAGGAAGGTTCAACTCTGTGAGTTGAATACACACACCACAAATAAGTTACTGAGAATTCTTCTGTCGAACATTACATGAAGAAATCCCGTTTCCAACGAAGGCCTCAAAGAGGTCCAAATATCCACTTGCAGACATTACAAACAGAGTGTTTCCAAACTGCTCCATCAAAAGAAAGGTTAAACTCTGTGAGCTGAACACACACATCAAAAAGAAGTTTCTGTGAATGATTCTGTCTAGATTTTATAAGAAGATGTTTCCTTTTCTACAGTAGGCCTCAAAGCGCTTGAAACCTCCAGCTGCAAATTCCCCAAAAAGGGTGTTTAACATCTGCTCTTCTAAAGGAAAGTTCAACTACTATGAGTTGAATACACACAGCACAAAGAAGTTACTGAGACTTCTCCTATCAAACATTATATGAAGAAATCCCGTTTCCAACGAAGGCCTCAAAGAGGTCCAAATATCTGCTTGCAGACTTTAAAGACAGAGTTTTTCCAAACTGCTCCATCAAAAGAAAGGTTAAACTCCTTGAGTTGAACACACACATCACAAAGTAGTTTCTGTGAATGATTCTGTCTAGTTTTTATACGAAGATGTTTCCTTTTCTACCTTTGGTCTCAAAGCGATTGAAATCTCCACATGGAAACTCCACAAAAAGAGTGTTTCAAATCTGCTCTTTCTGAAGGAAGGTTCAACTCTGTGAGTTGAATACACACACCACAAATAAGTTACTGAGAATTCTTCTGTGTAACATTATATGAGGAAATCCCGTTTCCAACGAAGGCCTCAAAGAGGTCCAAATATCCGCTTGCAGACTTTACAAAGACAGTGTCTCCAAACTCCTCCATCAAAAGAAAGGTTATACTCTGTGAATTGAACGCACACATCACAAAGTAGTTTCTGAGAATGATTCTGTCTAGTTTTTATACGAAGATATTTCCTTTTCTACATTTGGCCTAAAAGCGCTTGAAATCTCCACCTGCAAATATCACAAAAAGAGGGTTTCACATCTGTTCTGTCTAAAGGACAGTTCACCTCTGTGAGTTGAATAGAGGCAACACAAAGAACTTACTCAGTATTCTTCTTTCTAGCGTTCTATGAAGAAATCCCGTTTCCAACGAAGGCCCCAAAGAGGTCCAAATATCTGCTTGCAGACTTTACAGACAGAGTGTTTCCAAACTACTCTATGAAAAGAAAGCTTAAACTCCTTGAGTTGAACGCACACATCACAAAGTAGTTTCTGAGAATGATTCTGTCTTTTATTTATACGAAGATATTTCCGTTTCTACGATTGGCCTCAAAGCGATTGAAATCTCCAACTGGAAACTGCACAAATAGGGTGTTTCAAATCTGCTCTGTCTAAAGGAAGGTTCAACTCTGTGAGTTGAATACACACACCACAAATAAGTTACTGAGAATTCTTCTGTCGAACATTACAGGAAGAAATCCCGTTACCAACGAAGGCCTCAAAGAGGTCCAAATATCCACTTGCAGACATTACAAACAGTGTGTTTGCAAACTGCTCCATCAAAAGAAAGGTTAAACTCTGTGAGCTGAACACACACATCAAAAAGAAGTTTCTGTGAATGATTCTGTCTAGATTTTATAAGAAGATGTTTCCTTTTCTACCGTAGGCCTCAAAGCGCTTGAAATCTCCAGCTGCAAATTCCACAAAAAGGGTGTTTAACATCTGCTCTTCTAAAGGAAAGTTCAACTCTATGAGTTGAATACACACAGCACAAAGAAGTTTCTGAGACTTCTCCTATCAAACATTATATGAAGAAATCCCGTTTCCAACGAAGGCCTCAAAGAGGTCCAAATATCTGCTTGCAGACTTTACAGACAGAGTGTTTCCAAACTGCTCCATCAAAAGAAAGGTTAAACTCCTTGAGTTGAACACACACATCACAAAGTAGTTTCTGTGAATGATTCTGTCTAGTTGTTATACGAAGATGTTTCCTTTTCTACCTTTGGTCTCAAAGCGATTGAAATCTCCACATGGAAACTCCACAAAAAGAGTGTTTCAAATCTGCTCTTTCTGAAGGAAGGTTCATCTCTGTGAGTTGAATATACACACCACAAATAAGTTACTGAGAATTCTTCTGTGTAACATTATATGAGGAAATCCCGTTTCCAACGAAGGCCTCAAAGAGGTCCAAATATCCACTTGCAGACTTTACAAAGACAGTGTCTCCAAACTCCTCCATCAAAAGAAAGGTTATACTCTGTGAATTGAACGCACACATCACAAAGTAGTTTCTGAGAATGATTCTGTCTAGTTTTTATACGAAGATATTTCCTTTTCTACATTTGGCCTAAAAGCGCTTGAAATCTCCACCTGCAAATATCACAAAAAGAGGGTTTCACATCTGCTCTGTCTAAAGGACAGTTCACCTCTGTGAGTTGAATAGAGGCAACACAAAGAACTTACTCAGTATTCTTCTTTCTAGCGTTCTATGAAGAAATCCCGTTTCCAACGAAGGCCCCAAAGAGGTCCAAATATCTGCTTGCAGACTTTACAGACAGAGTGTTTCCAAACTACTCTATGAAAAGAAAGCTTAAACTCCTTGAGTTGAACGCACACATCACAAAGTAGTTTCGGAGAATGATTCTGTCTAGTTTTTATACGAAGATGTTTCCTTTTCTACATTTGGTCTCAAAGCGATTGAAATCTCCAACTGGAAACTGCACAAATAGGGTGTTTCAAATCTGCTCTGTCTAAAGGAAGGTTCAAATCTGTGAGTTGAATACACACACCACAAATAAGTTACTGAGAATTCTTCTGTCGAACATTACTTGAAGAAATCCCGTTTCCAACGAAGGCCTCAAAGAGGTCCAAATATCCACTTGCAGACATTACAAACAGAGTGTTTCCAAACTGCTCCATCAAAAGAAAGGTTAAACTCTGTGAGCTGAACACACACATCGAAAAGAAGTTTCTGTGAATGATTCTGTCTAGATTTTATAAGAAGATGTTTCCTTTTCTACCGTAGGCCTCAAAGCGCTTGAAATCTCCAGCTGCAAATTCCACAAAAATGGTGTTTAACATCTGCCCTTCTAAAGGAAAGTTCAACTCTACGAGTTGAATACACACAGCACAAAGAAGTTACTGAGACTTCTCCTATCAAACATTATATGAAGAAATCCCGTTTCCAACGAAGGCCTCAAAGAGGTCCAAATATCTGCTTGCAGACTTTACAGACAGAGTGTTTCCAAACTGCTCCATCAAAAGAAAGGTTAAACTCCTTGAGTTGAACACACACATCACAAAGTAGTTTCTGTGAATGATTCTGTCTAGTTTTTATACGAAGATGTTTCCTTTTCTACCTTTGGTCTCAAAGCGATTGAAATCTCCACATGGAAACTCCACAAAAAGAGGGTTTCAAATCTGCTCTTTCTGAAGGAAGGTTCACCTCTGTGAGTTGAATAAACACACCACAAATAAGTTACTGAGAATTCTTCTGTGTAACATTATATGAGGAAATCCCGTTTCCAACGAAGGCCTCAAAGAGGTCCAAATATCCACTTGCAGACTTTAGAAACACAGTGTCTCCAAACTCCTCCATCAAAAGAAAGGTTATACTCTGTGAAATGAACGCACATATCACAAAGTAGTTTCTGAGAATGATTCTGTCTAGTTTTTATACGAAGATATTTCCTTTTCTACATTTGGCCTAAAAGCGCTTGAAATCTCCACCTGCAAATATCACAAAAAGAGGGTTTCACATCTGCTCTGTCTAAAGGACAGTTCACCTCTGTGAGTTGAATAGAGGCAACACAAAGAACTTACTCAGTATTCTTCTTTCTAGCGTTCTATGAAGAAATCCCGTTTCCAACGAAGGCCTCAAAGAGGTCCAAATATCTGCTTGCAGACTTTACAGACAGAGTGTTTCCAAACTACTCTATGAAAAGAAAGCTTAAACTCCTTGAGTTGAACGCACACATCACAAAGTAGTTTCTGAGAATGATTCTGTCTAGTTTTTATACGAAGATGTTTCCTTTTCTACATTTGGTCTCAAAGCGATTGAAATCTCCAACTGGAAACTGCACAAATAGGGTGTTTCAAATCTGCTCTGTCTAAAGGAAGGTTCAACTCTGTGAGTTGAATACACACACCACAAATAAGTTACTGAGAATTCTTCTGTCGAACATTACTTGAAGAAATCCCGTTTCCAACGAAGGCCTCAAAGAGGTCCAAATATCCACTTGCAGACATTACAAACAGAGTGTTTCCAAACTGCTCCATCAAAAGAAAGGTTAAACTCTGTGAGCTGAACACACACATCAAAAAGAAGTTTCTGTGAATGATTCTGTCTAGATTTTATAAGAAGATATTTCCTTTTCTACCGTAGGCCTCAAAGCGCTTGAAATCTCCAGCTGCAAATTCCACAAAAAGGGTGTTTAACATCTGCTCTTCTAAAGGAAAGTTCAACTCTATGAGTTGAATACACACAGCACAAAGAAGTTACTGAGACTTCTCCTATCAAACATTATATGAAGAAATCCCGTTTCCAACGAAGGCCTCAAAGAGGTCCAAATATCTGCTTGCAGACTTTACAGACAGAGTATTTCCAAACTGCTCCATCAAAAGAAAGGTTAAACTCCTTGAGTTGAACACACACATCACAAAGTAGTTTCTGTGAATGATTCTGTCTAGTTTTTATACGAAGATGTTTCCTTTTCTACCTTTGGTCTCAAAGCGATTGAAATCTCCACATGGAAACTCCACAAAAAGAGTGTTTCAAATCTGCTCTTTCTGAAGGAAGGTTCAACTCTGTGAGTTGAATACACACACCACAAATAAGTTACTGAGAATTCTTCTGTGTAACATTATATGAGGAAATCCCGTTTCCAACGAAGGCCTCAAAGAGGTCCAAATATCCACTTGCAGACTTTACAAAGACAGTGTCTCCAAACTCCTCCATCAAAAGAAAGGTTATACTCTGTGAATTGAACGCACACATCACAAAGTAGTTTCTGAGAATGATTCTGTCTAGTTTTTATACGAAGATATTTCCTTTTCTACATTTGGCCTAAAAGCGCTTGAAATCTCCACCTGCAAATATCACAAAAAGAGGGTTTCACATCTGCTCTGTCTAAAGGACAGTTCACCTCTGTGAGTTGAATAGAGGCAACACAAAGAACTTACTCAGTATTCTTCTTTCTAGCGTTATATGAAGAAATCCCGTTTCCAACTAAGGCCTCAAAGAGGTCCAAATATCTGCTTGCAGACTTTACAGACAGAGTGTTTCCAAACTACTCTATGAAAAGAAAGCTTAAACTCCTTGAGTTGAACGCACACATCACAAAATAGTTGCTGAGAATGATTCTGTCTAGTTTTTATACGAAGATGTTTCCTTTTCTACATTTGGTCTCAAAGCGATTGAAATCTCCAACTGGAAACTGCACAAATAGGGTGTTTCAAATCTGCTCTGTCTAAAGGAAGGTTCAACTCTGTGAGTTGAATACACACACCACAAATAAGTTACTGGAGAATTCTTCTGTCGAACATTACATGAAGAAATCCCGTTTCCAACGAAGGCCTCAAAGAGGTCCAAATATCCACTTGCAGACATTACAAACAGTGTGTTTCCAAACTGCTCCATCAAAAGAAAGGTTAAACTCTGTGAGCTGAACACACACATCAAAAAGGAGTTTCTGTGAATGATTCTGTCTAGATTTTATAAGAAGATGTTTCCTTTTCTACCGTAGGCCTCAAAGCGCTTGAAATCTCCAGCTGCAAATTCCACAAAAAGGGTGTTTAACATCTGCTCTTCTAAAGGAAATTTCAACTCTATGAGTTGAATACACACAGCACAAAAAAGTTACTGAGACTTCTCCTATCAAACATTATGTGAAGAAATCCCGTTTCCAACGAAGGCCTCAAAGAGGTCCAAATATCTGCTTGCAGACTTTACAGACAGAGTGTTTCCAAACTGCTCCATCAAAAGAAAGGTTAAACTCCTTGAGTTGAACACACCCATCACAAAGTAGTTTCTGTGAATGATTCTGTCTAGTTTTTATACGAAGATGTTTCCTTTTCTACCTTTGGTCTCAAAGCGATTGAAATCTCCACATGGAAACTCCACCAAAAGAGTGTTTCAAATCTGCTCTTTCTGAAGGAAGGTTCAACTCTGTGAGTTGAATACAGACACCACGAATAAGTTACTGAGAATTCTTCTGTGTAACATTATATGAGGAAATCCCGTTTCCAACGAAGGCCTCAAAGAGGTCCAAATATCTACTTGCAGACTTTACAAAGACAGTGTCTCCAAACTCCTCCATCAAAAGAAAGGTTATACTCTGTGAATTGAACGCACACATCACAAAGTAGTTTCTGAGAATGATTCTGTCTAGTTTTTATACGAAGATATTTCCTTTTCTACATTTGGCCTAAAAGCGCTTGAAATCTCCACCTGCAAATATCACAAAAAGAGGGTTTCACATCTGCTCTGTCTAAAGGACAGTTCACCTCTGTGAGTTGAATAGAGGCAACACAAAGAACTTACTCAGTATTCTTCTTTCTAGCGTTCTATGAAGAAATCCCGTTTCCAACCGAAGGCCCTAAAGAGGTCCAAATATCTGCTTGCAGACTTTACAGACAGAGTGTTTCCAAACTACTCTATGAAAAGAAAGCTTAAACTCCTTGAGTTGAACGCACACATCACAAAGTAGTTTCTGAGAATGATTCTGTCTAGTTTTTATACGAAGATGTTTCCTATTCTACATTTGGTCTCAAAGCGATTGAAATCTCCAACTGGAAACTGCAGAAATAGGCTGTTTCAAATCTGCTCTGTCTAAAGGAAGGTTCAGCTCTGTGAGTTGAATACACACACCACAAATAAGTTACTGAGAATTCTTCTGTCGAACATTACATGAAGAAATCCCGTTTCCAACGAAGGCCTCAAAGAGGTCCAAATATCCACTTGCAGACATTACAAACAGAGTGTTTCCAAACTGCTCCATCAAAAGAAAGGTTAAACTCTGTGAGCTGAACACACACATCAAAAAGAAGTTTCTGTGAATGATTCTGTCTAGATTTTATAAGAAGATGTTTCCTTTTCTACCGTAGGCCTCAAAGCGCTTGAAATCTCCAGCTGCAAATTCCACAAAAAGGGTGTTTAACATCTGCTCTTCTAAAGGAAAGTTCAACTCTATGAGTTGAATACACACAGCACAAAGAAGTTACTGAGACTTCTCCTATCAAACATTATATGAAGAAATCCCGTTTCCAACGAAGGCCTCAAAGAGGTCCAAATATCTGCTTGCAGACTTTACAGACAGAGTATTTCCAAACTGCTCCATCAAAAGAAAGGTTAAACTCCTTGAGTTGAACACACACATCACAAAGTAGTTTCTGTGAATGATTCTGTCTAGTTTTTATACGAAGATGTTTCCTTTTCTACCTTTGGTCTCAAAGCGATTGAAATCTCCACATGGAAACTCCACAAAAAGAGTGTTTCAAATCTGCTCTTTCTGAAGGAAGGTTCAACTCTGTGAGTTGAATACACACACCACAAATAAGTTACTGAGAATTCTTCTGTGTAACATTATATGAGGAAATCCCGTTTCCAACGAAGGCCTCAAAGAGGTCCAAATATCCACTTGCAGACTTTACAAAGACAGTGTCTCCAAACTCCTCCATCAAAAGAAAGGTTATACTCTGTGAATTGAACGCACACATCACAAAGTAGTTTCTGAGAATGATTCTGTCTAGTTTTTATACGAAGATATTTCCTTTTCTACATTTGGCCTAAAAGCGCTTGAAATCTCCACCTGCAAATATCACAAAAAGAGGGTTTCACATCTGCTCTGTCTAAAGGACAGTTCACCTCTGTGAGTTGAATAGAGGCAACACAAAGAACTTACTCAGTATTCTTCTTTCTAGCGTTGTATGAAGAAATCCCGTTTCCAACGAAGGCCTCAAAGAGGTCCAAATATCTGCTTGCCGACTTTACAGACAGAGTGTTTCCAAACTACTCTATGAAAAGAAAGCTTAAACTCCTTGAGTTGAACGCACACATCACAAAGTTGTTTCTGAGAATGATTCTGTCTTGTTTTTATACAAGGTTATTTCCGTTTCTATGATTGGCCTCAAAGCGATTGAAATCTCCAACTGGAAACTGCACAAATAGGGTGTTTCAAATCTGCTCTGTCTAAAGGAAGGTTCAACTCTGTGAGTTGAATACACACACCACAAATAAGTTACTGAGAATTCTTCTGTCGAACATTACATGAAGAATTCCCGTTTCCAACGAAGGCCTCAAAGAGGTCCAAATATCCACTTGCAGGCATTACAAACAGAGTGTTTCCAAACTGCTCCATCAAAAGAAAGGTTAAACTCTGTGAGCTGAACACACACATCAAAAAGAAGTTTCTGTGAATGATTCTGTCTAGATTTTATAAGAAGATGTTTCCTTTTCTACCGTAGGCCTCAAAGCGCTTGAAATCTCCGGCTGCAAATTCCACAAAAAGGGTGTTTAACATGTGCTCTTCTAAAGGAAAGTTCAACTCTATGAGTTGAATACACACAGCACAAAGAAGTTACTGAGACTTCTCCTATCAAACATTATATGAAGAAATCCCGTTTACAACGAAGGCCTCAAAGAGGTCCAAATATCCACTTGCAGACGTGAAAAACAGAGTGTTTCCAAACTGCTCCATCAAAACAAAGGTTAAACTCTGTGAGTTGAACACACACATCTCAAAGTACTTTCTGTGAATGATTCTGTCTAGTTTTTATACGAAGATGTTTCCTTTTCTACCTCTGGTCTCAAAGCGATTGAAATCTCCACGTGGAAACTCCACAAAAAGAGTGTTTCAAATCTGCTCTTTCTGAAGGAAGGTTCAACTCTGTGAGTTGAATACACACACCACAAATAAGTTACTGAGAATTCTTCTGTGTAACATTATAGGAGGAAATCCCGTTTCCAACGAAGGCCTCAAAGAGGTCCAAATATCCACTTGCAGACTTTACAAAGACAGTGTCTCCAAACTCCTCCATCAAAAGAAAGGTTATACTCTGTGAATTGAACGCACACATCACAAAGTAGTTTACTGAGAATGATTCTGTCTAGTTTTTATACGAAGATATTTCCTTTTCTACATTTGGCCTAAAAGCGCTTGAAATCTCCACCTGCAAATATGACAAAAAGAGGGTTTCACATCTGCTCTGTCTAAAGGACAGTTCCCCTCTGTGAGTTGAATAGAGGCAACACAAAGAACTTACTCAGTATTCTTCTTTCTAGCGTTCTATGAAGAAATCCCGTTTCCAACGAAGGCCTCAAAGAGGTCCAAATATCTGCTTGCAGACTTTACAGACAGAGTGTTTCCAAACTACTCTATGAAAAGAAAGCTTAAACTCCTTGAGTTGAACGCACACATCACAAAGTAGTTTCTGAGAATGATTCTGTCTAGTTTTTATACGAAGATGTTTCCTTTTCTACATTTGGTCTCAAAGCGATTGAAATCTCCAACTGGAAACTGCACAAATAGGGTGTTTCAAATCTGCTCTGTCTAAAGGAAGGTTCAACTCTGTGAGTTGAATACACACACCACAAATAAGTTACTGAGAATTCTTCTGTCGAACATTACAGGAAGAAATCCCGTTTCCAACGAAGGCCTCAAAGAGGTCCAAATATCCACTTGCAGACATTACAAACAGTGTGTTTCCAAACTGCTCCATCAAAAGAAAGGTTAAACTCTGTGAGCTGAACACACACATCAAAAAGAAGTTTCTGTGAATGATTCTGTCTAGATTTTATAAGAAGATGTTTCCTTTTCTACCGTAGGCCTCAAAGCGCTTGAAATCTCCAGCTGCAAATTCCACAAAAAGGGTGTTTAACATCTGCTCTTCTAAAGGAAAGTTCAACTCTAAGAGTTGAATACACACAGCACAAAGAAGTTACTGAGACTTCTCCTATCAAACATTATATGAAGAAATCCCGTTTCCAACGAAGGCCTCAAAGAGGTCCAAATATCTGCTTGCAGACTTTACAGACAGAGTGTTTCCAAACTGCTCCATCAAAAGAAAGGTTAAACTCCTTGAGTTGAACACACACATCACAAAGTAGTTTCTGTGAATGATTCTGTCTAGTTTTTATACGAAGATGTTTCCTTTTCTACCTTTGGTCTCAAAGTGATTGAAATCTCCACATGGAAACTCCACAAAAAGAGTGTTTCAAATCTGCTCTTTCTGAAGGAAGGTTCAAATCTGTGAGTTGAATACACACACCACAAATAAGTTACTGAGAATTCTTCTGGGTAACATTATATGAGGAAATCCCGTTTCCAACGAAGGCCTCAAAGAGGTCCAAATATCCACTTGCAGACTTTACAAAGACAGTGTCTCCAAACTCCTCCATCAAAAGAAAGGTTATACTCTGTGAATTGAACGCACACATCACAAAGTAGTTTCTGAGAATGATTCTGTCTAGTTTTTATACGAAGATGTTTCCTTTTCTACATTTGGTCTCAAAGCGATTGAAATCTCCAACTGGAAACTGCACAAATAGGGTGTTTCAAATCTGCTCTGTCTAAAGGAAGGTTCAACTCTGTGAGTTGAATACACACACCACAAATAAGTTACTGAGAATTCTTCTGTCGAACATTACATGAAGAAATCCCGTTTCCAACGAAGGCCTCAAAGAGGTCCAAATATCCACTTTCAGACATTACAAACAGAGTGTTTCCAAACTGCTCCATCAAAAGAAAGGTTAAACTCTGTGAGCTGAACACACACATCAAAGAGAAGTTTCTGTGAATGATTCTGTCTAGATTTTATAAGAAGATGTTTCCTTTTCTACCGTAGGCCTCAAAGCGCTTGAAATCTCCAGCTGCAAATTCCACAAAAAGGGTGTTTAACATCTGCTCTTCTAAAGGAAAGTTCAACTCTATGAGTTGAATACACACAGCACAAAGAAGTTACTGAGACTTCTCCTATCAAACATTATATGAAGAAATCCCGTTTCCAACGAAGGCCTCAAAGAGGTCCAAATATCTGCTTGCAGACTTTACAGACAGAGTGTTTCCAAACTGCTCCATCAAAAGAAAGGTTAACCTCCTTGAGTTGAACACACACATCACAAAGTAGTTTCTGTGAATGATTCTGTCTAGTTTTTATACGAAGATGTTTCCTTTTCTACCTTTGGTCTCAAAGCGATTGAAATCTCCACATGGAAACTCCACAAAAAAGAGTGTTTCAAATCTGCTCTTTCTGAAGGAAGGTTCAACTCTGTGAGTTGAATACACACACCACAAATAAGTTACTGAGAATTCTTCTGTGTAACATTATATGAGGAAATCCCGTTTCCAACGAAGGCCTCAAAGAGGTCCAAATATCCACTTGCAGACTTTACAAAGACAGTGTCTCCAAACTCCTCCATCAAAAGAAAGGTTATACTCTGTGAATTGAACGCACACATCACAAAGTAGTTTCTGAGAATGATTCTGTCTAGTTTTTATACGAAGATATTTCCTTTTCTACATTTGGCCTAAAAGCGCTTGAAATCTCCACCTGCAAATATCACAAAAAGAGGGTTTCACATCTGCTCTATCTAAAGGAGAGTTCACCTCTGTGAGTTGAATAGAGGCAACACAAAGAACTTACTCAGTATTCTTCTTTCTAGCGTTCTATGAAGAAATCCCGTTTCCAACGAAGGCCCCAAAGAGGTCCAAATATCTGCTTGCAGACTTTACAGACAGAGTGTTTCCAAACTACTCTATGAAAAGAAAGCTTAAACTCCTTCAGTTGAACGCACACATCACAAAGTAGTTTCTGAGAATGATTCTGTCTAGTTTTTATACGAAGATGTTTCCTTTTCTACATTTGGTCTCAAAGCGATTGAAATCTCCAACTGGAAACTGCACAAATAGGGTGTTTCAAATCTGCTCTGTCTAAAGGAAGGTTCAACTCTGTGAGTTGAATACACACACCACAAATAAGTTACTGAGAATTCTTCTGTCGAACATTACATGAAGAAATCCCGTTTCCAACGAAGGCCTCAAAGAGGTCCAAATATCCACTTGCAGACATTACAAACAGAGTGTTTCCAAACTGCTCCATCAAAAGAAAGGTTAAACTCTGTGAGCTGAACACACACATCAAAAAGAAGTTTCTGTGAATGATTCTGTCTAGATTTTGTAAGAAGATGTTTCCTTTTCTACCGTAGGCCTCAAAGCGCTTGAAATCTCCACCTGCAAATTCCACAAAAAGGGTGTTTTACATCTGCTCTTCTAAAGGAAAGTTCAACTCTATGCGTTGAATACACACAGGACAAAGAAGTTACTGAGACTTCTTCTGTCTAACATTATATGAAGAAACCCGCTTCCAAGGAAGGCCTCAAAGAGGTCCAAATATCCACTTGCAGACTTGTCAAACGGAGTGTTTCCAAACTGCACCATCAAAAGAAAGGTTAAACTCTGTGAGCTGAACACACACATCACAAAGTAGTTTCTGTGAATGATTCTGTCTAGTTTTTATACGAAGATGTTTCCTTTTCTACCTTTGGTCTCAAAGCGATTGAAATCTCCACATGGAAACTCCACAAAAAGACTGTTCCAAATCTGCTCTTTCTGAAGGAAGGTTCAACTCTGTGAGTTGAGTACACACACCACAAATAAGTTACTGAGAATTCTTCTGTGTAACATTATATGAGGAAATCCCGTTTCCAAAGAAGGCCTCAAAGAGGTCCAAATATCCACTTGCAGACTTTACAAAGACAGTGTCTCCAAACTCTTCCATCAAAAGAAAGGTTATACTCTGTGAATTGAACGCACACATCACAAAGTAGTTTCTGAGAATGATTTCTGTCTAGTTTTTATACGAAGATATTTCCTTTTCTACATTTGGCCTAAAAGCGCTTGAAATCTCCACCTGCAAATATCACAAAAAGAGGGTTTCACATCTGCTCTGTCTAAAGGACAGTTCACCTCTGTGAGTTGAATAGAGGCAACACAAAGAACTTACTCAGTATTCTTCTTTCTAGCGTTCAGTGAAGAAATCCCGTTTCCAACGAAAGCCCCAATGAGGTCCAAATATCTGCTTGCAGACTTTACAGACAGAGTGTTTCCAAACTACTCTATGAAAAGAAAGCTTAAACTCCTTGAGTTGAACGCACACATCACAAAGTAGTTTCTGAGAATGATTCTGTCTAGTTTTTATACGAAGATGTTTCCTTTTCTACATTTGGTCTCAAAGCGATTGAAATCTCCAACTGGAAACTGCACAAATAGGGTGTTTCAAATCTGCTCTGTCTAAAGGAAGGTTCAACTCTGTGAGTTGAATACACACACCACAAATAAGTTACTGAGAATTCTTCTGTCGAACATTACATGAAGAAATCCCGTTTCCAACGAAGACCTCAAAGAGGTCCAAATATCCACTTGCAGACATTACAAACAGTGTGTTTCCAAACTGCTCCAACAAAAGAAAGGTTAAACACTGTGAGCTGAACACACACATCAAAAAGAAGTTTCTGTGAATGATTCTGTCTAGATTTTATAAGAAGATGTTTCCTTTTCTACCGTAGGCCTCAAAGCGCTTGAAATCTCCAGCTGCAAATTCCACAAAAAGGGTGTTTAACATCTGCTCTTCTAAAGGAAAGTTCAACTCTATGAGTTGAATACACACAGCACAAAGAAGTTACTGAGACTTCTCCTATCAAACATTATATGAAGAAATCCCGTTTCCAACGAAGGCCTCAAAGAGGTCCAAATATCCACTTGCAGACTTTACAAAGACAGTGTCTCCAAACTCCTCCATCAAAAGAAAGGTTATACACTGTGAATTGAACGCACACATCACAAAATAGTTTCTGAGAATGATTCTGTCTAGTTTTTATACGAAGATATTTCCTTTTCTACATTTGGCCTAAAAGCGCTTGAAATCTCCACCTGCAAATATCACAAAAAGAGGGTTTCACATCTGCTCTGTCTAAAGGACAGTTCACCTCTGTGAGTTGAATAGAGGCAACACAAAGAACTTACTCAGTATTCTTCTTTCTAGCATTCTATGAAGAAATCCCGTTTCCAACGAAGGCCTCAAAGAGGTCAAATATCTGCTTGCAGACTTTACAGACAGAGTGTTTCCAAACTACTCTATGAAAAGAAAGCTTAAACTCCTTGAGTTGAACGCACACATCACAAAGTAGTTTCTGAGAATGATTCTGTCTAGTTTTTATACGAAGATGTTTCCTTTTCTACATTTGGTCTGAAAGCGATTGAAATCTCCAACTGGAAACTGCACAAATAGGCTGTTTCAAATCTGCTCTGTCTAAAGGAAGGTTCAGCTCTTTGAGTTGAATACACACACCACAAATAAGTTACTGAGAATTCTTCTGTCGAACATTACAGGAAGAAATCCCGTTTCCAATGAAGGCCTCAAAGAGGTCCAAATATCCACTTGCGGACATTACAAACAGTGTGTTTCCCAACTGCTCCATCAAAAGAAAGGTTAAACTCTGTGAGCTGAACACACACATCAAAAAGAAGTTTCTGTGAATGATTCTGTCTAGATTTTATAAGAAGATGTTTCCTTTTCTACCGTAGGCCTCAAAGCGCTTGAAATCTCCAGCTGCAAATTCCACAAAAAGGGTGTTTAACATCTGCTCTTCTAAAGGAAAGTTCAACTCTATGAGTTGAATACACACAGCACAAAGAAGTTACTGAGACTTCTCCTATCAAACATTATATGAAGAAATCCCGTTTCCAACGAAGGCCTCAAAGAGGTCCAAATGTCTGCTTGCAGACTTTACAGACAGAGTGTTTCCAAACTGCTCCATCAAAAGAAAGGTTAAACTCCTTGAGTTGAACACACACATCACAAAGTAGTTTCTGTGAATGATTCTGTCTAGTTTTTATACGAAGATGTTTCCTTTTCTACCTTTGGTCTCAATGCGATTGAAATCTCCACATGGAAACTCCACAAAAAGAGTGTTTCAAATCTGCTCTTTCTGAAGGAAGGTTCAACTCTGTGAGTTGAATACACACACCACAAATAAGTTACTGAGAATTCTTCTGTGTAACATTATATGAGGAAATCCCGTTTCCAACGAAGGCCTCAAAGAGGTCCAAATATCCACTTCCAGACTTTACAAAGACAGTGTCTCCAAACTCCTCCATCAAAAGAAAGGTTATACTCTGTGAATTGAACGCACACATCACAAAGTAGTTTCTGAGAATGATTCTGTCTAGTTTTTATACGAAGATATTTCCTTTTCTACATTTGGCCTAAAAGCGCTTGAAATCTCCACCTGCAAATATCACAAAAAGAGGGTTTCACATCTGCTCTGTCTAAAGGACAGTTCACCTCTGTGAGTTGAATAGAGGCAACACAAAGAACTTACTCAGTATTCTTCTTTCTAGCGTTCTATGAAGAAATCTCTTTTCCAACGAAGGCCTCAAAGAGGTCCAAATATCTGCTTGCAGACTTTACAGACAGAGTGTTTCCAAACTACTCTATGAAAAGAAAGCTTAAACTCCTTGAGTTGAACGCACAGATCGCAAAGTAGTTTCTGAGAATGATTCTGTCTAGTTTTTATACGAAGATGTTTCCTTTTCTACATTTGGTCTCAAAGCGATTGAAATCTGCAACTGGAAACTGCACAAATAGGGTGTATCAAATCTGCTCTGTCTAAAGAAGGTTCAACTCTGTGAGTTGAATACACACACCACAGATAAGTTACTGAGAATTCTCCTATCAAACATTATATGAAGAAATCCCGTTTCCAACGAAGGCCTCAAAGAGGTCCAAATATCCACTTGCAGACATTACAAACAGTGTGTTTCCAAACTGCTCCATCAAAAGAAAGGTTAAACTCTGTGAGCTGAACACACACATCAAAAAGAAGTTTCTGTGAATGATTCTGTCTAGATTTTATAAGAAGATGTTTCCTTTTCTAACGTAGGCCTCAAAGCGCTTGAAATCTCCAGCTGCAAATTCCACAAAAAGGGTGTTTAACATCAGCTCTTCTAAAGGAAAGTTCAACTGTATGAGTTGAATACACACAGCACAAAGAAGTTACTGAGACTTCTCCTATCAAACATTATATGAAGAAATCCCGTTTCCAACGAAGGCCTCAAAGAGGTCCAAATATCTGCTTGCAGACTTTACAGAGAGAGTGTTTTTAAACTGCTCCATCAAAAGAAAGGTTAAACTCCTTGAGTTGAACACACACATCACAAAGTAGTTTCTGTGAATGATTCTGTCTAGTTTTTATACGAAGATGTTTCCTTTTCTACCTTTGGTCTCAAAGCGATTGAAATCTCCACATGGAAACTCCACAAAAAGTGTGTTTCAAATCTGCTCTCTCTGAAGGAAGGTTCAACTCTGTGAGTTGAATACACACACCACAAATAAGTTACTGAGAATTCTTCTGTGTAACATTATATGAGGAAATCCCGTTTCCAACGAAGGCCTCAAAGAGGTCCAAATATCCACTTGCAGACTTTACAAAGACAGTGTCTCCAAACTCCTCCATCAAAAGAAAGGTTATACTCTGTGAATTGAACGCACACATCACAAAGTAGTTTCTGAGAATGATTCTGTCTAGTTTTTATATGAAGATATTTCCTTTTCTACATTTGGCCTAAAAGCGCTTGAAATCTCCACCTGCAAATATCACAAAAAGAGGGTTTCCCATCTGCTCTGTCTAAAGGACAGTTCACCTCTGTGGGTTGAATAGAGGCAACACAAAGAAGTTACTGAGTATTATTCTTTCTAGCGTTCTATGAAGAAATCCCGTTTCCAACGAAGGCCTCAAAGAGGTCAAATATCTGCTTGCAGACTTTACAGACAGAGTGTTTCCAAACTACTCTATGAAAAGAAAGCTTAAACTCCTTGAGTTGAACGCACACATCACAAAGTAGTTTCTGAGAATGATTCTGTCTAGTTTTTATACGAAGATGTTTCCTTTTCTACATTTGGTCTCAAAGCTCTTGAAATCTCCAACTGGAAACTGCACAAATAGGCTGTTTCAAATCTGCTCTGTCTAAAGGAAGGTTCAACTCTGTGAGTTGAATACACACACCACAAATAAGTTACTGAGAATCCTTCTGTCGAACATTACTTGAAGAAATACCGTTTCCAAAGAAGGCCTCAAAGAGGTCAAAATATCCACTTGCAGACATTACAAACAGAGTGTTTCAAAACTGCTCCATCAAAAGAAAGGTTAAACTCTGTGAGCTGAACACACACATCAAAAAGAAGTTTCTGTGAATGATTCTGTCTAGATTTTATAAGAAGATGTTTCCTTTTCTACCGTAGGCCGCAAAGCGCTTGAAATCTCCAGCTGCAAATTCTACAAAAAGGGTGTTTAACATCTGCTCTTCTAAAGGAAAGTTCAACTCTATGCGTTGAATAAACACAGCAGAAAGAAGTTACTGAGACTTCTCCTATCAAACATTATATGAAGAAATCCCGTTTCCAACGAAGGCCTCAAAGAGGTCCAAATATCTGCTTGCAGACTTTACAGACAGAGTTTTTCCAAACTGCTCCATCAAAAGAAAGGTTAAACTCCTTGAGTTGAACACACACATCACAAAGTAGTTTCTGTGAATGATTCTGTCTAGTTTTTATACGAAGATGTTTCCTTTTCTACCTTTGGTCTCAAAGCGATTGAAATCTCCACATGGAAACTCCACCAAAAGAGTGTTTCAAATCTGCTCTTTCTGAAGGAAGGTTCAACTCTGTGAGTTGAATACACACACCACAAATAAGTTACTGAGAATTCTTCTGTGTAACATTATATGAGGAAATCCCGTTTCCAACGAAGGCCTCAAAGAGGTCCAAATATCTACTTGCAGACTTTACAAAGACAGTGTCTCCAAACTCCTCCATCAAAAGAAAGGTTATACTCTGTGAATTGAACGCACACATCACAAAGTAGTTTCTGAGAATGATTCTGTCTAGTTTTTATACGAAGATATTTCCTTTTCTACATTTGGCCTAAAAGCGCTTGAAATCTCCACCTGCAAATATCACAAAAAGAGGGTTTCACATCTGCTCTGTCTAAAGGACAGTTCACCTCTGTGAGTTGAATAGAGGCAACACAAAGAACTTACTCAGTATTCTTCTTTCTAGCGTTCTATGAAGAAATCCCGTTTCCAACGAAGGCCTCAAAGAGGTCAAATATCTGCTTGCAGACTTTACAGACAGAGTGTTTCCAAACTACTCTATGAAAAGAAAGCTTAAACTCCTTGAGTTGAACGCACACATCACAAAGTAGTTTCTGAGAATGATTCTGTCTAGTTTTTATACGAAGATGTTTCCTTTTCTACATTTGGTCTCAAAGCGATTGAAATCTCCAACTGGAAACTGCACAAATAGGCTGTTTCAAATCTGCTCTGTCTAAAGGAAGGTTCAGCTCTGTGAGTTGAATACACACACCACAAATAAGTTACTGAGAATTCTTCTGTCGAACATTACATGAAGAAATCCCGTTTCCAACGAAGGCCTCAAAGAGCTCCAAATATCCACTTGCAGACATTACAAACAGTGTGTTTCCCAACTGCTCCATCAAAAGAAAGGTTAAACTCTGTGAGCTGAACACACACATCAAAAAGAAGTTTCTGTGAATGATTCTGTCTAGATTTTATAAGAAGATGTTTCCTTTTCTACCGTAGGCCTCAAAGCGCTTGAAATCTCCAGCTGCAAATTCCACAAATAGGGTGTTTAACATCTGCTCTTCTAAAGGAAAGTTCAACTCTATGAGTTGAATACACACAGCACAAAGAAGTTACTGAGACTTCTCCTATCAAACATTATATGAAGAAATCCCGTTTCCAACGAAGGCCTCAAAGAGGTCCAAATATCTGCTTGCAGACTTTACAGACAGAGTGTTTCCAAACTTCTCCATCAAAAGAAAGGTTAAACTCCTTGAGTTGAACACACACATCACAAAGTAGTTTCTGTGAATGATTCTGTCTAGTTTTTATACGAAGATGTTTCCTTTTCTACCTTTGGTCTCAAAGCGATTGAAATCTCCACATGGAAACTCCACCAAAAGAGTGTTTCAAATCTGCTCTTTCTGAAGGAAGGTTCAACTCTGTGAGTTGAATACACACACCACAAATAAGTTACTGAGAATTCTTCTGTGTAACATTATATGAGGAAATCCCGTTTCCAACGAAGGCCTCAAAGAGGTCCAAATATCCACTTGCAGACTTTACAAAGACAGTGTCTCCAAACTCCTCCATCAAAAGAAAGGTTATACTCTGTGAATTGAACGCACACATCACAAAGTAGTTTCTGAGAATGATTCTGTCTAGTTTTTATACGAAGATATTTCCTTTTCTACATTTGGCCTAAAAGCGCTTGAAATATCCACCTGCAAATATCACAAAAAGAGGGTTTCACATCTGCTCTGTCTAAAGGACAGTTCACCTCTGTGAGTTGAATAGAGGCAACACAAAGAACTTACTCAGTATTCTTCTTTCTAGCGTTCTATGAAGAAATCCCGTTTCCAACGAAGGCCTCAAAGAGGTCAAATATCTGCTTGCAGACTTTACAGACAGAGTGTTTCCAAACTACTCTATGAAAAGAAAGCTTAAACTCCTTGAGTTGAACGCACACATCACAAAGTAGTTTCTGAGAATGATTCTGTCTAGTGTTTATACGAAGATGTTTGCTTTTCTACATTTGGTCTCAAAGCGATTGAAATCTCCAACTGGAAACTGCACAAATAGGCTGTTTCAAATCTGCTCTGTCTAAAGGAAGGTTCAGCTCTGTGAGTTGAATACACACACCACAAATAAGTTACTGAGAATTCTTCTGTCGAACATTACAGGAAGAAATCCCGTTTCCAACGAAGGCCTCAAAGAGGTCCAAATATCCACTTGCAGACATTACAAACAGTGTGTTTCCCAACTGCTCCATCAAAAGAAAGGTTAAACTCTGTGAGCTGAACACACACATCAAAAAGAAGTTTCTGTGAATGATTCTGTCTAGATTTTATAAGAAGATGTTTCCTTTTCTACCGTAGGCCTCAAAGCGCTTGAAATCTCCAGCTGCAAATTACACAAAAAGGGTGTTTAACATCTGCTCTTCTAAAGGAAAGTTCAACTCTATGAGTTGATTACACACAGCACAAAGAAGTTACTGAGACTTCTCCTATCAAACATTATATGAAGAAATCCCGTTTCCAACGAAGGCCTCAAAGAGGTCCAAATATCTGCTTGCAGACTTTACAGACAGAGTATTTCCAAACTGCTCCATCAAAAGAAAGGTTAAACTCCTTGAGTTGAACACACACATCACAAAGTAGTTTCTGTGAATGATTCTGTCTAGTTTTTATACGAAGATGTTTCCTTTTCTACCTTTGGTCTCAAAGCGATTGAAATCTCCACATGGAAACTCCACAAAAAGAGTGTTTCAAATCTGCTCTTTCTGAAGGAAGGTTCAACTCTGTGAGTTGAATACACACACCACAAATAAGTTACTGAGAATTCTTCTGTGTAACATTATATGAGGAAATCCCGTTTCCAACGAAGGCCTCAAAGAGGTCCAAATATCCACTTGCAGACTTTACAAAGACAGTGTCTCCAAACTCCTCCATCGAAAGAATGGTTATACTCTGTGAATTGAACGCACACATCACAAAGTAGTTTCTGAGAATGATTCTGTCTAGTTTTTATACGAAGATATTTGCTTTTCTACATTTGGCCTAAAAGCGCTTGAAATCTCCACCTGCAAATATCACAAAAAGAGGGTTTCACATCTGCTCTGTCTAAAGGACAGTTCACCTCTGTGAGTTGAATAGAGGCAACACAAAGAACTTACTCAGTATTCTTCTTTCTAGCGTTCTATGAAGAAATCCCGTTTCCAACGAAGGCCCCAAAGAGGTCCAAATATCTGCTTGCAGACTTTACAGACAGAGTGTTTCCAAACTACTCTATGAAAAGAAAGCTTAAACTCCTTGAGTTGAACGCACACATCACAAAGTAGTTTCTGAGAATGATTCTGTCTAGTTTTTATACGAAGATGTTTCCTTTTCTACATTTGGTCTCAAAGCGATTGAAATCTCCAACTGGAAACTGCACAAATAGGGTGTTTCAAATCTGCTCTGTCTAAAGGAAGGTTCAACTCTGTGAGTTGAATACACACACCACAAATAAGTTACTGAGAATTCTTCTGTCGAAAATTACTTGAAGAAATCCCGTTTCCAACGAAGGCCTCAAAGAGGTCCAAATATCCACTTGCAGACATTACAAACAGAGTGTTTCCAAACTGCTCCATCAAAAGAAAGGTTAAACTCTGTGAGCTGAACACACACATCAAAAAGAAGTTTCTGTGAATGATTCTGTCTAGATTTTATAAGAAGATGTTTCCTTTTCTACCGTAGGCCTCAAAGCGCTTGAAATCTCCAGCTGCAAATTCCACAAAAAGGGTGTTTAACATCTGCTCTTCTAAAGGAAAGTTCAACTCTATGCGTTGAATACACACAGCACAAAGAAGTTACTGAGACTTCTCCTATCAAACATTATATGAAGAAATCCCGTTTCCAACGAAGGCCTCAAAGAGGTCCAAATATCTGCTTGCAGACTTTACAGACAGAGTGTTTCCAAACTGCTCCATCAAAAGAAAGGTTAAACTCCTTGAGTTGAACACACACATCACAAAGTAGTTTCTGTGAATGATTCTGTCTAGTTTTTATACGAAGATGTTTCCTTTTCCACCTTTGGTCTCAAAGCGATTGAAATCTCCACATGGAAACTCCACAAAAAGAGTGTTTCAAATCTGCTCTTTCTGAAGGAAGGTTCAACTCTGTGAGTTGAATACACACATCACAAATAAGTTAATGAGAATTCTTCTGTGTAACATTATATGAGCAAATCCCGTTTCCAACGAAGGCCTCAAAGAGGTCCAAATATCCACATGCAGACTTTACAAAGACAGTGTCTCCAAACTCCTCCATCAAAAGAAAGGTTATACTCTGTGAATTGAACGCACACATCACAAAGTAGTTTCTGAGAATGATTCTGTCTAGTTTTTATACGAAGATATTTCCTTTTCTACATTTGGCCTAAAAGCGCTTGAAATCTCCACCTGCAAATATCACAAAAAGAGGGTTTCACATCTGCTCTGTCTAAAGGACAGTTCACCTCTGTGAGTTGAATAGAGGCAACACAAAGAACTTACTCAGTATTCTTCTTTCTAGCGTTCTATGAAGAAATCCCGTTTCCAACGAAGGCCTCAAAGAGGTCAAATATCTGCTTGCAGACTTTACAGACAGAGTGTTTCCAAACTACTCTATGAAAAGAAAGCTTAAACTCCTTGAGTTGAACGCACACATCACAAAGTAGTTTCTGAGAATGATTCTGTCTAGTTTTTATACGAAGATGTTTCCTTTTCTACATTTGGTCTCAAAGCGATTGAAATCTCCAACTGGAAACTGCACAAATAGGGTGTTTCAAATCTGCTCTGTCTAAAGGAAGGTTCAACTCTGTGAGTTGAATACACACACCACAAATAAGTTACTGAGAATTCTTCTGTCGACCATTACTTGAAGAAATCCCGTTTCCAACGAAGGCCTCAAAGAGGTCCAAATATCCACTTGCAGACATTACAAACAGAGTGTTTCCAAACGGCTCCATCAAAAGAAAGGTTAAACTCTGTGAGCTGAACACACACATCGAAAAGAAGTTTCTGTGAATGATTCTGTCTAGATTTTATAAGAAGATGTTTCCTTTTCTACCGTAGGCCTCAAAGCGCTTGAAATCTCCAGCTGCAAATTCCACAAAAAGGGTGTTTAACATCTGCTCTTCTAAAGGAAAGTTCAACTCTATGAGTTGAATACACACAGCACAAAGAAGTTACTGAGACTTCTCCTATCAAACATTATATGAAGAAATCCCGTTTCCAACGAAGGCCTCAAAGAGGTCCAAATATCTGCTTGCAGACTTTACAGACAGAGTGTTTCCAAACTGCTCCATCAAAAGAAAGGTTAAACTCCTTGAGTTGAACACACACATCACAAAGTAGTTTCTGTGAATGATTCTGTCTAGTTTTTATACGAAGATGTTTCCTTTTCTACCTTTGGTCTCAATGCGATTGAAATCTCCACATGGAAACTCCACAAAAAGAGTGTTTCAAATCTGCTCTTTCTGAAGGAAGGTTCATCTCTGTGAGTTGAATACACACACCACAAATAAGTTACTGAGAATTCTTCTGTGTAACATTATATGAGGAAATCCCGTTTCCAACGAAGGCCTCAAAGAGGTCCAAATATCCACTTGCAGACTTTACAAAGACAGTGTCTCCAAACTCCTCCATCAAAAGAAAGGTTATACTCTGTGAATTGAACGCACACATCACAAAGTAGTTTCTGAGAATGATTCTGTCTAGTTTTTATACGAAGATATTTCCTTTTCTACATTTGGCCTAAAAGCGCTTGAAATCTCCACGTGCAAATATCACAAAAAGAGGGTTTCACATCTGCTCTGTCTAAAGGACAGTTCACCTCTGTGAGTTGAATAGAGGCAACACAAAGAACTTACTCAGTATTCTTCTTTCCAGCGTTCTATGAAGAAATCCCTTTTCCAACGAAGGCCTGAAATAGGTCCAAATATCTGCTTGCAGACTTTACAGACAGAGTGTTTCCAAACTACTCTATGAAAAGAAAGCTTAAACTCCTTGAGTTGAACGCACACATCACAAAGTAGTTTCTGAGAATGATTCTGTCTAGTTTTTATACGAAGATGTTTCCTTTTCTACATTTGGTCTCAAAGCGATTGAAATCTCCAACTGGAAACTGCACAAATAGGGTGTTTCAAATCTGCTCTGTCTAAAGGAAGGTTCAACTCTGTGAGTTGAATACACACACCACAAATAAGTTACTGAGAATTCTTCTGTCGAACATTACTTGAAGAAATCCCGTTTCCAACGAAGGCCTCAAAGAGGTCCAAATATCCACTTGCAGACATTACAAACAGTGTGTTTCCAAACTGCTCCATCAAAAGAAAGGTTAAACTCTGTCAGCTGAACACACACATCAAAAAGAAGTTTCTGTGAATGATTCTGTCTAGATTTTATAAGAAGATGTTTCCTTTTCTACCATAGGCCTCAAAGCGCTTGAAATCTCCAGCTGCAAATTCCACAAAAAGGGTGTTTAACATCTGCTCTTCTAAAGGAAAGTTCAACTCTATGAGTTGAATACACACAGCACAAAGAAGTTACTGAGACTTCTCCTATCAAACATTATATGAAGAAATCCCGTTTCCAACGAAGGCCTCAAAGAGGTCCAAATATCTGCTTGCAGACTTTACAGACAGAGTGTTTCCAAACTGCTCCATCAAAAGAAAGGTTAAACTCCTTGAGTTGAACACACACATCACAAAGTAGTTTCTGTGAATGATTCTGTCTAGTTGCTATACGAAGATGTTTCCTTTTCTACCTTTGGTCTCAAAGCGATTGAAATCTCCACATGGAAACTCCACAAAAAGAGTGTTTCAAATCTGCTCTTTCTGAAGGAAGGTTCATCTCTGTGAGTTGAATACACACACCACAAATAAGTTACTGAGAATTCTTCTGTGTAACATTATATGAGGAAATCCCGTTTCCAACGAAGGCCTCAAAGAGGTCCAAATATCCACTTGCAGACTTTACAAAGACAGTGTCTCCAAACTCCTCCATCAAAAGAAAGGTTATACTCTGTGAATTGAACGCACACATCACAAAGTAGTTTCTGAGAATGATTCTGTCTAGTTTTTATACGAAGATATTTCCTTTTCTACATTTGGCCTAAAAGCGCTTGAAATCTCCACCTGCAAATATCACAAAAAGAGGGTTTCACATCTGCTCTGTCTAAAGGACAGTTCACCTCTGTGAGTTGAATAGAGGCAACACAAAGAACTTACTCAGTATTCTTCTTTCTAGCGTTCTATGAAGAAATCCCGTTTCCAACGAAGGCCCCAAAGAGGTCCAAATATCTGCTTGCAGACTTTACAGACAGAGTGTTTCCAAACTACTCTATGAAAAGAAAGCTTAAACTCCTTGAGTTGAACGCACACATCACAAAGTAGTTTCGGAGAATGATTCTGCCTAGTTTTTATACGAAGATGTTTCCTTTTCTACATTTGGTCTCAAAGCGATTGAAATCTCCAACTGGAAACTGCACAAATAGGGTGTTTCAAATCTGCTCTGTCTAAAGGAAGGTTCAACTCTGTGAGTTGAATACACACACCACAAATAAGTTACTGAGAATTCTTCTGTCGACCATTACTTGATGAAATCCCGTTTCCAACGAAGGCCTCAAAGAGGTCCAAATATCCACTTGCAGACATTACAAACAGAGTGTTTCCAAACTGCTCCATCAAAAGAAAGGTTAAACTCTGTGAGCTGAACACACACATCGAAAAGAAGTTTCTGTGAATGATTCTGTCTAGATTTTATAAGAAGATGTTTCCTTTTCTACCGTAGGCCTCAAAGCGCTTGAAATCTCCAGCTGCAAATTCCACAAAAAGGGTGTTTAACATCTGCTCTTCTAAAGGAAAGTTCAACTCTATGAGTTGAATACACACAGCACAAAGAAGTTACTGAGACTTCTCCTATCAAACATTATATGAAGAAATCCCGTTTCCAACGAAGGCCTCAAAGAGGTCCAAATATCTGCTTGCAGACTTTACAGACAGAGTGTTTCCAAACTGCTCCATCAAAAGAAAGGTTAACCTCCTTGAGTTGAACACACACATCACAAAGTAGTTTCTGTGAATGATTCTGTCTAGTTTTTATACGAAGATGTTTCCTTTTCTACCTTTGGTCTCAATGCGATTGAAATCTCCACATGGAAACTCCACAAAAAGAGTGTTTCAAATCTGCTCTGTCTAAAGGAAGGTTCAACTCTGTGAGTTGAATACACACACCACAATTAAGTTACTGAGAATTCTTCTGTGTAACATTATATGAGGAAATCCCGTTTCCAACGAAGGCCTCAAAGAGGTCCAAATATCCACTTGCAGACTTTACAAAGACAGTGTCTCCAAACTCCTCCATCAAAAGAAAGGTTATACTCTGTGAATTGAACGCACACATCACAAAGTAGTTTCTGAGAATGATTCTGTATAGTTTTTATACGAAGATATTTCCTTTTCTACATTTGGCCTAAAAGCGCTTGAAATCTCCAGCTGCAAATATCACAAAAAGAGGGTTTCACATCTGCTCTGTCTAAAGGACAGTTCACCTCTGTGAGTTGAATAGAGGCAACACAAAGAACTTACTCAGTATTCTTCTTTCTAGCGTTCTATGAAGAAATCCCGTTTCCAACGAAGGCCCCAAAGAGGTCCAAATATCTGCTTGCAGACTTTACAGACAGAGTGTTTCCAAACTGCTCTATGAAAAGAAAGCTTAAACTCCTTGAGTTGAACGCACACATCACAAAGTAGTTTCTGAGAATGATTCTGTCTAGTTTTTATACGAAGATGTTTCCTTTTCTACCTTTGGTCTCAAAGCGATTGAAATCTCCACATGGAAACTCCACAAAAAGAGTGTTTCAAATCTGCTCTTTCTGAAGGAAGGTTCAACTCTGTGAGTTGAATACACACATCACAAATAAGTTAATGAGAATTCTTCTGTGTAACATTATATGAGGAAATCCCGTTTCCAACGAAGGCCTCAAAGAGGTCCAAATATCCACATGCAGACTTTACAAAGACAGTGTCTCCAAACTCCTCCATCAAAAGAAAGGTTATACTCTGTGAATTGAACGCACACATCACAAAGTAGTTTCTGAGAATGATTCTGTCTAGTTTTTATACGAAGATATTTCCTTTTCTACATTTGGCCTAAAAGCGCTTGAAATCTCCACCTGCAAATATCACAAAAAGAGGGTTTCACATCTGCTCTGTCTAAAGGACAGTTCACCTCTGTGAGTTGAATAGAGGCAACACAAAGAACTTACTCAGTATTCTTCTTTCTAGCGTTCTATGAAGAAATCCCGTTTCCAACGAAGGCCTCAAAGAGGTCCAAATATCTGCTTGCAGACTTTACAGACAGAGTGTTTCCAAACTACTCTATGAAAAGAAAGCTTAAACTCCTTGAGTTGAACGCACACATCACAAAGTAGTTTCTGAGAATGATTCTGTCTTGTTTTTATACGAAGATATTTCCGTTTCTATGATTGGCCTCCAAGCGATTGAAATCTCCAACTGGAAACTGCACAAATAGGCTGTTTCAAATCTGCTCTGTCTAAAGGAAGGTTCAACTCTGTGAGGTGAATACACACACCACAAATAAGTTACTGAGAATTCTTCTGTCGACCATTACTTGATGAAATCCCGTTTCCAACGAAGGCCGCAAAGAGGTCCAAATATCCACTTGCAGACATTACAAACAGAGTGTTTCCAAACTGCTCCATGAAAAGAAAGGTTAAACTCTGTGAGCTGAATACACACATCGAAAAGAAGTTTCTGTGAATGATTCTGTCTAGATTTTATAAGAAGATGTTTCCTTTTCTACCGTAGGCCTCAAAGCGCTTGAAATCTCCAGGTGCAAATTCCACAAAAAGGGTGTTTAACATCTGCTCTTCTAAAGGAAAGTTCAACTCTATGAGTTGAATACACACAGCACAAAGAAGTTACTGAGACTTCTCCTATCAAACATTATATGAAGCAATCCCGTTTCCAACGAAGGCCTCAAAGAGGTCCAAATATCTGCTTGCAGACTTTACAGACAGAGTGTTTCCCAACTGCTCCATCAAAAGAAAGGTTAACCTCCTTGAGTTGAACACACACATCACAAAGTAGTTTCTGTGAATGATTCTGTCTAGTTTTTATACGAAGATGTTTCCTTTTCTACCTTTGGTCTCAATGCGATTGAAATCTCCACATGGAAACTCCACAAAAAGAGTGTTTGAAATCTGCTCTTTCTGAAGGAAGGTTCAACTCTGTGAGTTGAATACACACACCACAAATAAGTTACTGAGAATTCTTCTGTGTAACATTATATGAGGAAATCCCGTTTCCAACGAAGGCCTCAAAGAGGTCCAAATATCCACTTGCAGACTTTACAAGGACAGTGTCTCCAAACTCCTCCATCAAAAGAAAGGTTATACTCTGTGAATTGAACGCACACATCACAAAGTAGTTTCTGAGAATGATTCTGTCTAGTTTTTATACGAAGATATTTCCTTTTCTACATTTGGCCTAAAAGCGCTTGAAATCTCCACCTGCAAATATCACAAAAAGAGGGTTTCACATCTGCTCTGTCTAAAGGACAGTTCACCTCTGTGAGTTGAATAGAGGCAACACAAAGAACTTACTCAGTATTCTTCTTTCTAGCGTTCTATGAAGAAATCCCGTTTCCAACGAAGGCCTCAAAGAGGTTCAAATATCTGCTTGCAGACTTTACAGACAGAGTGTTTCCAAACTACTCTATGAAAAGAAAGCTTAAACTCCTTGAGTTGAACGCACACATCACAAAGTAGTTTACTGAGAATGATTCTGTCTAGTTTTTATACGAAGATGTTTCCTTTTCTACATTTGGTCTCAAAGCTCTTGAAATCTCCAACTGGAAACTGCACAAATAGGCTGTTTCAAATCTGCTCTGTCTAAAGGAAGGTTCAACTCTGTGAGTTGAATACACACACCACAAATAAGTTACTGAGAATTCTTCTGTCGAACATTACTTGAAGAAATCCCGTTTCCAACGAAGGCCTCAAAGAGGTCCAAATATCCACTTGCAGACATTACAAACAGAGTGTTTCCAAACTGCTCCATCAAAAGAAAGGTTAAACTCTGTGAGCTGAACACACACATCAAAAAGAAGTTTCTGTGAATGATTCTGTCTAGATTTTATAAGAAGATGTTTCCTTTTCTACCGTAGGCCTCAAAGCGCTTGAAATCTCCAGCTGCAAATTCTACAAAAAGGGTGTTTAACATCTGCTCTTCTAAAGGAAAGTTCAACTCTATGCGTTGAATAAACACAGCAGAAAGAAGTTACTGAGACTTCTCCTATCAAACATTATATGAAGAAATCCCGTTTCCAACGAAGGCCCCAAAGAGGTCCAAATATCTGCTTGCAGACTTTACAGACAGAGTTTTTCCAAACAGCTCCATCAAAAGAAAGGTTAAACTCCTTGAGTTGAACACACACATCACAAAGTAGTTTCTGTGAATGATTCTGTCTAGTTTTTATACGAAGATGTTTCCTTTTCTACCTTTGGTCTCAAAGCGATTGAAATCTCCACATGGAAACTCCACAAAAAGAGTGTTTCAAATCTGCTCTTTCTGAAGGAAGGTTCAACTCTGTGAGTTGAATACACACACCACAAATAAGTTACTGAGAATTCTTCTGTGTAACATTATATGAGGAAATCCCGTTTCCAACGAAGGCCTCAAAGAGGTCCAAATATCCACTTGCAGACTTTACAAAGACAGTGTCTCCAAACTCCTCCATCAAAAGAAAGGTTATACTCTGTGAATTGAACGCACACATCACAAAGTAGTTTCTGAGAATGATTCTGTGTAGTTTTTATACGAAGATATTTCCTTTTCTACATTTGGCCTAAAAGCGCTTGAAATCTCCACCTGCAAATATCACAAAAAGAGGGTTTCACATCTGCTCTGTCTAAAGGACAGTTCACCTCTGTGAGTTGAGTAGAGGCAACACAAAGAACTTACTCAGTATTCTTCTTTCTAGCGTTCTATGAAGAAATCACGTTTCCAACGAAGGCCCCAAAGAGGTCCAAATATCTGCTTGCAGACTTTACAGACAGAGTGTTTCCAAACTACTCTATGAAAAGAAAGCTGAAACTTCTTGAGTTGAACGCACACATCACAAAGTAGTTTCTGAGAATGATTCTGTCTAGTTTTTATACGAAGATGTTTCCTTTTCTACATTTGGTCCCAAAGCGATTGAAATCTCCAACTGGAAACTGCACAAATAGGGTGTTTCAAATCTGCTCTGTCTAAAGGAAGGTTCAACTCTTTGAGTTGAATACACACACCACAAATAAGTTACTGAGAATTCTTCTGTCGAACATTACTTGAAGAAATCCCGTTTCCAACGAAGGCCTCAAAGAGGTCCAATTATCGACTTGCAGACATTACAAACAGAGTGTTTCCAAACTGCTCCATCAAAAGAAAGGTTAAACTCTGTGAGCTGAACACACACATCACAAAGTAGTTTCTGAGAATGATTCTGTCTAGATTTTATAAGAACATATTTCCTTTTCTACCGTAGGCCACAAAGCGCTTGAAATCTCCAGCTGCAAATTCCACAAAAATGGTGTTTAACATCTGCTCTTCTAAAGGAAAGTTCAACTCTATGAGTTGAATACACACAGCACAAAGAAGTTACTGAGACTTCTCCTATCAAACATTATATGAAGAAATCCCGTTTCCAACGAAGGCCTCAAAGAGGTCCAAATATCCACTTGCAGACGTGACAAACAGAGTGTTTCCAAACTGCTCCATCAAAAGAAAGGTTAAACTCTGTGAGTTGAACACACACATCTCAAAGTAGTTTCTGTGAATGATTCTGTCTAGTTTTTATACGAAGATGTTTCCTTTTCTACCTTTGGTCTCAAAGCGATTGAAATCTCCACATGGAAACTCCACAAAAAGAGTGTTTCAAATATGCTCTTTCTGAAGGAAGGTTCAACTCTGTGAGTTGAATACACACACCACAAATAAGTTACTGAGAATTCTTCTGTGTAACATTATATGAGGAAATCCCGTTTCCAACGAAGGCCTCAAAGAGGTCCAAATATCCACTTGCAGACTTTACAAAGACAGTGTCTCCAAACTCTTCCATCAAAAGAAAGGTTATACTCTGTGAATTGAACGCACACATCACAAAGTAGTTTCTGAGAATGATTCTGTCTAGTTTTTATACGAAGATGTTTCCTTTTCTACCTTTGGCCTAAAAGCGCTTGAAATCTCCACCTGCAAATATCACAAAAAGAGGGTTTCACATCTGCTCTGTCTAAAGGACAGTTCACCTCTGTGAGTTGAATAGAGACAACACAAAGAACTTACTCAGTATTCTTCTTTCTAGCGTTCTATGAAGAAATCCCGTTTCCAACGAAGGCCTCAAAGAGGTTCAAATATCTGCTTGCAGACTTTACAGACAGAGTGTTTCCAAACTACTCTATGAAAAGAAAGCTTAAACTCCTTGAGTTGAACGCACACATCACAAAGTAGTTTATGAGAATGATTCTGTCTAGTTTTTATACGAAGATGTTTCCTTTTCTACATTTGGTCTCAAAGCGATTGAAATCTCCAACTGGGAACTGCACAAATAGGGTGTTTCAAATCTGCTCTGTCTAAAGGAAGGTTCAACTCTGTGAGTTGAATACACACACCACAAATAAGTTACTGAGAATTCTTCTGTCGAACTTTACAGGAAGAAATCCCGTTTCCAACGAAGGCCTCAAAGAGGTCCAAATATCCACTTACAGACATTACAAACAGTGTGTTTCCCAACTGCTCCATCAAAAGAAAGGTTAAACTCTGTGAGCTGAACACACACATCAAAAAGAAGTTTCTGTGAATGATTCTGTCTAGATTTTATAAGAAGATGTTTCCTTTTCTACCGTAGGCCTCAAAGCGCTTGAAATCTCCAGCTGCAAATTCCACAAAAAGGGTGTTTAACATCTGCTCTTCTAAAGGAAAGTTCAACTCTATGAGTTGAATACACACAGCACAAAGAAGTTACTGAGACTTCTCCTATCAAACATTATATGAAGAAATCCCGTTTCCAACGAAGGCCTCAAAGAGGTCCAAATATCTGCTTGCAGACTTTACAGACAGAGTGTTTCCAAACTGCTCCATCAAAAGAAAGGTTAAACTCCTTGAGTTGAACACACACATCACAAAGTAGTTTCTGTGAATGATTCTGTCTAGTTTTTATACGAAGATGTTTCCTTTTCTACCTTTGGTCTCAAAGCGATTGAAATCTCCACATGGAAACTCCACAAAAAGAGTGTTTCAAATCTGCTCTTTCTGAAGGAAGGTTCAACTCTGTGAGTTGAATACACACACCACAAATAAGTTACTGAGAATTCTTCTGTGTAACATTATATGAGGAAATCCCGTTTCCAACGAAGGCCTCAAAGAGGTCCAAATATCCACTTGCAGACTTTACAAAGACAGTGTCTCCAAACTCCTTCATCAAAAGAAAGGTTATACTCTGTGAATTGAACGCACACATCACAAAGTGCTTTCTGAGAATGATTCTGTCTAGTTTTTATACAAAGATATTTCCTTTTCTACATTTGGCCTAAAAGCGCTTGAAATCTCCACCTGCAAATATCACAAAAAGAGGGTTTCACATCTGCTCTGTCTAAAGGACAGTTCACCTCTGTGAGTTGAATAGAGGCAACACAAAGAACTTACTCAGTATTCTTCTTTCAACCGTTCTATGAAGAAATCCCGTTTCCAACGAAGGCCTCAAAGAGGTCCAAATATCTGCTTGCAGACTTTACAGACAGAGTGTTTCCAAACTACTCTATGAAAAGAAAGCTTAAACTCCTTGAGTTGAACGCACACATCACAAAGTAGTTTCTGAGAATGATTCTGTCTAGTTTTTATACGAAGATGTTTCCTTTTCTACATTTGGTCTCAAAGCGATTGAAATCTCCAACTGGAAACTGCACAAATAGGGTGTTTCAAATCTGCTCTGTCTAAAGGAAGGTTCAACTCTGTGAGTTGAATACACACACCACAAATAAGTTACTGAGAATTCTTCTGTGTAACATTATATGAGGAAATCCCGTTTCCAACGAAGGCCTCAAAGAGGTCCAAATATCCACTTGCAGACTTTACAAAGACAGTGTCTCCAAACTCCTCCATCAAAAGAAAGGTTATACTCTGTGAATTGAACGCACACATCACAAAGTAGTTTCTGAGAATGATTCTGTCTAGTTTTCATACGAAGATATTTCCTTTTCTACATTTGGCCTAAAAGCGCTTGAAATCTCCACCTGCAAATATCACAAAAAGAGGGTTTCACATCTGCTCTGTCTAAAGGACAGTTCACCTACTGTGAGTTGAATAGAGGCAACACAAAGAACTTACTCAGTATTCTTATCTTTCTAGCGTTCTATGAAGAAATCCCGTTTCCAACAAAGGCCCCAAAGAGGTCCAAATATCTGCTTGCAGACTTTACAGACAGAGTGTTTCCAAACTACTCTATGAAAAGAAAGCTTAAACTCCTTGAGTTGAATGCACACATCACAAAGTAGTTTCTGAGAATGATGCTGTCTAGTTTTTATACGAAGATGTTTCCTTTTCTACATTTGGTCTCAAAGCGATTGAAATCTCCAACTGGAAACTGCACAAATAGGGTGTTTCAAATCTGCTCTGTCTAAAGGAAGGTTCAACTCTGTGAGTTGAATACACACACCACAAATAAGTTACTGAGAATTCTTCTGTCGAAAATTACTTGAAGAAATCCCGTTTCCAACGAAGGCCTCAAAGAGGTCCAAATATCCACTTGCAGACATTACAAACAGAGTGTTTCCAAACTGCTCCATCAAAAGAAAGGTTAAACTCTGTGAGCTGAACACACACATCAAAAAGAAGTTTCTGTGAATGATTCTGTCTAGATTTTATAAGAAGATGTTTCCTTTTCTACCGTAGGCCACAAAGCGCTTGAAATCTCCAGCTGCAAATTCCACAAAAAGGGTGTTTAACATCTGCTCTTCTAAAGGAAAGTTCAACTCTATGCGTTGAATACACACAGCACAAAGAAGTTACTGAGACTTCTCCTATCAAACATTATATGAAGAAATCCCGTTTCCAACGAAGGCCCCAAAGAGGTCCAAATATCTGCTTGCAGACTTTACAGACAGAGTTTTTCCAAACAGCTCCATCAAAAGAAAGGTTAAACTCCTTGAGTTGAACACACACATCACAAAGTAGTTTCTGTGAATGATTCTGTCTAGTTTTTATACGACGATGTTTCCTTTTCTACCTTTGGTCTCAAAGCGATTGAAATCTCCACATGGAAACTGCACAAAAAGAGTGTTTCAAATCTGCTCTTTCTGAAGGAAGGTTCAACTCTGTGAGTTGAATACACACACCACAAATAAGTTACTGAGAATTCTTCTGTGTAACATTATATGAGGAAATCCCGTTTCCAACGAAGGCCTCAAAGAGGTCCAAATATCCACTTGCAGACTTTACAAAGACAGTGTCTCCAAACTCCTCCATCAAAAGAAAGGTTATACTCTGTGAATTGAACGCACACATCACAAAGTAGTTTCTGAGAATGATTCTGTCTAGTTTTTATACGAAGATATTTCCTTTTCTACATTTGGCCTAAAAGCGCTTGAAATCTTCACCTGCAAATATCACAAAAAGAGGGTTTCACATCTGCTCTGTCTAAAGGACAGTTCACCTCTGTGAGTTGAATAGAGGCAACACAAAGAACTTACTCAGTATTCTTCTTTCTACCGTTCTATGAAGAAATCCCGTTTCCAACGAAGGCCTCAAAGAGGTCCAAATATCTGATTGCAGACTTTACAGACAGAGTGTTTCCAAACTACTCTATGAAAAGAAAGCTTAAAATCCTTGAGTTGAACGCACACATCACAAAGTAGTTTCTGAGAATGATTCTGTCTAGTTTTTATACGAAGATGTTTCCTTTTCTACATTTGGTCTCAAAGCGATTGAAATCTCCAACTGGAAACTGCACAAATAGGGTGTTTCAAATCTGCTCTGTCTAAAGGAAGGTTCAACTCTGTGAGTTGAATACACACACCACAAATAAGTTACTGAGAATTCTTCTGTCGAACATTACTTGAAGAAATCCTGTTTCCAACGAAGGCCTCAAAGAGGTCCAAATATCCACTTGCAGACATTACAAACAGAGTGTTTCCAAACTGCTCCATCAAAAGAAAGGTTAAACTCTGTGAGCTGAACACACACATCAAAAAGAAGTTTCTGTGAATGATTCTGTCTAGATTTTATAAGAAGATGTTTCCTTTTCTACCGTAGGCCTCAAAGCGCTTGAAATCTCCAGCTGCAAATTCCACAAAAAGGGTGTTTAACATCTGCTCTTCTAAAGGAAAGTTCAACTCTATGAGTTGAATACACACAGCACAAAGAAGTTACTGAGACTTCTCCTATCAAACATTATATGAAGAAATCCCGTTTCCAACGAAGGCCTCAAAGAGGTCCAAATATCTGCTTGCAGACTTTACAGACAGAGTTTTTCCAAACTGCTCCATCAAAAGAAAGGTTAAACTCCTTGAGTTGAACACACACATCACAAAGTAGTTTCTGTGAATGATTCTGTCTAGTTTTTATACGAAGATGTTTCCTTTTCTACCTTTGGTCTCAAAGCGATTGAAATCTCCACATGGAAACTCCACAAAAAGAGTGTTTCAAATCTGCTCTTTCTGAAGGAAGGTTCAACTCTGTGAGTTGAATACACACACCACAAATAAGTTACTGAGAATTCTTCTGTGTAACATTATATGAGGAAATCCCGTTTCCAACGAAGGCCTCAAAGAGGTCCAAATATCCACTTGCAGACTTTACAAAGACAGTGTCTCCAAACTCCTCCATCAAAAGAAAGGTTATACTCTGTGAATTGAACGCACACATCACAAAGTAGTTTCTGAGAATGATTCTGTCTAGTTTTTATACGAAGATATTTCCTTTTCTACATTTGGCCTAAAAGCGCTTGAAATCTCCACCTGCAAATATCACAAAAAGAGGGTTTCACATCTGCTCTGTCTAAAGGACAGTTCACCTCTGTGAGTTGAATAGAGGCAACACAAAGAACTTACTCAGTATTCTTCTTTCTAGCGTTCTATGAAGAAATCCCGTTTCCAACGAAGGCCCCAAAGAGGTCCAAATATCTGCTTGCAGACTTTACAGACAGAGTGTTTCCAAACTACTCTATGAAAAGAAAGCTTAAACTCCTTGAGTTGAACGCACACATCACAAAGTAGTTTCTGAGAATGATTCTGTCTAGTTTTTATACGAAGATGTTTCCTTTTCTACATTTGGTCTCAAAGCGATTGAAATCTCCAACTGGAAACTGCACAAATAGGGTGTTTCAAATCTGCTCTGTCTAAAGGAAGGTTCAACTCTGTGAGTTGAATACACACACCACAAATAAGTTACTGAGAATTCTTCTGTCGAAAATTACTTGAAGAAATCCCGTTTCCAACTAAGGCCTCAAAGAGGTCCAAATATCCTCTTGCAGACATTACAAACAGAGTGTTTCCAAACTGCTCCATCAAAAGAAAGGTTAAACTCTGTGAGCTGAACACACACATCAAAAAGAAGTTTCTGTGAATGATTCTGTCTAGATTTTATAAGAAGATGTTTCCTTTTCTACCGTAGGCCTCAAAGCGCTTGAAATCTCCAGCTGCAAATTCCACAAAAAGGGTGTTTAACATCTGCTCTTCTAAAGGAAAGTTCAACTCTATGAGTTGAATACACACAGCACAAAGAAGTTACTGAGACTTCTCCTATCAAACATTATATGAAGAAATCCCGTTTCCAACGAAGGCCTCAAAGAGGTCCAAATATCTGCTTGCAGACTTTAAAGACAGAGTTTTTCCAAACTGCTCCATCAAAAGAAAGGTTAAACTCCTTGAGTTGAACACACACATCACAAAGTAGTTTCTGTGAATGATTCTGTCTAGTTTTTATACGAAGATGTTTCCTTTTGTACCTTTGGTCTCAAAGCGATTGAAATCTCCACATGGAAACTCCACAAAAAGGGTGTTTCAAATCTGCTCTTTCTGAAGGAAGGTTCAACTCTGTGAGTTGAATACACACACCACAAATAAGTTACTGAGAATTCTTCTGTGTAACATTATATGAGGAAATCCCGTTTCCAACGAAGGCCTCAAAGAGGTCCAAATATCCACTTGCAGACTTTACAAAGACAGTGTCTCCAAACTCCTCCATCAAAAGAAAGGTTATACTCTGTGAATTGAACGCACACATCACAAAATAGTTTCTGAGAATGATTCTGTCTAGTTTTTATACGAAGATATTTCCTTTTCTACATTTGGCCTAAAAGCGCTTGAAATCTCCACGTGCAAATATCACAAAAAGAGGGTTTCACATCTGCTCTGTCTAAAGGACAGTTCACCTACTGTGAGTTGAATAGAGGCAACACAAAGAACTTACTCAGTATTCTTCTATCAAACATTATATGAAGAAATCCCGTTTCCAACGAAGGCCTCAAAGAGGTCCAAATATCTGCTTGCAGACTTTACAGACAGTGTGTTTCCAAACTGCTCCATCAAAAGAAAGGTTAAACTCCTTGAGTTGAACACACACATCACAAAGTAGTTTCTGAGAATGATTCTGTCTAGTTTTTATACGAAGATGTTTCCTTTTCTACCTTTGGTCTCAAAGCGATTGAAATCTCCACATGGAAACTCCACAAAAAGAGTGTTTCAAATCTGCTCTTTCTGAAGGAAGGTTCAACTCTTGTGAGTTGAATACACACACCACAAATAAGTTACTGAGAATTCTTCTGTGTAACATTATATGAGGAAATCCCGTTTCCAACGAAGGCCTCAAAGAGGTCCAAATATCCACTTGCAGACTTTACAAAGACAGTGTCTCCAAACTCCTCCATCAAAAGAAAGGTTATACTCTGTGAATTGAACGCACACATCACAAAGTAGTTTCTGAGAATGATTCTGTCTAGTTTTTCTACGAAGATATGTCCTTTTCCACATTTGGCCTAAAAGCGCTTGAAATCTCCACCTGCAAATATCACAAAAAGAGGGTTTCACATCTGCTCTGTCTAAAGGACAGTTCACCTCTGTGAGTTGAATAGAGGCAACACAAAGAAGTTACTGAGTATTCTTCTTTCTAGCGTTATATGAAGAAATCCCGTTTCCAACGAAGGCTTCAAAGAGGTCCAAATATCTGCTTGCACACTTTACAGACAGAGTGTTTCCAAACTACTCTATGAAAAGAAAGCTTAAACTCCTTGAGTTGAACGCACACATCACAAAGTAGTTTCTGAGAATGATTCTGTCTTGTTTTTATACGAAGATATTTCCGTTTCTATGATTGGCCTCAAAGCGATTGAAATCTCCAACTGGAAACTGCACTAATAGGGTGTTTCAAATCTGCTCTGTCTAAAGGAAGGTTCAACTCTGTGAGTTGAATACACACACCACAAATAAGTTACTGAGAATTCTTCTGTCGAACATTACATGAAGAAATCCCATTTCCAACGAAGGCCTCAAAGAGGTACAAATATCCACTTGCAGACATTACAAACAGAGTGTTTCCAAACTGCTCCATCAAAAGAAAGGTTAAACTCTGTGAGCTGAACACACACATCAAAAAGAAGTTTCTGTGAATGATTCTGTCTAGATTTTATAAGAAGATGTTTCCTTTTCTACCGTAGGCCTCAAAGCGCTTGAAATCTCCAGCTGCAAATTCCACAAAAAGGGTGTTTAACATCTGCTCTTCTAAAGGAAAGTTCAACTCTATGAGTTGAATACACACAGCACAAAGAAGTTACTGAGACTTCTCCTATCAAACATTATATGAAGAAATCCCGTTTCCAACGAAGGCCTCAAAGAGGTCCAAATATCTGCTTGCAGACTTTACAGACAGAGTGTTTCCAAACTGCTCCATCAAAAGAAAGGTTAAACTCCTTGAGTTGAACACACACATCACAAAGTAGTTTCTGTGAATGATTCTGTCTAGTTTTTATACGAAGATGTTTCCTTTTCTACCTTTGGTCTCAAAGCGATTGAAATCTCCACATGGAAACTCCACAAAAAGAGTGTTTCAAATCTGCTCTTTCTGAAGGAAGGTTCAACTCTGTGAGTTGAATACACACACCACAAATAAGTTACTGAGAATTCTTCTGTGTAACATTATATGAGGAAATCCCGTTTCCAACGAAGGCCTCAAAGAGGTCCAAATATCCACTTGCAGACTTTACAAAGACAGTGTCTCCAAACTCCTCCATCAAAAGAAAGGTTATACTCTGTGAATTGAACGCACACATCACAAAGTAGTTTCTGAGAATGATTCTGTCTAGTTTTTATACGAAGATATTTCCTTTTCTACATTTGGCCTAAAAGCGCTTGAAATCTCCACCTGCAAATATCACAAAAAGGTTGTTTCACATCTGCTCTGTCTAAAGGACAGTTCACCTCTGTGAGTTGAATAGAGGCAACACAAAGAACTTACTCAGTATTCTTCTTTCTAGCGTTCTATGAAGAAATCCCGTTTCTAACGAAGTCCCCAAAGAGGTCCAAATATCTGCTTGCAGACGTTACAGACAGAGTGTTTCCAAACTGCTCCATCAAAAGAAAGGTTAAACTCCTTGAGTTGAACACACACATCACAAAGTAGTTTTTGTGAATGATTCTGTCTAGTTTTTATACGAAGTATGTTTCCTTTTCTACATTTGGTCTCAAAGCGATTGAAATCTCCAACTGGAAACTGCACAAATAGGCTGTTTCAAATCTGCTCTGTCTAAAGGAAGGTTCAACTCTGTGAGTTGAATACACACACCACAAATAAGTTACTGAGAATTCTTCTGTCGAACATTACTTGAAGAAATCCCGTTTCCAAAGAAGGCCTCAAAGAGGTCCAAATATCCACTTGCAGACATTACAAACAGAGTGTTTCCAAACTGCTCCATCAAAAGAAAGGTTAAACTCTGTGAGCTGAACACACACATCAAAAAGAAGTTTCTGTGAATGATTCTGTCTAGATTTTATAAGAAGATGTTTCCTTTTCTACCGTAGGCCTCAAAGCGCTTGAAATCTCCAGCTGCAAATTCCACAAAAAGGGTGTTTAACATCTGCTCTTCTAAAGGAAAGTTCAACTCTATGAGTTGAATACACACAGCACAAAGAAGTTACTGAGACTTCTCCTATCAAACATTATATGAAGAAATCCCGTTTCCAACGAAGGCCTCAAAGAGGTCCAAATATCTGCTTGCAGACTTTACAGACAGAGTTTTTCCAAACTGCTCCATCAAAAGAAAGGTTAAACTCCTTGAGTTGAACACACACATCACAAAGTAGTTTCTGTGAATGATTCTGTCTAGTTTTTATACGAAGATGTTTCCTTTTCTACCTTTGGTCTCAATGCGATTGAAATCTCCACATGGAAACTCCACAAAAAGAGTGTTTCAAATCTGCTCTTTCAGAAGGAAGGTTCAACTCTGTGAGTTGAATACACACACCACAAATAAGTTACTGAGAATTCTTCTGTGTAACATTATATGAGGAAATCCCGTTTCCAACGAAGGCCTCAAAGAGGTCCAAATATCCACTTGCAGACTTTACAAAGACAGTGTCTCCAAACTCCGCCATCAAAAGAAAGGTTATACTCTGTGAATTGAACGCACACATCACAAAGTAGTTTCTGAGAATGATTCTGTCTAGTTTTTATACGAAGATATTTCCTTTTCTACATTTGGCCTAAAAGCGCTTGAAATCTCCACCTGCAAATATCACAAAAAGAGGGTTTCACATCTGCTCTGTCTAAAGGACAGTTCACCTCTGTGAGTTGAATAGAGGCAACACAAAGAACTTACTCAGTATTCTTCTTTCTAGCGTTCTATGAAGAAATCCCGTTTCCAACGAAGGCCTCAAAGAGGTCCAAATATCTGCTTGCAGACTTTACAGACAGAGTGTTTCCAAACTACTCTATGAAAAGAAAGCTTAAACTCCTTGAGTTGAACGCACACATCACAAAGTAGTTTCTGAGAATGATCTGTCTAGTTTTTATACGAAGATGTTTCCTTTTCTACATTTGGTCTCAAAGCGATTGAAATCTCCAACTGGAAACTGCACAAATAGGGTGTTTCAAATCTGCTCTGTCTAAAGGAAGGTTCAACTCTGTGAGTTGAATACACACACCACAAATAAGTTACTGAGAATTCTTTCTGTCGAACATTACATGAAGAAATCCGGTTTCCAACGAAGGCCTCAAAGAGGTCCAAATGTCCACTTGCAGACACTACAAACAGAGTGTTTCCAAACTGCTCCATCAAAAGAAAGGTTAAACTCTGTGAGCTGAACACACACATCAGAAAGAAGTTTCTGTGAATGATTCTGTCTAGATTTTATAAGAAGATGTTTCCTTTTCTACCGTAGGCCTCAAAGCGCTTGAAATCTCCAGCTGCAAATTCTACAAAAAGGGTATTTAACATCTGCTCTTCTAAAGGAAAGTTCAACTCTATGCGTTGAATAAACACAGCAGAAAGAAGTTACTGAGACTTCTCCTATCAAACATTATATGAAGAAATCCCGTTTCCAACGAAGGCCCCAAAGAGGTCCAAATATCTGCTTGCAGACTTTACAGACAGAGTTTTTCCAAACAGCTCCATCAAAAGAAAGGTTAAACTCCTTGAGTTGAACACACACATCACAAAGTAGTTTCTGTGAATGATTCTGTCTAGTTTTTATACGACGATGTTTCCTTTTCTACCTTTGGTCTCAAAGCGATTGAAATCTCCACATGGAAACTGCACAAAAAGAGTGTTTCAAATCTGCTCTTTCTGAAGGAAGGTTCAACTCTGTGAGTTGAATACACACACCACAAATAAGTTACTGAGAATTCTTCTGTGTAACATTATATGAGGAAATCCCGTTTCCAACGAAGGCCTCAAAGAGGTCCAAATATCCACTTGCAGACTTTACAAAGACAGTGTCTCCAAACTCCTCCATCAAAAGAAAGGTTATACTCTGTGAATTGAACGCACACATCACAAAGTAGTTTCTGAGAACGATTCTGTCTAGTTTTTATACGAAGATATTTCCTTTTCTACATTTGGCCTAAAAGCGCTTGAAGTCTCCACCTGCAAATATCACAAAAAGAGGGTTTCACATCTGCTCTGTCTAAAGGACAGATCACCTTTGTGAGTTGAATAGAGGCAACACAAAGAACTTACTCAGTATTCTTCTTTCTAGCGTTCTATGAAGAAATCCCGTTTCCAACGAAGGCCCCAAAGAGGTCCAAATATCTGCTTGCAGACTTTACAGACAGAGTGTTTCCAAACTACTCTACGAAAAGAAAGCTTAAACTCCTTGAGTTGAACGCACACATCACAAAGTAGTTTCTGAGAATGATTCTGTCTAGTTTTTATACGAAGATGTTTCCTTTTCTACATTTGGTCTCAAAGCGATTGAAATCTCCAACTGGAAACTGCACAAATAGGGTGTTTCAAATCTGCTCTGTCTAAAGGAAGGTTCAACTCTGTGAGTTGAATACACACACCACAAATAAGTTACTGAGAATTCTTCTGTCGAACATTACATGAAGAAATCGCGTTTCCAACGAAGGCCTGAAAGAGGTCCAAATATCCACTTGCAGACATTGCAAAAAGAGTGTTTCCAAACTACTCCATCAAAAGAAATGTTAAACTCTGTGAGCTGAACACACACATCAAAAAGAAGTTTCTGTGAATGATTCTGTCTAGATTTTATAAGAAGATGTTTCCTTTTCTACCGTAGGCCTCAAAGCGCTTGAAATCTCCAGCTGCAAATTCCTCAAAAAGGGTGTTTAACATCTGCTCTTCTAAAGGAAAGTTCAACTCTATGAGTTGAATACACACAGCACAAAGAAGTTACTGAGACTTCTCCTATGAAACATTATATGAAGAAATCCCGTTTCCAACGAAGGCCTCAAAGAGGTCCAAATATCTGCTTGCAGACTTTACAGACAGAGTGTTTCCAAACTGCTCCATCAAAAGAAAGGTTAAACTCCTTGAGTTGAACACACACATCACAAAGTAGTTTCTGTGAATGATTCTGTCTAGTTTTTATACGAAGATGTTTCCTTTTCTACCTTTGGTCTCAAAGCGATTGAAATCTCCACATGGAAACTCCACAAAAAGAGTGTTTCAAATCTGCTCTTTCTGAAGGAAGGTTCATCTCTGTGAGTTGAATACACACACCACAAATAAGTTACTGAGAATTCTTCTGTGTAACATTATATGAGGAAATCCCGTTTCCAACGAAGGCCTCAAAGAGGTCCAAATATCCACTTGCAGACTTTACAAAGACAGTGTTTCCAAACTCCTCCATCAAAAGAAAGGTTATACTCTGTGAATTGAACGCACACATCACAAAGTAGTTTCTGAGAATGATTCTGTCTAGTTTTTATACGAAGATATTTCCTTTTCTACATTTGGCCTAAAAGCGCTTGAAATCTCCACCTGCAAATATCACAAAAAGAGGGTTTCACATCTGCTCTGTCTAAAGGACAGTTCACCTCTGTGAGTTGAATAGAGGCAACACAAAGAACTTACTCAGTATTCTTCTTTCTAGCGTTCTATGAAGAAATCCCGTTTCCAACGAAGGCCCCAAAGAGGTCCAAATATCTGCTTGCAGACTTTACAGACCGAGTGTTTCCAAACTACTCTATGAAAAGAAAGCTTAAACTCCTTGAGTTGAACGCACACATCACAAAGTAGTTTCTGAGAATGATTCTGTCTAGTTTTTATACGAAGATGTTTCCTTTTCTACATTTGGTCTCAAAGCGATTGAAATCTCCAACTGGAAACTGCACAAATAGGGTGTTTCAAATCTGCTCTGTCTAAAGGAAGGTTCAACTCTGTGAGTTGAATACACACACCACAAATAAGTTACTGAGAATTCTTCTGTCGAACATTACAGGAAGAAATCCCGTTTCCAACGAAGGCCTCAAAGAGGTCCAAATATCCACTTGCGGACATTACAAACAGTGTGTTTCCCAACTGCTCCATCAAAAGAAAGGTTAAACTCTGTGAGCTGAACACACACATCAAAAAGAAGTTTCTGTGAATGATTCTGTCTAGATTTTATAAGAAGATGTTTCCTTTTCTACCATAGGCCTCAAAGCGCTTGAAATCTCCAGCTGCAAATTCCACAAAAAGGGTGTTTAACATCTGCTCTTCTAAAGGAAAGTTCAAATCTATGAGTTGAATACACACAGCACAAAGAAGTTACTGAGACTTCTCCTATCAAACATTATATGAAGAAATCCCGTTTCCAACGAAGGCCTCAAAGAGGTCCAAATATCTGCTTGCAGACTTTACAGACAGAGTGTTTCCAAACTGCTCCATCAAAAGAAAGGTTAACCTCCTTGAGTTGAACACACACATCACAAAGTAGTTTCTGTGAATGATTCTGTCTAGTTTTTATACGAAGATGTTTCCTTTTCTACCTTTGGTCTCAAAGCGATTGAAATCTCCACATGGAAACTCCACAAAAAGAGTGTTTCAAATCTGCTCTTTCTGAAGGAAGGTTCATCTCTGTGAGTTGAATACACACACCACAAATAAGTTACTGAGAATTCTTCTGTGTAACATTATATGAGGAAATCCCGTTTCCAACGAAGGCCTCAAAGAGGTCCAAATATCCACTTGCAGACCTTACAAAGACAGTGTCTCCAAACTCCTCCATCAAAAGAAAGGTTATACTCTGTGAATTGAACGCACACATCACAAAGTAGTTTCTGAGAATGATTCTGTCTAGTTTTTATACGAAGATATTTCCTTTTCTACATTTGGCCTAAAAGTGCTTGAAATCTCCACCTGCAAATATCACAAAAAGAGGGTTTCACATCTGCTCTGTCTAAAGGACAGTTCACCTCTGTGAGTTGAATAGAGGCAACACAAAGAACTTACTCAGTATTCTTCTTTCTAGCGTTCTATGAAGAAATCCCGTTTCCAACGAAGGCCTCGAAGAGGTCCAAATATCTGCTTGCAGACTTTACAGACAGAGTGTTTCCAAACTACTCTATGAAAAGAAAGCTTAAACTCCTTGAGTTGAACGCACACATCACAAAGTAGTTTCTGAGAATGATTCTGTCTTGTTTTTATACAAAGTTATTTCTGTTTCTATGATTGGCCTCAAAGCGATTGAAATCTCCAACTGGAAACTGCACAAATAGGGTGTTTCAAATCTGCTCTGTCTAAAGGAAGGTTCAACTCTGTGAGTTGAATACACACACCACAAATAAGTTACTGAGAATTCTTCTGTCTAACATTATATGAAGAAATCCCGTTTCCAACGAAGGCCTCAAAGAGGTCCAAATATCCACTTGCAGACTTGTCAAACAGAGTGTTTCCAAACTGCACCATCAAAAGAAAGGTTAAACTCTGTGAGCTGAACACTCACATCACAAAGTAGTTTCTGTGAATGATTCTGTCTAGATTTTATAAGAAGATGTTTCCTTTTCTACCATAGGCCTCAAAGCGCTAGAAATCTCCAGCTGCAAATTCCACAAAAAATGTGTTTAACATCCGCTCTGTCTAAAGTAAAGTTCAGCTCTGTGAGTTGAATACACACAGCACAAAGAAGTTACTGAGACTTCTCCTATCAAACATTATATGAAGAAATCCCGTTTCCAACGAAGGCCTCAAAGAGGTCCAAATATCTGCTTGCAGACTTTACAGACAGAGTGTTTCCAAACTGCTCCATCAAAAGAAAGTTTAAACTCCTTGAGTTGAACACACACATCACAAAGTAGTTTCTGTGAATGATTCTGTCTAGTTTTTATACGAAGATGTTTCCTTTTCTACCTTTGGTCTCAATGCGATTGAAATCTCCACATGGAAACTCCACAAAAAGAGTGTTTCAAATCTGCTCTTTCTGAAGGAAGGTTCAACTCTGTGAGTTGAATACACACACCACTAATAAGTTACTGAGAATTCTTCTGTGTAACATTATATGAGGAAATCCCGTTTCCAACGAAGGCCTCAAAGAGGTCCAAATATCCACTTGCAGACTTTACAAAGACAGTGTCTCCAAACTCCTCCATCAAAAGAAAGGTTATACTCTGTGAATTGAACGCACACATCACAAAGTAGTTTCTGAGAATGATTCTGTCTAGTTTTTATACGAAGATATTTCCTTTTCTACATTTGGCCTAAAAGCGCTTGAAATCTCCACGTGCAAATATCACAAAAAGAGGGTTTCACATCTGCTCTGTCTAAAGGACAGTTCACCTCTGTGAGTTGAATAGAGGCAACACAAAGAACTTACTCAGTATTCTTCTTTCTAGCGTTCTATGAAGAAATCCCGTTTCCAACGAAGGCCCCAAAGAGGTCCAAATATCTGCTTGCAGACTTTACAGACAGAGTGTTTCCAAACTACTCTATGAAAAGAAAGCTTAAACTCCTTGAGTTGAACGCACACATCACAAAGTAGTTTCTGAGAATGATGCTGTCTAGTTTTTATACGAAGATGTTTCCTTTTCTACATTTGGTCTCAAAGCGATTGAAATCTCCAACTGGAAACTGCACAAATAGGGTGTTTCAAATCTGCTCTGTCTAAAGGAAGGTTCAACTCTGTGAGTTGAATACACACACCACAAATAAGTTACTGAGTATTCTTCTGTCGAACATTACAGGAAGAAATCCCGTTTCCAACGAAGGCCTCAAAGAGGTCCAAATATCCACTTGCGGACATTACAAACAGTGTGTTTCCCAACTGCTCCATCAAAAGAAAGGTTAAACTCTGTGAGCTGAACACACACATCAAAAAGAAGTTTCTGTGAATGATTCTGTCTAGATTTTATAAGAAGATGTTTCCTTTTCTACCGTAGGCCTCAAAGCGCTTGAAATCTCCAGCGGCAAATTCCACAAAAAGGGTGTTTAACATCTGCTCTTCTAAAGGAAAGTTCAACTCTATGAGTTGAATACACACAGCACAAAGAAGTTACTGAGACTTCTCCTATCAAACATTATATGAAGAAATCCCGTTTCCAACGAAGGCCTCAAAGAGGTCCAAATATCTGCTTGCAGACTTTACAGACAGAGTTTTTCCAAACTGCTCCATCAAAAGAAAGGTTAAACTCCTTGAGTTGAACACACACATCACAAAGTAGTTTCTGTGAATGATTCTGTCTAGTTTTTATACGAAGATGTTTCCTTTTCTACCTTTGGTCTCAAAGCGATTGAAATCTCCACATGGAAACTCCACAAAAAGAGTGTTTCAAATCTGCTCTTTCTGAAGGAAGGTTCAACTCTGTGAGTTGAATACACACACCACAAATAAGTTACAGAGAATTCTTCTGGGTAACATTATATGAGGAAATCCCGTTTCCAACGAAGGCCTCAAAGAGGTCCAAATATCCACTTGCAGACTTTACAAAGACAGTGTCTCCAAACTCCTCCATCAAAAGAAAGGTTATACTCTGTGAATTGAACGCACACATCACAAAGTAGTTTCTGAGAATGATTCTGTCTAGTTTTTATACGAAGATATTTCCTTTTCTACATTTGGCCTAAAAGCGCTTGAAATCTCCACCTGCAAATATCACAAAAAGAGGGTTTCACATCTGCTCTGTCTAAAGGACAGTTCACCTCTGTGAGTTGAATAGAGGCAACACAAAAAGTTACTGAGTATTCTTCTTTCTAGCGTTTTATGAAGAAATCCCGTTTCCAACGAAGGCCTCAAAGAGGTCCAAATATCTGCTTGCAGACTTTACAGACAGAGTGTTTCCAAACTACTCTATGAAAAGAAAGCTTAAACTCCTTGAGTTGAACGGACACATCGCAAAGTAGTTTCTGAGAATGGTTCTGTCTAGTTTTTATACGAAGATGTTTCCTTTTCTACATTTGGTCTCAAAGCGATTGAAATCTCCAACTGGAAACTGCACAAATAGGGTGTTTCAAATCTGCTCTGTCTAAAGGAAGGTTCAACTCTGTGAGTTGAATACACACACCACAAATAAGTTACTGAGAATTCTTCTGTCGACCATTACTTGAAGAAATCCCGTTTCCAACGAAGGCCTCAAAGAGGTCCAAATATCCACTTGCAGACATTACAAACAGAGTGTTTCCAAACTGCTCCATCAAAAGAAAGGTTAAACTCTGTGAGCTGAACACACACATCGAAAAGAAGTTTCTGTGAATGATTCTGTCTAGATTTTATAAGAAGATGTTTCCTTTTCTACCGTAGGCCTCAAAGCGCTTGAAATCTCCAGCTGCAAATTCCACAAAAAGGGTGTTTAACATCTGCTCTTCTAAAGGAAAGTTCAACTCTATGAGTTGAATACACACAGCACAAAGAAGTTACTGAGACTTCTCCTATCAAACATTATATGAAGAAATCCCGTTTCCAACGAAGGCCTCAAAGAGGTCCAAATATCTGCTTGCAGACTTTACAGACAGAGTATTTCCAAACTGCTCCATCAAAAGAAAGGTTAAACTCCTTGAGTTGAACACACACATCACAAAGTAGTTTCTGTGAATGATTCTGTCTAGTTTTTATACGAAGATGTTTCCTTTTCTACCTTTGGTCTCAATGCGATTGAAATCTCCACATGGAAACTCCACAAAAAGAGTGTTTCAAATCTGCTCTTTCTGAAGGAAGGTTCAACTCTGTGAGTTGAATACACACACCACAAATAAGTTACTGAGAATTCTTCTGGGTAACATTATATGAGGAAATCCCGTTTCCAACGAAGGCCTCAAAGAGGTCCAAATATCCACTTGCAGACTTTACAAAGACAGTGTCTCCAAACTCCTCCATCAAAAGAAAGGTTATACTCTGTGAATTGAACGCACACATCACAAAGTAGTTTCTGAGAATGATTCTGTCTAGTTTTTATACGAAGATATTTCCTTTTCTACATTTGGCCTAAAAGCGCTTGAAATCTCCACCTGCAAATATCACAAAAAGAGGGTTTCACATCTGCTCTGTCTAAAGGACAGTTCACCTCTGTGAGTTGAATAGAGGCAACACAAAGAACGTACTCAGTATTCTTCTTTCTAGCGTTCTATGAAGAAATCCCGTTTCCAACGAAGGCCCCAAAGAGGTCCAAATATCTGCTTGCAGACTTTACAGACAGAGTGTTTCCAAACTACTCTATGAAAAGAAAGCTTAAACTCCTTGAGTTGAACGCACACATCACAAAGTAGTTTCTGAGAATGATTCTGTCTAGTTTTTATACGAAGATGTTTCCTTTTCTACATTTGGTCTCAAAGCGATTGAAATCTCCAACTGGAAACTGCACAAATAGGGGGTTTCAAATCTGCTCTGTCTAAAGGAAGGTTCAACTCTGTGAGTTGAATACACACACCACAAATAAGTTACTGAGAATTCTTCTGTCGAACATTACTTGAAGAAATCCCGTTTCCAACGAAGGCCCCAAAGAGGTCCAAATATCCACTTGCAGACATTACAAACAGAGTGTTTCCAAACTGCTCCATCAAAAGAAAGGTTAAACTCTGTGAGCTGAACACACACATCAAAAAGAAGTTTCTGTGAATGATTCTGTCTAGATTTTATAAGAAGATGTTTCCTTTTCTACCGTAGGCCTCAAAGCGCTTGAAATCTCCAGCTGCAAATTCCACAAAAAGGGTGTTTAACATCTGCTCTTCTAAAGGAAAGTTCAACTCTATGAGTTGAATACACACAGCACAAAGAAGTTACTGAGACTTCTCCTATCTAACATTATATGAAGAAATCCCGTTTCCAACGAAGGCCTCAAAGGGGTCCAAATATCTGCTTGCAGACTTTACAGACAGAGTGTTTCCAAACTGCTCCATCAAAAGAAAGGTTAAACTCCTTGAGTTGAACACACACATCACAAAGTAGTTTCTGTGAATGATTCTGTCTAGTTGTTATACGAAGATGTTTCCTTTTCTACCTTTGGTCTCAAAGCGATTGAAATCTCCACATGGAAACTCCACAAAAAGAGTGTTTCAAATCTGCTCTTTCTGAAGGAAGGTTCATCTCTGTGAGTTGAATATACACACCACAAATAAGTTACTGAGAATTCTTCTGTGTAACATTATATGAGGAAATCCCGTTTCCAACGAAGGCCTCAAAGAGGTCCAAATATCCACTTGCAGACTTTACAAAGACAGTGTCTCCAAACTCCTCCATCAAAAGAAAGGTTATACTCTGTGAATTGAACGCACACATCACAAAGTAGTTTCTGAGAATGATTCTGTCTAGTTTTTATACGAAGATATTTCCTTTTCTACATTTGGCCTAAAAGCGCTTGAAATCTCCACGTGCAAATATCACAAAAAGAGGGTTTCACATCTGCTCTGTCTAAAGGACAGTTCACCTCTGTGAGTTGAATAGAGGCAACACAAAGAACTTACTCAGTATTCTTCTTTCTAGCGTTCTATGAAGAAATCCCGTTTCCAACGAAGGCCTCAAAGAGGTCAAATATCTGCTTGCAGACTTTACAGACAGAGTGTTTCCAAACTACTCTATGAAAAGAAAGCTTAAACTCCTTGAGTTGAACGCACACATCACAAAGTAGTTTCTGAGAATGATTCTGTCTAGTTTTTATACGAAGATGTTTCCTTTTCTACATTTGGTCTCAAAGCGATTGAAATCTCCAACTGGAAACTGCACAAATAGGCTGTTTCAAATCTGCTCTGTCTAAAGGAAGGTTCAGCTCTGTGAGTTGAATACACACACCACAAATAAGTTACTGAGAATTCTTCTGTTGAACATTACAGGAAGAAATCCCGTTTCCAACGAAGGCCTCAAAGAGGTCCAAATATCCACTTGCAGACATTACAAACAGTGTGTTTCCCAACTGCTCCATCAAAAGAAAGGTTAAACTCTGTGAGCTGAACACACACATCAAAAAGAAGTTTCTGTGAATGATTCTGTCTAGATTTTATAAGAAGATGTTTCCTTTTCTACCGTAGGCCTCAAAGCGCTTGAAATCTCCAGCTGCAAATTCCACAAAAAGGGTGTTTAACATCTGCTCTTCTAAAGGAAAGTTCAACTCTGTGAGTTGAATACACACAGCACAAAGAAGTTACTGAGACTTCTCCTATCAAACATTATATGAAGAAATCCCGTTTCCAACGAAGGCCTCAAAGAGGTCCAAATATCTGCTTGCAGACTTTACAGACAGAGTTTTTCCAAACTGCTCCATCAAAAGAAAGGTTAAACTCCTTGAGTTGAACACACACATCACAAAGTAGTTTCTGTGAATGATTCTGTCTAGTTTTTATACAAAGATGTATCCTTTTCTACCTTTGGTCTCAAAGCGATTGAAATCTCCACATGGAAACTCCACAAAAAGAGTGTTTCAAATCTGCTCTTTCTGAAGGACGGTTCATCTCTGTGAGTTGAATACACACACCACAAATAAGTTACTGAGAATTCTCTGTGTAACATTATATGAGGAAATCCCGTTTCCAACGAAGGCCTCAAAGAGATCCAAATATCCACTTGCAGACTTTACAAAGACAGTGTCTCCAAACTCCTCCATCAAAAGAAAGGTTATACTCTGTGAATTGAACGCACACATCACAAAGTAGTTTCTGAGAATGATTCTGTCTAGTTTTTATACGAAGATATTTCCTTTTCTACATTTGGCCTAAAAGCGCTTGAAATCTCCTCCTGCAAATATCACAAAAAGAGGGTTTCACATCTGCTCTGTCTAAAGGACAGTTCACCTCTGTGAGTTGAATAGAGGCAACACAAAGAACTTACTCAGTATTCTTCTTTCTAGCGTTCTATGAAGAAATCCCGTTTCCAACGAAGGCCTCAAAGAGGTCAAATATCTGCTTGCAGACTTTACAGACAGAGTGTTTCCAAACTACTCTATGAAAAGAAAGCTTAAACTCCTTGAGTTGAACGCACACATCACAAAGTAGTTTCTGAGAATGATTCTGTCTAGTTTTTATACGAAGATGTTTCCCTTTCTACATTTGGTCTCAAAGCGATTGAAATCTCCAACTGGAAACTGCACAAATAGGCTGTTTCAAATCTGCTCTGTCTAAATGAAGGTTCAACTCTGTGAGTTGAATACACACACCACAAATAAGTTACTGAGAATTCTTCTGTCGAACATTACAGGAAGAAATCCCGTTTCCAACGAAGGCCTCAAAGAGGTCCAAATATCCACTTGCAGACATTACAAACAGTGTGTTTCCCAACTGCTCCATCAAAAGAAAGGTTAAACTCTGTGAGCTGAACACACACATCAAAAAGAAGTTTCTGTGAATGATTCTGTCTAGATTTTATAAGAAGATGTTTCCTTTTCTACCGTAGGCCTCAAAGCGCTTGAAATCTCCAGCTGCAAATTCCACAAAAAGGGTGTTTAACATCTGCTCTTCTAAAGGAAAGTTCAACTCTATGAGTTGAATACACACAGCACAAAGAAGTTACTGAGACTTCTCCTATCAAACATTATATGAAGAAATCCCGTTTCCAACGAAGGCCTGAAAGAGGTCCAAATATCTGCTTGCAGACTTTACAGACAGAGTGTTCCCAAACTGCTCCATCAAAAGAAAGGTTAAACTCCTTGAGTTGAACACACACATCACAAAGTAGTTTCTGTGAATGATTCTGTCTAGTTTTTATACGAAGATGTTTCCTTTTCTACCTTTGGTCTCAAAGCGATTGAAATCTCCACATGGAAACTCCACAAAAAGAGTGTTTCAAATCTGCTCTTTCTGAAGGAAGGTTCAACTCTGTGAGTTGAATACACACACCACAAATAAGTTACTGAGAATTCTTCTGTGTAACATTATATGAGGAAATCCCGTTTCCTACGAAGGCCTCAAAGAGATCCAAATATCCACTTGCAGACTTTACAAAGACAGTGTCTCCAAACTCCTCCATCAAAAGAAAGGTTATCCTCTGTGAATTGAACGCACACATCACAAAGTAGGTTCTGAGAATGATTCTGTCTAGTTTTTATACGAAGATATTTCCTTTTCTACATTTGGCCTCAAAGCGCTTGAAATCTCCACCTGCAAATATCACAAAAAGAGGGTTTCACATCTGCTCTGTCTAAAGGACAGTTCACCTCTGTGAGTTGAATAGAGGCAACACAAAGAACTTACTCAGTATTCTTCTTTCTAGCGTTCTATGAAGAAATCCCGTTTCCAACGAAGGCCTCAAAGAGGTCCAAATATCTGCTTGCAGACTTTACAGACAGAGTGTTTCCAAACTACTCTATGAAAAGAAAGCTTAAACTCCTTGAGTTGAACGCACACATCACAAAGTAGTTTCTGAGAATGATTCTGTCTAGTTTTTATACGAAGATGTTTCCTTTTCTACATTTGGTCTCAAAGCGATTGAAATCTCCAACTGGAAACTGCACAAATAGGGTGTTTCAAATCTGCTCTGTCTAAAGGAAGGTTCAACTCTGTGAGTTGAATACACACACCACAAATAAGTTACTGAGAATTCTTCTGTCGAACATTACATGAAGAATTCCCGTTTCCAACGAAGGCCTCAAAGAGGTCCAAATATCCACTTGCAGGCATTACAAACAGAGTGTTTCCAAACTGCTCCATCAAAAGAAAGGTTAAACTCTGTGAGCTGAACACACACATCAAAAAGAAGTTTCTGTGAATGATTCTGTCTAGATTTTATAAGAAGATGTTTCCTTTTCTACCGTAGGCCTCAAAGCGCTTGAAATCTCCAGCTGCAAATTCCACAAAAAGGGTGTTTAACATCTGCTCTTCTAAAGGAAAGTTCAACTCTATGAGTTGAATACACACAGCACAAAGAAGTTACTGAGACTTCTCCTATCAAACATTATATGAAGAAATCCCGTTTCCAACGAAGGCCTCAAAGAGGTCCAAATATCTGCTTGCAGACTTTAAAGACAGAGTTTTTCCAAACTGCTCCATCAAAAGAAAGGTTAAACTCCTTGAGTTGAACACACACATCACAAAGTAGTTTCTGCGAATGATTCTGTCTAGTTTTTATACGAAGATGTTTCCTTTTCTACCTTTGGTCTCAAAGCGATTGAAATCTCCACATGGAAACTCCACAAAAAGAGTGTTTCAAATCTGCTCTTTCTGAAGGAAGGTTCAACTCTGTGAGTTGAATACACACACCACAAATAAGTTACTGAGAATTCTTCTGTGTAACATTATATGAGGAAATCCCGATTCCAACGAAGGCCTCAAAGAGGTCCAAATATCCACTTGCAGACTTTACAAAGACAGTGTCTCCAAACTCCTCCATCAAAAGAAAGGTTATACTCTGTGAATTGAACGCACACATCACAAAGTAGTTTCTGAGAATGATTCTGTCTAGTTTTTATACGAAGATATTTCCTTTTCTACATTTGGCCTAAAAGCGCTTGAAATCTCCACCTGCAAATATCACAAAAAGAGGGTTTCACATCTGCTCTGTCTAAAGGACAGTTCACCTCTGTGAGTTGAATAGAGGCAACACAAAGAACTTACTCAGTATTCTTCTTTCTAGCGTTCTATGAAGAAATCCCGTTTCCAACGAAGGCCCCAAAGAGGTCCAAATATCTGCTTGCAGACTTTACAGACAGAGTGTTTCCAAACTACTCTATGAAAAGAAAGCTTAAACTCCTTGAGTTGAACGCACACATCACAAAGTAGTTTCTGAGAATGATTCTGTCTAGTTTTTATACGAAGATGTTTCCTTTTCTACATTTGGTCTCAAAGCGATTGAAATCTCCAACTGGAAACTGCACAAATAGGGTGTTTCAAATCTGCTCTGTCTAAAGGAAGGTTCAACTCTGTGAGTTGAATACACACACCACAAATAAGTTACTGAGAATTCTTCTGTCGAACATTACATGAAGAAATCCCGTTTCCAACGAAGGCCTCAAAGAGGTCCAAATATCCACTTGCAGACATTACAAACAGAGTGTTTCCAAACTGCTCCATCAAAAGAAAGGTTAAACTCTGTGAGCTGAACTCACACATCAAAAAGAAGTTTCTGTGAATGATTCTGTCTAGATTTTATAAGAAGATATTTCCTTTTCTACCGTAGGCCACAAAGCGCTTGAAATCTCCAGCTGCAAATTCCACAAAAAGGGTGTTTAACATCTGCTCTTCTAAAGGAAAGTTCAACTCTATGCGTTGAATACACACAGCACAAAGAAGTTACTGAGACTTCTCCTATCAAACATTATATGAAGAAATCCCGTTTCCAACGAAGGCCTCAAAGAGGTCCAAATATCCACTTGCAGACTTTACAGACAGAGTGTTTCCAAACTGCTCCATCAAAAGAAAGGTTAAACTCCTTGAGTTGAACACACACATCACAAAGTAGTTTCTGTGAATGATTCTGTCTAGTTTTTATACGAAGATGTTTCCTTTTCTATCTTTGGTCTCAAAGCGATTGAAATCTCCACATGGAAACTCCACAAAAAGAGTGTTTCAAATCTGCTCTTTCTGAAGGAAGTTTCAACTCTGTGAGTTGAATACACACACCACAAATAAGTTACTGAGAATTCTTCTGTGTAACATTATATGAGGAAATCCCGTTTCCAACGAAGGCCTCAAAGAGTTCCAAATATCCACTTGCAGACTTTACAAAGACAGTGTCTCCAAACTCCTCCATCAAAAGAAAGGTTATACTCTTTGAATTGAACGCACACATCACAAAGTAGTTTCTGAGAATGATTCTGTCTAGTTTTTATACGAAGATATTTCCTTTTCTACATTTGGCCTAAAAGCGCTTGAAATCTCCACGTGCAAATATCACAAAAAGAGGGTATCAGATCTGCTCTGTCAAAAGGACAGTTCACCTCTGTGAGTTGAATAGAGGCAACACAAAGAACTTACTCAGTATTCTTCTTTCTAGCGTTCTATGAAGAAATCCCGTTTCCAACGAAGGCCTCAAAGAGGTCCAAATATCCTCTTGCAGACATTACAAACAGAGTGTTTCCAAACTGCTCCATCAAAAGAAAGGTTAAACTCTGTGAGCTGAACACACACATCAAAAAGAAGTTTCTGTGAATGATTCTGTCTAGATTTTATAAGAAGATGTTTCCTTTTCTACTGTAGGACTCAAAGCGCTTGAAATCTCCAGCTGCAAATTCCACAAAAAGGGTTTTTAACATCTGCTCTTCTAAAGGAAAGTTCAACTCTATGCGTTGAATACACACAGCAGAAAGAAGTTACTGAGACTTCTCCTATCAAACATTATATGAAGAAATCCCGTTTCCAACGAAGGCCTCAAAGAGGTCCAAATATCTGCTTGCAGACTTTACAGACAGAGTTTTTCCAAACAGCTCCATCAAAAGAAAGGTTAAACTCCTTGAGTTGAACACACACATCACAAAGTAGTTTCTGTGAATGATTCTGTCTAGTTTTTATACGAAGATGTTTCCTTTTCTACCTTTGGTCTCAAAGCGATTGAAATCTCCACATGGAAACTCCACAAAAAGAGTGTTTCAAATCTGCTCTTTCTGAAGGAAGGTTCAACTCTGTGAGTTGAATACACACACCACAAATAAGTTACTGAGAATTCTTCTGTGTAACATTATATGAGGAAATCCCGTTTCCAACGAAGGCCTCAAAGAGGTCCAAATATCCACTTGCAGACTTTACAAAGACAGTGTCTCCAAACTCCTCCATCAAAAGAAAGGTTATACTCTGTGAATTGAACGCACACATCACAAAATAGTTTCTGAGAATGATTCTGTCTAGTTTTTATACGAAGATATTTCCTTTTCTACATTTGGCCTAAAAGCGCTTGAAATCTCCACCTGCAAATATCACAAAAAGAGGGTTTCACATCTGCTCTGTCTAAAGGACAGTTCACCTCTGTGAGTTGAATAGAGGCAACACAAAGAACTTACTCAGTATTCTTCTTTCTAGCGTTCTATGAAGAAATCCCGTTTCCAACGAAGGCCCCAAAGAGGTCCAAATATCTGCTTGCAGACTTTACAGACAGAGTGTTTCCAAACTACTCTATGAAAAGAAAGCTTAAACTCCTTGAGTTGAACGCACACATCACAAAGTAGTTTCTGAGAATGATGCTGTCTAGTGTTTATACGAAGATGTTTCCTTTTCTACATTTGGTCTCAAAGCGATTGAAATCTCCAACTGGAAACTGCACAAATACGGTGTTTCAAATCTGCTCTGTCTAAAGGAAGGTTCAACTCTGTGAGTTGAATACACACACCACAAATAAGTTACTGAGAATTCTTCTGTCGAAAATTACTTGAAGAAATCCCGTTTCCAACGAAGGCCTCAAAGAGGTCCAAATATCCACTTGCAGACATTACAAACAGAGTGTTTCCAAACTGCTCCATCAAAAGAAAGGTTAAACTCTGTGAGCTGAACACACACATCAAAAAGAAGTTTCTGTGAATGATTCTGTCTAGATTTTATAAGAAGATGTTTCCTTTTCTACCGTAGGCCTCAAAGCGCTTGAAATCTCCAGCTGCAAATTCCACAAAAAGGGTGTTTAACATCTGCTCTTCTAAAGGAAAGTTCAACTCTATGAGTTGAATACACACAGCACAAAGAAGTTACTGAGACTTCTCCTATCAAACATTATATGAAGAAATCCCGTTTCCAACGAAGGCCTCAAAGAGGTCCAAATATCTGCTTGCAGACTTTACAGACAGAGTGTTTCCAAACTGCTCCATCAAAAGAAAGGTTAAACTCCTTGAGTTGAACACACACATCACAAAGTAGTTTCTGTGAATGATTCTGTCTAGTTTTTATACGAAGATGTTTCCTTTTCAACCTTTGGTCTCAAAGCGATTGAAATCTCCACATGGAAACTCCACAAAAAGAGTGTTTCAAATCTGCTCTTTCTGAAGGAAGGTTCAACTCTGTGAGTTGAATACACACACCACAAATAAGTTACTGAGAATTCTTCTGTGTAACATTATATGAGGAAATCCCGTTTCCAACGAAGGCCTTAAAGAGGTCCAAATATCCACTTGCAGACTTTACAAAGACAGTGTCTCCAAACTCCTCCATCAAAAGAAAGGTTATACTCTGTGAATTGAACGCACACATCACAAAGTAGTTTCTGAGAATGATTCTGTCTAGTTTTTATACGAAGATATTTCCTTTTCTACATTTGGCCTAAAAGCGCTTGAAATCTCCACCTGCAAATATCACAAAAAGAGGGTTTCACATCTGCTCTGTCTAAAGGACAGTTCACCTCTGTGAGTTGAATAGAGGCAACACAAAGAACTTACTCAGTATTCTTCTTTCTAGCGTTCTATGAAGAAATCCCGTTTCCAACGAAGACCCCAATGAAGTCCAAATATCTGCTTGCAGACTTTACAGACAGAGTGTTTCCAAACTACTCTATGAAAAGAAAGCTTAAACTCCTTGAGTTGAACGCACACATCACAAAGTAGTTTCTGAGAATGATGCTGTCTAGTTTTTGTACGAAGATGTTTCCTTTTCTACATTTGGTCTCAAAGCGATTGAAATCTCCAACTGGAAACTGCACAAATAGGCTGTTTCAAATCTGCTCTGTCTAAAGGAAGGTTCAACTCTGTGAGTTGAATACACACACCACAAATAAGTTACTGAGAATTCTTCTGTCGAACATTACAGGAAGAAATCCCGTTTCCAACGAAGGCCTCAAAGAGGTCCAAATATCCACTTGCAGACATTACAAACAGAGTGTTTCCAAACTGCTCCATCAAAAGAAAGGTTAAACTCTGTGAGCTGAACACACACATCAAAAAGAAGTTTCTGTGAATGATTCTGTCTAGATTTTATAAGAAGATGTTTCCTTTTCTACCGTAGGCCTCAAAGCGCTTGAAATCTCCAGCTGCAAATTCCACAAAAAGGGTGTTTAACATCTGCTCTTCTAAAGGAAAGTTCAACTCTATGAGTTGAATACACACAGCACAAAGAAGTTACTGAGACTTCTCCTATCAAACATTATATGAAGAAATCCCGTTTCCAACGAAGGCCTCAAAGAGGTCCAAATATCTACTTGCAGACTTTACAGACAGAGTGTTTCCAAACTGCTCCATCAAAAGAAAGGTTAAACTCCTTGAGTTGAACACACACATCACAAAGTAGTTTCTGTGAATGATTCTGTCTAGTTTTTATACGAAGATGTTTCCTTTTCTACCTTTGGTCTCAAAGCGATTGAAATCTCCACATGGAAACTCCACAAAAAGAGTGTTTCAAATCTGCTCTTTCTGAAGGAAGTTTCATCTCTGTGAGTTGAATACACACACCACAAATAAGTTACTGAGAATTCTTCTGTGTAACATTATATGAGGAAATCCCGTTTCCAACGAAGGCCTCAAAGAGGTCCAAATATCCACTTGCAGACTTTACAAAGACAGTGTCTCCAAACTCCTCCATCAAAGAAAGGTTATACTCTGTGAATTGAACGCACACATCACAAAGTAGTTTCTGAGAATGATTCTGTCTAGTTTTTATACGAAGATATTTCCTTTTCTACATTTGGCCTAAAAGCGCTTGAAATCTCCACCTGCAAATATCACAAAAAGAGGGTTTCACATCTGCTCTGTCTAAAGGACAGTTCACCTCTGTGAGTTGAATAGAGGCAACACAAAGAACTTACTCAGTATTCTTCTTTCTAGCATTCTATGAAGAAATCCCGTTTCCAACGAAGGCCTCAAAGAGGTCCAAATATCTGCTTGCAGACTTTACAGACAGAGTTTTTCCAAACTGCTCCATCAAAAGAAAGGTTAAACTCCTTGAGTTGAACACACACATCACAAAGTAGTTTCTGTGAATGATTCTGTCTAGTTTTTATACGAAGATGTTCCCTTTTCTACCTTTGGTCTGAAAGCGATTGAAATCTCCACATGGAAACTCCACAAAAAGAGTGTTTCAAATCTGCTCTTTCTGAAGGAAGGTTCAACTCTGTGAGTTGAATACACACACCACAAATAAGTTACTGAGAATTCTTCTGTGTAACATTATATGAGGAAATCCCGTTTCCAACGAAGGCCTCAAAGAGGTCCAAATATCCACTTGCAAACTTTACAAAGACAGTGTCTCCAAACTCGTCCATCAAAAGAAAGGTTATACTCTGTGAATTGAACGCACACATCACAAAATAGTTTCTGAGAATGATTCTGTCTAGTTTTAATACGAAGATATTTCCTTTTCTACATTTGGCCTAAAAGCGCTTGAAATCTCCACCTGCAAATATCACAAAAAGAGGGTTTCACATCTGCTCTGTCTAAAGGACAGTTCACCTCTGTGAGTTGAATAGAGGCAACACAAAGAATTTAGTCAGTATTCTTCTTTCTTGCGTTCTATGAAGAAATCCCGTTTCCAACGAAGGCCCCAAAGAGGTCCAAATATCTGCTTGCACACTTTACAGACAGAGTGTTTCCAAACTACTCTATGAAAAGAAAGCTTAAACTCCTTGAGTTGAACGCACACATCACAAAGTAGTTTCTGAGAATGATTCTGTCCAGTTTTTATACGAAGATGTTTCCTTTTCTACATTTGGTCTCAAAGCGATTGAAATCTCCAACTGGAAACTGCACAAATAGGGTGTTTCAAATCTGCTCTTTCTAAAGGAAGGTTCAACTCTGTGAGTTGAATACACACACCACAAATAAGTTACTGAGAATTCTTCTGTCGAACATTACTTGAAGAAATCCCGTTTCCAACGAAGGCCTCAAACAGGTCCAAATATTCACTTGCAGATATTACAAACAGAGTGTTTCCAAACTGCTCCATCAAAAGAAAGGTAAACTCTGTGAGCTGAACACACACATCAAAAAGAAGTTTCTGTGAATGATTCTGTCTAGATTTTATAAGAAGATGTTTCCTTTTCTACCGTAGGACTCAAAGCGCTTGAAATCTCCAGCTGCAAATTCCACAAAAAGGGTGTTTAACATCTGCTCTTCTAAAGGAAAGTTCAACTCTATGAGTTGAATACACACAGCACAAAGAAGTTACTGAGACTTCTCCTATCAAACATTATATGAAGAAATCCCGTTTCCAACGAAGGCCTCAAAGAGGTCCAAATATCTGCTTGCAGACTTTAAAGACAGAGTTTTTCCAAACTGCTCCATCAAAAGAAAGGTTAAACTCCTTGAGTTGAACACACACATCACAAAGTAGTTTCTGTGAAAGATTCTGTCTAGTTTTTATACGAAGATGTTTCCTTTTCTAGCTTTGGTCTCAAAGCGATTGAAATCTCCACATGGAAACTCCACAAAAAGAGTGTTTCAAATCTGCTGTTTCTGAAGGAAGGTTCAACTCTGTGAGTTGAATACACGCACCACAAATAAGTTACTGGGAATTCTTCTGTGTAACATTATATGAGGAAATCCCGTTTCCAACGAAGGCCTCAAAGAGGTCCAAATATCCACTTGCAGACTTTACAAAGACAGTGTCTCCAAACTCCTCCATCAAAAGAAAGGTTATACTCTGTGAATTGAACGCACACATCACAAAGTAGTTTCTGAGAATGATTCTGTCTAGTTTTTATACGAAGATATTTCCTTTTCTACATTTGGCCGAAAAGCGCTTGAAATCTCCACCTGCAAATACCACAAAAAGAGGGTTTCACATCTGCTCTGTCTAAAGGACAGTTCACCTCTGTGAGTTGAATAGAGGCAACACAAAGAACTTACTCAGTATTCTTCTTTCTAGCGTTCTATGAAGAAATCCCGTTTCCAACGAAGGCCCCAAAGAGGTCCAAATATCTGCTTGCAGACTTTACAGACAGAGTGTTTCCAAACTACTCTATGAAAAGAAAGCTTAAACTCCTTGAGTTGAACGCACACATCACAAAGTAGTTTCTGAGAATGATTCTGTCTAGTTTTTATACGAAGATGTTTCCTTTTCTACATTTGGTCTCAAAGCGATTGAAATCTCCAACTGGAAACTGCACAAATAGGGTGTTTCAAATCTGCTCTGTCTAAAGGAAGGTTCAACTCTGTGAGTTGAATACACACACCACAAATAAGTTACTGAGAATTCTTCTGTCGAACATTACAGGAAGAAATCCCGTTTCCAACGAAGGCCTCAAAGAGGTCCAAATATCCACTTGCAGACATTACAAACAGAGTGTTTCCAAACTGCTCCATCAAAAGAAAGGTTAAACTCTGTGAGCTGAACACACACATCAAAAAGAAGTTTCTGTGAATGATTCTGTCTAGATTTTATAAGAAGATATTTCCTTTTCTACCGTAGGCCTCAAAGCGCTTGAAATCTCCAGCTGCAAATTCCACAAAAAGGGTGTTTAACATCTGCTCTTCTAAAGGAAAGTTCAACTCTATGCGTTGAATACACACAGCACAAAGAAGTTACTGAGACTTCTCCTATCAAACATTATATGAAGAAATCCCGTTTCCAACGAAGGCCTCAAAGAGGTCCAAATATCTGCTTGCAGACTTTACAGACAGAGTTTTTCCAAACTGCTCCATCAAAAGAAAGGTTAAACTCCTTGAGTTGAACACACACATCACAAAGTAGTTTCTGTGAATGATTCTGTCTAGTTTTTATACGAAGATGTTTCCTTTTCTACCTTTGGTCTCAAAGCGATTGAAATCTCCACATGGAAACTCCACAAAAAGAGTGTTTCAAATCTGCTCTTTCTGAAGGAAGGTTCAACTCTGTGAGTTGAATACACACACCACAAATAAGTTACTGAGAATTCTTCTGTGTAAAATTATATGAGGAAATCCCGTTTCCAACGAAGGCCTCAAAGAGGTCCAAATATCCACCTGCAGACTTTACAAAGACAGTGTCTCCAAACTCCTCCATCAAAAGAAAGGTTATACTCTGTGAATTGAACGCACACATCACAAAGTAGTTTCTGAGAATGATTCTGTCTAGTTTTTATACGAAGATATTTCCTTTTCTACATTTGACCTAAAAGCGCTTGAAATCTCCACCTGCAAATATCACAAAAAGAGGGTTTCACATCTGCTCTGTCTAAAGGACAGTTCACCTCTGTGAGTTGAATAGAGGCAACACAAAGAACTTACTCAGTATTCTTCTTTCTAGCGTTCAATGAAGAAATCCCGTTTCCAACTAAGGCCCCAATGAGGTCCAAATATCTGCTTGCAGACTTTACAGACAGAGTGTTTCCAAACTACTCTATGAAAAGAAAGCTTAAACTCCTTGAGTTGAACGCACACATCACAAAGTAGTTTCTGAGAATGATTTTGTCTAGTTTTTATACGAAGATGTTTCCTTTTCTACATTTGGTCTCAAAGCGATTGAAATCTCCAACTGGAAACTGCACAAATAGGGTGTTTCAAATCTGCTCTGCCTAAAGGAAGGTTCAACTCTGTGAGTTGAATACACACACCACAAATAAGTTACTGAGAATTCTTCTGTCGAACATTACATGAAGAAATCCAGTTTCCAACGAAGGCATCAAAGAGGTCCAAATATCCACTTGCAGACATTACAGAGTGTTTCCAAACTGCTCCATCAAAAGAAAGGTTAAACTCTGTGAGCTGAACACACACATCAAAAAGAAGTTTCTGTGAATGATTCTGTCTAGATTTTATAAGAAGATGTTTCCTTTTCTACCGTAGGCCTCAAAGCGCTTGAAATCTCCAGCTGCAAATTCCACAAAAAGGGTGTTTAACATCTGCTCTTCTAAAGGAAAGTTCAACTCTATGAGTTGAATACACACAGCACAAAGAAGTTACTGAGACTTCTCCTATCAAACATTATATGAAGAAATCCCGTTTCCAACGAAGGCCTCAAAGAGGTCCAAATATCTACTTGCAGACTTTACAGACAGAGTGTTTCCAAACTGCTCCATCAAAAGAAAGGTTAAACTCCTTGAGTTGAACACACACATCACAAAGTAGTTTCTGTGAATGATTCTGTCTAGTTTTTATACGAAGATGTTTCCTTTTCTAACTTTGGTCTCAAAGCGATTGAAATCTCCACATGGAAACTCCACAAAAAGAGTGTTTCAAATCTGCTCTTTCTGAAGGAAGGTTCAACTCTGTGAGTTGAATACACACACCACAAATAAGTTACTGAGAATTCTTCTGTGTAACATTATATGAGGAAATCCCGTTTCCAACGAAGGCCTCAAAGAGGTCCAAATATCCACTTTCAGACTTTACAAAGACAGTGTCTCCAAACTCCTCCATCAAAAGAAAGGTTATACTCTGTGAATTGAACGCACACATCACAAAGTAGTTTCTGAGAATGATTCTGTCTAGTTTTTATACGAAGATATTTCCTTTTCTACATTTGGCCTAAAAGCGCTTGAAATCTCCACCTGCAAATATCACAAAAAGAGGGTTTCACATCTGCTCTGTCTAAAGGACAGTTCACCTCTGTGAGTTGAATAGAGGCAACACAAAGAACTTACTCAGTATTCTTCTTTCTAGCGTTCTATGAAGAAATCCCGTTTCCAACGAAGGCCTCAAAGAGGTCCAAATATCTGCTTGCAGACTTTACCGACAGAGTGTTTCCAAACTACTCTATGAAAAGAAAGCTTAAACTCCTTGAGTTGAACGCACACATCACAAAGTAGTTTCTGAGAATGATTCTGTCTAGTTTTTATACGAAGATGTTTCCTTGTCTACATTTGGTCTCAAAGCGATTGAAATCTCCAACTGGAAACTGCACAAATAGGGTGTTTCAAATCTGCTCTGTCTAAAGGAAGGTTCAACTCTGTGAGTTGAATAAACACACCACAAATAAGTTACTGAGAATTCTTCTGTCAAACATTACAGGAAGAAATCCCGTTTCCAACGAAGGCTTCAAAGAGGTCCAAATATCCACTTGCAGACATTACAAACAGAGTGTTTCCAAACTGCTCCATCAAAAGAAAGGTTAAACTCTGTGAGCTGAACACACACATCAAAAAGAAGTTTCTGTGAATGATTCTGTCTAGATTTTATACGAAGATGTTTCCTTTTCTACCGTAGGCCTCAAAGCGCTTGAAATCTCCAGCTGCAAATTCCACAAAAAGGGTGTTTAACATCTGCTCTTCTAAAGGAAAGTTCAACGTCTATGAGTTGAATACACACAGCACAAAGAAGTTACTGAGACTTCTCCTATCAAACATTATATGAAGAAATCCCGTTTCCAACGAAGGCTCCAAAGAGGTCCAAATATCTGCTTGCAGACTTTACAGACAGAGTTTTTCCAAACAGCTCCATCAAAAGAAAGGTTAAACTCCTTGAGTTGAACACACACATCACAAAGTAGTTTCTGTGAATGATTCTGTCTAGTTTTTATACGAAGATGTTTCCTTTTCTACCTTTGGTCTCAAAGCGATTGAAATCTCCACATGGAAACTCCACAAAAAGAGTGTTTCAAATCTGCTCTTTCTGAAGGAAGGTTCAACTCTGTGAGTTGAATACACACACCACAAATAAGTTACTGAGAATTCTTCTGTGTAACATTATATGAGGAAATCCCGTTTCCAACGAAGGCCTCAAAGAGGTCCAAATATCCACTTGCAGACTTTACAAAGACAGTGTCTCCAAACTCCTCCATCAAAAGAAAGGTTATACTCTGTGAATTGAACGCACACATCACAAAGTAGTTTCTGAGAATGATTCTGTCTAGTTTTTATACGAAGATATTTCCTTTTCTACATTTGGCCTAAAAGCGCTTGAAATCTCCACCTGCAAATATCACAAAAAGAGGGTTTCACATCTGCTCTGTCTAAAGGACAGTTCACCTCTGTGAGTTGAATAGAGGCAACACAAAGAACTTACTCAGTATTCTTCTTTCTAGCGTTCTATGAAGAAATCCCGTTTCCAACGAAGGCCTCAAAGAGGTCAAAGATCTGCTTGCAGACTTTACAGACAGAGTGTTTCCAAACTACTCTATGAAAAGAAAGCGTAAACTCCTTGAGTTGAACGCACACATCACAAAGTAGTTTCTGAGAATGATTCTGTCTAGTTTTTATACGAAGATGTTTCCTTTTCTACATTTGGTCTCAAAGCGATTGAAATCTCCAACTGGAAACTGCACAAATAGGGTGTTTCAAATCTGCTCTGTCTAAAGGAAGGTTCAACTCTGTGAGTTGAATACACACACCACAAATAAGTTACTGAGAATTCTTCTGTCGAACATTACATGAAGAAATCCCGTTTCCAAAGAAGGCCTCAAAGAGGTCCAAATATCCACTTGCAGACATTACAAACAGAGTGTTTCCAAACTGCTCCATCAAAAGAAAGGTTAAACTCTGTGAGCTGAACACACACATCAAAAAGAAGTTTCTGTGAATGATTCTGTCTAGATTTTATAAGAAGATGTTTCCTTTTCTACCGTAGGCCTCAAAGCGCTTGAAATCTCCAGCTGCAAATTCCACAAAAAGGGTGTTTAACATCTGCTCTTCTAAAGGAAAGTTCAACTCTATGAGTTGAATACACACAGCACAAAGAAGTTACTGAGACTTCTCCTATCAAACATTATATGAAGAAATCCCGTTTCCAACGAAGGCCTCAAAGAGGTCCAAATATCTGCTTGCAGACTTTACAGACAGAGTATTTCCAAACTGCTCCATCAAAAGAAAGGTTAAACTCCTTGAGTTGAACACACACATCACAAAGTAGTTTCTGTGAATGATTCTGTCTAGTTTTTATACGAAGATGTTTCCTTTTCTACCTTTGGTCTCAAAGCGATTGAAATCTCCACATGGAAACTCCACAAAAAGAGTGTTTCAAATCTGCTCTTTCTGAAGGAAGGTTCAACTCTGTGAGTTGAATACACACACCACAAATAAGTTACTGAGAATTCTTCTGTGTAACATTATATGAGGAAATCCCGTTTCCAACGAAGGCCTCAAAGAGGTCCAAATATCCACTTGCAGACTTTACAAAGACAGTGTCTCCAAACTCCTCCATCAAAAGAAAGGTTATACTCTGGGAATTGAACGCACACATCAAAAAGTAGTTTCTGAGAATGATTCTGTCCAGTTTTTATACGAAGATATTTCCTTTTCTACATTTGGCCTAAAAGCGCTTGAAATCTCCACCTGCAAATATCACAAAAAGAGGGTTTCACATCTGCTCTGTCTAAAGGGCAGTTCACCTCTGTGAGTTGAATAGAGGCAACACAAAGAACTTAGTCAGTATTCTTCTTTCTAGCGTTCTATGAAGAAATCCCGTTTCCAACGAAGACCCCTATGAGGTCCAAATATCTGCTTGCAGACTTTACAGACAGAGTGTTTCCAAACTACTCTATGAAAAGAAAGCTTAAACTCCTTGAGTTGAACGCACACATCACAAAGTAGTTTCTGAGAATGATTCTGTCTAGTTTTTATACGAAGATGTTTCCTTTTCTACATTTGGTCTCAAAGCGATTGAAATCTCCAACTGGAAACTGCACAAATAGGGTGTTTCAAATCTGCTCTGTCTAAAGGAAGGTTCAACTCTGTGAGTTGAATACACACACCACAAATAAGTTACTGAGAATTCTTCTGTCGAACATTACATGAAGAAATCCCGTTTCCAACTAAGGCCTGAAAGAGGTCCAAATATCCACTTGCAGATATTACAAACAGTGTGTTTCCAAACTGCTCCATCAAAAGAAAGGTTAAACTCTGTGAGCTGAACACACACATCAAAAAGAAATTTCTGTGAATGATTCTGTCTAGATTTTATAAGAAGATGTTTCCTTTTCTACCGTAGGCCTCAAAGCGCTTGAAATCTCCAGCTGCAAATTCCACAAAAAGGGTGTTTAACATCTGCTCTTCTAAAGGAAAGTTCAACTCAATGAGTTGAATACACACAGCACAAAGAAGTTACTGAGACTTCTCCTATCAAACATTATATGAAGAAATCCCGTTTCCAACGAAGGCCTCAAAGAGGTCCAAATATCTGCTTGCAGACTTTAAAGACAGAGTTTTTCCAAACTGCTCCATCAAAAGAAAGGTTAAACTCCTTGAGTTGAACACACACATCACAAAGTAGTTTCTGTGAATGATTCTGTCTAGTTTTTATACGAAGATGTTTCCTTTTCTACCTTTGGTCTCAAAGCGATTGAAATCTCCACATGGAAACTCCACAAAAAGAGTGTTTCAAATCTGCTCTTTCTGAAGGAAGGTTCAACTCTGTGAGTTGAATACACACACCACAAATAAGTTACTGAGAATTCTTCTGTGTAACATTATATGAGGAAATCCCGTTTCCAACGAAGGCCTCAAAGAGGTCCAAATATCCACTTGCAGACTTTACAAAGACAATGTCTTGAAACTCCTCCATCAAAAGAAAGGTTATACTCTGTGAATTGAACGCACACATCACAAAGTAGTTTCTGAGAATGACTCTGTCTAGTTTTTATACAAAGATATTTCCTTTTCTACATTTGGCCTAAAAGCGCTTGAAATCTCCACCTGCAAATATCACAAAAAGAGGGTTTCAAATCTGCTCTGTCTAAAGGACAGTTCACTTCTGTGAGTTGAATAGAGGCAACACAAAGAACTTACTCAGTATTCTTCTTTCTAGCGTTCTATGAAGAAATCCCTTTTCCAACGAAGGCCCCAAAGAGGTCCAAATATCTGCTTGCAGACTTTACAGACAGAGTGTTTCCAAAGTACTCTATGAAAAGAAAGCTTAAACTCCTTGAGTTGAACGCACACATCACAAAGTAGTTTCTGAGAATGATTCTGTCTAGTTTTTATACGAAGATGTTTCCTTTTCTACATTTGGTCTCAAAGCGATTGAAATCTCCAACTGGAAACTGCACAAATAGGGTGTTTCAAATCTGCTCTGTCTAAAGGAAGGTTCAACTCTGTGAGTTGAATACACACACCACAAATAAGTTACTGAGAATTCTTCTGTCGACCATTACTTGAAGAAATCCCGTTTCCAACGAAGGCCTCAAAGAGGTCCAAATATCCACTTGCAGACATTACAAACAGAGTGTTTCCAAACTGCTCCATCAAAAGAAAGGTTAAACTCTGTGAGCTGAACACACACATCGAAAAGAAGTTTCTGTGAATGATTCTGTCTAGATTTTATAAGAAGATGTTTCCTTTTCTACCGTAGGCCTCAAAGCGCTTGAAATCTCCAGCTGCAAATTCCACAAAAAGGGTGTTTAACATCTGCTCTTCTAAAGGAAAGTTCAACTCTATGAGTTGAATACACACAGCACAAAGAAGTTACTGAGACTTCTCCTATCAAACATTATATGAAGAAATCCCGTTTCCAACGAAGGCCTCAAAGAGGTCCAAATATCTGCTTGCAGACTTTACAGACAGAGTGTTTCCAAACTGCTCCATCAAAAGAAAGGTTAAACTCCTTGAGTTGAACACACACATCACAAAGTAGTTTCTGTGAATGATTCTGTCTAGTTTTTATACGAAGATGTTTCCTTTTCTACCTTTGGTCTCAAAGCGATTGAAATCTCCACATGGAAACTCCACCAAAAGAGTGTTTCAAATCTGCTCTTTCTGAAGGAAGGTTCAACTCTGTGAGTTGAATACACACACCACAAATAAGTTACTGAGAATTCTTCTGTGTAACATTATATGAGGAAATCCCGTTTCCAACGAAGGCCTCAAAGAGGTCCAAATATCCACTTGCAGACTTTACAAAGACAGTGTCTCCAAACTCCTCCATCAAAAGAAAGGTTATACTCTGTGAATTGAACGCACACATCACAAAGTAGTTTCTGAGAATGATTCTGTCTAGTTTTTATACGAAGATATTTCCTTTTCTACATTTGGCCTAAAAGCGCTTGAAATCTCCACCTGCAAATATCACAAAAAGAGGGTTTCACATCTGCTCTATCTAAAGGAGAGTTCACCTCTGTGAGTTGAATAGAGGCAACACAAAGAACTTACTCAGTATTCTTCTTTCTAGCGTTCTATGAAGAAATCCCGTTTCCAACGAAGGCCTCAAAGAGGTCCAAATATCTGCTTGCAGACTTTACAGACACAGTTTTTCCAAACTGCTCCATCAAGAGAAAGGTTAAACTCCTTGAGTTGAACACACACATCACAAAGTAGTTTCTGTGAATGATTCTGTCTAGTTTTTATACGAAGATGTTTCCTTTTCTACCTTTGGTCTCAAAGCGATTGAAATCTCCACATGGAAACTCCACAAAAAGAGTGTTTCAAATCTGCTCTTTCCGAAGGAAGGTTCAACTCTGTGAGTTGAATACACACACCACAAATAAGTTACTGAGAATTCTTCTGTGTAAAATTATATGAGGAAATCCCTTTTCCAAGGAAGGCCTCAAAGAGGTCCAAATATCCACTTGCAGACTTTACAAAGACAGTGTATCCAAACTCCTCCATCAAAAGAAAGGTTAGACTCTGTGAATTGATCGCACACATCACAAAGTAGTTTCTGAGAATGATTCTGTCTAGTTTTTATACGAAGATATTTCCTTTTCTACATTTGGCCTAAAAGCGCTTGAAATCTCCACCTGCAAATATCACAAAAACAGGGTTTCACATCTGCTCTGTCTAAAGGACAGTTCACCTCTGTGAGTTGAATAGAGGCAACACAAAGAACTTACTCAGTATTCTTCTTTCTAGCATTCTATGAAGAAATCCCGTATCCAACGAAGGCCCCAAAGAGGTCCAAATATCTGCTTGCAGACTTTACAGACAGAGTTTTTCCAAACTGTTCCATCAAAAGAAAGGTTAAACTCCTTGAGTTGAACACACACATCACAAAGTAGTTTCTGTGAATGATTCTGTCTAGTTTTTATAAGAAGATGTTTCCTTTGCTACCTTTGGTCTCTAAGCGATTGAAATCTCCACATGGAAACTCCTCAAAAAGAGTGTTTCAAATCTGCTCTTTCTGAAGGAAGGTTCAACTCTGTGAGTTGAATACACACACCACAAATAAGTTACTGAGAATTCTTCTGTGTAACATTATATGAGGAAATCCCGTTTCCAACGAAGGCCTCAAAGAGGTCCAAATATCCACTTGCAGACTTTACAAAGACAGTGTCTCCAAACTCCTCCATCAAAAGAAAGGTTATACTCTGTGAATTGAACGCACACATCACAAAGTAGTTTCTGAGAATGATTCTGTCTAGTTTTTATACGAAGATATTTCCTTTTCTACATTTGGCCTAAAAGCGCTTGAAATCTCCACCTGCAAATATCACAAAAAGAGGGTTTCACATCTGCTCTGTCTAAAGGACAGTTCACCTCTGTGAGTTGAATAGAGGCAACACAAAGAACTCAGTATTCTTCTTTCTAGCGTTCTATGAAGAAATCCCGTTTCCAACGAAGGCCTCAAAGAGGTCCAAATATCTGCTTGCAGACTTTACAGACAGAGTGTTTCCAAACTACTCTATGAAAAGAAAGCTTAAACTCCTTGAGTTGAACGCACACATCACAAAGTAGTTTCTGAGAATGATTCTGTCTAGATTTTATAAGAAGATGTTTCCTTTTCTACCATAGGCCTCAAAGCGCTAGAAATCTCCAGCTGTAAATTCAACAAAAAGTGTGTTTAACATCCGCTCTGTCTAAAGTAAAGTTCAGCTCTGTGAGTTGAATACACACAGCACAAAGAAGTTAGTGAGACTTCTTCTGTCTAACATTATATGAAGAAATCCCGTTTCCAACGAAGGCCTCAAAGAGGCCCAAATATCCACTTGCAGACTTGTCAAACGGAGTGTTTCCAAACTGCACCATCAAAAGAAAGGTTAAACTCTGTGAGCTGAACACACACATCACAAAGTAGTTTCTGTGAATGATTCTGTCTAGTTTTTATACGAAGATGTTTCCTTTTCTACCTTTGGTCTCAAAGCGATTGAAATCTCCACATGGAAACTCCACAAAAAGAGTGTTTGAAATCTGCTCTTTCTGAAGGAAGGTTCAACTCTGTGAGTTGAATACACACACCACAAATAAGTTACTGAGAATTCTTCCGTGTAACATTATATGAGGAAATCCCGTTTCCAACGAAGGCCTCAAAGAGGTCCAAATATCCACTTGCAGACTTTACAAAGACAGTGTCTCCAAACTCCTCCATCAAAAGAAAGGTTATACTCTGTGAATTGAACGCACACATCACAAAGTAGTTTCTGAGAATGATTCTGTCTAGTTTTTATACGAAGATGTTTCCTTTTCTACCTTTGGTCTCAAAGCGATTGAAATCTCCACATGGAAACTCCACAAAAAGAGTGTTTCAAATCTGCTCTTTCTGAAGGAAGGTTCAACTCTGTGAGTTGAATACACACACCACAAATAAGTTACTGAGAATTCTTCTGTGTAACATTATATGAGGAAATCCCGTTTCCAACGAAGGCCTCAAAGAGGTCCAAATATCCACTTGCAGACTTTACAAAGACAGTGTCTCCAAACTCCTCCATCGCAAGAGAGGTTATACTCTGTGAATTGAACGCACACATCACAAAGTAGTTTCTGAGAATGATTCTGTCTAGTTTTTATACGAAGATATTTCCTTTTCTACATTTGGCCTAAAAGCGCTTGAAATCTCCACCTGCAAATATCACAAAAAGAGGGTTTCACATCTGCTCTGTCTAAAGGACAGTTCACCTCTGTGAGTTGAATAGAGGCAACACAAAGAACTTACTCAGTATTCTTCTTTCTAGCGTTTTAAGAAGAAATCCCGTTTCCAACGAAGGCCTCAAAGAGGTCCAAATATCTGCTTGCAGACTTTACAGACAGAGTGTTTCCAAACTACTCTATGAAAAGAAAGCTTAAACTCCTTGAGTTGAACGCACACATCACAAAGTAGTTTCTGAGAATGATTCTGTCTAGTTTTTATACGAAGATGTTTCCTTTTCTACATTTGGTCTCAAAGCGATTGAAATCTCCAACTGGAAACTGCACAAATAGGGTGTTTCAAATCTGCTCTGTCTAAAGGAAGGTTCAACTCTGTGAGTTGAATACACACACCACAAATAAGTTACTGAGAATTCTTCTGTCGAACATTACATGAAGAAATCCCGTTTCCAACGAAGGCCTCAAAGAGGTCCAAATATCCACTTGCAGACATTACAGAGTGTTTCCAAACTGCTCCATCAAAAGAAAGGTTAAACTCTGTGAGCTGAACACACACATCAAAAAGAAGTTTCTGTGAATGATTCTGTCTAGATTTTATAAGAAGATGTTTCCTTTTCTACCGTAGGCCTCAAAGCGCTTGAAATCTCCAGCTGCAAATTCCACAAAAAGGGTGTTTAACATCTGCTCTTCTAAAGGAAAGTTCAACTCTATGAGTTGAATACACACAGCACAAAGAAGTTACTGAGACTTCTCCTATCAAACATTATATGAAGAAATCCCGTTTCCAACGAAGGCCTCAAAGAGGTCCAAATATCTGCTTGCAGACTTTACAGACAGAGTTTTTCCAAACTGCTCCATCAAAAGAAAGGTTAAACTCCTTGAGTTGAACACACACATCACAAAGTAGTTTCTGTGAATGATTCTGTCTAGTTTTTATACGAAGATGTTTCCTTTTCTACCTTTGGTCTCAATGCGATTGAAATCTCCACATGGAAACTCCACAAAAAGAGTGTTTCAAATCTGCTCTTTCTGAAGGAAGGTTCAACTCTGTGAGTTGAATACACACACCACAAATAAGTTACTGAGAATTCTTCTGTGTAACATTATATGAGGAAATCCCGTTTCCAACGAAGGCCTCAAAGAGGTCCAAATATCCACTTGCAGACTTTACAAAGACAGTGTCTCCAAACTCCTCCATCAAAAGAAAGGTTATACTCTGTGAATTGAACGCACACATCACAAAGTAGTTTCTGAGAATGATTCTGTCTAGTTTTTATACGAAGATATTTCCTTTTCTACATTTGGCCCAAAAGCGCTTGAAATCTCCACCTGCAAATATCACAAAAAGAGGGTTTCACATCTGCTCTGTCTAAAGGACAGTTCACCTCTGTGAGTTGAATAGAGGCAACACAAAGAACTTACTCAGTATTCTTCTTTCTAGCGTTCTATGAAGAAATCCCGTTTCCAACGAAGGCCCCAAAGAGGTCCAAATATCTGCTTGCACACTTTACAGACAGAGTGTTTCCAAACTACTCTATGAAAAGAAAGCTTAAACTCCTTGAGTTGAACGCACACATCACAAAGTAGTTTCTGAGAATGATTCTGTCCAGTTTTTATACGAAGATGTTTCCTTTTCTACATTTGGTCTCAAAGCGATTGAAATCTCCAACTGGAAACTGCACAAATAGGGTGTTTCAAATCTGCTCTGTCTAAAGGAAGGTTCAACTCTGTGAGTTGAATACACACACCACAAATAAGTTACTGGGAATTCTTCTGTCGAACATTACAGGAAGAAATCCCGTTTCCAACGAAGGCCTCAAAGAGGTCCAAATATCCACTTGCAGACATTACAAACAGTGTGTTTCCCAACTGCTCCATCAAAAGAAAGGTTAAACTCTGTGAGCTGAACACACACATCAAAAAGAAGTTTCTGTGAATGATTCTGTCTAGATTTTATAAGAAGATGTTTCCTTTTCTACCGTAGGCCTCAAAGCGCTTGAAATCTCCAGCTGCAAATTCCACAAAAAGGGTGTTTAACATCTGCTCTTCTAAAGGAAAGTTCAACTCTATGAGTTGAATACACACAGCACAAAGAAGTTACTGAGACTTCTCCTATCAAACATTATATGAAGAAATCCCGTTTCCAACGAAGGCCTCAAAGAGGTCCAAATATCTGCTTGCAGACTTTACAGACAGAGTATTTCCAAACTGCTCCATCAAAAGAAAGGTTAAACTCCTTGAGTTGAACACACACATCACAAAGTAGTTTCTGTGAATGATTCTGTCTAGTTTTTATACGAAGATGTTTCCTTTTCTACCTTTGGTCTCAAAGCGATTGAAATCTCCACATGGAAACTCCACAAAAAGAGTGTTTCAAATCTGCTCTTTCTGAAGGAAGGTTCAACTCTGTGAGTTGAATACACACACCACAAATAAGTTACTGAGAATTCTTCTGTGTAACATTATATGAGGAAATCCCGTTTCCAACGAAGGCCTCAAAGAGGTCCAAATATCCACTTGCAGACTTTACAAAGACAGTGTCTCCAAACTCCTCCATCAAAAGAAAGGTTATACTCTGTGAATTGAACGCACACATCACAAAGTAGTTTCTGAGAATGATTCTGTCTAGTTTTTATACGAAGATATTTCCTTTTCTACATTTGGCCTAAAAGCACTTGAAATCTCCACCTGCAAATATCCCAAAAAGAGGGTTTCACATCTGCTCTGTCTAAAGGACAGTTCTCCTCTGTGAGTAGAATAGAGGCAACACAAAGAACTTAGTATTCTTCTTTCTAGCGTTCTATGAAGAAATCCCGTTTCCAACGAAGGCCCCAAAGAGGTCCAAATATCTGCTTGCAGACTTTACAGACAGAGTGTTTCCAAACTACTCTATGAAAAGAAAGCTTAAACTCCTTGAGTTGAACGCACACATCACAAAGTAGTTTCGGAGAATGATTCTGTCTAGTTTTTATACGAAGATGTTTCCTTTTCTACATTTGGTCTCAAAGCGATTGAAATCTCCAACTGGAAACTGCACAAATAGGGTGTTTCAAATCTGCTCTGTCTAAAGGAAGGTTCAACTCTGTGAGTTGAATACACACACCACAAATAAGTTACTGAGAATTCTTCTGTCGACCATTACTTGATGAAATCCCGTTTCCAACGAAGGCCTCAAAGAGGTCCAAATATCCACTTGCAGACATTACAAACAGAGTGTTTCCAAACTGCTCCATCAAAAGAAAGGTTAAACTCTGTGAGCTGAACACACACATCGAAAAGAAGTTTCTGTGAATGATTCTGTCTAGATTTTATAAGAAGATGTTTCCTTTTCTACCGTAGGCCTCAAAGCGCTTGAAATCTCCAGCTGCAAATTCCACAAAAAGGGTGTTTAACATCTGCTCTTCTAAAGGAAAGTTCAACTCTATGAGTTGAATACACACAGCACAAAGAAGTTACTGAGACTTCTCCTATCAAACATTATATGAAGAAATCCCGTTTCCAACGAAGGCCTCAAAGAGGTCCAAATATCTGCTTGCAGACTTTACAGACAGAGTGTTTCAAAACTGCTCCATCAAAAGAAAGGTTAACCTCCTTGAGTTGAACACACACATCACAAAGTAGTTTCTGTGAATGATTCTGTCTAGTTTTTATACGAAGATGTTTCCTTTTCTACCTTTGGTCTCAAAGCGATTGAAATCTCCACATGGAAACTCCACAAAAAGAGTGTTTCAAATCTGCTCTTTCTGAAGGAAGGTTCATCTCTGTGAGTTGAATACACACACCACAAATAAGTTACTGAGAATTCTTCTGGGTAACATTATATGAGGAAATCCCGTTTCCAACGAAGGCCTCAAAGAGGTCCAAATATCCACTTGCAGACTTTACAAAGACAGTGTCTCCAAACTCCTCCATCAAAAGAAAGGTTATACTCTGTGAATTGAACGCACACATCACAAAGTAGTTTCTGAGAATGATTCTGTCTAGTTTTTATACGAAGATATTTCCTTTTCTATATTTGGCCTAAAAGCGCTTGAAATCTCCACCTGCAAATATCACAAAAAGAGGGTTTCACATCTGCTCTCTCTAAAGGACAGTTCACCTCTGTGAGTTGAATAGAGGCAACACAAAGAACTTACTCAGTATTCTTCTTTCTAGCGTTCTATGAAGAAATCCCGTTTCCAACGAAGGCCTCAAAGAGGTCAAATATCTGCTTGCAGACTTTACAGACAGAGTGTTTCCAAACTACTCTATGAAAAGAAAGCTTAAACTCCTTGAGTTGAACGCACACATCACAAAGTAGTTTCTGAGAATGATTCTGTCTAGTTTTTATACGAAGATGTTTCCTTTTCTACATTTGGTCTCAAAGCGATTGAAATCTCCAACTGGAAACTGCACAAATAGGGTGTTTCAAATCTGCTCTGTCTAAAGGAAGGTTCAACTCTGTGAGTTGAATACACACACCACAAATAAGTTACTGAGAATTCTTCTGTCGAACATTACTTGAAGAAATCCCGTTTCCAAAGAAGGCCTCAAAGAGGTCCAAATATCCACTTGCAGACATTACAAACAGAGTGTTTCCAAACTGCTCCATCAAAAGAAAGGTTAAACTCTGTGAGCTGAACACACACATCAAAAAGAAGTTTCTGTGAATGATTCTGTCTAGATTTTATAAGAAGATGTTTCCTTTTCTACCGTAGGCCTCAAAGCGCTTGAAATCTCCACCTGCAAATATCACAAAAAGAGGGTTTCACATCTGCTCTGTCTAAAGGACAGTTCACCTCTGTGAGTTGAATAGAGGCAACACAAAGAACTTACTCAGTATTCTTCTTTCTAGCGTTCTATGAAGAAATCCCGTTTCCAACGAAGGCCTCAAAGAGGTCAAATATCTGCTTGCAGACTTTACAGACAGAGTGTTTCCAAACTACTCTATGAAAAGAAAGCTTAAACTCCTTGAGTTGAACGCACACATCACAAAGTAGTTTCTGAGAATGATTCTGTCTAGTTTTTATACGAAGATGTTTCCTTTTCTACATTTGGTCTCAAAGCGATTGAAATCTCCAACTGGAAACTGCACAAATAGGCTGTTTCAAATCTGCTCTGTCTAAAGGAAGGTTCAGCTCTGTGTGTTGAATACACACACCACAAATAAGTTACTGAGAATTCTTCTGTCGAACATTACTTGAAGAAATCCCGTTTCCAACGAAGGCCTCAAAGAGGTCCAAATATCCACTTGCGGACATTACAAACAGTGTGTTTCCCAACTGCTCCATCAAAAGAAAGGTTAAACTCTGTGAGCTGAACACACACATCAAAAAGAAGTTTCTGTGAATGATTCTGTCTAGATTTTATAAGAAGATGTTTCCTTTTCTACCGTAGGCCTCAAAGCGCTTGAAATCTCCAGCTGCAAATTCCACAAAAAGGGTGTTTAACATCTGCTCTTCTAAAGGAAAGTTCAACTCTATGAGTTGAATACACACAGCACAAAGAAGTTACTGAGACTTCTCCTATCAAACATTATATGAAGAAATCCCGTTTCCAACGAAGGCCTCAAAGAGGTCCAAATATCTGCTTGCAGACTTTACAGACAGAGTATTTCCAAACTGCTCCATCAAAAGAAAGGTTAAACTCCTTGAGTTGAACACACACATCACAAAGTAGTTTCTGTGAATGATTCTGTCTAGTTTTTATACGAAGATGTTTCCTTTTCTACCTTTGGTCTCAAAGCGATTGAAATCTCCACATGGAAACTCCACAAAAAGAGTGTTTCAAATCTGCTCTTTCTGAAGGAAGGTTCAACTCTGTGAGTTGAATACACACACCACAAATAAGTTACTGAGAATTCTTCTGTGTAACATTATATGAGGAAATCCCGTTTCCAACGAAGGCCTCAAAGAGATCCAAATATCCACTTGCAGACTTTACAAAGACAGTGTCTCCAAACTCCTCCATCAAAAGAAAGGTTATACTCTGTGAATTGAACGCACACATCACAAAGTAGTTTCTGAGAATGATTCTGTCTAGTTTTTATACGAAGATATTTCCTTTTCTACATTTGGCCTAAAATCGCTTGAAATCTCCACCTGCAAATATCACAAAAAGAGGGTTTCACATCTGCTCTGTCTAAAGGACAGTTCACCTCTGTGAGTTGAATAGAGGCAACACAAAGAACTTACTCAGTATTCTTCTTTCTAGCGTTCTATGAAGAAATCCCGTTTCCAACGAAGGCCCCAAAGAGGTCCAAATATCTGCTTGCAGACTTTACAGACAGAGTGTTTCCAAACTACTCTATGAAAAGAAAGCTTAAACTCCATGAGTTGAACGCACACATCACAAAGTAGTTTCTGAGAATGATTCTGTCTAGTTTTTATACGAAGATGTTTCCTTTTCTACATTTGGTCTCAAAGCGATTGAAATCTCCAACTGGAAACTGCACAAACAGGGTGTTTCAAATCTGCTCTGTCTAAAGGAAGGTTCAACTCTGTGAGTTGAATACACACACCACAAATAAGTTACTGAGAATTCTTCTGTGTAACATATTATGAGGAAATCCCGTTTCCAACGAAGGCCTCAAAGAGGTCCAAATATCCACTTGCAGACATTACAAACAGAGTGTTTCCAAACTGCTCCATCAAAGGAAAGGTTAAACTCTGTGAGCTGAACACACACATCAAAAAGAAGTTTCTGTGAATGATTCTGTCTAGATTTTATAAGAAGATGTTTCCTTTTCTACCGTAGGCCTCAAAGCGCTTGAAATCTCCAGCTGCAAATTCCACAAAAAGGGTGTTTAACATCTGCTCTTCTAAAGGAAAGTTCAACTCTAAGAGTTGAATACACACAGCACAAAGAAGTTATTGAGACTTCTTCTTTCTAGCATTCTATGAAGAAATCCCGTTTCCAACGAAGGCCCCAAAGAGGTCCAAATATCTGCTTGCAGACTTTACAGACAGAGTGTTTCCAAACTGCTCCATCAAAAGAAAGGTTAAACTCCTTGAGTTGAACACACACATCACAAAGTATTTTCTGTGAATGATTCTGTCTAGTTTTTATAAGAAGATGTTTCCTTTTCTACCTTTGGTCTCAAAGCGATTGAAATCTCCACATGGAAACTCCACAAAAAGAGTGTTTCAAATCTGCTCTTTCTGAAGGAAGGTTCAATTCTGTGAGTTGAATACACACACCACAAATAAGTTACTGAGAATTCTTCTGTGTAACATTATATGAGGAAATCCCGTTTCCAACGAAGGCCTCAAAGAGGTCCAAATATCCACTTGCAGACTTTACAAAGACAGTGTCTCCAAACTCCTCCATCAAAAGAAAGGTTATACTCTGTGAATTGAACGCACACATCACAAAGTAGTTTCTGAGAATGATTCTGTCTAGTTTTTATACGAAGATATTTCCTTTTCTACATTTGGCCTAAAAGCGCTTGAAATCTCCACCTGCAAATATCACAAAAAGAGGGTTTCACATCTGCTCTGTCTAAAGGACAGTTCACCTCTGTGAGTTGAATAGAGGCAACACAAAGAACTTACTCAGTATTCTTCTTTCTAGCGTTCTATGAAGAAATCCCGTTTCCAACGAAGGCCTCAAAGAGGTCCAAATATCTGCTTGCAGACTTTACAGTCAGAGTTTTTCCACACTGCTCCATCAAAAGAAAGGTTAAACTCCTTGAGTTGAACACACACATCACAAAGTAGTTTCTGTGAATGATTCTGTCTAGTTTTTATACGACGATGTTTCCTTTTCTACCTTTGGTCTCAAAGCGATTGAAATCTCCACATGGAAGCTCCACAAAAAGAGTGTTTCAAATCTGCTCTTTCTGAAGGAAGGTTCAACTCTGTGAGTTGAATACACACACCACAAATAAGTTACTGAGAATTCTTCTGGGTAACATTATATGAGGAAATCCCGTTTCCAACGAAGGCCTCAAAGAGGTCCAAATATCCACTTGCAGACTTTACAAAGACAGTGTCTCCAAACTCCTCCATCAAAAGAAAGGTTATACTCTGTGAATTGAACGCACACATCACAAAGTAGTTTCTGAGAATGATTCTGTCTAGTTTTTATACGAAGATATTTCCTTTTCTACATTTGGCCTAAAAGTGCTTGAAATCTCCACCTGCAAATATCACAAAAAGAGGGTTTCACATCTGCTCTGTCTAAAGGACAGTTCACCTCTGTGAGTTGAATAGAGGCAACACAAAGAACTTACTCAGTATTCTTCTTTCTAGCGTTCTATGAAGAAATCCCGTTTCCAACGAAGGCCTCAAAGAGGTCAAATATCTGCTTGCAGACTTTACAGACAGAGTGTTTCCAAACTACTCTATGAAAAGAAAGCTTAAACTCCTTGAGTTGAACGCACACATCACAAAGTAGTTTCTGAGAATGATTCTGTCTAGTTTTTATACGAAGATGTTTCCTTTTCTACATTTGGTCTCAAAGCGATTGAAATCTCCAACTGGAAACTGCACAAATAGGGTGTTTCAAATCTGCTCTGTCTAAAGGAAGGTTCAACTCTGTGAGTTGAATACACACACCACAAATAAGTTACTGAGAATTCTTCTGTCGAACATTACTTGAAGAAATACCGTTTCCAAAGAAGACCTCAAAGAGGTCAAAATATCCACTTGCAGACATTACAAACAGAGTGTTTCAAAACTGCTCCATCAAAAGAAAGGTTAAACTCTGTGAGCTGAACACACACATCAAAAAGAAGTTTCTGTGAATGATTCTGTCTAGATTTTATAAGAAGATGTTTCCTTTTCTACCGTAGGCCTCAAAGCGCTTGAAATCTCCAGCTGCAAATTCTACAAAAAGGGTGTTTAACATCTGCTCTTCTAAAGGAAAGTTCAACTCTATGCGTTGAATAAACACAGCAGAAAGAAGTTACTGAGACTTCTCCTATCAAACATTATATGAAGAAATCCCGTTTCCAACGAAGGCCCCAAAGAGGTCCAAATATCTGCTTGCAGACTTTACAGACAGAGTTTTTCCAAACAGCTCCATCAAAAGAAAGGTTAAACTCCTTGAGTTGAACACACACATCACAAAGTAGTTTCTGTGAATGATTCTGTCTAGTTGTTATACGAAGATGTTTCCTTTTCTACCTTTGGTCTCAAAGCGATTGAAATCTCCACATGGAAACTCCACAAAAAGAGTGTTTCAAATCTGCTCTTTCTGAAGGAAGGTTCATCTCTGTGAGTTGAATACACACACCAAAAATAAGTTACTGAGAATTCTTCTGTGTAACATTATATGAGGAAATCCCGTTTCCAACGAAGGCCTCAAAGAGGTCCAAATATCCACTTGCAGACTTTACAAAGACAGTGTCTCCAAACTCCTCCATCAAAAGAAAGGTTATACTCTGTGAATTGAACGCACACATCACAAAGTAGTTTCTGAGAATGATTCTGTCTAGTTTTTATACGAAGATATTTCCTTTTCTACATTTGGCCTAAAAGCGCTTGAAATCTCCACCTGCAAATATCACAAAAAGAGGGTTTCACATCTGCTCTGTCTAAAGGACAGTTCAGCTCTGTGAGTTGAATAGAGGCAACACAAAGAACTTACTCAGTATTCTTCTTTCTAGCGTTCTATGAAGAAATCCCGTTTCCAACGAAGGCCCCAAAGAGGTCCAAATATCTGCTTGCAGACTTAACAGACAGAGTGTTTCCAAACTACTCTATGAAAAGAAAGCTTAAACTCCTTGAGTTGAACGCACACATCACAAAGTAGTTTCTGAGAATGATTCTGTCTAGTTTTTATACGAAGATGTTTCCTTTTCTACATTTGGTCTCAAAGCGATTGAAATCTCCAACTGGAAACTGCACAAATAGGGTGTTTCAAATCTGCTCTGTCTAAAGGAAGGTTCAACTCTGTGAGTTGAATACACACACCACAAATAAGTTACTGAGAATTCTTCTGTCGAACATTACAGGAAGAAATCCCGTTTCCAACGAAGGCCTCAAAGAGGTCCAAATATCCACTTGCAGAGATTACAAACAGTGTGTTTCCAAACTGCTCCATCAAAAGAAAGGTTAAACTCTGTGAGCTGAACACACACATCAAAAAGAAGTTTCTGTGAATGATTCTGTCTAGATTTTATAAGAAGATGTTTCCTTTTCTACCGTAGGCCTCAAAGCGCTTGAAATCTCCAGCTGCAAATTCCACAAAAAGGGTGTTTAACATCTGCTCTTCTAAAGGAAAGTTCAACTCTATGAGTTGAATACACACAGCACAAAGAAGTTACTGAGACTTCTCCTATCAAACATTATATGAAGAAATCCCGTTTCCAACGAAGGCCTCAAAGAGGTCCAAATATCTGCTTGCAGACTTTACAGACAGAGTATTTCCAAACTGCTCCATCAAAAGAAAGGTTAAACTCCTTGAGTTGAACACACACATCACAAAGTAGTTTCTGTGAATGATTCTGTCTAGTTTTTATACGAAGATGTTTCCTTTTCTACCTTTGGTCTCAAAGCCATTGAAATATCCACATGGAAACTCCACAAAAAGTGTGTTTCAAATCTGCTCTTTCTGAAGGAAGGTTCAACTCTGTGAGTTGAATACACACACCACAAATAAGTTACTGAGAATTCTCCTATCAAACATTATATGAAGAAATCCCGTTTCCAACGATGGCCCCAAAGAGGTCCAAATATCTGCTTGCAGACTTTACAAAGACAGTGTCTCCAAACTCCTCCATCAGAAGAAATATTATACACTGTGAATTGAACGCACTCATCACAAAGTAGTTTCTGAGAATGATTCTGTCTAGTTTTTATACGAAGATATTTCCTTTTCTACATTTGGCCTAAAAGCGCTTGAAATCTCCACCTGCAAATATCACAAAAAGAGGTTTTCACATCAGCTCTGTCTAAAGGACAGTTCACCTCTGTGAGTTGAATAGAGGCAACACAAAGAACTTACTCAGTAGTCTTCTTTCTAGCGTTATATGAAGAAATCCCGTTTCCAATGAAGGCCTCAAAGAGGTCCAAATATCTGCTTGCAGACTTTACAGACAGAGTGTTTCCAAACTACTCTATGAAAAGAAAGCTTAAACTCCTTGAGTTGAACGCACACATCACAAAGTAGTTTCTGAGAATGATTCTGTCTAGTTTTTATACGAAGATGATTCCTTTTCTACATTTGGTCTCAAAGCGATTGAAATCTCCAACTGGAAACTGCACAAATAGGGTGTTTCAAATCTGCTCTGTCTAAAGGAAGGTTCAACTCTGTGAGTTGAATACACACACCACAAATAAGTTACTGAGAATTCTTCTGTCGAACATTACATGAAGAAATCCCGTTTCCAACGAAGGCCTCAAAGAGGTCCAAATGTCCACTTGCAGACATTACAAACAGTGTGTTTCCAAACTGCTCCATCAAAAGAAAGGTTAAACTCTGTGAGCTGAACACACACATCAAAAAGAAGTTTCTGTGAATGATTCTGTCTAGATTTTATAAGAAGATGTTTCCTTTTCTACCGTAGGCCTCAAAGCGCTTGAAATCTCCGGCTGCAAATTCCACAAAAAGGGTGTTTAACATGTGCTCTTCTAAAGGAAAGTTCAACTCTATGAGTTGAATACACACAGCACAAAGAAGTTACTGAGACTTCTCCTATCAAACATTATATGAAGAAATCCGGTTTCCAACGAAGGCCTCAAAGAGGTCCAAATATCTGCTTGCAGACTTTACAGACAGAGTGTTTCCAAACTGCTCCATCAAAAGAAAGGTTAAACTCCTTGAGTTGAACACACACATCACAAAGTAGTTTCTGTGAATGATTCTGTCTAGTTTTTATACGAAGATGTTTCCTTTTCTGCCTTTGGTCTCAAAGCGATTGAAATCTCCACATGGAAACTCCACAAAAAGAGTGTTTCAAATCTGCTCTTTCTGAAGGAAGGTTCAAATCTGTGAGTTGAATACACACACCACAAATAAGTTACTGAGAATTCTTCTGTGTAACATTATATGAGGAAATCCCGTTTCCAACGAAGGCCTCAAAGAGGTCCAAATATCCACTTGCAGACTTTACAAAGACAGTGTCTCCAAACTCCTCCATCAAAAGAAAGGTTATACTCTGTGAATTGATCGCACACATCACAAAGTAGTTTCTGAGAATGATTCTGTCTAGTTTTTATACGAAGATATTTCCTTTTCTACATTTGGCCTAAAAGCGCTTGAAATCTCCAGCTGCAAATTCCACAAAAAGGGTGTTTAACATCTGCTCTTCTAAAGGAAATTTCAACTCTATGAGTTGAATAGACACAGCACAAAGAAGTTACTGAGACTTCTCCTATCAAACATTATATGAAGAAATACCGTTTCCAACGAAGGCCTCAAAGAGGTCCAAATATCTGCTTGCAGACTTTACAGACAGAGTGTTTCCAAACTACTCTATGAAAAGAAAGCTTAAACTCCTTGAGTTGAACGCACACATCACAAAGTAGTTTCTGAGAATGATTCTGTCTAGTTTTTATACAGAAGATGTTTCCTTTTCTACCTTTGGTCTCAAAGCGATTGAAATCTCCACATGGAAACTCCACAGAAAGAGTGTTTCAAATCTGCTCTTTCTGAAGGAAGGTTCAACTCTGTGAGTTGAATACACACACCACAAATAAGTTACTGAGAATTCTTCTGTGTAACATTATATGAGGAAATCCCGTTTCCAACGAAGGCCTCAAAGAGGTCCAAATATCCACTTGCAGACTTTACAAAGACAGTGTCTCCAAACTCCTCCATCAAAAGAAAGGTTATACTCTGTGAATTGAACGCACACATCACAAAATAGTTTCTGAGAATGATTCTGTCTAGTTTTTATACGAAGATATTTCCTTTTCTACATTTGGCCTAAAAGCGCTTGAAATCTCCACGTGCAAATATCACAAAAAGAGGGTTTCACACCTGCTCTGTCTAATGGACTGTTCACCTCTGTGAGTTGAATAGAGGCAACACAAAGAACTTACTCAGTATTCTTCTTTCTAGCGTTCTATGAAGAAATCCCGTTTCCAACGAAGGCCTCAAAGAGGTCCAAATATCTGCTTGCAGACTTTACAGACAGAGTGTTTCCAAACTACTCTATGAAAAGAAAGCTTAAACTCCTTGAGTTGAACGCACACATCACAAAGTAGTTTCTGAGAATGATTCTGTCTAGTTTTTATACGAAGATGTTTCCTTTTCTACATTTGTCTCAAAGCGATTGAAATCTCCAACTGGAAACTGCACAAATAGGGTGTTTCAAATCTGCTCTGTCTAAAGGGAGGTTCAACTCTGTGAGTTCAATACACACACCACAAATAAGTTACTGAGAATTCTTCTGTCGAACATTTCATGAAGAAATCCCGTTTCCAACGAAGGCCTCAAAGAGGTCCAAATATCCACTTGCCGACATGGCAAACACAGTGTTTGCAAACTGCTCCGTGAAAAGAAAGGTTAAACCCTGTGAGATGAACACACACATCAAAAAGAAGTTTCTGTGAATGATTCTGTCCAGATTTTATAAGAAGATGTATCCTTTTCTTCTGTAGTCCTCAAAGCGCTTGAAATCTCCAACTGCAAATTCCACAAAAAGGGTGTTTAACATCTGCTCTTCTAAAGGAAAGTTCAACTCTATGAGTTGAATACACACAGCACAAAGAAGTTACTGAGACTTCTCCTATCAAACATTATATGAAGAAATCCCGTTTCCAAGGAAGGCCTCAAAGAGGTCCAAATATCTGCTTGCAGACTTTACAGACAGAGTGTTTCCAAACTGCTAAAACAAAAGAAAGGTTAAACTCCTTGAGTTGAACACACACATCACAAAGTAGTTTCTGTGAATGATTCTGTCTAGTTTTTATAAGAAGATGTTTCCTTTTCTACCTTTGGTCTCAAAGCGATTGAAATCTCCACATGGAAACTCCACAAAAAGAGTGTTTCAAATCTGCTCTTTCTGAAGGAAGGTTCAACTCTGTGAGTTGAATACACACACCACAAATAATTTACTGAGAATTCTTCTGTGTAACATTACATGAGGAAATCCCGTTTCCAACGAAGGCCTCAAAGAGGTCCAAATATCCACTTGCAGACTTTACAAAGACAGTGTCTCCAAACTCCTCCATCAAAAGAAAGGTTATACTCTGTGAATTGAACGCACACATCACAAAGTAGTTTCTGAGAATGATTCTGTCTAGTTTTTATACGAAGATATTTCCTTTTCTACATTTGGCCTAAAAGCGCTTGAAATCTCCACCTGCAAATATCACAAAAAGAGGGTTTCACATCTGCTCTGTCTAAAGGACAGTTGACCTCTGTGAGTTGAATAGAGGCAACACAAAGAACTTACTCAGTATTCTTCTTTCTAGCGTTCTATGAAGAAATCCCGTTTCCAACGAAGACCCCAATGAGGTCCAAATATCTGCTTGCAGACTTTACAGACAGAGTGTTTCCAAAGTACTCTATGAAAAGAAAGCTTAAACTCCTTGAGTTGAACGCACACATCACAAAGTAGTTACTGAGAATGATTCTGTCTAGTTTTTATACGAAGATGTTTCCTTTTCTACATTTGGTCTCAAAGCGATTGAAATCTCCAACTGGAAACTGCACAAATAGGGTGTTTCAAATCTGCTCTGTCTAAAGGAAGGTTCAACTCTGTGAGTTGAATACACACACCACAAATAAGTTACTGAGAATTCTTCTGTCGAACATTACATGAAGAAATCCCGTTTCCAACGAAGGCCTCAAAGAGGTCCAAATATCCACTTGCAGACATTACAAACAGAGTGTTTCCAAACTGCTCCATCAAAGGAAAGGTTATACTCTGTGAATTGAACGCACACATCACAAACTAGTTTCTGAGAATGATTCTGTCTGGTTTATATACGAAGATATTTCCTTTTCTACAATTGGCCTGAAAGTGCTTGAAATCTCCACCTGCAAATATCACAAAAAGAGGGTTTCACATCTGCTCTGTCTAAAGGACAGTTCACCTCTGTGAGTTGAATAGAGGCAACACAAAGAACTTACTCAGTATTCTTCTTTCTAGCGTTACATGAAGAAATCCCGTTTCCAACGAAGGCCTCAAAGAGGTCCAAATATCTGCTTGCAGACTTTACAGACAGAGTGTTTCCAAACTACTCTATGAAAAGAAAGCTTAAACTCCTTGAGTTGAACGCACACATCACAAAATAGTTTCTGAGAATGATTCTGTCTTGTTTTTATACGAAGATATTTCCGTTTCTACGATTGCCCTCAAAGCGATTGAAATCTCCAACTGGAAACTGCACAAATAGGGTGTTTCAAATCTGCTCTGTCTAAAGGAAGGTTCAACTCTGTGAGTTGAATACACACACCACAAATAAATTACTGAGAATTCTTCTGTCGAACATTACATGAAGAAATCCCGTTTCCAACGAATGCCTCAAAGAGGTCCAAATATCCACTTGCAGACATTACAAACAGAGTGTTTCCAAACTGCTCCATCAAAGGAAAGGTTAAACTCTGTGAGCTGAACACACCCATCAAAAAGAAGTTTCTGTGAATGATTCTGTCTAGATTTTATAAGAAGATGTTTCCTTTTCTACTGTAGGCCTCAAAGCGCTTGAAATCTCCAGCTGCAAATTCCACAAAAAGGGTGTTTAACATCTGCTCTTCTAAAGGAAAGTTCAACTCTATGAGTTGAATACACACAGCACAAAGAAGTTACTGAGACTTCTCCTATCAAACATTATATGAAGAAATCCCGTTTCCAACGAAGGCCTCAAAGAGGTCCAAATATCCACTTGCAGACGTGACAAACAGAGTGTTTCCAAACTGCTCCATCAAAAGAAAGGTTAAACTCTGTGAGTTGAACACACACATCACAAAGTAGTTTCTGTGAATGATTCTGTCTAGTTTTCATACGAAGATGTTTCCTTTTCTACGTTTGGTCTCAAAGCCATTGAAATCTCCACATGGAAACTCCACAAAAAGAGGGTTTCAAATCTGTTCTTTCTGAAGGAAGGTTCAACTCTGTGAGTTGAATACACACACCACAAATAAGTTACTGAGAATTCTTCTGTGTAACATTATAGGAGGAAATCCCGTTTCCAACGAAGGCCTCAAAGAGGTCCAAATATCCACTTGCAGACTTTACAAAGACAGTGTCTCCAAACTCCTCCATCAAAAGAAAGCTTATCCTCTGTGAATTGAACGCACACATCACAAAGTAGTTTCTGAGAATGATTCTGTCTAGTTTTTATACGAAGATATTTCCTTTTCTACATTTGGCCTAAAAGCGCTTGAAATCTCCACCTGCAAATATCACAAAAAGAGGGTTTCACATCTGCTCTGTCTAAAGGACAGTTCACCTCTGTGAGTTGAATAGAGGCAGCACAAAGAAGTTACTGAGTATTCTTCTTTCTAGCGTTACATGAAGAAATCCCGTTTCCAACGAAGGCCTCAAAGAGGTCCAAATATCTGCTTGCAGACTTTACAGACAGAGTGTTTCCAAACTACTCTATGAAAAGAAAGCTTAAACTCCTTGAGTTGAACGCACACATCACAAAGTAGTTTCTGAGAATGATTCTGTCTAGTTTTTATACGAAGATGTTTCCTTTTCTACATTTGGTCTCAAAGCGATTGAAATCTCCAACTGGAAACTGCACAAATAGGGTGTTTCAAATCTGCTCTGTCTAAAGGAAGGTTCAACTCTGTGAGTTGAATACACAAACCACAAACAAGTTACTGAGAATTCTTCTGTCGAACATTACTTGAAGAAATCCCGTTTCCAACGAAGGCCTCAAAGAGGTCCAAATATCCACTTGCAGACATTACAAACAGAGTGTTTCCAAACTGCTCCATCAAAAGAAAGGTTAAACTCTGTGAGCTGAACACACACATCAAAAAGAAGTTTCTGTGAATGATTCTGTCTAGATTTTATAAGAAGATGTTTCCTTTTCTACCGTAGGCCTCAAAGCGCTTGAAATCTCCAGCTGCAAATTCCACAAAAAGGGTGTTTAACATCTGCTCTTCTAAAGGAAAGTTCAACTCTATGAGTTGAATACACACAGCACAAAGAAGTTACTGAGACTTCTCCTATCAAACATTATATGAAGAAATCCCGTTTCCAACGAAGGCCTCAAAGAGGTCCAAATATCTGCTTGCAGACTTTACAGACAGAGTGTTTCCAAACTGCTCCATCAAAAGAAAGGTGAAACTCCTTGAGTTGAACACACACATCACAAAGTAGTTTCTGTGAATGATTCTGTCTAGTTTTTATACGAAGATATTTCCTTTTCTACCTTTGGTCTCAAAGCGATTGAAATCTCCACATGGAAACTCCACAAAAAGAGTGTTTCAAACCTGCTATTTCTGAAGGAAGGTTCAACTCTGTGAGTTGAATACACACACCACAAATAAGTTACTGAGAATTCTTCTGTGTAACATTATATGAGGAAATCCCGTTTCCAACGAAGGCGTCAAAGAGGTCCAAATATCCACTTGCAGACTTTACAAAGACAGTGTCTCCAAACTCCTCCATCAAAAGAAAGGTTATACTCTGTGAATTGAACGCACACATCACAAAGTAGTTTCTGAGAATGATTCTGTCTAGTTTTTATACGAAGATATTTCCTTTTCTACATTTGGCCTAAAAGCGCTTGAAATCTCCACCTGCAAATATCACAAAAAGAGGGTTTCACATCTGCTCTGTCTAAAGGACAGTTCACCTCTGTGAGTTGAATAGAGGCAACACAAAGAACTTACTCAGTATTCTTCTTTCTAGCGTTCTATGAAGAAATCCCGTTTCCAACGAAGGCCCCAAAGAGGTCCAAATATCTGCTTGCAGACTTTACAGACAGAGTGTTTCCAAACTACTCTATGAAAAGAAAGCTTAAACTCCTTGAGTTGAACGCACACATCACAAAGTAGTTTCTGAGAATGATTCTGTCCAGTTTTTATACGAAGATGTTTCCTTTTCTACATTTGGTCTCAAAGCGATTGAAATCTCCAACTGGAAACTGCACAAATAGGGTGTTTCAAATCTGCTCTGTCTAAAGGAAGGTTCAACTCTGTGAGTTGAATACACACACCACAAATAAGTTACTGAGAATTCTTCTGTCGAACATTACAGGAAGAATTCCCGTTTCCAACGAAGGCCTCAAAGAGGTCCAAATATCCACTTGCGGACATTACAAACAGTGTGTTTCCCAACTGCTCCATCAAAAGAAAGGTTAAACTCTGTGAGCTGAACACACACATCAAAAAGAAGTTTCTGTGAATGATTCTGTCTAGATTTTATAAGAAGATGTTTCCTTTTCTACCATAGGTCTCAAAGCGCTTGAAATCTCCAGCTGCAAATTCCACAAAAAGGGTGTTTAACATCTGCTCTTCTAAAGGAAAGTTCAACTCTATGAGTTGAATACACACAGCACAAAGAAGTTACTGAGACTTCTCCTATCAAACATTATATGAAGAAATCCCGTTTCCAACGAAGGCCTCAAAGAGGTCCAAATATCTGCTTGCAGACTTTACAGACAGAGTGTTTCCAAACTGCTCCATCAAAAGAAAGGTTAAACTCCTTGAGTTGAACACACACATCACAAAGTAGTTTCTGTGAATGATTCTGTCTAGTTGTTATACGAAGATGTTTCCTTTTCTACCTTTGGTCTCAAAGCGATTGAAATCTCCACATGGAAACTCCACAAAAAGAGTGTTTCAAATCTGCTCTTTCTGAAGGAAGGTTCATCTCTGTGAGTTGAATACACACACCACAAATAAGTTACTGAGAATTCTTCTGTGTAACATTATATGAGGAAATCCCGTTTCCAACGAAGGCCTCAAAGAGGTCCAAATATCCACTTGCAGACTTTACAAAGACAGTGTCTCCAAACTCCTCCATCAAAAGAAAGGTTATACTCTGTGAATTGAACCCACACATCACAAAGTAGTTTCTGAGAATGATTCTGTCTAGTTTTTATACGAAGATATTTCCTTTTCTACATTTGGCCTAAAAGCGCTTGAAATCTCCACCTGCAAATATCACAAAAAGAGGGTTTCACATCTGCTCTGTCTAAAGGACAGTTCACCTCTGTGAGTTGAATAGAGGCAACACAAAGAACTTACTCAGTATTCTTCTTTCTAGCGTTTTAAGAAGAAATCCCGTTTCCAACGAAGGCCTCAAAGAGGTCCAAATATCTGCTTGCAGACTTTACAGACAGAGTGTTTCCAAACTACTCTATGAAAAGAAAGCTTAAACTCCTTGAGTTGAACGCACACATCACAAAGTAGTTTCTGAGAATGATTCTGTCTAGTTTTTATACGAAGATGTTTCCTTTTCTACATTTGGTCTCAAAGCGATTGAAATCTCCAACTGGAAACTGCACAAATAGGCTGTTTCAAATCTGCTCTGTCTAAAGGAAGGTTCCACTCTGTGAGTTGAATACACACACCACAAATAAGTTACTGAGAATTCTTCTGTCGAACATTACTTGAAGAAATCCCGTTTCCAACGAAGGCCTCAAAGAGGTCCAAATATCCACTTGCAGACATTACAAACAGAGTGTTTCCAAACTGCTCCATCAAAAGAAAGGTTAAACTCTGTGAGCTGAACACACACATCAAAAAGAGTTTCCGTGAATGATTCTGTCTAGATTTTATAAGAAGATGTTTCCTTTTCTACCGTAGGCCTCAAAGCGCTTGAAATCTCCAGCTGCAAATTCCACAAAAAGGGTGTTTAACATCTGCTCTTCTAAAGGAAAGTTCAACTCTATGAGTTGAATACACACAGCACAAAGAAGTTACTGAGACTTCTTCTGTCTAACATTATATGAAGAAATCCCGTTTCCATCGAAGGCCTCAAAGAGGTCCAAATATCTGCTTGCAGACTTTACAGACAGAGTGTTTCCAAACTGCTCCATCAAAAGAAAGGTTAAACTCCTTGAGTTGAACACACACATCACAAAGTAGTTTCTGTGAATGATTCTGTCTAGTTTTTATACGAAGATGTTTCCTTTTCTACCTTTGGTCTCAAAGCGATTGAAATCTCCACATGGAAACTCCACAAAAAGAGTGTTTCAAATCTGCTCTTTCTGAAGGAAGGTTCAACCCTGTGAGTTGAATACACACACCACAAATAAGTTACTGAGAATTCTTTCTGTGTAACATTATATGAGGAAATCCCGTTTCCAACGAAGGCCTCAAAGAGATCCAAATATCCACTTGCAGACTTTACAAAGACAGTGTCTCCAAACTCCTCCATCAACAGAAAGGTTATACTCCGTGAATTGAACGCACACATCACAAAGTAGTTTCTGAGAATGATTCTGTCTAGTTTTTATACGAAGATATTTCCTTTTCTACATTTGGCCTAAAAGCGCTTGAAATCTCCACCTGCAAATATCACAAAAAGAGGGTTTCACATCTGCTCTGTCTGAAGGACAGTTCACCTCTGTGAGTTGAATAGAGGCAACACAAAGAACTTACTCAGTATTCTTCTTTCTAGCGTTCTATGAAGAAATCCCGTTTCCAACGAAGGCCCCAAAGAGGTCCAAATATCTGCTTGCAGACTTTACAGACAGAGTGTTTCCAAACTACTCTATGAAAAGAAAGCTTAAACTCCTTGAGTTGAACGCACACATCACAAAGTAGTTTCTGAGAATGATTCTGTCTAGTTTTTATACGAAGATGTTTCCTTTTCTACATTTGGTCTCAAAGCGATTGAAATCTCCAACTGGAAACTGCACAAATAGGGTGTTTCAAATCTGCTCTGTCTAAAGGAAGGTTCAACTCTGTGAGTTGAATACACACAGCACAAATAAGTTACTGAGAATTCTTCTGTCGAACATTACTTGAAGAAATCCCGTTTCCAACGAAGGCCTCAAAGAGGTCCAAATATCCACTTGCAGACATTACAAACAGAGTGTTTCCAAACTGCTCCATCAAAAGAAAGGTTAAACTCTGTGAGCTGAACACACACATCAAAAAGAAGTTTCTGTGAATGATTCTGTCTAGATTTTATAAGAAGATGTTTCCTTTTCTACCGTAGGCCACAAAGCGCTTGAAATCTCCAGCTGCAAATTCCACAAAAAGGGTGTTTTACATCTGCTCTTCTAAAGGAAAGTTCAACTCTATGCGTTGAATACACACAGCACAAAGAAGTTACTGAGACTTCTCCTGTCAAACATTATATGAAGAAATACCGTTTCCAACGAAGGCCTCAAAGAGGTCCAAATATCTGCTTGCAGACTTTACAGACAGAGTGTTTCCAAACTGCTCCATCAAAAGAAAGGTTAAACTCCTTGAGTTGAACACACACATCACAAAGTAGTTTCTGTGAATGATTCTGTCTAGTTTTTATACGAAGATGTTTCCTTTTCTACCTTTGGTCTCAAAGCGATTGAAATCTCCACATGGAAACTCCACAAAAAGAGTGTTTCAAATCTGCTCTTTCTGAAGGAAGGTTCAACTCCGTGAGTTGAATACACACACCACAAATAAGTTACTGAGAATTCTTCTGTGTAACATTATATGAGGAAATCCCGTTTCCAACGAAGGCCTCAAAGAGGTCCAAATATCCACTTTCAGACTTTACAAAGACAGTGTCTCCAAACTCCTCCATCAAAAGAAAGGTTATACTCTGTGAATTGAACGCACACATCACAAAGTAGTTTCTGAGAATGATTCTGTCTAGTTTTTATACGAAGATATTTCCTTTTCTACATTTGGCCTAAAAGCGCTTGAAATCTCCACCTGCAAATATCACAAAAAGAGGGTTTCACATCTGCTCTGTCTAAAGGACAGTTCACCTCTGTGAGTTGAATAGAGGCAACACAAAGAACTTACTCAGTATTCTTCTTTCTAGCGTTCTATGAAGAAATCCCGTTTCCAACGAAGACCCCAATGAAGTCCAAATATCTGCTTGCAGACTTTACAGACAGAGTGTTTCCAAACTACTCTATGAAAAGAAAGCTTAAACTCCTTGAGTTGAACGCACACATCACAAAGTAGTTTCTGAGAATGATTCTGTCTAGTTTTTATACGAAGATGTTTCCTTTTCTACATTTGGTCTCAAAGCGATTGAAATCTCCAACTGGAAACTGCACAAATAGGGTGTTTCAAATCTGCTCTGTTTAAAGGAAGGTTCAACTCTGTGAGTTGAATACACACACCACAAATAAGTTACTGAGAATTCTTCTGTCGAACATTACTTGAAGAAATCCCGTTTCCAACGAAGGCCTCAAAGAGGTCCAAATATCCACTTGCAGACATTACAAACAGAGTGTTTCCAAACTGCTCCATCAAAAGAAAGGTTAAACTCTGTGAGCTGAACACACACATCAAAAAGAAGTTTCTGTGAATGATTCTGTCTAGATTTTATAAAAAGATGTTTCCTTTTCTACCGTAGGCCACAAAGCGCTGGAAATCTCCAGCTGCAAATTCCACAAAAAGGGTGTTTAACATCTGCTCTTCTAAAGGAAAGTTCAACTCTATGCGTTGAATACACACAGCACAAAGAAGTTACTGAGACTTCTCCTATCAAACATTATATGAAGAAAACCCGTTTCCAACGAAGGCCTCAAAGAGGTCCAAATATCTGCTTGCAGACTTTACAGACAGAGTTTTTCCAAACTGCTCCATCAAAAGAAAGGTTAAACTCCTTGAGTTGAACACACACATCACAAAGTAGTTTCTGTGAATGATTCTGTCTAGTTTTTATACGAAGATGTTTCCTTTTCTACCTTTGGTCTCAAAGCGATTGAAATCTCCACATGGAAAATCCACAAAAAGAGTGTTTCAAATCTGCTCTTTCTGAAGGAAGGTTCATCTCTGTGAGTTGAATACACACACCACAAATAAGTTACTGAGAATTCTTCTGTGTAACATTATATGAGGAAATCCCGTTTCCAACGAAGGCCTCAAAGAGGTCCAAATATCCACTTGCAGACTTTACAAAGACAGTGTCTCCAAACTCCTCCATCAAAAGAAAGGTTATACTCGGTGAATTGAACGCACACATCACAAAGTAGTTTCTGAGAATGATTCTGTCTAGTTTTTATACGAAGATATTTCCTTTTCTACATTTCGCCTAAAAGCGCTTGAAATCTCCACCTGCAAATATCACAAAAAGAGGGTTTCACATCTGCTCTGTCCAAAGGACAGTTCACCTCTGTGAGTTGAATAGAGGCAACACAAAGAACTTACTCAGTATTCTTCTTTCTAGCGTTCTATGAAGAAATCCCGTTTCCAACGAAGGCCCCAAAGAGGTCCAAATATCTGCTTGCAGACTTTACAGACAGAGTGTTTCCAAACTACTCTATGAAAAGAAAGCTTAAACTCCTTGAGTTGAACACACACATCACAAAGTAGTTTCTGAGAATGATTCTGTCTAGTTTTTATACGAAGATGTTTCCTTTTCTACATTTGGTCTCAAAGCGATTGAAATCTCCAACTGGAAACTGCACAAATAGGGTGTTTCAAATCTGCTCTGTCTAAAGGAAGGTTCAACTCTGTGAGTTGAATACACACACCACAAATAAGTTACTGAGAATTCTTCTGTCGAACATTACAGGAAGAAATCCCGTTTCCAACGAAGGCCTCAAAGAGGTCCAAATATCCACTTGCAGACATTACAAACAGAGTGTTTCCAAACTGCTCCATCAAAAGAAAGGTTAAACTCTGTGAGCTGAACACACACATCAAAAAGAAGTTTCTGTGAATGATTCTGTCTAGATTTTATAAGAAGATGTTTCCTTTTCTACCGTAGGCCTCAAAGCGCTTGAAATCTCCAGCTGCAAATTCCACAAAAAGGGTGTTTAACATCTGCTCTTCTAAAGGAAAGTTCAACTCTATGAGTTGAATACACACAGCACAAAGAAGTTACTGAGACTTCTCCTATCAAACATTATATGAAGAAATCCCGTTTCCAACGAAGGCCTCAAAGAGGTCCAAATATCTGCTTGCAGACTTTACAGACAGAGTGTTTCCAAACTGCTCCATCAAAAGAAAGGTTAAACTCCTTGAGTTGAACACACACATCACAAAGTAGTTTCTGTGAATGATTCTGTCTAGTTGTTATACGAAGATGTTTCCTTTTCTACCTTTGGTCTCAAAGCGATTGAAATCTCCACATGGAAACTCCACAAAAAGAGTGTTTCAAATCTGCTCTTTCTGAAGGAAGGTTCATCTCCGTGAGTTGAATACACACACCACAAATAAGTTACTGAGAATTCTTCTGTGTAACATTATATGAGGAAATCCCGTTTCCAACGAAGGCCTCAAAGAGGTCCAAATATCCACTTGCAGACTTTACAAAGACAGTGTCTCCAAACTCCTCCATCAAAAGAAAGGTTATACTCTGTGAATTGAACGCACACATCACAAAGTAGTTTCTGAGAATGATTCTGTCTAGTTTTTATACGAAGATATTTCCTTTTCTACATTTGGCCTAAAAGCGCTTGAAATCTCCACCTGCAAATATCACAAAAAGAGGGTTTCACATCTGCTCTGTCTAAAGGACAGTTCACCTCTGTGAGTTGAATAGAGGCAACACAAAGAACTTACTCAGTATTCTTCTTTCTAGCGTTCTATGAAGAAATCCCGTTTCCAACGAAGGCCCCAAAGAGGTCCAAATATCTGCTTGCAGACTTTACAGACAGAGTGTTTCCAAACTACTCTATGAAAAGAAAGCTTAAACTCCTTGAGTTGAACGCACACATCACAAAGTAGTTTCGGAGAATGATTCTGTCTAGTTTTTATACGAAGATGTTTCCTTTTCTACATTTGGTCTCAAAGCGATTGAAATCTCCAACTGGAAACTGCACAAATAGGCTGTTTCAAATCTGCTCTGTCTAAAGGAAGGTTCAACTCTGTGAGTTGAATACACACACCACAAATAAGTTACTGAGAATTCTTCTGTCTAACATTATATGGAGAAAACCCGTTTCCAACGAAGGCCTCAAAGAGGTCCAAATATCCACTTGCAGACTTTTCAAACAGAGTGTTTCCAAACTGCACCATCAAAAGAAAAGTTAAACACTGTGAGCTGAACACACACATCACAAAGTAGTTTCTGTGAATGATTCTGTCTAGTTTTTATACGAAGATGTTTCCTTTTCTACCTTTGGTCTCAAAGCGACTGAAATCTCCACATGGAAACTCCACAAAAAGAGTGATGCAAATCTGCTCTTTCTGAAGGAAGGTTCAACTCTGTGAGTTGAATAAACACACCACAAATAAGTTACTGAGAATTCTTCTGTGTAACATTATATGAGGAAATCCCGTTTCCAACGAATGCCTCAAAGAGGTCCAAATATCCACTTGCAGACTTTACAAAGACAGTGTCTCCAAACTCCTCCATCAAAAGAAAGGTTATACTCTGTGAATTGAACGCACACATCACAAAGTAGTTTCTGAGAATGATTCTGTCTAGTTTTTATACGAAGATATTTCCTTTTCTACATTTGGCCTAAAAGTGCTTGAAATCTCCACCTGCAAATATCACAAAAAGAGGGTTTCACATCTGCTCTGTCTAAAGGACAGTTCACCTCTGTGAGTTGAATAGAGGCAACACAAAGAACTTACTCAGTATTCTTCTTTCTAGCGTTCTATGAAGAAATCCCGTTTCCAACGAAGGCCCCAAAGAGGTCCAGATATCTGCTTGCAGACTTTACAGACAGAGTGTTTCCAAACTACTCTATGAAAAGAAAGCTTAAACTCCTTGAGTTGAACGCACACATCACAAAGTAGTTTCTGAGAATGATTCTGTCTAGTTTTTATACGAAGATGTTTCCTTTTCTACATTTGGTCTCAAAGCGATTGAAATCTCCAACTGGAAACTGCACAAATAGGGTGTTTCAAATCTGCTCTGTCTAAAGGAAGGTTCAACTCTGTGAGTTGAATACACAAACCACAAATAAGTTACTGAGAATTCTTCTGTCGAACATTACTTGAAGAAATCCCGTTTCCAACGAAGTCCTCAAAGAGGTCCAAATATCCACTTGCAGACATTACAAACAGAGTGTTTCCAAACTGCTCCATCAAAAGAAAGGTTAAACTCTGTGAGCTAAACACACACATCGAAAAGAAGTTTACTGTGAATGATTCTGTCTAGATTTTATAAGAAGATGTTTCCTTTTCTACCGTAGGCCTCAAAGCGCTTGAAATCTCCAGCTGCAAATTCCACAAAAAGGGTGTTTAACATCTGCTCTTCTAAAGGAAAGTTCAACTCTATGAGTTGAATACACACAGCACAAAGAAGTTACTGAGACTTCTCCTATCAAACATTATATGAAGAAATCCCGTTTCCAACGAAGGCCTCAAAGAGGTCCAAATATCTGCTTGCAGACTTTACAGACAGAGTGTTTCCAAACTGCTCCATCAAAAGAAAGGTTAAACTCCTTGAGTTGAACACACACATCACAAAGTAGTTTCTGTGAATGATTCTGTCTAGTTTTTATACGAAGATGTTTCCTTTTCTACCTTTGGTCTCAAAGCGATTGAAATCTCCACATGGAAACTCCACAAAAAAGAGTGTTTCAAATCTGCTCTTTCTGAAGGAAGGTTCAACTCTGTGAGTTGAATACACACACCACAAATAAGTTACTGAGAATTCTTCTGTGTAACATTATATGAGGAAATCCCGTTTCCAACGAAGGCCTCAAAGAGGTCCAAATATCCACTTGCAGTCTTTACAAAGACAGTGTCTCCAAACTCCTCCATCAAAAGAAAGGTTATACTCTGTGAATTGAACGCACACATCACAAAGTAGTTTCTGAGAATGATTCTGTCTAGTTTTTATACGAAGATATTTCCTTTTCTACATTTGGCCTAAAAGCGCTTGAAATCTCCACCTGCAAATATCACAAAAAGAGGGTTTCACATCTGCTCTGTCTAAAGGACAGTTCACCTCTGTGAGTTGAATAGAGGCAACACAAAGAACTTACTCAGTATTCTTCTTTCTAGCGTTCTATGAAGAAATCCCGTTTACAACGAAGGCCTCAAAGAGGTCCAAATATCTGCTTGCAGACTTTACAGACAGAGTGTTTCCAAACTACTCTATGAAAAGAAAGCTTAAACTCCTTGAGTTGAACGCACACATCACAAAGTAGTTTCTGAGAATGATTCTGTCTAGTTTTTATATGAAGATGTTTCCTTTTCTACATTTGGTCTCAAAGCGATTGAAATCTCCAACTGGAAACTGCACAAATAGGCTGTTTCAAATCTGCTCTGTCTATAGGAAGGTTCAACTCTGTGAGTTGAATACACACACCACAAATAAGTTACTGAGAATTCTTCTGTCGAACATTACTTGAAGAAATCCCGTTTCCAACGAAGGCCTCAAAGAGGTCCAAATATCCACTTGCAGACATTACAAACAGAGTGTTTCCAAACTGCTCCATCAAAAGAAAGGTTAAACTCTGTGAGCTGAACACACACATCAAAAAGAAGTTTCTGTGAATGATTCTGTGTAGATTTTATAAGAAGATGTTTCCTTTTCTACCGTAGGCCTCAAAGCGCTTGAAATCTCCAGCTGCAAATTCCACAAAAAGGGTGTTTAACATCTGCTCTTCTAAAGGAAAGTTCAACTCTATGAGTTGAATACACACAGCACAAAGAAGTTACTGAGACTTCTCCTATCAAACATTATATGAAGAAATCCCGTTTCCAACGAAGGCCTCAAAGAGGTCCAAATATCTGCTTGCAGACTTTACAGACAGAGTGTTTCCAAACTGCTCCATCAAAAGAAAGGTTAAACTCCTTGAGTTGAACACACACATCACAAAGTAGTTTCTGTGAATGATTCTGTCCAGTTTTTATACGAAGATGTTTCCTTTTCTACCTTTGGTCTCAAAGCGATTGAAATCTCCACATGGAAACTCCACAAAAAGAGTGTTTCAAATCTGCTCTTTCTGAAGGAAGGTTCAACTCTGTGAGTTGAATACACACACCACAAATAAGTTACTGAGAATTCTTCTGTGTAACATTATGTGAGGAAATCCCGTTTCCAACGAAGGCCTCAAAGAGGTCCAAATATCCACTTGCAGACTTTACAAAGACAGTGTCTCCAAACTCCTCCATCAAAAGAAAGGTTATACTCTGTGAATTGAACGCACACATCACAAAGTAGTTTCTGAGAATGATTCTGTCTAGTTTTTATACGAAGATATTTCCTTTTCTACATTTGGCCTAAAAGCGCTTGAAATCTCCACCTGCAAATATCACAAAAAGAGGGTTTCACATCTGCTCTGTCTAAAGGACAGTTCACCTCTGTGAGTTGAATAGAGGCAACACAAAGAACTTACTCAGTATTCTTCTTTCTAGCGTTCCATGAAGAAATCCCGTTTCCAACGAAGGCCCCAAAGAGGTCCAAATATCTGCTTGCAGACTTTACAGACAGAGTGTTTCCAAACTACTCTATGAAAAGAAAGCTTAAACTCCTTGAGTTGAACGCACACATCACAAAGTAGTTTCTGAGAATGATTCTGTCTAGTTTTTATACGAAGATGTTTCCTTTTCTACATTTGGTCTCAAAGCGATTGAAATCTCCAACTGGAAACTGCACAAATAGGGTGTTTCAAATCTGCTCTGTCTAAAGGAAGGTTCAACTCTGTGAGTTGAATACACACACCACAAATAAGTTACTGAGAATTCTTCTGTCGAACATTACATGAAGAAATCCCGTTTCCAACGAAGGCCTCAAAGACGTCCAAATATCCACTTGCAGACATTACAAACAGAGTGTTTCCAAACTGCTCCATCAAAAGAAAGGTTAAACTCTGTGAGCTGAACACACACATCAAAAAGAAGTTTCTGTGAATGATTCTGTCTAGATTTTATATGAAGATGTTTCCTTTTCTACCGTAGGCCTCAAAGCGCTTGAAATCTCCAGCTGCAAATTCCACAAAAAGGGTGTTTAACATCTGCTCTTCTAAAGGAAAGTTCAACTCTATGAGTTGAATACACACAGCACAAAGAAGTTACTGAGACTTCTTCTGTCTAACATTATATGAAGAAATCCCGTTTCCAACGAAGGCCTCAAAGAGGTCCAAATATCTGCCTGCAGACTTTACAGACAGAGTGTTTCCAAACTGCTCCATCAAAAGAAAGGTTAAACTCCTTGAGTTGAACACACACATCACAAAGTAGTTTCTGTGAATGATTCTGTCTAGTTTTTATACGAAGATGTTTCCTTTTCTACCTTTGGTCTCAAAGCGATTGAAATCTCCACATGGAAACTCCACAAAAAGAGAGTTTCAAATCTGCTCTTTCTGAAGGAAGGTTCAACTCTGTGAGTTGAATACACACACCACAAATAAGTTACTGAGAATTCTTCTGTGTAACATTATATGAGGAAATCCCGTTTCCAACGAAGGCCTCAAAGAGGTCCAAATATCCACTTGCAGACTTTACAAAGACAGTGTCTCCAAACTTCTCCATCAAAAGAAAGGTTATACTCTGTGAATTGAACGCACACATCACAAAGTAGTTTCTGAGAATGATTCTGTCTAGTTTTTATACGAAGACATTTCCTTTTCTACATTTGGCCTAAAAGCGCTTGAAATCTCCACGTGCAAATATCACAAAAAGAGGGTTTCACATCTGCTGTGTCTAAAGGACAGTTCACCTCTGTGAGTTGAATAGAGGCAACACAAAGAACTTACTCAGTATTCTTCTTTATAGCGTTCTATGAAGAAATCCCGTTTCCAACGAAGGCCTCAAAGAGGTCCAAATATCTGCTTGCAGACTTTACAGACAGAGTGTTTCCAAACTACTCTATGAAAAGAAAGCTTAAACTCCTTGAGTTGAACGCACACATCACAAAGTAGTTTCTGAGAATGATTCTGTCTAGTTTTTATACGAAGATGTTTCCTTTTCTACATTTGTCTCAAAGCGATTGAAATCTCCAACTGGAAACTGCACAAATAGGCTGTTTCAAATCTGCTCTGTCTAAAGGAGGGTTCAACTCTGTGAGTTGAATACACACACCACAAGTAAGTTACTGAGAATTCTTCTGTCGAACATTACAGGAAGAAATGCCGTTTCCAACTAAGGCCTCAAAGAGGTCCAAACCTCCACTTGCAGACATTACAAACAGTGTGTTTCCAAACTGCTCCATCAAAAGAAAGGTTAAACTCTGTGAGCTGAACACACACATCAAAAAGAAGTTTCTGTGAATGATTCTGTCTAGATTTTATAAGAAGATGTTTCCTTTTCTACCGTAGGCCTCAAAGCGCTTGAAATCTCCAGCTGCAAATTCCACAAAAAGGGTGTTTAACATCTGCTCTTCTAAAGGAAAGTTCAACTCTATGAGTTGAATACACACAGCACAAAGAAGTTACTGAGACTTCTCCTATCAAACATTATATGAAGAAATCCCGTTTCCAACGAAGGCCTCAAAGAGGTCCAAATATCTGCTTGCAGACTTTACAGACAGAGTGTTTCCAAACTGCTCCATCAAAAGAAAGGTTAAACTCCTTGAGTTGAACACACACATCACAAAGTAGTTTCTGTGAATGATTCTGTCTAGTTTTTATACGAAGATGTTTCCTTTTCTACCTTTGGTCTCAAAGCCATTGAAATCTCCACATGGAAACTCCACAAAAAGAGTGTTTCAAATATGCTCTTTCTGAAGGAAGGTTCAACTCTGTGAGTTGAATACACACACCACAAATAAGTTACTGAGAATTCTTTTGTGTAACATTACAGGAGGAAATCCCGTTTCCAACGAAGGCCTCAAAGAGGTCCAAATATCCACTTGCAGACTTTAAAAAGACAGTGTCTCCAAACTCCTCCATCAAAAGAAAGGTTATCCTCTGTGAATTGAACGCACACATCACAAAGTAGTTTCTGAGAATGATTCTGTCTAGTTTTCATACGAAGATATTTCCTTTTCTACATTTGGCCTAAAAGCGCTTGAAATCTCCACCTGCAAATATCACAAAAAGAGGGTTTCACATCTGCTCTGTCTAAAGGACAGTTCACCTACTGTGAGTTGAATAGAGGCAACACAAAGAACTTACTCAGTATTCTTATCTTTCTAGCGTTCTATGAAGAAATCCCGTTTCCAACGAAGGCCTCAAAGAGGTCAAATATCTGCTTGCAGACTTTACAGACAGAGTGTTTCCAAACTACTCTATGAAAAGAAAGCTTAAACTCCTTGAGTTGAACGCACACATCACAAAGTAGTTTCTGAGAATGATTCTGTCTAGTTTTTATACGAAGATGTTTCCTTTTCTACATTTGGTCTCAAAGCGATTGAAATCTCCTACTGGAAACTGCACAAATAGGGTGTTTCAAATCTGCTCTGTCTAAAGGAAGGTTCAACTGCTGTGAGTTGAATACACACACCACAAATAAGTTACTGAGAATTCTTCTGTCGAACATTACAGGAAGAAATCCCGTTTCCAACGAAGGCCTCAAAGAGGTCCAAATATCCACTTGCAGACATTACAAACAGAGTGTTTCCAAACTGCTCCATCAAAAGAAAGGTTAAACTCGGTGAGCTGAACACACACATCAAAAAGAAGTTTCTGTGAATGATTCTGTCTAGATTTTATAAGAAGACGTTTCCTTTTCTACGGTAGGCCTCAAAGCGCTTGAAATCTCCAGCTGCAAATTCCACAAAAAGGGTGTTTAACATCTGCTCTTCTAAAGGAAAGTTATACTCTATGAGTTGAATACACACAGCACAAAGAAGTTACTGAGACTTCTCCTATCAAACATTATATGAAGAAATCCCGTTTCCAACGAAGACCTCAAAGAGGTCCAAATATCTGCTTGCAGACTTTACACACAGAGTGTTTCCAAACTTCTCCATCAAAAGAAAGGTTAAACTCCTTGAGTTGAACACACACATCACAAAGTAGTTTCTGTAAATGATTCTGTCTAGTTTTTATACGAAGATGTTTCCTTTTCTACCTTTGGTCTCAATGCGATTGAAATCTCCACATGGAAACTCCACAAAAAGAGTGTTTCAAATCTGCTCTTTCTGAAGGAAGGTTTAACTCTGTGAGTTGAATACACACACCACAAATAAGTTACTGAGAATTCTTCTGTGTAACATTATATGAGGAAATCCCGTTTCCAACGAAGGCCTCAAAGAGGTCCAAATATCCACTTGCAGACTTTACAAAGACAGTGTCTCCAAACTCCTCCATCAAAAGAAAGGTTATACTCTGTGAATTGAACGCACACATCACAAAGTAGTTTCTGAGAATGATTCTGTCTAGTTTTTATACGAAGATATTTCCTTTTCTACATTTGGCCTCAAAGCGCTTGAAATCTCCACCTGCAAATATCACAAAAAGAGGGTTTCACATCTGCTCTGTCTAAAGGACAGTTCACCTCTGTGAGTTGAATAGAGGCAACACAAAGAACTTACTCAGTATTCTTCTTTCTAGCGTTATATGAAGAAATCCCGTTTCCAACGAAGGCCTCAAAAAGGTCCAAATATCTGCTTGCAGACTTTACAGACAGAGTGCTTCCAAACTACTCTATGAAAAGAAAGCTTAAACTCCTTGAGTTGAACGCACACATCACAAAGTAGTTTCTGAGAATGATTCTGTCTAGTTTTTATACGAAGATGTTTCCTTTTCTACATTTGGTCTCAAAGCGATTGAAATCTCCAACTGGAAACTGCACAAATAGGGTGTTTCAAATCTGCTCTGTCTAAAGGAAGGTTCAACTCTGTGAGTTGAATACACACACCACAAATAAGTTACTGAGAATTCTTCTGTCGAACATTACTTGAAGAAATCCCGTTTCCAACAAAGGCCTCAAAGAGGTCCAAATATCCACTTGCAGACATTACAAACAGAGTGTTTCCAAACTGCTCCATCAAAAGAAAGGTTAAACTCTGTGAGCTGAACACACACATCAAAAAGAAGTTTCTGTGAATGATTCTGTCTAGATTTTATAAGAAGATGTTTCCTTTTCTACCGTAGGCCTCAAAGCGCTTGAAATCTCCAGCTGCAAATTCCACAAAAAGGGTGTTTAACATCTGCTCTTCTAAAGGAAAGTTCAACTCTATGAGTTGAATACACACAGCACAAAGAAGTTACTGAGACTTCTCCTATCAAACATTATATTAAGAAATCCCTTTTCCAACGAAGGCCTCAAAGAGGTCCAAATATCTGCTTGCAGACTTTACAGACAGAGTGTTTCCAAACTGCTCCATCAAAAGAAAGGTTAAACTCCTTGAGTTGAACACACACATCACAAAGTAGTTTCTGTGAATGATTCTGTCTAGTTTTTATACGAAGATGTTTCCTTTTCTACCTTTGGTCTCAATGCGATTGAAATCTCCACATGGAAACTCCACAAAAAGAGTGTTTCAAATCTGCTCTTTCTGAAGGAAGGTTCATCTCTGTGAGTTGAATACACACACCACAAATAAGTTACTGAGAATTCTTCTGTGTAACATTATATGAGGAAATCCCGTTTCCAACGAAGGCCTCAAAGAGGTCCAAATATCCACTTGCAGACTTTACAAAGACAGTGTCTCCAAACTCCTCCATCAAAAGAAAGGTTATACTCTGTGAATTGAACGCACACATCACAAAGTAGTTTCTGAGAATGATTCTGTCTAGTTTTTATACGAAGATATTTCCTTTTCTACATTTGGCCTAAAAGCGCTTGAAATCTCCACCTGCAAATATCACAAAAAGAGGGTTTCACATCTGCTCTGTCTAAAGGACAGTTCACCTCTGTGAGTTGAATAGAGGCAACACAAAGAACTTACTCAGTATTCTTCTTTCTAGCGTTCTATGAAAAATCCCGTTTCCAACGAAGACCCCAATGAGGTCCTAATATCTGCTTGCAGACTTTACAGACAGAGTGTTTTCAAACTACTCTATGAAAAGAAAGCTTAAACTCCTTGAGTTCAACGCACCCATCACAAAGTAGTTTCTGAGAATGATGCTGTCTAGTTTTTATACGAAGATGTTTCCTTTTCTACATTTGGTCTCAAAGCGATTGAAATCTCCAACTGGAAACTGCACAAATAGGGTGTTTCAAATCTGCTCTGTCTAAAGGAAGGTTCAACTCAGTGAGTTGAATACACACACCACAAATAAGTTACTGAGAATTCTTCTGTCGAACATTACTTGAAGAAATCCCGTTTCCAACGAAGGCCTCAAAGAGGTCCAAATATCCACTTGCAGACATTACAAACAGAGTGTTTCCAAACTGCTCCATCAAAAGAAAGGTTATACTCTGTGAGCTGAACACACACATCAAAAAGAAGTTTCTGTGAATGATTCTGTCTAGATTTTATAAGAAGATGTTTCCTTTTCTACCGTAGGCCTCAAAGCGCTTGAAATCTCCAGCTGCAAATTCCACAAAAAGGGTGTTTAACATCTGCTCTTCTAAAGGAAAGTTCAACCCTATGAGTTGAATACACACAGCACAAAGAAGTTACTGAGACTTGTCCTATCAAACATTATATGAAGAAATCCCGTTTCCATCGAAGGCCTCAAAGAGGTCCAAATATCTGCTTGCAGACTTTACAGACAGAGTGTTTCCAAACTGCTCCATCAAAAGAAAGGTTAACCTCCTTGAGTTGAACACAGACATCACAAAGTAGTTTCTGTGAATGATTCTGTCTAGTTTTTATACGAAGATGTTTCCTTTTCTACCTTTGGTCTCAAAGCGATTGAAATCTCCACATGGAAACTCCACAAAAAGAGTGTTTCAAATCTGCTCTTTCTGAAGGAAGGTTCATCTCTGTGAGTTGAATACACACACCACAAATAAGTTACTGAGAATTCTTCTGTGTAACATTATATGAGGAAATCCCGTTTCCAACGAAGGCCTCAAAGAGGTCCAAATATCCACTTGCAGACTTTACAAAGACAGTGTCTCCAAACTCCTCCATCAAAAGAAAGGTTATACTCTGTGAATTGAACGCACACATCACAAAGTAGTTTCTGAGAATGATTCTGTCTAGTTTTTATACGAAGATATTTCCTTTTCTACATTTGGCCTAAAAGCGCTTGAAATCTCCACCTGCAAATATCACAAAAAGAGGGTTTCACATCTGCTCTGTCTAAAGGACAGTTCACCTCTGTGAGTTGAATAGAGGCAACACAAAGAACTTACTCAGTATTCTTCTTTCTAGCGTTCTCTGAAGAAATCCCGTTTCCAACGAAGGCCTCAAAGAGGTCCAAATATCTGCTTGCAGACTTTACAGACAGAGTGTTTCCAAACTACTCTATGAAAAGAAAGCTTAAACTCCTTGAGTTGAACGCACACATCACAAAGTAGTTTCTGAGAATGATTCTGTCTAGTTTTTATACGAAGATGTTTCCTTTTCTACATTTGGTCTCAAAGCGATTGAAATCTCCAACTGGAAACTGCACAAATAGGGTGTTTCAAATCTGCTCTGTCTAAAGGAAGGTTCAACTCTGTGAGTTGAATACACACACCACAAATAAGTTACTGAGAATTCTTCTGTCGAACATTGCTTGAAGAAATCCCGTTTCCAACGAAGGCCTCAAAGAGGTCCAAATATCCACTTGCAGACATTACAAACAGAGTGTTTCCAACCTGCTCCATCAAAAGAAAGGTTAAACTCTGTGAGCTGAACACACACATCAAAAAGAAGTTTCTGTGAATGATTCTGTCTAGATTTTATAAGAAGATGTTTCCTTTTCTACCGTAGGCCTCAAAGCGCTTGAAATCTCCAGCTGCAAATTCCACAAAAAGGGTGTTTAACATCTGCTCTTCTAAAGGAAAGTTCAACTCTATGAGTTGAATACACACAGCACAAAGAAGTTACTGAGACTTCTCCTATCAAACATTATATGAAGAAATCCCGTTTCCAACGAAGGCCTCAAAGAGGTCCAAATATCTGCTTGCAGACTTTACAGACAGAGTGTTTCCAAACTGCTCCATCAAAAGAAAGGTTAAACTCCTTGAGTTGAACACACACATCACAAAGTAGTTTCTGTGAATGATTCTGTCTAGTTTTTATACGAAGATGTTTCCTTTTCTACCTTTGGTCTCAAAGCGATTGAAATCTCCACATGGAAACTCCACAAAAAGAGTGTTTCAAATCTGCTCTTTCTGAAGGAAGGTTCATCTCTGTGAGTTGAATACACACACCACAAATAAGTTACTGAGAGTTCTTCTGTGTAACATTATATGAGGAAATCCCGTTTCCAACGAAGGCCTCAAAGAGGTCCAAATATCCACTTGCAGACTTTACAAAGACAGTGTCTCCAAACTCCTCCATCAAAAGAAAGGTTATACTCTGTGAATTGAACGCACACATCACAAAGTAGTTTCTGAGAATGATTCTGTCTAGTTTTTATACGAAGATATTTCCTTTTCTACATTTGGCCTAAAAGCGCTTGAAATCTCCACCTGCAAATATCACAAAAAGAGGGTTTCACATCTGCTCTGTCTAAAGGACAGTTCACCTCTGTGAGTTGAATAGAGGCAACACAAAGAACTTACTCAGTATTCTTATCTTTCTAGCGATCTATGAAGAAATCCCGTTTCCAACGAAGGCCTCAAAGAGGTCAAATATCTGCTTGCAGACTTTACAGACAGAGTGTTTCCAAACTACTCTATGAAAAGAAAGCTTAAACTCCTTGAGTTGAACGCACACATCACAAAGTAGTTTCTGAGAATGATTCTGTCTAGTTTTTATACGAAGATATTTCCTTTTCTACATTTGGCCTAAAAGTGCTTGAAATCTCCACCTGCAAATATCACAAAAAGAGGGTTTCACATCTGCTCTGTCTAAAGGACAGTTCACCTCTGTGAGTTGAATAGAGGCAACACAAAGAACTTACTCAGTATTCTTCTTTCTAGCGTTCTATGAAGAAATCCCGTTTCCAACGAAGGCCCCAAAGAGGTCCAAATATCTGCTTGCAGACTTTACAGACAGAGTGTTTCCAAACTACTCTATGAAAAGAAAGCTTAAACTCCTTGAGTTGAACGCACACATCACAAAGTAGTTTCTGAGAATGATTCTGTCTAGTTTTTATACGAAGATGTTTCCTTTTCTACATTTGGTCTCAAAGCGATTGAAATCTCCAACTGGAAACTGCACAAATAGGCTGTTTCAAATCTGCTCTGTCTAAAGGAAGGTTCAACTCTGTGAGTTGAATACACACACCACAAATAAGTTACTGAGAATTCTTCCGTCGAACATTACTTGAAGAAATCCCGTTTCCAACGAAGGCCTCAAAGAGGTCCAAATATCCACTTGCAGACATTACAAACAGAGTGTTTCCAAAACTGCTCCATCAAAAGAAAGGTTAAACTCTGTGAGCTGAACACACACATCAAAAAGAAGTTTCTGTGAATGATTCTGTCTAGATTTTATAAGAAGATGTTTCCTTTTCTACCGTAGGCCTCAAAGCGCTTGAAATCTCCAGCTGCAAATTCCACAAAAAGGGTGTTTAACATCTGCTCTTCTAAAGGAAAGTTCAACTCTATGAGTTGAATACACACAGCACAAAGAAGTTACTGAGACTTCTCCTATCAAACATTATATGAAGAAATCCCGTTTCCAACGAAGGCCTCAAAGAGGTCCAAATATCTGCTTGCAGACTTTACAGACAGAGTATTTCCAAACTGCTCCATCAAAAGAAAGGTTAAACTCCTTGAGTTGAACACACACATCACAAAGTAGTTTCTGTGAATGATTCTGTCTAGTTTTTATACGAAGATGTTTCCTTTTCTACCTTTGGTCTCAAAGCGATTGAAATCTCCACATGGAAACTCCACAAAAAGAGTGTTTCAAATCTGCTCTTTCTGAAGGAAGGTTCAACTCTGTGAGTTGAATACACACACCACAAATAAGTTACTGAGAATTCTTCTGTGTAACATTATATGAGGAAATCCCGTTTCCAACGAAGGCCTCAAAGAGGTCCAAATATCCACTTGCAGACTTTACAAAGACAGTGTCTCCAAACTCCTCCATCAAAAGAAAGGTTATACTCTGTGAATTGAACGCACACATCACAAAGTAGTTTCTGAGAATGATTCTGTCTAGTTTTTATACGAAGATATTTCCTTTTCTACATTTGGCCTAAAAGCGCTTGAAATCTCCACCTGCAAATATCACAAAAAGAGGGTTTCACATCTGCTCTGTCTAAAGGACAGTTCACCTCTGTGAGTTGAGTAGAGGCAACACAAAGAACTTACTCAGTATTCTTCTTTCCAGCGTTCTATGAAGAAATCACGTTTCCAACGAAGGCCCCAATGAGGTCCAAATATCTGCTTGCAGACTTTACAGACAGAGTGTTTCCAAACTACTCTATGAAAAGAAAGCTTAAACTTCTTGAGTTGAACGCACACATCACAAAGTAGTTTCTGAGAATGATTCTGTCTAGTTTTTATACGAAGATGTTTCCTTTTCTACATTTGGTCTCAAAGCGATTGAAATCTCCAACTGGAAACTTCACAAATAGGGTGTTTCAAATCTGCTCTGTCTAAAGGAAGGTTCAGCTCTGTGAGTTGAATACACACACCACAAATAAGTTACTGAGAATTCTTCTGTCGAACATTACTTGAAGAAATCCCGTTTCCAACGAAGGCCTCAAAGGAGGTCCAAATATCCACTTGCAGACATTACAAACAGAGTGTTTCCAAACTGCTCCATCAAAAGAAAGGTTAAACTCTGTGAGCTGAACACACACATCAAAAAGAAGTTTCTGTGAATGATTCTGTCCAGATTTTATAAGAAGATGTTTCCTTTTCTACTGTAGTCCTCAAAGCGCTTGAAATCTCCAACTGCAAATTCCACAAAAAGGGTGTTTAACATCTGCTCTTCTAAAGGAAAGTTCAACTCTATGAGTTGAATACACACAGCACAAAGAAGTTACTGAGACTTCTCCTATCAAACATTATATGAAGAAATCCCGTTTCCAACGAAGGCCTCAAAGAGGTCCAAATATCTGCTTGCAGACTTTACAGACAGAGTGTTTCCAAACTGCTCCATCAAAAGAAAGGTTAAACTCCTTGAGTTGAACACACACATCACAAAGTAGTTTCTGTGAATGATTCTGTCTAGTTGTTATACGAAGATGTTTCCTTTTCTACCTTTGGTCTCAAAGCGATTGAAATCTCCACATGGAGACTCCACAAAAAGAGTGTTTCAAATCTGCTCTTTCTGAAGGAAGGTTCATGCTCTGTGAGTTGAATACACACACCACAAATAAGTTACTGAGAATTCTTCTGTGTAACATTATATGAGGAAATCCCGTTTCCAACGAAGGCCTCAAAGAGGTCCAAATATCCACTTGCAGACTTTACAAAGACAGTGTCTCCAAACTCCTCCATCAAAAGAAAGGTTATACTCTGTGAATTGAACGCACACATCACAAAGTAGTTTCTGAGAATGATTCTGTCTAGTTTTAATACGAAGATATTTCCTTTTCTACATTTGGCCTAAAAGCGCTTGAAATCTCCACCTGCAAATATCACAAAAAGAGGGTTTCACATCTGCTCTGTCTAAAGGACAGTTCACCTCTGTGAGTTGAATAGAGGCAACACAAAGAACTTACTCAGTATTCTTCTTTCCAGCGTTCTATGAAGAAATCCCGTTTCCAACGAAGGCCTCAAAGAGGTCCAAATATCTGCTTGCAGACTTTACAGACAGAGTGTTTCCAAACTACTCTATGAAAAGAAAGCTTAAACTCCGTGAGTTGAATGCACACATCACAAAGTAGTTTCTGAGAATGATTCTGTCTAGTTTTTATACGAAGATGTTTCCTTTTCTACATTTGGTCTCAAAGCGATTGAAATCTCCAACTGGAATCTGCACAAATAGGGTGTTTCAAATCTGCTCTGTCTAAAGGAAGGTTCAACTCTGTGAGTTGAATACACACACCACAAATAAGTTACTGAGAATTCTTCTGTCGAACATTACATGAAGAAATCCCGTTTCCAAAGAAGGCCTCAAGGGGTCCAAATATCTACTTGCAGACATTACAAACAGAGTGTTTCCAAACTGCTCCATCAAAAGAAAGGTTAAACTCTGTGAGCTGAACACACACATCAAAGAGAAGTTTCTGTGAATGATTCTGTCTAGATATTATAAGAAGATGTTTCCTTTTCTACCGTAGGCCTCAAAGCGCTTGAAATCTCCAGCTGCAAATTCCACAAAAAGGGTGTTTAACATCTGCTCTTCTAAAGGAAAGTTCAACTCTATGAGTTGAATACACACAGCACAAAGAAGTTACTGAGACTTCTCCTATCAAACATTACATGAAGAAATCCCGTTTCCAACGAAGGCCTCAAAGAGGTCCAAATATCTGCTTGCAGACTTTACAGACAGAGTGTTTCCAAACTGCTCCATCAAAAGAAAGGTTAAACTCCTTGAGTTGAACACACACATCACAAAGTAGTTTCTGTGAATGATTCTGTCTAGTTTTTATACGAAGATGTTTCCTTTTGTACCTTTGGTCTCAAAGCGATTGAAATCTCCACATGGAAACTCCACAAAAAGGGTGTTTCAAATCTGCTCTTTCTGAAGGAAGGTTCAACTCTGTGAGTTGAATACACACACCACAAATAAGTTACTGAGAATTCTTCTGTGTAACATTATATGAGGAAATCCCGTTTCCAACGAAGGCCTCAAAGAGGTCCAAATATCCACTTGCAGACTTTACAAAGACAGGGTCTCCAAACTCCTCCATCAAAAGAAAGGTTATACTCTGTGAATTGAACGCACACATCACAAAGTGGTTTCTGAGAATGATTCTGTCTAGTTTTTATACGAAGATATTTCCTTTTCTACATTTGGCCTAAAAGCGTTTGAAATCTCCACCTGCAAATATCACAAAAAGAGGGTTTCACATCTGCTCTGTCTAAAGGACAGTTCACCTCTGTGAGTTGAATAGAGGCAACACAAAGAACTTACTCAGTATTCTTCTTTCTAGCGTTCTATGAAGAAATCCCGTTTCCAACGAAGGCCCCAAAGAGGTCCAAATATCTGCTTGCAGACTTTACAGACAGAGTGTTTCCAAACTACTCTATGAAAAGAAAGCTTAAACTCCTTGAGTTGAACGCACACATCACAAAGTAGTTTCTGAGAATGATTCTGTCTAGTTTTTATACGAAGATGTTTCCTTTTCTACATTTGGTCTCAAAGCGATTGAAATCTCCAACTGGAAACTGCACAAATAGGGTGTTTCAAATCTGCTCTGTCTAAAGGAAGGTTCAACTCTGTGAGTTGAATACACACACCACAAATAAGTTACTGAGAATTCTTCTGTCGAACATTACTTGAAGAAATCCCGTTTCCAACGAAGGCCTCAAAGAGGTCCAAATATCCACTTGCAGACATTACAAACAGAGTGTTTCCAAACTGCTCCATCAAAAGAAAGGTTAAACTCTGTGAGCTGAACACACACATCGAAAAGAAGTTTCTGTGAATGATTCTGTCTAGATTTTATAAGAAGATGTTTCCTTTTCTACCGTAGGCCTCAAAGCGCTTGAAATCTCCAGCTGCAAATTCCACAAAAAGGGTGTTTAACATCTGCTCTTCTAAAGGAAAGTTCAACTCTATGAGTTGAATACACACAGCACAAAGAAGTTACTGAGACTTCTCCTATCAAACATTATATGAAGAAATCCCGTTTCCAACGAAGGCCTCAAAGAGGTCCAAATATCTGCTTGCAGACTTTACAGACAGAGTGTTTCCAAACTGCTCCATCAAAAGAAAGGTTAAACTCCTTGAGTTGAACACACACATCACAAAGTAGTTTCTGTGAATGATTCTGTCTAGTTTTTATACGAAGATGTTTCCTTTTCTACCTTTCGTCTCAAAGCGATTGAAATCTCCACATGGAAACTCCACAAAAAGAGTGTTTCAAATCTGCTCTTTCTGAAGGAAGGTTCAACTCTGTGAGTTGAATACACACACCACAAATAAGTTACTGAGAATTCTTCTGTGTAACATTAGATGAGGAAATCCCGTTTCCAACGAAGGCCTCAAAGAGGTCCAAATATCCACTTGCAGACTTTACAAAGACAGTGTCTCCAAACTCCTCCATCAAAAGAAAGGTTATACTCTGTGAATTGAACGCACACATCACAAAGTAGTTTCTGAGAATGATTCTGTCTAGTTTTTATACGAAGATATTTCCTTTTCTACATTTGGCCTAAAGCGCTTGAAATCTCCACCTGCAAATATCACAAAAAGAGGGTTTCACATCTGCTCTGTCTAAAGGACAGTTCACCTCTGTGAGTTGAATAGAGGCAACACAAAGAACTTACTCAGTATTCTTCTTTCTAGCATTCTATGAAGAAATCCCGTTTCCAACGAAGGCCTCAAAGAGGTCCAAATATCTGCTTGCAGACTTTACAGACAGAGTTTTTCCAAACTGCTCCATCAAAAGAAAGGTTAAACTCCTTGAGTTGAACACACACATCACAAAGTAGTTTCTGTGAATGATTCTGTCTAGTTTTTATACGAAGATGTTTCCTTTTCTACCTTTGGTCTCAAAGCGATTGAAATCTCCACATGGAAACTCCACAAAAAGAGTGTTTCAAATCTGCTCTTTCTGAAGGAAGGTTCAACTCTGTGAGTTGAATACACACACCACAAATAAGTTACTGAGAATTCTTCTGTGTAACATTATATGAGGAAATCCCGTTTCCAACGAAGGCCTCAAAGAGGTCCAAATATCCACTTGCAGACTTTACAAAGACAGTGTCTCCAAACTCCTCCATCAAAGAAAGGTTATACTCTGTGAATTGAACGCACACATCACAAAGTAGTTTCTGAGAATGATTCTGTCTAGTTTTTATACGAAGATATTTCCTTTTCTACATTTGGCCTAAAAGCGCTTGAAATCTCCACCTGCAAATATCACAAAAAGAGGGTTTCACATCTGCTCTGTCTAAAGGACAGTTCACCTCTGTGAGTTGAATAGAGGCAACACAAAGAACTTACTCAGTATTCTTCTTTCTAGCGTTCTATGAAGAAATCCCTTTTCCAACGAAGGCCTCAAAGAGGTCCAAATATCTGCTTGCAGACTTTACAGAGTGTTTCCAAACTACTCTATGAAAAGAAAGCTTAAACTCCTTGAGTTGAACGCACACATCACAAAGTAGTTTCTGAGAATGATTCTGTCTAGTTTTTATACGAAGATGTTTCCTTTTCTACATTTGGTCTCAAAGCGATTGAAATCTCCAACTGGAAACTGCACAAATAGGGTGTTTCAAATCTGCTCTGTCTAAAGGAAGGTTCAACTCTGTGAGTTGAATACACACACCACAAATAAGTTACTGAGAATTCTTCTGTCGAACATTACAGGAAGAAATCCCGTTTCCAACGAAGGCCTCAAAGAGGTCCAAATATCCACTTGCAGACATTACAAACAGTGTGTTTCCCAACTGCTCCATCAAAAGAAAGGTTAAACTCTGTGAGCTGAACACACACATCAAAAAGAAGTTTCTGTGAATGATTCTGTCTAGATTTTATAAGAAGATGTTTCCTTTTCTACCATATGCCTCAAAGTGCTAGAAATCTCCAGCTGCAAATTCCACAAAAAGTGTGTTTAACATCTGCTCTGTCTAAAGTAAAGTTCAGCTCTGTGAGTTGAATACACACAGCACAAAGAAGTTACTGAGACTTCTCCTATCAAACATTATATGAAGAAATCCCGTTTCCAACGAAGGCCTCAAAGAGGTCCAAATATCTGCTTGCAGACTTTACAGACACAGTTTTTCCAAACTGCTCCATCAAGAGAAAGGTTAAACTCCTTGAGTTGAACACACACATCACAAAGTAGTTTCTGTGAATGATTCTGTCTAGTTTTTATACGAAGATGTTTCCTTTTCTACCTTTGGTCTCAAAGCGATTGAAATCTCCACATGGAAACTCCACAAAAAGAGTGTTTCAAATCTGCTCTTTCTGAAGGAAGGTTCAACTCTGTGAGTTGAATACACACACCACAAATAAGTTACTGAGAATTCTTCTGTGTAACATTATATGAGGAAATCCCGTTTCCAACGAAGGCCTCAAAGAGGTCCAAATATCCACTTGCAGACTTTACAAAGACAGTGTCTCCAAACTCCTCCATCAAAAGAAAGGATATACTATGTGAATTGAACGCACACATCACAAAGTAGTTTCTGAGAATGATTCTGTCTAGTTTTTATACGAAGATATTTCCTTTTCTACATTTGGCCTAAAAGCGCTTGAAATCTCCACCTGCAAATATCACAAAAAGAGGGTTTCACATCTGCTCTGTCTAAAGGACAGTTCACCTCTGTGAGTTGAATAGAGGCAACACAAAGAACTTACTCAGTATTCTTCTTTCTAGCGTTCTATGAAGAAATCCCGTTTCCAACGAAGGCCCCAAAGAGGTCCAAATATCTGCTTGCAGACTTTACAGACAGAGTGTTTCCAAACTACTCTATGAAAAGAAAGCTTAAACTCCTTGAGTTGAACGCACACATCACAAAGTAGTTTCTGAGAATGATTCTGTCTTGTTTTTATACAAAGTTATTTCCGTTTCTATGATTGGCCACAAAGCGATTGAAATCTCCAACTGGAAACTGCACAAATAGGGTGTGTGAAATCTGCTCTGTCTAAAGGAAGGTTCAACTCTGTGAGTTGAATACACACACCACAAATAAGTTACTGAGAATTCTTCTGTCAAACGTTACATGAAGAAATCCCGTTTCCAACGAAGGCCTCAAAGAGGTCCAAATATCCACTTGCAGACATTACAAACAGAGTGTTTCCAAACTGCTCCATCAAAAAAAAGGTTAATCTCTGTGAGCTGAACACACACATCAAAAAGAAGTTTCTGTGAATGATTCTGTCTAGATTTTATAAGAAGATGTTTCCTTTTCTACCGTAGGCCTCAAAGCGCTTGAAATCTCCAGCTGCAAATTCCACAAAAAGGGTGTTTAACATCTGCTCTTCTAAAGGAAAGTTCAACTCAATGAGTTGAATACACACAGCACAAAGAAGTTACTGAGACTTCTCCTATCAAACATCATATGAAGAAATCCCGTTTCCAACGAAGGCCTCAAAGAGGTCCAAATATCTGCTTGCAGACTTTACAAAGACAGTGTCTCCAAACTCCTCCATCAAAAGAAAGGTTATACTCTGTGAATTGAACGCACACATCACAAAGTAGTTTCTGAGAATGATTCTGTCTAGTTTTTATACGAAGATATTTTTTTTTCTACATTTGGCCTAAAAGCGCTTGAAATCTCCACCTGCAAATATCACAAAAAGAGGGTTTCACATCTGCTCTTTCTAAAGGACAGTTCACCTCTGTGAGTTGAATAGAGGCAACACAAAGAACTTACTCAGTATTCTTCTTTCTAGCGTTCTATGAAGAAATCCCGTTTCCAACGACGACCCCAATGAGGTCCAAATATCTGCTTGCAGACTTTACAGACAGAGTGTTTCCAAACTACTCTATGAAAAGAAAGCTTAAACTCCTTGAGTTGAACGCACACATCACAAAGTAGTTTCTGAGAATGATGTCTGTCTTGTTTTTATACGAAGATCTTTCCGTTTCTATGATTGGCCTCAAAGCGATTGAAATCTCCAACTGGAAACTGCACAAATAGGGTGTTTCAAATCTGCTCTGTCTAAAGGAAGGTTCAACTCTGTGAGTTGAATACACACACCACAAATAAGTTACTGATAATTCTTCTGTCGACCATTACTTGATGAAATCCCGTTTCCAACGAAGGCCTCAAAGAGGTCCAAATATCCACTTGCAGACATTACAAACAGAGTGTTTCCAAACTGCTCCATCAAAAGAAAGGTTAAACTCTGTGAGCTGAATACACACATCGAAAAGAAGTTTCTGTGAATGATTCTGTCTAGATTTTATAAGAAGATGTTTCCTTTTCTACCGTAGGCCTCAAAGCGCTTGAAATCTCCAGCTGCAAATTCCACAAAAAGGGTGTTTAACATCTGCTCTTCTAAAGGAAAGTTCAACTCTATGAGTTGAATACACACAGCACAAAGAAGTTACTGAGACTTCTCCTATCAAACATTATATGAAGAAATCCCGTTTCCAACGAAGGCCTCAAAGAGGTCCAAATATCTACTTGCAGACTTTACAGACAGAGTGTTTCCAAACTGCTCCATCAAAAGAAAGGTTAAACTCCTTGAGTTGAACACACACATCACAAAGTAGTTTCTGTGAATGATTCTGTCTAGTTTTTATACGAAGATGTTTCCTTTTCTACCTTTGGTCTCAAAGCGATTGAAATCTCCACATGGAAACTCCACAAAAAGAGTGTTTCAAATCTGCTCTTTCTGAAGGAAGGTTCATCTCTGTGAGTTGAATACACACACCACAAATAAGTTACTGAGAATTCTTCTGTGTAACATTATATGAGGAAATCCCGTTTCCAACGAAGGCCTCAAAGGAGGTCCAAATATTCACATGCAGACTTTACAAAGACAGTGTCTCCAAACTCCTCCATCAAAAGAAGGGTTATACTCTGTGAATTGAACGCACACATCACAAAGTAGTTTCTGAGAATGATTCTGTCTAGTTTTTATACGAAGATATTTCCTTTTCTACATTTGGCCTAAAAGCGCTTGAAATCTCCACCTGCAAATATAACAAAAAGAGGGTTTCACATCTGCTCTGTCTAAAGGACAGTTCACCTCTGTGAGTTGAATAGAGGCAACACAAAGAACTTACTCAGTATTCTTCTTTCTAGCGTTCTATGAAGAAATCCGGTTTCCAACGAAGACCCCAATGAGGTCCAAATATCTGCTTGCAGACTTTACAGACAGAGTGTTTCCAAACTACTCTATGAAAAGAAAGCTTAAACTCCTTGAGTTGAACGCACACATCACAAAGTAGTTTCTGAGAATGATTCTGTCTAGTTTTTATACGAAGATGTTTCCTTTTCTACATTTGGCCTAAAAGTGCTTGAAATCTCCACCTGCAAATATCACAAAAAGAGGGTTTCACATCTGCTCTGTCTAAAGGACAGTTCACCTCTGTGAGTTGAATAGAGGCAACACAAAGAACTTACTCAGTATTCATCTTTCTAGCAGTTACTATGAAGAAATCCCGTTTCCAACGAAGGCCCCCAAAAGAGGTCCAAATATCTGCTTGCAGACTTTACAGACAGAGTGTTTCCAAACTACTCTATGAAAAGAAAGCTTAAACTCCTTGAGTTGAACGCACACATCACAAAGTAGTTTCTGAGAATGATTCTGTCTAGTTTTTATACGAAGATGTTTCCTTTTCTACATTTGGTCTCAAAGCGATTGAAATCTCCAACTGGAAACTGCACAAATAGGGTGTTTCAAATCTGCTCTGTCTAAAGGAAGGTTCAACTCTGTGAGTTGAATACACACACCACAAATAAGTTACTGAGAATTCTTCTGTCGACCATTACTTGATGAAATCCCGTTTCCAACGAAGGCCTCAAAGAGGTCCAAATATCCACTTGCAGACATTACAAACAGAGTGTTTCCAAACTGCTCCATCAAAAGAAAGGTTAAACTCTGTGAGCTGAACACACACATCGAAAAGAAGTTTCTGTGAATGATTCTGTCTAGATTTTATAAGAAGATGTTTCCTTTTCTACCGTAGGCCTCAAAGCGCTTGAAATCTCCAGCTGCAAATTCCACAAAAAGGGTGTTTAACATCTGCTCTTCTAAAGGAAAGTTCAACTCTATGAGTTGAATACACACAGCACAAAGAAGTTACTGAGACTTCTCCTATCAAACATTATATGAAGAAATCCCGTTTCCAACGAAGGCCTCAAAGAGGTCCAAATATCTGCTTGCAGACTTTACAGACAGAGTGTTTCCAAACTGCTCCATCAAAAGAAAGGTTAAACTCCTTGAGTTGAACACACACATCACAAAGTAGTTTCTGTGAATGATTCTGTCTAGTTTTTATACGAAGATGTTTCCTTTTCTACCTTTGGTCTCAAAGCGATTGAAATCTCCACATGGAAACTCCACAAAAAGAGTGTTTCAAATCTGCTCTTTCTGAAGGAAGGTTCAACTCTGTGAGTTGAATACACACACCACAAATAAGTTACTGAGAATTCTTCTGTGTAACGTTATATGAGGAAATCCCGTTTCCAACGAAGGCCTCAAAGAGGTCCAAATATCCACTTGCAGACTTTACAAAGACAGTGTCTCCAAACTCCTCCATCAAAAGAAAGGTTATACTCTGTGAATTGAACGCACACATCACAAAGTAGTTTCTGAGAATGATTCTGTCTAGTTTTTATACGAAGATATTTCCTTTTCTACATTTGGCCTAAAAGCGCTTGAAATCTCCACCTGCAAATATCACAAAAAGAGGGTTTCACATCTGCTCTGTCTAAAGGACAGTTCACCTCTGTGAGTTGAATAGAGGCAACACAAAGAACTTACTCAGTATTCTTCTTTCTAGCGTTCTATGAAGAAATCCCGTTTCCAACGAAGGCCCCAAAGAGGTCCAAATATCTGCTTGCAGACTTTACAGACAGAGTGTTTCCAAAGTACTCTATGAAAAGAAAGCTTAAACTCCTTGAGTTGAACGCACACATCACAAAGTAGTTTCTGAGAATGATTCTGTCTAGTTTTTATACGAAGATGTTTCCTTTTCTACATTTGGTCTCAAAGCGATTGAAATCTCCAACTGGAAACTGCACAAATAGGGTGTTTCAAATCTGCTCTGTCTAAAGGAAGGTTCAACTCTGTGAGTTGAATACACACACCACAAATAAGTTACTGAGAATTCTTCTGTCGAACATTACAGGAAGAAATCCCGTTTCCAACGAAGGCCTCAAAGAGGTCCAAATATCCACTTGCAGACATTACAAACAGTGTGTTTCCCAACTGCTCCATCAAAAGAAAGGTTAAACTCTGTGAGCTGAACACACACATCAAAAAGAAGTTTCTGTGAATGATTCTGTCTAGATTTTATAAGAAGATGTTTCCTTTTCTACCGTAGGCCTCAAAGCGCTTGAAATCTCCAGCTGCAAATTCCACAAAAAGGGTGTTTAACATCTGCTCTTCTAAAGGAAAGTTCAACTCTATGAGTTGAATACACACAGCACAAAGAAGTTACTGAGACTTCTCCTATCAAACATTATATGAAGAAATCCCGTTTCCATCGAAGGCCTCAAAGAGGTCCAAATATCTGCTTGCAGACTTTACAGACAGAGTGTTTCCAAACTGCTCCATCAAAAGAAAGGTTAACCTCCTTGAGTTGAACACACACATCACAAAGTAGTTTCTGTGAATGATTCTGTCTAGTTTTTATACGAAGATGTTTCCTTTTCTACCTTTGGTCTCAAAGCGATTGAAATCTCCACATGGAAACTCCACAAAAAGAGTGTTTCAAATCTGCTCTTTCTGAAGGAAGGTTCATCTCTGTGAGTTGAATACACACACCACAAATAAGTTACTGAGAATTCTTCTGTGTAACATTATATGAGGAAATCCCGTTTCCAAAGAAGGCCTCGAAGAGATCCAAATATCCACTTGCAGACTTTACAAAGACAGTGTCTCCAAACTCCTCCATCAAAAGAAAGGTTATACTCTGTGAATTGAACGCACACATCACAAAGTAGTTTCTGAGAATGATTCTGTCTAGTTTTTATACGAAGATATTTCCTTTTCTACATTTGGCCTAAAAGCGCTTGAAATCTCCACCTGCAAATATCACAAAAAGAGGGTTTCACATCTGCTCTGTCTAAAGGACAGTTCACCTCTGTGAGTTGAATAGAGGCAACACAAAGAACTTACTCAGTATTCTTCTTTCTACCGTTCTATGAAGAAATCCCGTTTCCAACGAAGGCCTCAAAGAGGTCCAAATATCTGCTTGCAGACTTTACAGACAGAGTGTTTCCAAACTACTCTATGAAAAGAAAGCTTAAACTCCTTGAGTTGAACGCACACATCACAAAGTAGTTTCTGAGAATGATTCTGTCTAGTTTTTATACGAAGATGTTTCCTTTTCTACATTTGTTCTCAAAGCGTTTGAAATCTCCAAATGGAAACTGCACAAATAGGGTGTTTCAAATCTGCTCTGTCTAAAGGAAGGTTCAACTCTGTGAGTTGAATACACACACCACAAATAAGTTGCTGAGAATTCTTCTGTCGAACATTACTTGAAGAAATCCCGTTTCCAACGAAGGCCTCAAAGAGGTCCAAATATCCACTTGCAGATATTACAAACAGAGTGTTTCCAAACTGCTCCATCAAAAGAAAGGTTAAACTCTGTGAGCTGAACACACACATCAAAAAGAAGTTTCTGTGAATGATTCTGTCTAGATTTTATAAGAAGATGTTTCCTTTTCTACCGTCGGCCTCAAAGCGCTTGAAATCTCCAGCTGCAAATTCCACAAAAAGGGTGTTTAACATCTGCTCTTCTAAAGGAAAGTTCAACTCTATGAGTTGAATACACACAGCACAAAGAAGTTACTGAGACTTCTCCTATCAAACATTATATGAAGAAATCCCGTTTCCAACGAAGGCCTCAAAGAGGTCCAAATATCTGCTTGCAGACTTTACAGACAGAGTTTTTCCAAACTGCTCCATCAAAAGAAAGGTTAAACTCCTTGAGTTGAACACACACATCACAAAGTAGTTTCTGTGAATGATTCTGTCTAGTTTTTATACGAAGATGTTTCCTTTTCTACCTTTGGTCTCAAAGCGATTGAAATCTCCACATGGAAACTCCACAAAAAGAGTGTTTCAAATCTGCTCTTTCTGAAGGAAGGTTCAACTCTGTGAGTTGAATACACACACCACAAATAAGTTACTGAGAATTCTTCTGTGTAACATTATATGAGGAAATCCCGTTTCCAACGAAGGCCTCAAAGAGGTCCAAATATCCACATGCAGACTTTACAAAGACAGTGTCTCCAAACTCCTCCATCAAAAGAAAGGTTATACTCTGTGAATTGAACGCACACATCACAAAGTAGTTTCTGAGAATGATTCTGTCTAGTTTTTATACGAAGATATTTCCTTTTCTACATTTGGCCTAAAAGCGCTTGAAATCTCCACCTGCAAATATCACAAAAAGAGGGTTTCACATCTGCTCTGTCTAAAGGACAGTTCACCTCTGTGAGTTGTATAGAGGCAACACAAAGAACTTACTCAGTATTCTTCTTTCTAGCGTTCTATGAAGAAATCCCGTTTCCAACGAAGACCCCAATGAGGTCCAAATATCTGCTTGCAGACTTTACAGACAGAGTGTTTCCAAAGTACTCTATGAAAAGAAAGCTTAAACTCCTTGAGTTGAACGCACACATCACAAAGTAGTTACTGAGAATGATTCTGTCTAGTTTTTATACGAAGATGTTTCCTTTTCTACATTTGGTCTCAAAGCGATTGAAATCTCCAACTGGAAACTGCACAAATAGGGTGTTTCAAATCTGCTCTGTCTAAAGGAAGGTTCAACTCTGTGAGTTGAATACACACACCACAAATAAGTTACTGAGAATTCTTCTGTCGACCATTACTTGAAGAAATCCCGTTTCCAACGAAGGCCTCAAAGAGGTCCAAATATCCACTTGCAGACATTACAAACAGAGTGTTTCCAAACTGCTCCATCAAAAGAAAGGTTAAACTCTGTGAGCTGAACACACACATCGAAAAGAAGTTTCTGTGAATGATTCTGTCTAGATTTTATAAGAAGATGTTTCCTTTTCTACCGTAGGCCTCAAAGCGCTTGAAATCTCCAGCTGCAAATTCCACAAAAAGGGTGTTTAACATCTGCTCTTCTAAAGGAAAGTTCAACTCTATGAGTTGAATACACACAGCACAAAGAAGTTACTGAGACTTCTCCTATCAAACATTATATGAAGAAATCCCGTTTCCAACGAAGGCCTCAAAGAGGTCCAAATATCTGCTTGCAGACTTTACAGACAGAGTGTTTCCAAACTGCTCCATCAAAAGAAAGGTTAAACTCCTTGAGTTGAACACACACATCACAAAGTAGTTTCTGTGAATGATTCTGTCTAGTTTTTATACGAAGATGTTTCCTTTTCTACCTTTGGTCTCAAAGCGATTGAAATCTCCACATGGAAACTCCACAAAAAGAGTGTTTCAAATCTGCTCTTTCTGAAGGAAGGTTCATCTCTGTGAGTTGAATACACACACCACAAATAAGTTACTGAGAATTCTTCTGTGTAACATTATATGAGGAAATCCCGTTTCCAACGAAGGCCTCAAAGAGGCCCAAATATCCACTTGCAGACTTTACAAAGACAGTGTCTCCAAACTCCTCCATCAAAAGAAAGGTTATACTCTGTGAATTGAACGCACACATCACAAAGTAGTTTCTGAGAATGATTCTGTCTAGTTTTTATACGAAGATATTTCCTTTTCTACATTTGGCCTAAAAGCGCTTGAAATCTCCACCTGCAAATATCACAAAAAGAGGGTTTCACATCTGCTCTGTCTAAAGGACAGTTCACCTCTGTGAGTTGAATAGAGGCAACACAAAGAACTTACTCAGTATTCTTCTTTCTAGCGTTCTATGAAGAAATCCCGTTTCCAACGAAGGCCCCAAAGAGGTCCAAATATCTGCTTGCAGACTTTACAGACAGAGTGTTTCCAAACTACTCTATGAAAAGAAAGCTTAAACTCCCTTGAGTTGAACGCACACATCACAAAGTAGTTTCTGAGAATGATTCTGTCCAGTTTTTATACGAAGATGTTTCCTTTTCTACATTTGGTCTCAAAGCGATTGAAATCTCCAACTGGAAACTGCACAAATACGGTGTTTCAAATCTGCTCTGTCTAAAGGAAGGTTCAACTCTGTGAGTTGAATACACACACCACAAATAAGTTACTGAGAATTCTTCTGTCGAACATTACTTGAAGAAATCCCGTTTCCAAAGAAGGCCTCAAAGAGGTCCAAATATCCACTTGCAGACATTACAAACAGAGTGTTTCCAAACTGCTCCATCAAAAGAAAGGTTAAACTCTGTGAGCTGAACACACACATCAAAAAGAAGTTTCTGTGAATGATTCTGTCTATATTTTATAAGAAGATGTTTCCTTTTCTACCGTAGGCCTCAAAGCGCTTGAAATCTCCAGCTGCAAATTCCACAAAAAGGGTGTTTAACATCTGCTCTACTAAAGGAAAGTTCAACTCTATGAGTTCAATACACACAGCACAATGAAGTTACTGAGGCTTCTCCTATCAAACATTATATGAAGAAATCCCGTTTCCAACGAAGGCCTCAAAGAGGTCCAAATATCTGCTTGCAGACTTTACAGACAGAGTATTTCCAAACTGCTCCATCAAAAGAAAGGTTAAACTCCTTGAGTTGAACACACACATCACAAAGTAGTTTCTGTGAATGATTCTGTCTACTTTTTATACGAAGATGTTTCCTTTTCTACCTTTGGTCTCAAAGCGATTGAAATCTCCACATGGAAACTCCACAAAAAGAGTGTTTCAAATCTGCTCTTTCTGAAGGAAGGTTCAACTCTGTGAGTTGAATACACACACCACAAATAAGTTACTGAGAATTCTCCTATCAAACATTATATGAAGAAATCCCGTTTCCAATGATGGCCCCAAAGAGGTCCAAATATCTGCTTGCAGACTTTACAAAGACAGTGTCTCCAAACTCCTCCATCAAAAGAAATATTATACACTGTGAATTGAACGCACTCATCACAAAGTAGTTTCTGAGAATGATTCTGTCTAGTTTTTATTCGAAGATATTTCCTTTTCTACATTTGGCCTAAAAGCGCTTGAAATCTCCACGTGCAAATATCACAAAAAGAGGGTTTCACATCTGCTCTGTCTAAAGGACAGTTCACCTCTGTGAGTTGAATAGAGGCAACACAAAGAACTTACTCAGTATTCTTCTTTCTAGCGTTCTATGAAGAAATCCCGTTTCCAACAAAGGCCCCAAAGAGGTCCAAATATCTGCTTGCAGACTTTTCAGACAGAGTGTTTCCAAACTACTCTATGAAAAGAAAGCTTAAACTCCTTGAGTTGAACGCACACATCACAAAGTAGTTTCTGAGAATGATTCTGTCTTGTTTTTATAAGAAGATATTTCCGTTTCTATGATTGGCCTCCAAGCGATTGAAATCTCCAACTGGAAACTGCACAAATAGGGTGTTTCAAATCTGCTCTGTCTAAAGGAAGGTTGAACTCTGTGAGTTGAATACACACACCACAAATAACTTACTGAGAATTCTTCTGTCGAACATTACAGGAAGAAATCCCGTTTCCAACGAAGGCCTCAAAGAGGTCCAAATATCCACTTGCGGACATTACAAACAGTGTGTTTCCCAACTGCTCCATCAAAAGAAAGGTTAAACTCTGTGAGCTGAACACACACATCAAAAAGAAGTTTCTGTGAATGATTCTGTCTAGATTTTATAAGAAGATGTTTCCTTTTCTACCGTAGGCCTCAAAGCGCTTGAAATCTCCAGCTGCAAATTCCACAAAAAGGGTGTTTAACATCTGTTCTTCTAAAGGAAAGTTCAACTCTATGAGTTGAATACACACAGCACAAAGAAGTTACTGAGACTTCTCCTATCAAACATTATTTGAAGAAATCCCGTTTCCAACGAAGGCCTCAAAGAGGTCCAAATATCTGCTTGCAGACTTTACAGACAGAGTGTTTCCAAACTGCTCCATCAAAAGAAAGTTTAAACTCCTTGAGTTGAACACACACATCACAAAGTAGTTTCTGTGAATGATTCTGTCTAGTTGTTATACGAAGATGTTTCCTTTTCTACCTTTGGTCTCAAAGCGATTGAAATCTCCACATGGAAACTCCACAAAAAGAGTGTTTCAAATCTGCTCTTTCTGAAGGAAGGTTCATCTCTGTGAGTTGAATATACACACCACAAATAAGTTACTGAGAATTCTTCTGGGTAACATTATATGAGGAAATCCCGTTTCCAACGAAGGCCTCAAAGAGGTCCAAATATCCACTTGCAGACTTTACAAAGACAGTGTCTCCAAACTCCTCCATCAAAAGAAAGGTTATACTCTGTGAATTGAACGCACACATCACAAAGTAGTTTCTGAGAATGATTCTGTCTAGTTTTTATACAGAAGATATTTCCTTTTCTACATTTGGCCTAAAAGCGCTTGAAATCTCCACCTGCAAATATCACAAAAAGAGGGTTTCACATCTGCTCTGTCTAAAGGACAGTTCACCTCTGTGAGTTGAATAGAGGCAACACAAAGAACTTACTCAGTATTCTTCTTTCTAGCGTTCTATGAAGAAATCCCGTTTCCAACGAAGGCCCCAAAGAGGTCCAAATATCTGCTTGCACAATTTACAGACAGAGTGTTTCCAAACTACTCTATGAAAAGAAAGCTTAAACTCCTTGAGTTGAACGCACACATCACAAAGTAGTTTCTGAGAATGATTCTGTCTAGTTTTTATACGAAGATGTTTCCTTTTCTACATTTGGTCTCAAAGCGATTGAAATCTCCAACTGGAAACTGCACAAATAGGGAGTTTCAAATCTGCTCTGTCTAAAGGAAGGTTCAACTCTGTGAGTTGAATACACACACCACAAATAAGTTACTGAGAATTCTTCTGTCGAACATTACTTGAAGAAATCCCGTTTCCAACGAAGGCCTCAAAGAGGTCCAAATATCCACTTGCAGACATTACAAACAGAGTGTTTCCAAACTGCTCCATCAAAAGAAAGGTTAAACTCTGTGAGCTGAACACACACATCGAAAAGAAGTTTCTGTGAATGATTCTGTCTAGATTTTATAAGAAGATGTTTCCTTTTCTACCGTAAGCCTCAAAGCGCTTGAAATCTCCAGCTGCAAATTCCACAAAAAGGGTGTTTAACATCTGCTCTTCTAAAGGAAAGTTCAACTCTATGAGTTGAATACACACAGCACAAAGAAGTTACTGAGACTTCTCCTATCAAACATTATATGAAGAAATCCCGTTTCCAACGAAGGCCTCAAAGAGGTCCAAATATCTACTTGCAGACTTTACAGACAGAGTGTTTCCAAACTGCTCCATCAAAAGAAAGGTTAAACTCCTTGAGTTGAACACACACATCACAAAGTAGTTTCTGTGAATGATTCTGTCTAGTTGTTATACGAAGATGTTTCCTTTTCTACCTTTGGTCTCAAAGCGATTGAAATCTCCACATGGAAACTCCACAAAAAGAGTGTTTCAAATCTGCTCTTTCTGAAGGAAGGTTCATCTCTGTGAGTTGAATACACACACCACAAATAAGTTACTGAGAATTCTTCTGGGTAACATTATATGAGGAAATCCCGTTTCCAACGAAGGCCTCAAAGAGGTCCAAATATCCACTTGCAGACTTTACAAAGACAGTGTCTCCAAACTCCTCCATCAAAAGAAAGGTTATACTCTGTGAATTGAACGCACACATCACAAAGTAGTTTCTGAGAATGATTCTGTCTAGTTTTTATACGAAGATATTTCCTTTTCTACATTTGGCCTAAAAGCGCTTGAAATCTCCACCTGCAAATATCACAAAAAGAGGTTTTCACATCTGCTCTGTCTAAAGGACAGTTCACCACTGTGAGTTGAATAGAGGCAACACAAAGAACTTACTCAGTATTCTTCTTTCTAGCCTTTTATGAAGAAATCCCGTTTCCAACGAAGGCCTCAAAGAGGTCCAAATATCTGCTTGCAGACTTTACAGACAGAGTGTTTCCAAACTACTCTATGAAAAGAAAGCTTAAACTCCTTGAGTTGAACGCACACATCACAAAGTAGTTTCTGAGAATGATTCTGTCTAGTTTTTATACGAAGATGTTTCCTTTTCTACATTTGGTCTCAAAGCGATTGAAATCTCCAACTGGAAACTGCACAAATAGGGTGTTTCAAATCTGCTCTGTCTAAAGGAAGGTTCAACTCTGTGAGTTGAATACACACACCACAAATAAGTTACTGAGAATTCTTCTGTCGAACATTACAGGAAGAAATCCCGTTTCCAGCGAAGGCCTCAAAGAGGTCCAAATATCCACTTGCAGACATTACAAACAGAGTGTTTCCAAACTGCTCCATCAAAAGAAAGGTTAAACTCTGTGAGCTGAACACACACATCAAAAAGAAGTTTCTGTGAATGATTCTGTCTAGATTTTATAAGAAGATGTTTCCTTTTCTACCGTAGGCCTCAAAGCGCTTGAAATCTCCAGCTGCAAATTCCACAAAAAGGGTGTTTAACATCTGCTCTTCTAAAGGAAAGTTCAACTCTATGAGTTGAATACACACAGCACAAAGAAGTTACTGAGACTTCTCCTATCAAACATTATATGAAGAAATCCCGTTTCCAACGAAGGCCTCAAAGAGGTCCAAATATCCACTTGCAGACGTGACAAACAGAGTGTTTCCAAACTGCTCCATCAAAAGAAAGGTTAAACTCTGTGAGTTGAACACACACATCACAAAGTAGTTTCTGTGAATGATTCTGTCTAGTTTTTATACGAAGATGTTTCCTTTTCTACCTTTGGTCTCAAAGCGATTGAAATCTCCACATGGAAACTCCACAAAAAGAGTGTTTCAAATCTGCTCTTTCTGAAGGAAGGTTCAACTCTGTGAGTTGAATACACACACCACAAATAAGTTACTGAGAATTCTCCTATCAAACATTATATGAAGAAATCCGGTTTCCAACGAAGGCCTCAAAGAGGTCCAAATATCTGCTTGCAGACTTTACAAAGACAGTGTCTCCAAACTCCTCCATCAAAAGAAAGGTTATACTCTGTGAATTGAACGCACACATCACAAAGTAGTTTCTGAGAGTGATTCTGTCTAGTTTTTATACGAAGATATTTCCTTTTCTACATTTGGCCTAAAAGCGCTTGAAATCTCCACCTGCAAATATCACAAAAAGAGGGTTTCACATCTGCTCTGTCTAAAGGACAGTTCACCACTGTGAGTTGAATAGAGGCAACACAAAGAACTTACTCAGTATTCTTCTTTCTAGCGTTCTATGAAGAAATCCCGTTTCCAACGAAGGCCCCAAAGAGGTCCAAATATCTGCTTGCAGACTTTACAGACAGAGTGTTTCCAAACTACTCTATGAAAAGAAAGCTTAAACTCCTTGAGTTGAACGCACACATCACAAAGTAGTTTCTGAGAATGATTCTGTCTAGTTTTTATACGAAGATGTTTCCTTTTCTACATTTGGTCTCAAAGCGATTGAAATCTCCAACTGGAAACTGCACAAATAGGGTGTTTCAAATCTGCTCTGTCTAAAGGAAGGTTCAACTCTTTGAGTTGAATACACACACCACAAATAAGTTACTGAGAATTCTTCTGTCGAACATTACTTGAAGAAATCCCGTTTCCAACCAAGGCCTCAAAGAGGTCCAAATATCCACTTGCAGACATTACAAACAGAGTGTTTCCAAACTGCTCCATCAAAAGAAAGGTTAAACTCTGTGAGCTGAACACACACATCAAAAAGAAGTTTCTGTGAATGATTCTGTCTAGATTTTATAAGAAGATGTTTCCTTTTCTACCGTAGGCCTCAAAGCGCTTGAAATCTCCAGCTGCAAATTCCACAAAAAGGGTGTTTAACATCTGCTCTTCTAAAGGAAAGTTCAACTCTATGAGTTGAATACACACAGCACAAAGAAGTTACTGAGACTTCTTCTTTCTAGCATTCTATGAAGAAATCCCGTTTCCAACGAAGGCCCCAAAGAGGTCCAAATATCTGCTTGCAGAGTTTACAGACAGAGTTTTTCCAAACTGCTCCATCAAAAGAAAGGTTAAACTCCTTGAGTTGAACACACACATCACAAAGTAGTTTCTGTGAATGATTCTGTCTAGTTTTTATATGAAGATGTTTCCTTTTCTACCTTTGGTCTCAAAGCGATTGAAATCTCCACATGGAAACTCCACAAAAAGAGTGTTTCAAATCTGCTCTTTCTGAAGGAAGGTTCAACTCTGTGAGTTGAATACACACACCACAAATAAGTTACTGAGAATTCTTCTGTGTAACATTATATGAGGAAATCCCGTTTCCAACGAAGGCCTCAAAGAGGTCCAAATATCCACTTGCAGACTTTACAAAGACAGTGTCTCCAAACTCCTCCATCAAAAGAAAGGTTATACTCTGTGAATTGAACGCACACATCACAAAGTAGTTTCTGAGAATGATTCTGTCTAGTTTTTATACGAAGATATTTCCTTTTCTACATTTGGCCTAAAAGCGCTTGAAATCTCCACCTGCAAATATCACAAAAAGAGGGTTTCACATCTGCTCTGTCTAAAGGACACTTCACCTCTGTGAGTTGAATAGAGGCAACACAAAGAACTTACTCAGTATTCTTCTTTCTAGCGTTCTATGAAGAAATCCCGTTTCCAACGAAGGCCTCAAAGAGGTCCAAATATCTGCTTGCAGACTTTACAGAGTGTTTCCAAACTACTCTATGAAAAGAAAGCTTAAACTCCTTGAGTTGAACGCACACATCACAAAGTAGTTTCTGAGAATGATTCTGTCTAGTTTTTATACGAAGATGTTTCCTTTTCTACATTTGGTCTCAAAGCGATTGAAATCTCCAACTGGAAACTGCACAAATAGGGTGTTTCAAATCTGCTCTGTCTAAAGGAAGGTTCAACTCTGTGAGTTGAATACACACACCACAAATAAGTTACTGAGAATTCTTCTGTCGAACATTACTTGAAAAAATCCCGTTGCCAACGAAGGCCTCAAAGAGGTCCAAATAACCACTTGCAGACATTACAAACAGAGTGTTTCCAAACTGCTCCATCAAAAGAAAGGTTAAACTCTGTGAGCTGAACACACACATCAAAAAGAAGTTTCTGTGAATGATTCTGTCTAGATTTTCTAAGAAGATGTTTCCTTTTCTACCGTAGGCCTCAAAGCGCTTGAAATCTCCAGCTGCAAATTCCACAAAAAGGGTGTTTAACATCTGCTCTTCTAAAGGAAAGTTCAACTCTATGAGTTGAATACACACAGCACAAAGAAGTTACTGAGACTTCTCCTATCAAACATTATATGAAGAAATCCCGTTTCCAACGAAGGCCTCAAAGAGGTCCAAATATCTGCTTGCAGACTTTACAGACAGAGTTTTTCCAAACTGCTCCATCAAAAGAAAGGTTAAACTCCTTGAGTTGAACACACACATCACAAAGTAGTTTCTGTGAATGATTCTGTCTAGTTGTTATACGAAGATGTTTCCTTTTCTACCTTTGGTCTCAAAGCTATTGAAATCTCCACATGGAAACTCCACAAAAAGAGTGTTTCAAATCTGCTCTTTCTGAAGGAAGGTTCATCTCTGTCAGTTGAATACACACACCACAAATAAGTTACTGAGAATTCTTCTGTGTAACATTATATGAGGAAATCCCGTTTCCAACGAAGGCCTCAAAGAGGTCCAAATATCCACTTGCAGACTTTACAAAGACAGTGTCTCCAAACTCCTCCATCAAAAGAAAGGTTATACTCTGTGAATTGAACGCACACATCACAAAGTAGTTTCTGAGAATGATTCTGTCTACTTTTTATACGAAGATATTTCCTTTTCTACATTTGGCCTAAAAGCGCTTGAAATCTCCACCTGCAAATATCACAAAAAGAGGGTTTCACATCTGCTCTGTCTAAAGGACAGTTCACCTCTGTGAGTTGAAAAGAGGCAACACAAAGAAGTTACTGAGTATTCTTCTTTCTAGCGTTATATGAAGAAATCCCGTTTCCAACGAAGGCCTCAAAGAGGTCCAAATATCTGCTTGCAGACTTTACAGACAGAGTGTTTCCAAACTACTCTATGAAAAGAAAGCTTAAACTCCGTGAGTTGAACGCACACATCACAAAGTAGTTTCTGAGAATGATTCTGTCTTGTTTTTATACGAAGATAGTTCCGTTTCTACGATTGGCCTCAAAGCGATTGAAATCTCCAACTGGAAACTGCACAAACAGGGTGTTTCAAATCTGCTCTGTCTAAAGGAAGGTTCAACTCTGTGAGTTGAATACACACACCACAAATAAGTTACTGAGAATTCTTCTCTCGAACATTACATGAAGAAATCCCGTTTCCAACGAAGGCCGCAAAGAGGTCCAAATATCCACTTGCCGACATTGCAAACACAGTGTTTGCAAACTGCTCCGTCAAAAGAAAGGTTAAACTCTGTGAGATGAACACACACATCAAAAAGAAGTTTCTGTGAATGATTCTGTCTAGATTTTATAAGAAGATGTTTCCTTTTCTACCATAGTCCTCAAAGCGCTAGAAATCTCCAGCTGCAAATTCCACAAAAAGTGTGTTTAACATCTGCTCTGTCTAAAGTAAAGTTCAGCTCTGTGAGTTGAATACACACAGCACTAAGAAGTTACTGAGACTTCTTCTGTCTAACATTATATGAAGAAATCCCGTTTCCAACGAAGGCCTCAAAGAGGTCCAAATATCCACTTGCAGACTTGTCAAACAGAGTGTTTCCAAACTGCACCATCAAAAGAAAGGTTAAACTCTGTGAGCTGAACACACACATCACAAAGTAGTTTCTGTGAATGATTCTGTCTAGTTTTTATACGAAGATGTTTCCTTTTCTACCTTTGGTCTCAAAGCGATTGAAATCTCCACATGGAAACTCCACAAAAAGAGTGTTTCAAATCTGCTCTTTCTGAAGGAAGGTTCAACTCTGTGAGTTGAATACACACACCACAAATAAGTTACTGAGAATTCTTCTGTGTAACATTATATGAGGAAATCCCGTTTCCAACGAAGGCCTCAAAGAGGTTCAAATATCCACTTGCAGACTTTACAAAGACAGTGTCTCCAAACTCCTCCATGAAAAGAAAGGTTATACTCTGTGAATTGAACGCACACATCACAAAGTAGTTTCTGAGAATGATTCTGTCTAGTTTTTATACGAAGATATTTCCTTTTCTACATTTGGCCTAAAAGCGCTTGAAATCTTCACCTGCAAATATCACAAAAAGAGGGTTTCACATCTGCTCTGTCTAAAGGACAGTTCACCTCTGTGAGTTGAATAGAGGCAACACAAAGAACTTACTGAGTATTCTTCTTTCTAGCGTTATATGATAGAAATCCCGTTTCCAACGAAGGCCTCAAAGAGGTCCAAATATCTGCTTGCAGACTTTACAGACAGAGTGTTTCCAAACTACTCTATGAAAAGAGAGCTTAAACTGCGTGAGTTGAACGCACACATCACAAAGTAGTTTCTGAGAATGATTCTGTCTAGTTTTTATACGAAGATATTTCCGTTTCTACGATTGGCCTCAAAGCGATTGAAATCTCCAACTGGAAACTGCACAAATAGTGTGTTTCAAATCTGCTCTGTCTAAAGGAAGGTTGAACTCTGTGAGTTGAATACACACACCACAAATAAGTTACTGAGATTTCTTCTGTTGAACATTACAGGAAGAAATCCCGTTTCCAACGAAGGCCTCAAAGAGGTCCAAATATCCACTTGCAGACATTACAAACAGTGTGTTTCCAAACTGCTCAATCAAAAGAAAGGTTAAACTCTGTGAGCTGAACACACACATCAAAAAGAAGTTTCTGTGAATGATTCTGTCTAGATTTTATAAGAAGATGTTTCCTTTTCTACCGTAGGCCTCAAAGCGCTTGAAATCTCCAGCTGCAAATTCCACAAAAAGGGTGTTTAACATCTGCTCTTCTAAAGGAAAGTTCAACTCTATGAGTTGAATACACACAGCACAAAGAAGTTACTGAGACTTCTCCTATCAAACATTATATGAAGAAATCCCGTTTCCAACGAAGGGCCTCAAAGAGGTCCAAATATCTGCTTGCAGACTTTACAGACAGAGTGTTTCCAAACTGCTCCATCAAAAGAAAGGTTAAACTCCTTGAGTTGAACACACACATCACAAAGTAGTTTCTGTGAATGATTCTGTCTAGTTTTTATACGAAGATGTTTCCTTTTATACCTTTGGTCTCAAAGCGATTGAAATCTCCACATGGAAACTCCACAAAAAGAGTGTTTCAAATCTGCTCTTTCTGAAGGAAGGTTCAACTCTGTGAGTTGAATACACACACCACAAATAAGTTACTGAGAATTCTTCTGTGTAACATTATATGAGGAAATCCCGTTTCCAACGAAGGCCGCAAAGAGGTCCAAATATCCACTTGCAGACTTTACAAAGACAGTGTCTCCAAACTCCTCCATCAAAAGAAAGGTTATACTCTGTGAATTGAACGCACACATCACAAAGTAGTTTCTGAGAATGATTCTGTCTAGTTTTTATACGAAGATATTTCCTTTTCTACATTTGGCCTAAAAGTGCTTGAAATCTCCACCTGCAAATATCACAAAAAGAGGGTTTCACATCTGCTCTGTCTAAAGGACAGTTCACCTCTGTGAGTTGAATAGAGGCAACACAAAGAACTTACTCAGTATTCTTCTTTCTAGCGTTTTATGAAGAAATCCCGTTTCCAACGAAGGCCCCAAAGAGGTCCAAATATCTGCTTGCAGACTTTACAGACAGAGTGTTTCCAAACTACTCTATGAAAAGAAAGCTTAAACTCCTTGAGTTGAACGCACACATCACAAAGTAGTTTCTGAGAATGATTCTGTCTAGTTTTTATACGAAGATGTTTCCTTTTCTACATTTGGTCTCAAAGCGATTGAAATCTCCAACTGGAAACTGCACAAATAGGGTGTTTCAAATCTGCTCTGTCTAAAGGAAGGTTCAACTCTGTGAGTTGAATACACACACCACAAATAAGTTACTGAGAATTCTTCTGTCGAACATTACTTGAAGAAATCCCGTTTCCAACGAAGGCCTCAAAGAGGTCCAAATATCCACTTGCAGACATTACAAACAGAGTGTTTCCAAACTGCTCCATCAAAAGAAAGGTTAAACTCTGTGAGCTGAACACACACATCAAAAAGAAGTTTCTGTGAATGATTCTGTCTAGATATTATAAGAAGATGTTTCCTTTTCTACCGTAGGCCTCAAAGCGCTTGAAATCTCCACCTGCAAATTCCACAAAAAGGGTGTTTAACATCTGCTCTTCTAAAGGAAAGTTCAACTCTATGAGTTGAATACACACAGCACAAAGAAGTTACTGAGACTTCTCCTATCAAACATTATATGAAGAAATCCCGTTTCCAAAGAAGGCCTCAAAGAGGTCCAAATATCTGCTTGCAGACTTTACAGACAGAGTGTTTCCAAACTGCTCCATCAAAAGAAAGGTTAAACTCCTTGAGTTGAACACACACATCACAAAGTAGTTTCTGTGAATGATTCTGTCTAGTTTTTATACGAAGATGTTTCCTTTTCTACCTTTGGTCTCAATGCGATTGAAATCTCCACATGGAAACTCCACAAAAAGAGTGTTTCAAATCTGCTCTTTCTGAAGAAAGGTTCAACTCTGTGAGTTGAATACACACACCACAAATAAGTTACTGAGAATTCTTCTGTGTAACATTATATGAGGAAATCCCGTTTCCAACGAAGGCCTCAAAGAGATACAAATATCCACTTGCAGACTTTACAAAGACAGTGTCTCCAAACTCCTCCATCAAAAGAAAGGTTATACTCTGTGAATGGAACGCACACATCACAAAGAAGTTTCTGAGAATGATTCTGTCTAGTTTTTATACGAAGATATTTCCTTTTCTACATTTGGCCTAAAAGCCCTTGAAATCTCCACCTGCAAATATCACAAAAAGAGGGTTTCACATCTGCTCTGTCTAAAGGACAGTTCACCTCTGTGAGTTGAATAGAGGCAACACAAAGAACTTACTCAGTATTCTTCTTTCTAGCGTTCTATGAAGAAATCCCGTTTCCAACGAAGGCCTCAAAGAGGTCAAATATCTGCTTGCAGACTTTACAGACAGAGTGTTTCCAAACTACTCTATGAAAAGAAAGCTTAAACTCCTTGAGTTGAACGCACACATCACAAAGTAGTTTCTGAGAATGATTCTGTCTAGTTTTTATACGAAGATGTTTCCTTTTCTACATTTGGTCTCAAAGCGATTGAAATCTCCAACTGGAAACTGCACAAATAGGGTGTTTCAAATCTGCTCTGTCTAAAGGAAGGTTCAACTCTGTGAGTTGAATACACACACCACAAATAAGTTACTGAGAATTCTTCTGTCGACCATTACTTGAAGAAATCCCTGTTTCCAACGAAGGCCTCAAAGAGGTCCAAATATCCACTTGCAGACATTACAAACAGAGTGTTTCCAAACTGCTCCATCAAAAGAAAGGTTAAACTCTGTGAGCTGAACACACACATCGAAAAGAAGTTTCTGTGAATGATTCTGTCTAGATTTTATAAGAAGATGTTTCCTTTTCTACCGTAGGCCTCAAAGCGCTTGAAATCTCCAGCTGCAAATTCCACAAAAAGGGTGTTTAACATCTGCTCTTCTAAAGGAAAGTTCAACTCTATGAGTTGAATACACACAGCACAAAGAAGTTACTGAGACTTCTCCTATCAAACATTATATGAAGAAATCCCGTTTCCAACGAAGGCCTCAAAGAGGTCCAAATATCTGCTTGCAGACTTTACAGACAGAGTGTTTCCAAACTGCTCCATCAAAAGAAAGGTTAAACTCCTTGAGTTGAACACACACATCACAAAGTAGTTTCTGTGAATGATTCTGTCTAGTTGTTATACGAAGATGTTTCCTTTTCTACCTTTGGTCTCAAAGCGATTGAAATCTCCACATGGAAACTCCACAAAAAGTGTGTTTCAAATCTGCTCTTTCTGAAGGAAGTTTCATCTCTGTGAGTTGAATACACACACCACAAATAAGTTACTGAGAATTCTTCTGTGTAACATTATATGAGGAAATCCCGTTTCCAACGAAGGCCTCAAAGAGGTCCAAATATCCACTTGCAGACTTTACAAAGACAGTGTCTCCAAACTCCTCCATCAAAAGAAAGGTTATACTCTGTGAATTGAACGCACACATCACAAAGTAGTTTCTGAGAATGATTCTGTCTAGTTTTTATACGAAGATATTTCCTTTTCTACATTTCGCCTAAAAGCGCTTGAAATCTCCACCTACAATTATCACAAAAAGAGGGTTTCACATCTGCTCTGTCTAAAGGACAGTTCACCTCTGTGAGTTAAATAGAGGCAACACAAAGAACTTACTCAGTGTTCTTCTTTCTAGCGTTCTATGAAGAAATCCCGTTTCCAACGAAGGCCTCAATGAGGTCCAAATATCTGCTTGCAGACTTTACAGACAGAGTGTTTCCAAACTACTCTATGAAAAGAAAGCTTAAACTCCTTGAGTTGAACGCACACATCACAAAGTAGTTTCTGAGAATGATTCTGTCTAGTTTTTATACGAAGATGTTTCCTTTTCTACATTTGGTCTCAAAGCGATTGAAATCTCCAACTGGAAACTGCACAAATAGGGTGTTTCAAATCTGCTCTGTCTAAAGGAAGGTTCAACTCTGTGAGTTGAATACACACACCACACATAAGTTACTGAGAATTCTTCTGTCGAACATTACATGAAGAAATCCCGTTTCCAACGAAGGCCTCAAAGAGGTCCAAATATCCCCTTGCAGATATTACAAACAGAGTGTTTCCAAACTGCTCCATCAAAAGAAAGGTCAAACTCTGTGAGCTGAACGCACACATCAAAAAGAAGTTTCTGTGAATGATTCTGTCTAGATTTTATAAGAAGATGTTTCCTTTTCTACCGTAGGCCTCAAAGCGCTTGAAATCTCCAGCTGCAAATTCCACAAAAAGGGTGTTTACTATCTGCTCTTCTAAAGGAAAGTTCAACTCTATGAGTTGAATACACACAGCACAAATAAGTTACTGAGACTTCTCCTATCAAACATTATATGAAGAAATCCCGTTTCCAACGAAGGCCTCAAAGAGGTCCAAATATCTGCTTGCAGACTTTACAGACAGAGTGTTTCCAAACTCCTCCACCAAAAGAAAGGTTAAACTCCTTGAGTTGAACACACACATCACAAAGTAGTTTCTGTGAATGATTCTGTCTAGTTTTTATACGAAGATGTTTCCTTTTCTACCTTTGGTCTCAATGCGATTGAAATCTCCACATGGAAACTCCACAAAAAGAGTGTTTCAAATCTGCTCTTTCTGAAGGAAGGTTCAACTCTGTGAGTTGAATACACACACCACAAATAAGTTACTGAGAATTCTTCTGTGTAACATTATATGAGGAAATCCCGTTTCCAACGAAGGCCTCAAAGAGATCCAAATATCCACTTGCAGACTTTACAAAGACAGTGTCTCCAAACTCCTCCATCAAAAGAAAGGTTATACTCTGTGAATTGAACGCACACATCACAAAGTAGTTTCTGAGAATGATTCTGTCTAGTTTTTATACGAAGATATTTCCTTTTCTACATTTGGCCTAAAATCGCTTGAAATCTCCACCTGCAAATATCACAAAAAGAGGGTTTCACATCTGCTCTGTCTAAAGGACAGTTCACCTCTGTGAGTTGAATAGAGGCAACACAAAGAACTTACTCAGTATTCTTCTTTCTAGCGTTCTATGAAGAAATCCCATTTCCAACGAAGGCCCCAAAGAGATCCAAATATCTGCTTGCAGACTTTACAGACAGAGTGTTTCCAAACTACTCTATGAAAAGAAAGCTTAAACTCCATGAGTTGAACGCACACATCACAAAGTAGTTTCTGAGAATGATTCTGTCTAGTTTTTATACGAAGATGTTTCCTTTTCTACATTTGGTCTCAAAGCGATTGAAATCTCCAACTGGAAACTGCACAAATAGGGTGTTTCAAATCTGCTCTGTCTAAAGGAAGGTTCAACTCTGTGAGTTGAATACACACACCACAAATAAGTTACTGAGAATTCTTCTGTCGAACATTACAGGAAGAAATCCCGTTTCCAACGAAGGCCTCAAAGAGGTCCAAATATCCACTTGCAGACATTACAAACAGAGTGTTTCCAAACTGCTCCATCAAAAGAAAGGTTAAACTCTGTGAGCTGAACACACACATCAAAAAGAAGTTTCTGTGAATGATTCTGTCTATATTTTATAAGAAGATGTTTCCTTTTCTACCGTAGGCCTCAAAGCGCTTGAAATCTCCAGCTGCAAATTCCACAAAAAGGGTGTTTAACATCTGCTCTTCTAAAGGAAAGTTCAACTCAATGAGTTGAATACACACAGCACAAAGAAGTTACTGAGACTTCTCCTATCAAACATTATATGAAGAAATCCCGTTTCCAACGAAGGCCTCAAAGAGGTCCAAATATCTGCTTGCAGACTTTACAGACAGAGTTTTTCCAAACTGCTCCATCAAAAGAAAGGTTAAACTCCTTGAGTTGAACACACACATCACAAAGTAGTTTCTGTGAATGATTCTGTCTAGTTTTTATACGAAGATGTTTCCTTTTCTACCTTTGGTCTCAAAGCGATTGAAATCTCCACATGGAAACTCCACAAAAAGAGTGTTTCAAATCTGCTCTTTCTGAAGGAAGGTTCAACTCTGTGAGTTGAATACACACACCACAAATAAGTTACTGAGAATTCTTCTGTGTAACATTATATGAGGAAATCCCGTTTCCAACGAAGGCCTCAAAGAGGTCCAAATATCCACTTGCAGACTTTACAAAGACAGTGTCTCCAAACTCCTCCATCAAAAGAAAGGTTATACTCTGTGAATTGAACGCACACATCACAAAGTAGTTTCTGAGAATGATTCTGTCTAGTTTTTATACGAAGATATTTCCTTTTCTACATTTGGCCTCAAAGCGCTTGAAATCTCCACCTGCAAATATCACAAAAAGAGGGTTTCACATCTGCTCTGTCTAAAGGACAGTTCACCTCTGTGAGTTGAATAGAGGCAACACAAAGAACTTACTCAGTATTCTTCTTTCTAGCGTTCTATGAAGAAATCCCGTTTCCAACGAAGGCCTCAAAGAGGTCAAATATCTGCTTGCAGACTTTACAGACAGAGTGTTTCCAAACTACTCTATGAAAAGAAAGCTTAAACTCCTTGAGTTGAACGCACACATCACAAAGTAGTTTCTGAGAATGATTTTGTCTAGTTTTTATACGAAGATGTTTCCTTTTCTACATTTGGTCTCAAAGCGATTGAAATCTCCAACTGGAAACTGCACAAATAGGGTGTTTCAAATCTGCTCTGCCTAAAGGAAGGTTCAACTCTGTGAGTTGAATACACACACCACAAATAAGTTACTGAGAATTCTTCTGTCGAACATTACTTGAAGAAATCCCGTTTCCAACGAAGGCCTCAAAGAGGTCCAAATATCCACTTGCAGACATTACAAACAGAGTGTTTCCAAACTGCTCCATCAAAAGAAAAGTTAAACTCTGTGAGCTGAACACACACATCGAAAAGAAGTTTCTGTGAATGATTCTGTCTAGATTTTATAAGAAGATGTTTCCTTTTCTACCGTAGGCCTCAAAGCGCTTGAAATCTCCAGCTGCAAATTCCACAAAAAGGGTGTTTAACATCTGCTCTTCTAAAGGAAAGTTCAACTCTATGAGTTGAATACACACAGCACAAAGAAGTTACTGAGACTTCTCCTATCAAACATTATATGAAGAAATCCCGTTTCCAACGAAGGCCTCAAAGAGGTCCAAATATCTGCTTGCAGACTTTACAGACAGAGTGTTTCCAAACTGCTCCATCAAAAGAAAGGTTAAACTCCTTGAGTTGAACACACACATCACAAAGTAGTTTCTGTGAATGATTCTGTCTAGTTGTTATACGAAGATGTTTCCTTTTCTACCTTTGGTCTCAAAGCGATTGAAATCTCCACATGGAAACTCCACAAAAAGAGTGTTTCAAATCTGCTCTTTCTGAAGGAAGGTTCATCTCTGTGAGTTGAATACACACACCACAAATAAGTTACTGAGAATTCTTCTGTGTAACATTAGATGAGGAAATCCCGTTTCCAACGAAGGCCTCAAAGAGGTCCAAATATCCACTTGCAGACTTTACAAAGACAGTGTCTCCAAACTCCTCCATCAAAAGAAAGGTTATACTCTGTGAATTGAACGCACACATCACAAAGTAGTTTCTGAGAATGATTCTGTCTAGTTTTTATACGAAGATATTTCCTTTTCTACATTTGGCCTAAAGCGCTTGAAATCTCCACCTGCAAATATCACAAAAAGAGGGTTTCACATCTGCTCTGTCTAAAGGACAGTTCACCTCTGTGAGTTGAATAGAGGCAACACAAAGAACTTACTCAGTATTCTTCTTTCTAGCGTTCTATGAAGAAATCCCTTTTCCAACGAAGGCCTCAAAGAGGTCCAAATATCTGCTTGCAGACTTTACAGAGTGTTTCCAAACTACTCTATGAAAAGAAAGCTTAAACTCCTTGAGTGGAACGCACACATCACAAAGTAGTTTCTGAGAATGATTCTGTCTTGTTTTTATACGAAGATATTTCCGTTTCTATGATTTGACTCAAAGCGATTGAAATCTCCAACTGGAAACTGCACAAATAGGGTGTTTCAAATCTGCTCTGTCTAAAGGAAGCTTCAACTCTGTGAGTTGAATACACACACCACAAATAAGTTACTGAGAATTCTTCTGTCGAACATTACAGGAAGAAATCCCGTTTCCAACGAAGGCCTCAAAGAGGTCCAAATATCCACTTGCAGACATTACAAACAGTGTGTTTCCAAACTGCTCCATCAAAAGAAATGTTAAACTCTGTGAGCTGAACACACACATCAAATGAAGTTTCTGTGAATGATTCTGTCTAGATTTTATAAGAAGATGTTTCTTTTTCTACCGTAGGCCTCAAAGCGCTTGAAATCTCCAGCTGCAAATTCCACAAAAAGGGTGTTTAACATCTGCTCTTCTAAAGGAAAGTTCAACTCTATGAGTTGAATACACACAGCACAAAGAAGTTACTGAGACTTCTCCTATCAAGCATTATGTGAAGAAATCCCGTTTCCAACGAAGGCCTCAAAGACGTCCAAATCTCTGCTTGCAGACTTTACAGACAGAGTTTTTCCAAACTGCTCCATCAAAAGAAAGGTTAACCTCCTTGAGTTGAACACAGACATCACAAAGTAGTTTCTGAGAATGATTCTGTCAAGTTTTTATACGAAGATGTTTCCTTTTCTACCTTTGGTCTCAAAGCGATTGAAATCTCCACATGGAAACTCCACAAAAAGAGTGTTTCAAATCTGCTCTGTCTAAAGGAAGGTTCAACTCTGTGAGTTGAATACACACACCACAAATAAGTTACTGAGAATTCTTCTGTGTAACATTATATGAGGAAATCCCGTTTCCAACGAAGGCCTCAAAGAGGTCCAAATATCCACTTGCAGACTTTACAAAGACAGTGTCTCCAAACTCCTCCATCCAAAGAAAGGTTATACTCTGTGAATTGAACGCACACATCACAAAGTAGTTTCTGAGAATGATTGTGTCTAGTTTTTATACGAAGATATTTCCTTTTCTACATTTGGCCTAAAAGCGCTTGAAATCTCCACCTGCAAATATCACAAAAAGAGGGTTTCACATCTGCTCTGTCTAAAGGACAGTTCACCTACTGTGAGTTGAATAGAGGCAACACAAAGTACTTACTCAGTATTCTTTCTTTCAAGCGTTCTATGAAGAAATCCCGTTTCCAACGAAGACCCCAATGAGGTCGAAATATCTGCTTGCAGACTTTACAGACAGAGTGTTTCCAAACTACTCTATGAAAAGAAAGCTTAAACTCCTTGTGTTGAACGCACACATCACAAAGTAGTTTCTGAGAATGATTCTGTCTAGTTTTTATACGAAGATGTTTCCTTTTCTACATTTGGTCTCAAAGCGATTGAAATCTCCAACTGGAAACTGCACAAATAGGGTGTTTCAAATCTGCTCTGTCTAAAGGAAGGTTCAACTCTGTGAGTTGAATACACACACCACAAATAAGTTACTGAGAATTCTTCTGTCGAACATTACAGGAAGAAATCCCGTTTCCAGCGAAGGCCTCAAAGAGGTCCAAATATCCACTTGCAGACATTACAAACAGAGTGTTTCCAAACTGCTCCATCAAAAGAAAGGTTAAACTCTGTGAGCTGAACACACACATCAAAAAGAAGTTTCTGTGAATGATTCTGTCTAGATTTTATAAGAAGATGTTTCCCTTTCTACAGTAGGCCTCAAAGCGCTTGAAATCTCCAGCTGCAAATTCCACAAAAAGGGTGTTTAACATCTGCTCTTCTAAAGGAAAGTTCAACTCTATGAGTTGAATGCACACAGCACAAAGAAGTTACTGAGACTTCTCCTATCAAACATTATATGAAGAAATCCCGTTTCCAACGAAGGCCTCAAAGAGGTCCAAATATCTGCTTGCAGACTTTACAGACAGAGTGTTTCCAAACTGCTCCATCAAAAGAAAGGTTAAACTCCTTGAGTTGAACACACACATCACAAAGTAGTTTCTGTGAATGATTCTGTCTAGTTGTTATACGAAGATGTTTCCTTTTCTACCTTTGGTCTCAAAGCGATTGAAATCTCCACATGGAAACTCCACAAAAAGAGTGTTTCAAATCTGCTCTTTCTGAAGGAAGGTTCATCTCTGTGAGTTGAATACACACACCACAAATAAGTTACTGAGAATTCTTCTGTGTAACATTATATGAGGAAATCCCGTTTCCAACGAAGGCCTCAAAGAGGTCCAAATATCCACACGCAGACTTTACAAAGACAGTGTCTCCAAACTCCTCCATCAAAAGAAAGGTTATACTCTGTGAATTGTACGCACACATCACAAAGTAGTTTCTGAGAATGATTCTGTCTAGTTTTTATACGAAGATATTTCCTTTTCTACATTTGGCCTAAAAGCGCTTGAAATCTCCACCTGCAAATATCACAAAAAGAGGGTTTCACATCTGCTCTGTCTAAAGGACAGTTCACCTCTGTGAGTTGAATAGAGGCAACACAAAGAACTTACTCAGTATTCTTCTTTCTAGCGTTCTATGAAGAAATCCCCTTTCCAACGAAGACCCCAAAGACGTCCAAATATCTGCTTGCAGACTTTACAGACAGAGTTTTTCCAAACTGCTCCATCAAAAGAAAGGTTAAACTCCTTGAGTTGAACACACACGTCACAAAGTAGTATCTGTGAATGATTCTGTCTAGTTTTTATACGAAGATGTTTCCTTTTCTACCTTCGGTCTCAAAGCGATTGAAATCTCCACATGGAAACTCCACAAAAAGAGTGTTTCAAATCTGCTCTTTCTGAAGGAAGGTTCAACTCTGTGAGTTGAATACACAAACCACAAATAAGTTACTGAGAATTCTTCTGTGTAACATTATATGAGGAAATCCCGTTTCCAACGAAGGCCTCAAAGAGGTCCAAATATCCACTTGCAGACTTTACAAAGACAGTGTCTCCAAACTCCTCCATCAAAAGAAAGGTTATACTCTGTGAATTGAACGCACACATCACAAAGTAGTTTCTGAGAATGATTCTGTCTAGTTTTTATACGAAGATATTTCCTTTTCTACATTTGGCCTAAAAGCGCTTGAAATCTCCACCTGCAAATATCACAAAAAGAGGGTTTCACATCTGCTCTGTCTAAAGGACAGTTCACCTCTGTGAGTTGAATAGAGGCAACACAAAGAACTTACTCAGTATTCTTCTTTCTAGGGTTCTATGAAGAAACGCCGTTTCCAACGAAGGCCCCAAAGAGGTCCAAATATCTGCTTGCAGACTTTACAGACAGAGTGTTTCCAAACTACTCTATGAAAAGAAAGCTTAAACTCCTTGAGTTGAACGCACACATCACAAAGTAGTTTCTGAGAATGATTCTGTCTAGTTTTTATACGAAGATGTTTCCTTTTCTACATTTGGTCTCAAAGCGATTGAAATCTCCAACTGGAAACTGCACAAATAGGGTGTTTCAAATCTGCTCTGTCTAAAGGAAGGTTCAACTCTGTGAGTTGAATACACACACCACAAATAAGGTACTGAGAATTCTTCTGTCGAACATTACTTGAAGAAATCCCGTTTCCAACGAAGGCCTCAAAGAGGTCCAAATATCCACTTGCAGACATTACAAACAGAGTGTTTCCAAACTGCTCCATCAAAAGAAAGGTTAAACTCTGTGAGCTGAACACACACATCAAAAAGAAGTTTCTGTGAATGATTCTGTCTAGATTTTATAAGAAGATGCTTCCTTTTCTACCGTAGGCCTCAAAGCGCTTGAAATCTCTACATGGAAACTCCACAAAAAGGGTGTTTAACATCTGCTCTTCTAAAGGAAAGTTCAACTCTATGAGTTGAATACACACAGCACAAAGAAGTTACTGAGACTTCTCCTATCAAACATTATATGAAGAAATCCCGTTTCCAACGAAGGCCTCAAAGAGGTCCAAATATCTGCTTGCAGACTTTACAGACAGAGTGTTTCCAAACTGCTCCATCAAAAGAAAGGTTAAACTCCTTGAGTTGAACACACACATCACAAAGTAGTTTCTGTGAATGATTCTGTCTAGTTTTTATACGAAGATGTTTCCTTTTCTACCTTTGGTCTCAAAGCGATTGAAATCTCCACATGGAAACTCCACAAAAAGAGAGTTTCAAATCTGCTCTTTCTGAAGGAAGGTTCAACTCTGTGAGTTGAATACACACACCACAAATAAGTTACTGAGAATTCTTCTGTGTAACATTATATGAGGAAATCCCGTTTCCAACGAAGGCCTCAAAGAGGTCCAAATATCCACTTGCAGACTTTACAAAGACAGTGTCTCCAAACTCCTCCATCAAAAGAAAGGTTATACTCTGTGAATTGAACGCACACATCACAAAGTAGTTTCTGAGAATGATTCTGTCTAGTTTTTATACGAAGATATTTCCTTTTCTACATTTGGCCTAAAAGCGCTTGAAATCTCCACCTGCAAATATCACAAAAAGAGGGTTTCACATCTGCTCTGTCTAAAGGACAGTTCACCTCTGTGAGTTGAATAGAGGCAACACAAAGAACTTACTCAGTATTCTTCTTTCTAGCGTTCTATGAAGAAATCCCGTTTCCAACGAAGGCCCCAAAGAGGTCCAGATATCTGCTTGCAGACTTTACAGACAGAGTGTTTCCAAACTACTCTATGAAAAGAAACCTTAAACTCCTTGAGTTGAACGCACACATCACAAAGTAGTTTCTGAGAATGATTCTGTCTAGTTTTTATACGAAGATGTTTCCTTTTCTACATTTGGTCTCAAAGCGATTGAAATCTCCAACTGGAAACTGCACAAATAGGGTGTTTCAAATCTGCTCTGTCTAAAGGAAGGTTCAACTCTGTGAGTTGAATACACACACCACAAATAAGTTACTGAGAATTCTTCTGTCGAACATTACAGGAAGAAATCCCGTTTCCAACGAAGGCCTCAAAGAGGTCCAAATATCCACTTGCAGACATTACAAACAGAGTGTTTCCAAACTGCTCCATCAAAAGAAAGGTTAAACTCTGTGAGCTGAACACACACATCAAAAAGAAGTTTCTGTGAATGATTCTGTCTAGATTTTATAAGAAGATGTTTCCTTTTCTACCGTAGGCCTCAAAGCGCTTGAAATCTCCAGCTGCAAATTCCACAAAAAGGGTGTTTAACATCTGCTCTTCTAAAGGAAAGTTCAACTCTATGAGTTGAATACACACAGCACAAAGAAGTTACTGAGACTTCTCCTATCAAACATTATATGAAGAAATCCCGTTTCCAACGAAGGCCTCAAAGAGGTCCAAATATCTGCTTGCAGACTTTACAGACAGAGTATTTCCAAACTGCTCCATCAAAAGAAAGGTTAAACTCCTTGAGTTGAACACACACATCACAAAGTAGTTTCTGTGAATGATTCTGTCTAGTTTTTATACGAAGATGTTTCCTTTTCTACCTTTGGTCTCAAAGCGATTGAAATCTCCACATGGAAACTCCACAAAAAGAGTGTTTCAAATCTGCTCTTTCTGAAGGAAGGTTCAACTCTGTGAGTTGAATACACACACCACAAATAAGTTACTGAGAATTCTTCTGTGTAACATTATATGAGGAAATCCCGTTTCCAACGAAGGCCTCAAAGAGGTCCAAATATCCACTTGCAGACTTTACAAAGACAGTGTCTCCAAACTCCTCCATCAAAAGAAAGGTTATACTCTGTGAATTGAACGCACACATCACAAAGTAGTTTCTGAGAATGATTCTGTCTAGTTTTTATACGAAGATATTTCCTTTTCTACATTTGGCCTCAAAGCGCTTGAAATCTCCACCTGCAAATATCACAAAAAGAGGGTTTCACATCTGCTCTGTCTAAAGGACAGTTCACCTCTGTGAGTTGAATAGAGGCAACACAAAGAACTTACTCAGTATTCTCCTATCAAACATTATATGAAGAAATCCCGTTTCCAACGAAGGCCTCAAAGAGGTCCAAATATCTGCTTGCAGACTTTACAGACAGAGTATTTCCAAACTGCTCCATCAAAAGAAAGGTTAAACTCCTTGAGTTGAACACACACATCACAAAGTAGTTTCTGTGAATGATTCTGTCTAGTTTTTATAAGAAGATGTTTCCTTTTCTACCTTTGGTCTCAAAGCGATTGAAATCTCCACATGGAAACTCCTCAAAAAGAGTGTTTCAAATCTGCTCTTTCTGAAGGAAGGTTCAACTCTGTGAGTTGAATACACACACCACAAATAAGTTACTGAGAATTCTTCTGTGTAACATTATATGAGGAAATCCCGTTTCCATCGAAGGCCTCAAAGAGGTCCAAATATCCACTTGCAGACTTTACAAAGACAGTGTCTCCAAACTCCTCCATCAAAAGAAAGGTTATACTCTGTGAATTGAACGCACACATCACAAAGTAGTTTCTGAGAATGATTCTGTCTAGTTTTTATACGAAGATATTTCCTTTTCTACATTTGGCCTAAAAGCGCTTGAAATCTCCACCTGCAAATATCACAAAAAGAGGGTTTCACATCTGCTCTGTCTAAAGGACAGTTCACCTCTGTGAGTTGAATAGAGGCAACACAAAGAACTTACTCAGTATTCTTCTTTCTAGCATTCTATGAAGAAATCCCGTTTCCAACGAAGGCCTCAAAGAGGTCAAATATCTGCTTGCAGACTTTACAGACAGAGTGTTTCCAAACTACTCTATGAAAAGAAAGCTTAAACTCCTTGAGTTGAACGCACACATCACAAAGTAGTTTCTGAGAATGATTCTGTCTAGTTTTTATACGAAGATGTTTCCTTTTCTACATTTGGTCTCAAAGCGATTGAAATCTCCAACTGGAAACTGCACAAATAGGCTGTTTCAAATCTGCTCTGTCTAAAGGAAGGTTCAACTCTGTGAGTTGAATACACACACCACAAATAAGTTACTGAGAATTCTTCTGTCGAACATTACTTGAAGAAATCCCGTTTCCAACGAAGGCCTCAAAGAGGTCCAAATATCCACTTGCAGACGTTACAAACAGAGTGTTTCCAAACTGCTCCATCAAAAGAAAGGTTAAACTCTGTGAGCTGAACACACACATCAAAAAGAAGTTTCTGTGAATGATTCTGTCTAGATTTTATAAGAAGATGTTTCCTTTTCTACCGTAGGCCTCAAAGCGCTTGAAATCTCCAGCTGCAAATTCCACAAAAAGGGTGTTTAACATCTGCTCTTCTAAAGGAAAGTTCAACTCTATGAGTTGAATACACACAGCACAAAGAAGTTACTGAGACTTCTCCTATCAAACATTATATGAAGAAATCCCGTTTCCAACGAAGGCCTCAAAGAGGTCCAAATATCTGCTTGCAGACTTTACAGACAGAGTGTTTCCAAACTGCTCCATCAAAAGAAAGGTTAAACTCCTTGAGTTGAACACACACATCACAAAGTAGTTTCTGTGAATGATTCTGTCTAGTTTTTATACGAAGATGTTTCCTTTTCTACCTTTGGTCTCAAAGCGATTGAAATCTCCACATGGAAACTCCACAAAAAGAGTGTTTCAAATCTGCTCTTTGTGAAGGAAGGTTCAACTCTGTGAGTTGAATACACACACCACAAATAAGTTACTGAGAATTCTTCTGTGTAACATTATATGAGGAAATCCCGTTTCCAACGAAGGCCTCAAAGAGGTCCAAATATCCACTTGCAGACTTTACAAAGACAGTGTCTCCAAACTCCTCCATCAAAAGAAAGGTTATACTCTGTGAATTGAACGCACACATCACAAAGTAGTTTCTGAGAATGATTCTGTCTAGTTTTTATACAAAGATATTTCCTTTTCTACATTTGGCCTAAAAGCGCTTGAAATCTCCACCTGCAAATATCACAAAAAGAGGGTTTCACATCTGCTCTGTCTAAAGGACAGTTCACCTCTGTGAGTTGAATAGAGGCAACACAAAGAACTTACTCAGTATTCTTCTTTCTAGCGTTCTATGAAGAAATCCCGTTTCCAACGAAGGCCCCAAAGAGGTCCAAATATCTGCTTGCAGACTTTACAGACAGAGTGTTTCCAAACTACTCTATGAAAAGAAAGCTTAAACTCCTTGAGTTGAACGCACACATCACAAAGTAGTTTCGGAGAATGATTCTGTCTAGTTTTTATACGAAGATGTTTCCTTTTCTACATTTGGTCTCAAAGCGATTGAAATCTCCAACTGGAAACTGCACAAATAGGGTGTTTCAAATCTGCTCTGTCTAAAGGAAGGTTCAACTCTGTGAGTTGAATACACACACCACAAATAAGTTACTGAGAATTCTTCTGTCGAACATTACATGAAGAAATCCCGTTTCCAACGAAGGCCTCAAAGACGTCCAAATATCCACTTGCAGACATTACAAAGAGAGTGTTTCCAAACTGCTCCATCAAAAGAAAGGTTAAACTCTGTGAGCTGAACACACACATCAAAAAGAAGTTTCTGTGAATGATTCTGTCTAGATTTTATAAGAAGATGTTTCCTTTTCTACCGTAGGCCTCAAAGCGCTTGAAATCTCCAGCTGCAAATTCCACAAAAAGGGTGTTTAACATCTGCTCTTCTAAAGGAAAGTTCAACTCTATGAGTTGAATACACACAGCACAAAGAAGTTACTGAGACTTCTTCTGTCTAACATTATATGAAGAAATCCCGTTTCCAACGAAGGCCTCAAAGAGGTCCAAATATCTGCTTGCAGACTTTACAGACAGAGTGTTTCCAAACTGCTCCATCAAAAGAAAGGTTAAACTCCTTGAGTTGAACACACACATCACAAAGTAGTTTCTGTGAATGATTCTGTCTAGTTTTTATACGAAGATGTTTCCTTTTCTACCTTTGGTCTCAAAGCGATTGAAATCTCCACATGGAAACTCCACAAAAAGAGTGTTTCAAATCTGCTCTTTCTGAAGGAAGGTTCATCTCTGTGTGTTGAATACACACACCACAAATAAGTTACTGAGAATTCTTCTGTGTAACATTATATGAGGAAATCCCGTTTCCAACGAAGGCCTCAAAGAGGTCCAAATATCCACTTGCAGACTTTACAAAGACAGTGTCTCCAAACTCCTCCATCAAAAGAAAGGTTATACTCTGTGAATTGAACGCACACATCACAAAGTAGTTTCTGAGAATGATTCTGTCTAGTTTTTATACGAAGATATTTCCTTTTCTATATTTGGCCTAAAAGCGCTTGAAATCTCCACCTGCAAATATCACAAAAAGAGGGTTTCACATCTGCTCTGTCTAAAGGACAGTTCACCTCTGTGAGTTGAATAGAGGGAACACAAAGAACTTACTCAGTATTCTTCTTTCTAGCGTTCTATGAAGAAATCCCGTTTCCAACGAAGGCCCCAAAGAGGTCCAAATATCTGCTTGCAGACTTTACAGACAGAGTGTTTCCAAACTACTCTATGAAAAGAAAGCTTAAACTCCTTGAGTTGAACGCACACATCACAAAGTAGTTTCTGAGAATGATTTCTGTCTAGTTTTTATACGAAGATATTTCCGTTTCTATGATTGGCCTCAAAGCCATTGAAATCTCCAACTGGAAACTGCACAAATAGGGTGTTTCAAATCTGCTCTGTCTAAAGGAAGGTTCAACTCTGTGAGTTGAATACACACACCACAAATAAATTACTGAGAATTCTTCCCGTCGAACATTACTTGAAAAAATCCCGTTTCCAACGAAGGCCTCAAGGAGGTCCAAATAACCACTTGCAGACATTACAAACAGAGTGTTTCCAAACTGCTCCATCAAAAGAAAGGTTAAACTCTGTGAGCTGAACACACACATCAAAAAGAAGTTTCTGTGAATGATTCTGTCTAGATTTTATAAGATGTTTCCTTTTCTACCGTAGGCCTCAAAGCGCTTGAAATCTCCAGCTGCAAATTCCACAAAAAGGGTGTTTAACATCTGCTCTTCTAAAGGAAAGTTCAACTCTATGAGTTGAATACACACAGCACAAAGAAGTTACTGAGACTTCTCCTATCAAACATTATATGAAGAAATCCCGTTTCCAACGAAGGCCTCAAAGAGGTCCAAATATCTGCTTGCAGACTTTACAGACACAGTTTTTCCAAACTGCTCCATCAAGAGAAAGGTTAAACTCCTTGAGTTGAACACACACATCACAAAGTAGTTTCTGTGAATGATTCTGTCTAGTTTTTATACGAAGATGTTTCCTTTTCTACCTTTGGTCTCAAAGCGATTGAAATCTCCACATGGAAACTCCACAAAAAGAGTGTTTCAAATCTGCTCTTTCCGAAGGAAGGTTCAACTCTGTGAGTTGAATACACACACCACAAATAAGTTACTGAGAATTCTTCTGTGTAACATTATATGAGGAAATCCCGTTTCCAACGAAGGCCTCAAAGAGATCCAAATATCCACTTGCAGACTTTACAAAGACAGTGTCTCCAAACTCCTCCATCAAAAGAAAGGTTATCCTCTGTGAATTGAACGCACACATCACAAAGTAGTTTCTGAGAATGATTCTGTCTAGTTTTTATACGAAGATATTTCCTTTTCTACATTTGGCCTCAAAGCGCTTGAAATCTCCACCTGCAAATATCACAAAAAGAGGGTTTCACATCTGCTCTGTCTAAAGGACAGTTCACCTCTGTGAGTTGAATAGAGGCAACACAAAGAACTTACTCAGTATTCTTCTTTCTAGCGTTCTATGAAGAAATCCCGTTTCCAACGAAGGCCCCAAAGAGGTCCAAATATCTGCTTGCAGACTTTACAGACAGAGTGTTTCCAAACTACTCTATGAAAAGAAAGCTTAAACTCCTTGAGTTGAACGCACACATCACAAAGTAGTTTCTGAGAATGATTCTGTCTAGTTTTTATACGAAGATGTTTCCTTTTCTACATTTGGTCTCAAAGCGATTGAAATCTCCAACTGGAAACTGCACAAATAGGGTGTTTCAAATCTGCTCTGTCTAAAGGAAGGTTCAACTCTGTGAGTTGAATACACACACCACAAATAAGTTACTGAGAATTCTTCTGTCGACCATTACTTGATGAAATCCCGTTTCCAACGAAGGCCTCAAAGAGGTCCAAATATCCACTTGCAGACATTACAAACAGAGTGTTTCCAAACTGCTCCATCAAAAGAAAGGTTAAACTCTGTGAGCTGAACACACACATCGAAAAGAAGTTTCTGTGAATGATTCTGTCTAGATTTTATAAGAAGATGTTTCCTTTTCTACCGTAGGCCTCAAAGCGCTTGAAATCTCCAGCTGCAAATTCCACAAAAAGGGTGTTTAACATCTGCTCTTCTAAAGGAAAGTTCAACTCTATGAGTTGAATACACACAGCACAAAGAAGTTACTGAGACTTCTCCTATCAAACATTATATGAAGAAATCCCGTTTCCAACGAAGGCCTCAAAGAGGTCCAAATATCTGCTTGCAGACTTTACAGACAGAGTGTTTCCAAACTGCTCCATCAAAAGAAAGGTTAAACTCCTTGAGTTGAACACACACATCACAAAGTAGTTTCTGTGAATGATTCTGTCTAGTTTTTATACGAAGATGTTTCCTTTTCTACCTTTGGTCTCAATGCGATTGAAATCTCCACATGGAAACTCCACAAAAAGAGTGTTTCAAATCTGCTCTTTCTGAAGGAAGGTTCATCTCTGTGAGTTGAATATACACACCACAAATAAGTTACTGAGAATTCTTCTGTGTAACATTATATGAGGAAATCCCGTTTCCAACGAAGGCCTCAAAGAGGTCCAAATATCCACTTGCAGACTTTACAAAGACAGTGTCTCCAAACTCCTCCATCAAAAGAAAGGTTATACTCTGTGAATTGAACGCACACATCACAAAGTAGTTTCTGAGAATGATTCTGTCTAGTTTTTATACGAAGATATTTCCTTTTCTACATTTGGCCTAAAAGCGCTTGAAATCTCCACCTGCAAATATCACAAAAAGAGGGTTTCACATCTGCTCTGTCTAAAGGACAGTTCACCTCTGTGAGTTGAATAGAGGCAACACAAAGAACTTACTCAGTATTCTTCTTTCTAGCGTTCTATGAAGAAATCCCCTTTCCAACGAAGACCCCAAAGACATCCAAATATCTGCTTGCAGACTTTACAGACAAAGTTTTTCCAAACTGCTCCATCAAAAGAAAGGTTAAACTCCTTGAGTTGAACACACACGTCACAAAGTAGTTTCTGTGAATGATTCTGTCTAGTTTTTATACGGAGATGTTTCCTTTTCTACCTTTGGTCTCAAAGCGATTGAAATCTCCACATGGAAACCCCACAAAAAGAGTGTTTCAAATCTGCTCTTTCTGAAGGAAGGTTCAACTCTGTGAGTTGAATACACACACCACAAATAAGTTACTGAGAATTCTTCTGTCGAACATTACTTGAAGAAATCCCGTTTCCAACGAAGGCCTCAAAGAGGTCCAAATATCCACTTGCAGACATTACAAACAGAGTGTTTCCAGACTGCTCCATCAAAAGAAAGGTTAAACTCTGTGAGCTGAACACACACATCAAAAAGAAGTTTCTGTGAATGATTCTGTCTAGATTTTATAAGAAGATGTTTCCTTTTCTACCGTAGGCCTCAAAGCGCTTGAAATCTCCAGCTGCAAATTCCACAAAAAGGGTGCTTAACATCTGCTCTTCTAAAGGAAAGTTCAACTCTATGAGTTGAATACACACAGCACAAAGACGTTACTGAGACTTCTCCTATCAAACATTATATGAAGAAATCCCGTTTCCAACGAAGGCCTCAAAGAGGTCCAAATATCTGCTTGCAGACTTTACAGACAGAGTGTTTCCAAACTCCTCCACCAAAAGAAAGGTTAAACTCCTTGAGTTGAACACACACATCACAAAGTAGTTTCTGTGAATGATTCTGTCTAGTTTTTATACGAAGATGTTTCCTTTTCTACCTTTGGTCTCAATGCGATTGAAATCTCCACATGGAAACTCCACAAAAAGAGTGTTTCAAATCTGCTCTTTCTGAAGGAAGGTTCAACTCTGTGAGTTGAATACACACACCACAAATAAGTTACTGAGAATTCTTCTGTGTAACATTATATGAGGAAATCCCGTTTCCAACGAAGGCCTCAAAGAGGTCCAAATATCCACTTGCAGACTTTACAAAGACAGTGTCTCCAAACTCCTCCATCAAAAGAAAGGTTATACTCTGTGAATTGAACGCACACATCACAAAGTAGTTTCTGAGAATGATTCTGTCTAGTTTTTATACGAAGATGTTTCCTTTTCTTCATTTGGCCTAAAAGCGCTTGAAATCTCCACCTGCAAATATCACAAAAAGAGGGTTTCACATCTGCTCTGTCTAAAGGACAGTTCACCTCTGTGAGTTGAATAGAGGCAACACAAAGAACTTACTCAGTATTCTTCTTTCTAGCGTTCTATGAATAAATCCGGTTTCCAACGAAGACCCCAATGAGGTCCAAATATCTGCTTGCAGACTTTACAGATAGACTGTTTCCAAACTACTCTATGAAAAGAAAGCTTAAACTCCTTGAGTTGAACGCACACATCACAAAGTAGTTTCTGAGAATGATTCTGTCTAGTTTTTATACGAAGATGTTTCCTTTTCTACATTTGGTCTCAAAACGATTGAAATCTCCAACTGGAAACTGCACAAATAGGGAGTTTCAAATCTGCTCTGTCTAAAGGAAGGGTCAACTCTGTGAGTTGAATACACACACCACAAATAAGTTACTGAGAATTCTTCTGTCGAACACTGCATGAAGAAATCCCTTTTCCAACGAAGGCCTCAAAGAGGTCCAAATATCCACTTGCAGACATTACAGAGTGTTTCCAAACTGCTCCATCAAAAGAAAGGTTAAACTCTGTGAGCTGAACACACACATCAAAAAGAAGTTTCTGTGAATGATTTCTGTCTAGATTTTATAAGAAGATGTTTCCTTTTCTACCGTAGGCCTCAAAGCGCTTGAAATCTCCAGCTGCAAATTCCACAAAAAGGGTGTTTAACATCTGCTCTTCTAAAGGAAAGTTCAACTCTATGAGTTGAATACACACAGCACAAAGAAGTTACTGAGACTTCTCCTATCAAACATTATATGAAGAAATCCCGTTTCCAACGAAGGCCTCAAAGAGGTCCAAATATCCACTTGCAGACGTGACAAACAGAGTGTTTCCAAACTGCTCCATCAAAAGAAAGGTTAAACTCTGTGAGGTTGAACACACACATCACAAAGTAGTTTCTGTGAATGATTCTGTCTAGTTTTTATACGAAGATGTTTCCTTTTCTACCTTTGGTCTCAAAGCGATTGAAATCTCCACATGGAAACTCCACAAAAAGAGTGTTTCAAATCTGCTCTTTCTGAAGGAAGGTTCAACTCTGTGAGTTGAATACACACACCACAAATAAGTTACTGAGAATTCTTCTGTGTAACATTATATGAGGAAATCCCGTTTCCAACGAAGGCCTCAAAGAGGTCCAAATATCCACTTGCAGACTTTACAAAGACAGTGTCTCCAAACTCCTCCATCAAAAGAAAGGTTATACTCTGTGAATTGAACGCACACATCACAAAGTAGTTTCTGAGAATGATTCTGTCTAGTTTTTATACGAAGTTATTTCCTTTTCTACATTTGGCCTAATAGCGCTTGAAATCTCCACCTGCAAATATCACAAAAAGAGGGTTTCACATCTGCTCTGTCTAAAGGACAGTTCACCTCTGTGAGTTGAATAGAGGCAACACCAAGAACTTACTCACTATTCTTCTTTCTAGCGTTCTATGAAGAAATCCCGTTTCCAACGAAGGCCTCAAAGAGGTCCAAATATCTGCTTGCAGACTTTACAGACAGAGTGTTTCCAAACTACTCTATGAAAAGAAAGCTTAAACTCCTTGAGTTGAACGCACACATCACAAAGTAGTTTCTGAGAATGATTCTGTCTAGTTTTTATACGAAGATATTTCCTTTTCTACATTTGTCTCAAAGCGATTGAAATCTCCAACTGGAAACTGCACAAATAGGGTGTTTCAAATCTGCTCTGTCTAAAGGAAGGTTCAACTCTGTGAGTTGAATACACACACCACAAATAAGTTACTGAGAATTCTTCTGTCGAACATTACAGGAAGAAATCCCGTTTCCAACGAAGGCCTCAAAGAGGTCCAAATATCCACTTGCAGACATTACAAACAGTGTGTTTCCAAACTGCTCCATCAAAAGAAAGGTTAAATTCTGTGAGCTGAACACACACATCAAAAAGAAGTTTCTGTGAATGATTCTGTCTAGATTTTATAAGAAGATGTTTCCTTTTCTACCGTAGGCCTCAAAGCGCTTGAAATCTCCAGCTGCAAATTCCACAAAAAGGGTGTTTAACATCTGCTCTTCTAAAGGAAAGTTCAACTCTATGAGTTGAATACACACAGCACAAAGAAGTTACTGAGACTTCTCCTATCAAACATTATATGAAGAAATCCCGTTTCCAACGAAGGCCTCAAAGAGGTCCAAATATCTGCTTGCAGACTTTACAGACAGAGTGTTTCCAAACTGCTCCATCAAAAGAAAGGTTAACCTCCTTGAGTTGAACACACACATCACAAAGTAGTTTCTGTGAATGATTCTGTCTAGTTTTTATACGAAGATGTTTCCTTTTCTACCTTTGGTCTCAAAGCGATTGAAATCTCCACATGGAAACTCCACAAAAAGAGTGTTTCAAATCTGCTCTTTCTGAAGGAAGGTTCAACTCTGTGAGTTGAATACACACACCACAAATAAGTTACTGAGAATTCTTCTGTGTAACATTATATGAGGAAATCCCGTTTCCAACGAAGGCCTCAAAGAGGTCCAAATATCCACTTGCAGACTTTACAAAGACAGTGTCTCCAAACTCCTCCATCAAAAGAAAGGTTATACTCTGTGAATTGAACGCACACATCACAAAGTAGTTTCTGAGAATGATTCTGTCTAGTTTTTATACGAAGATATTTCCTTTTCTACATTTGGCCTAAAAGCGCTTGAAATCTCCACCTGCAAATATCACAAAAAGAGGGTTTCACATCTGCTCTGTCTAAAGGACAGTTCACCTCTGTGAGTTGAATAGAGGCAACACAAAGAACTTACTCAGTATTCTTCTTTCTAGCGTTCTATGAAGAAATCCCGTTTCCAACGAAGGCCTCAAAGAGGTCAAAGATCTGCTTGCAGACTTTACAGACAGAGTGTTTCCAAACTACTCTATGAAAAGAAAGCGTAAACTCCTTGAGTTGAACGCACACATCACAAAGTAGTTTCTGAGAATGATTCTGTCTAGTTTTTATACGAAGATGTTTCCTTTTCTACATTTGGTCTCAAAGCGATTGAAATCTCCAACTGGAAACTGCACAAATAGGGTGTTTCAAATCTGCTCTGTCTAAAGGAAGGTTCAACTCTGTGAGTTGAATACACACACCACAAATAAGTTACTGAGAATTCTTCTGTCGAACATTACAGGAAGAAATCCCGTTTCCAACGAAGGCCTCAAAGAGGTCCAAATATCCACTTGCAGACATTACAAACAGTGTGTTTCCAAACTGCTCCATCAAAAGAAATGTTAAACTCTGTGAGCTGAACACACACATCAAATGAAGTTTCTGTGAATGATTCTGTCTAGATTTTATAAGAAGATGTTTCCTTTTCTACCGTAGGCCTCAAAGCGCTTGAAATCTCCAGCTGCAAATTCCACAAAAAGGGTGTTTAACATCTGCTCTTCTAAAGGAAAGTTCAACTCTATGAGTTGAATAGACACAGCACAAAGAAGTTACTGAGACTTCTCCTATCAAACATTATATGAAGAAATACCGTTTCCAACGAAGGCCTCAAAGAGGTCCAAATATCTGCTTGCCGACTTTACAGACAGAGTGTTTTTAAACTGCTCCATCAAAAGAAAGGTTAAACTCCTTGAGTTGAACACACACATCACAAATTAGTTTCTGTGAATGATTCTGTCTAGTTTTTATACGAAGATGTTTCCTTTTCTACATTTGGTCTCAAAGCGATTGAAATCTCCAACTGGAAACTGCACAAATAGGGTGTTTCAAATCTGCTCTGTCTAAAGGAAGGTTCAACTCTGTGAGTTGAATACACACACCACAAATAAGTTACTGAGAATTCTTCTGTCGAACATTACTTGAAGAAATCCCGTTTCCAACGAAGGCCTCAAAGGAGGTCCAAATATCCACTTGCAGACATTACAAACAGAGTGTTTCCAAACTGCTCCATCAAAAGAAAGGTTAAACTCTGTGAGCTGAACACACACATCAAAAAGAAGTTTCTGTGAATGATTCTGTCTAGATTTTATAAGAAGATATTTCCTTTTCTACGGTAGGCCACAAAGCGCTTGAAATCTCCAGCTGCAAATTCCACAAAAAGGGTGTTTAACATCTGCTCTTCTAAAGGAAAGTTCAACTCTATGCGTTGAATACACACAGCACAAAGAAGTTACTGAGACTTCTCCTATCAAACATTATATGAAGAAATCCCGTTTCCAACGAAGGCCTCAAAGAGGTCCAAATATCTGCTTGCAGACTTTACAGACAGAGTATTTCCAAACTGCTCCATCAAAAGAAAGGTTAAACTCCTTGAGTTGAACACACACATCACAAAGTAGTTTCTGTGAATGATTCTGTCTAGTTTTTATACGAAGATGTTTCCTTTTCTACCTTTGGTCTCAAAGCGATTGAAATCTCCACATGGAAACTCCACAAAAAGAGTGTTTCAAATCTGCTCTTTCTGAAGGAAGGTTCAACTCTGTGAGTTGAATACACACACCACAAATAAGTTACTGAGAATTCTTCTGTGTAACATTATATGAGGAAATCCCGTTTCCAACGAAGGCCTCAAAGAGGTCCAAATATCCACTTGCAGACTTTACAAAGACAGTGTCTCCAAACTCCTCCATCAAAAGAAAGGTTATACTCTGTGAATTGAACGCACACATCACAAAGTAGTTTCTGAGAATGATTCTGTCTAGTTTTTATACGAAGATATTTCCTTTTCTACATTTGGCCTAAAAGCGCTTGAAATCTCCACCTGCAAATATCACAAAAAGAGGGTTTCACATCTGCTCTGTCTAAAGGACAGTTCACCTCTGTGAGTTGAATAGAGGCAACACAAAGAACTTATTCAGTATTCTTCTTTCTAGCGTTCTATGAAGAAATCCCATTTCCAACGAAGGCCCCAAAGAGGTCCAAATATCTGCTTGCAGACTTTACAGACAGAGTGTTTCCAAACTACTCTATGAAAAGAAAGCTTAAACTCCTTGAGTTGAACGCACACATCACAAAGTAGTTTCTGAGAATGATTCTGTCTAGTTTTTATACGAAGATGTTTCCTTTTCTACATTTGGTCTCAAAGCGATTGAAATCTCCAACTGGAAACTGCACAAATAGGGTGTTTCAAATCTGCTCTGTCTAAAGGAAGGTTCAACTCTGTGAGTTGAATACACACACCACAAATAAGTTACTGAGAATTCTTCTGTCGAACATTACTTGAAGAAATCCCGTTTCCAACGAAGGCCTCAAAGAGGTCCAAATATCCACTTGCAGACATTACAAACAGAGTGTTTCCAAACTGCTCCATCAAAAGAAAGGTTAAACTCTGTGAGCTGAACACACACATCAAAAAGAAGTTTCTGTGAATGATTCTGTCTAGATTTTATAAGAAGATGTTTCCTTTTCTACCGTAGGCCTCAAAGCGCTTGAAATCTCCAGCTGCAAATTCCACAAAAAGGGTGTTTAACATCTGCTCTTCTAAAGGAAAGTTCAACTCTATGAGTTGAATACACACAGCACAAAGAAGTTACTGAGACTTCTCCTATCAAACATTATATGAAGAAATCCCGTTTCCAACGATGGCCTCAAAGAGGTCCAAATATCTGCTTGCAGATTTACAAAGACAGTGTCTCCAAACTCCTCCATCAAAAGAAATGTTATACTCTGTGAATTGAACGCAAACATCACAAAGTAGTTTCTGAGAATGATTCTGTCTAGTTTTTATACGAAGATGTTTCCTTTTCTACATTTGGTCTCAAAGCGATTGAAATCTCCAACTGGAAACTGCACAAATAGGGTGTCTCAAATCTGCTCTGTCTAAAAGAAGGTTCAACTCTGTGAGTTGAATACACACACCACAAATAAGTTACTGAGAATTCTTCTGTCGAACATTACTTGAAGAAATCCCGTTTCCAACGAAGGCCTCAAAGAGGTCCAAATATCCACTTGCAGACATTACAAACAGAGTGTTTCCAAACTGCTCCATCAAAAGAAAGGTTAAACTCTGTGAGCTGAACACACACATCAAAAAGAAGTTTCTGTGAATGATTCTGTCTAGATTTTATAAGAAGATGTTTCCTTTTCTACCGTAGGCCTCAAAGCGCTTGAAATCTCCAGCTGCAAATTCCACAAAAAGGGTGTTTAACATCTGCTCTTCTAAAGGAAAGTTCAACTCTATGAGTTGAATACACACAGCACAAAGAAGTTACTGAGACTTCTCCTATCAAACATTATATGAAGAAATCCCGTTTCCAACGAAGGCCTCAAAGAGGTCCAAATATCTGCTTGCAGACTTTACAGACAGAGTTTTTCCAAACTGCTCCATCAAAAGAAAGGTTAAACTCCTTGAGTTGAACACACACATCACAAAGTAGTTTCTGTGAATGATTCTGTCTAGTTTTTATACGAAGATGTATCCTTTTCTACCTTTGGTCTCAAAGCGATTGAAATCTCCACATGGAAACTCCACAAAAAGAGTGTTTCAAATCTGCTCTTTCTGAAGGAAGGTTCAACTCTGTGAGTTGAATACACACACCACTAATAAGTTACTGAGAATTCTTCTTTCTAGCATTCTATGAAGAAATCCCGTTTCCAACGAAGGCCCCAAAGAAGGTCCAAATATCTGCTTGCAGACTTTACAAAGACAGTGTCTCCAAACTCCTCCGTCAAAAGAAAGGTTATACTCTGTGAATTGAACGCACACATCACAAAGTAGTTTCTGAGAATGATTCTGTCTAGTTTTTATACGAAGATATTTCCTTTTCTACATTTGGCCTAAAAGCGCTTGAAATCTCCACCTGCAAATATCACAAAAAGAGGGTTTCACATCTGCTCTATCTAAAGGAGAGTTCACCCCTGTGAGTTGAATAGAGGCAACACAAAGAACTTACTCAGTATTCTTCTTTCTAGCGTTCTATGAAGAAATCCCGTTTACAACGAAGGCCTCAAAGAGGTCCAAATATCTGCTTGCAGACTTTACAGACAGAGTGTTTCCAAACTACTCTATGAAAAGAAAGCTTAAACTCCTTGAGTTGAACGCACACATCACAAAGTAGTTTCTGAGAATGATTCTGTCTAGTTTTTATACGAAGATGTTTCCTTTTCTACATTTGGTCTCAAAGCGATTGAAATCTCCAACTGGAAACTGCACAAATAGGGTGTTTCAAATCTGCTCTGTCTAAAGGAAGGTTCAACTCTGTGAGTTGAATACACACACCACAAATAAGTTACTGAGAATTCTTCTGTCGAAAATTACTTGAAGAAATCCCGTTTCCAACTAAGGCCTCAAAGAGGTCCAAATATCCTCTTGCAGACATTACAAACAGAGTGTTTCCAAACTGCTCCATCAAAAGAAAGGTTAAACTCTGTGAGCTGAACACACACATCAAAAAGAAGTTTCTGTGAATGATTCTGTCTAGATTTTATAAGAAGATGTTTCCTTTTCTACTGTAGGCCTCAAAGCGCTTGAAATCTCCAGCTGCAAATTCCACAAAAAGGGTGTTTAACATCTGCTCTTCTAAAGGAAAGTTCAACTCTATGAGTTGAATACACACAGCACAAAGAAGTTACTGAGACTTCTTCTGTCTAACATTATATGAATAAATCCCTTTTCCAACGAAGGCCTCAAAGAGGTCCAAATATCCACTTGCAGACTTGTCAAACAGAGTGTTTCCAAACTGCACCATCAAAAGAAAGGTTAAACTCTGTGAGCTGAACACACACATCACAAAGTAGTTTCTGTGAATGATTCTGTCTAGTTTTTATACGAAGATGTTTCCTTTTCTACCTTTGGTCTCAAAGTGATTGAAATCTCCACATGGAAACTCCACAAAAAGAGTGTTTCAAATCTGCTCTTTCTGAAGGAAGGTTCAAATCTGTGAGTTGAATACACACACCACAAATAAGTTACTGAGAATTCTTCTGGGTAACATTATATGAGGAAATCCCGTTTCCAACGAAGGCCTCAAAGAGGTCCAAATATCCACTTGCAGACTTTACAAAGACAGTGTCTCCAAACTCCTCCATCAAAAGAAAGGTTATACTCTGTGAATTGAACGCACACATCACAAAGTAGTTTCTGAGAATGATTCTGTCTAGTTTTTATAGGAAGATATTTCCTTTTCTACATTTGGCCTAAAAGCGCTTGAAATCTCCACCTGCAAATATCACAAAAAGAGGGTTTCACATCTGCTCTGTCTAAAGGACAGTTCACCTCTGTGAGTTGAATAGAGGCAACACAAAGAACTTACTCAGTATTCTTCTTTCTAGCGTTCTATGAAGAAATCCCGTTTCCAACGAAGGCCCCAAAGAGGTCCAAATATCTGCTTGCAGAGTTTACAGACAGAGTGTTTCCAAACTACTCTATGAAAAGAAAGCTTAAACTCCTTGAGTTGAACGCACACATCACAAAGTAGTTTCGGAGAATGATTCTGTCTAGTTTTTATACGAAGATGTTTCCTTTTCTACATTTGGTCTCAAAGCGATTGAAATCTCCAACTGGAAACTGCACAAATAGGGTGTTTCAAATCTGCTCTGTCTAAAGGAAGGTTCAACTCTGTGAGTTGAATACACACACCACAAATAAGTTACTGAGAATTCTTCTGTCAAACATTACTTGAAGAAATCCCGTTTCCAACGAAGGCCTCAAAGAGGTCCAAATATCCACTTGCAGACATTACAAACAGAGTGTTTCCAAACTGCTCCATCAAAAGAAAGGTTAAACTCTGTGAGCTGAACACACACATCGAAAAGAAGTTTCTGTGAATGATTCTGTCTAGATTTTATAAGAAGATGTTTCCTTTTCTACCGTAGGCCTCAAAGCGCTTGAAATCTCCAGCTGCAAATTCCACAAAAAGGGTGTTTAACATCTGCTCTTCTAAAGGAAAGTTCAACTCTATGAGTTGAATACACACAGCACAAAGAAGTTGCTGAGACTTCTCCTATCAAACATTATATGAAGAAATCCCGTTTCCAACGAAGGCCTCAAAGAGGTCCAAATATCTGCTTGCAGACTTTACAGACAGAGTGTCTCCAAACTGCTCCATCAAAAGAAAGGTTAAACTCCTTGAGTTGAACACACACATCACAAAGTAGTTTCTGTGAATGTTTCTGTCTAGTTTTTATACGAAGATGTTTCCTTTTCTACCTTTGGTCTCAAAGCGATTGAAATCTCCACATGGAAACTCCACAAAAAGAGTGTTTCAAATCTGCTCTTTCTGAAGGAAGGTTCATCTCTGTGAGTTGAATACACACACCACAAATAAGTTACTGAGAATTCTTCTGTGTAACATTATATGAGGAAATCCCGTTTCCAACGAAGGCCTCAAAGAGGTCCAAATATCCACTTGCAGACTTTACAAAGACAGTGTCTCCAAACTCCTCCATCAAAAGAAAGGTTATACTCTGTGAATTGAACGCACACATCACAAAGTAGTTTCTGAGAATGATTCTGTCTAGTTTTTATACGAAGATATTTCCTTTTCTACATTTGGCCTAAAAGCGCTTGAAATCTCCACCTGCAAATATCACAAAAAGAGGGTTTCACATCTGCTCTATCTAAAGGAGAGTTCACCTCTGTGAGTTGAATAGAGGCAACACAAAGAACTTACTCAGTATTCTTCTTTCTAGCGTTCTATGAAGAAATCCCGTTTCCAACGAAGGCCTCAAAGAGGTCAAATATCTGCTTGCAGACTTTACAGACAGAGTGTTTCCAAACTACTCTATGAAAAGAAAGCTTAAACTCCTTGAGTTGAACGCACACATCACAAAGTAGTTTCTGAGAATGATTCTGTCTAGTTTTTATACGAAGATGTTTCCTTTTCTACATTTGGTCTCAAAGCTCTTGAAATCTCCAACTGGAAACTGCACAAATAGGCTGTTTTAAATCTGCTCTGTCTAAAGGAAGGTTCAACTCTGTGAGTTGAATACACACACCACAAATAAGTTACTGAGAATTCTTCTGTCGAACATTACTTGAAGAAATCCCGTTTCCAACGAAGGCCTCAAAGAGGTCCAAATATCCACTTGCAGACGTTACAAACAGAGTGTTTCCAAACTGCTCCATCAAAAGAAAGGTTAAACTCTGTGAGCTGAACACACACATCAAAAAGAAGTTTCTGTGAATGATTCTGTCTAGATTTTATAAGAAGATGTTTCCTTTTCTACCGTAGGCCTCAAAGCGCTTGAAATCTCCAGCTGCAAATTCCACAAAAAGGGTGTTTAACATCTGCTCTTCTAAAGGAAAGTTCAACTCTATGAGTTGAATACACACAGCACAAAGAAGTTACTGAGACTTCTCCTATCAAACATTATATGAAGAAATCCCGTTTCCAACGAAGGCCTCAAAGAGGTCCAAATATCTGCTTGCAGACTTTACAGACAGAGTGTTTCCAAACTGCTCCATCAAAAGAAAGGTTAAACTCCTTGAGTTGAACACACACATCACAAAGTAGTTTCTGTGAATGATTCTGTCCAGTTTTTATACGAAGTATGTTTCCTTTTCTACCTTTGGTCTCAAAGCGATTGAAATCTCCACATGGAAACTCCACAAAAAGAGTGATTCAAATCTGCTCTTTCTGAAGGAAGGTTCAACTCTGTGAGTTGAATACACACAACACAAATAAGTTACTGAGAATTCTTCTGTGTAACATTATACGAGGAAATCCCGTTTCCAACGAAGGCCTCAAAGAGGTCCAAATATCCACTTGCAGACTTTACAAAGACAGTGTCTCCAAACTCCTCCATCAAAAGAAAAGTTATACTCTGTGAATTGAACGCACACATCACAAAGTAGTTTCTGAGAATGATTCTGTCTAGTTTTTATACGAAGATATTTCCTTTTCTACATTTGGCCTAAAAGCGCTTGAAATCTCCACCTGCAAATATCCCAAAAAGAGGGTTTCACATCTGCTCTGTCTAAAGGACAGTTCACCTCTGTGAGTTGAATAGAGGCAACACAAAGAACTTACTCAGTATTCTTCTTTCTAGCGTTCTATGAAGAAATCCCGTTTCCAACGAAGGCCCCAAAGAGGTCCAAATATCTGCTTGCAGACTTTACAGACAGAGTGTTTCCAAACTACTCTATGAAAAGAAAGCTTAAACTCCTTGAGTTGAACGCACACATCACAAAGTAGTTTCTGAGAATGATTCTGTCTAGTTTTTATACGAAGATGTTTCCTTTTCTACATTTGGTCTCAAAGCGATTGAAATCTCCAACTGGAAACTGCACAAATAGGGTGTTTCAAATCTGCTCTGTCTAAAGGAAGGTTCAATTCTGTGAGTTGAATACACAAACTACAAATAAGTTACTGAGAATTCTTCTGTCGACCATTACTTGAAGAAATCCCGTTTCCAACGAAGGCCTCAAAGAGGTCCAAATATCCACTTGCAGACATTACAAACAGAGTGTTTCCAAACTGCTCCATCAAAAGAAAGGTTAAACTCTGTGAGCTGAACACACACATCGAAAAGAAGTTTCTGTGAATGATTCTGTCTAGATTTTATAAGAAGATGTTTCCTTTTCTACCGTAGGCCTCAAAGCGCTTGAAATCTCCAGCTGCAAATTCCACAAAAAGGGTGTTTAACATCTGCTCTTCTAAAGGAAAGTTCAACTCTATGAGTTGAATACACACAGCACAAAGAAGTTACTGAGACTTCTCCTATCAAACATTATATGAAGAAATCCCGTTTCCAACGAAGGCCTCAAAGAGGTCCAAATATCTGCTTGCAGACTTTACAGACAGAGTTTTTCCAAACTGCTCCATCAAAAGAAAGGTTAAACTCCTTGAGTTGAACACACACATCACAAAGTAGTTTCTGTGAATGATTCTGTCTAGTTTTTATACGAAGATGTTTCCTTTTCTACCTTTGGTCTCAAAGCGATTGAAATCTCCACATGGAAACTCCACAAAAAGAGTGTTTCAAATCTGCTCTTTCTGAAGGAAGGTTCAACTCTGTGAGTTGAATACACACACCACAAATAAGTTACTGAGAATTCTTCTGTGTAACATTATATGAGGAAATCCCGTTTCCAACGAAGGCCTCAAAGAGGTCCAAATATCCACTTGCAGACTTTACAAAGACAGTGTCTCCAAACTCCTCCATCAAAAGAAAGGTTATACTCTGTGAATTGAACGCACACATCACAAAGTAGTTTCTGAGAATGATTCTGTCTAGTTTTTATACGAAGATATTTCCTTTTCTACATTTGGCCTAAAAGCGCTTGAAATCTCCACCTGCAAATATCCCAAAAAGAGGGTTTCACATCTCCTCTGTCTAAAGGACAGTTCACCTCTGTGAGTTGAATAGAGGCAACACAAAGAACTTACTCAGTATTCTTCTTTCTAGCGTTCTATGAAGAAATCCCGTTTCCAACGAAGGCCTCAAAGAGGTCCAAATATCTGCTTGCAGACTTTACAGACAGAGTGTTTCCAAACTACTCTATGAAAAGAAAGCTTAAACTCCTTGAATTGAACGCGCATATCACAAAGTAGTTTCTGAGAATGATTCTGTCTAGTTTTTATACGAAGATGTTTCCTTTTCTACATTTGGTCTCAAAGCGATTGAAATCTCCAACTGGAAACTGCACAAATAGGGTGTTTCAAATCTGCTCTGTCTAAAGGAAGGTTCAACTCTGTGAGTTGAATACACACACCACAAATAAGTTACTGAGAATTCTTCTGTCGAACATTACATGAAGAAATTCCGTTTCCAACGAAGGCCTCAAAGAGGTCCAACTATCCACTTGCAGACATTACAAACAGAGTGTTTCCAAACTGCTCCATCAAAAGAAAGGTTAAACTCTGTGAGCTGAACACACACATCAAAAAGAAGTTTCTGTGAATGATTCTGTCTAGATTTTATAAGAAGATGTTTCCTTTTCTACCGTAGGCCTCAAAGCGCTTGAAATCTCCAGCTGCAAATTCCACAAAAAGGGTGTTTAACATCTGCTCTTCTAAAGGAAAGTTCAACTCAATGAGTTGAATACACACAGCACAAAGAAGTTACTGAGACTTCTCCTATCAAACATTATATGAAGAAATCCCGTTTCCAACGAAGGCCTCAAAGAGGTCCAAATATCTGCTTGCAGACTTTACAGACAGAGTGTTTCCAAACTGCTCCATCAAAAGAAAGGTTAACCTCCTTGAGTTGAACACACACATCACAAATTAGTTTCTGTGAATGATTCTGTCTAGTTTTTATACGAAGATGTTTCCTTTTCTACCTTTGGTCTCAAAGCGATTGAAATCTCCACATGGAAACTCCACAAAAAAGAGTGTTTCAAATCTGCTCTTTCTGAAGGAAGGTTCAACTCTGTGAGTTGAATACACACACCACAAATAAGTTACTGAGAATTCTTCTGTGTAACATTATATCGAGGAAATCCCGTTTCCATCGAAGGCCTCAAAGAGGTCCAAATATCCACTTGCAGACTTTACAAAGACAGTGTCTCGAAACTCCTCCATCAAAAGAAAGGTTATACTCTGTGAATTGAACGCACACATCACAAAGTAGTTTCTGAGAATGATTCTGTCTAGTTTTTATACGAAGATATTTCCTTTTCTACATTTGGCCTAAAAGCGCTTGAAATCTCCACCTGCAAATATCACAAAAAGAGGGTTTCACATCTGCTCTGTCTAAAGGACAGTTCACCTCTGTGAGTTGAATAGAGGCAACACAAAGAACTTACTCAGTATTCTTCTTTCTAGCATTCTATGAAGAAATCCCGTTTCCAACGAAGGCCTCAAAGAGGTCAAATATCTGCTTGCAGACTTTACAGACAGAGTGTTTCCAAACTACTCGATGAAAAGAAAGCTTAAACTCCTTGAGTTGAACGCACACATCACAAAGTAGTTTCTGAGAATGATTCTGTCTAGTTTTTATACGAAGATGTTTCCTTTTCTACATTTGGTCTGAAAGCGATTGAAATCTCCAACTGGAAACTGCACAAATAGGCTGTTTCAAATCTGCTCTGTCTAAAGGAAGGTTCAGCTCTGTGAGTTGAATACACACACCACAAATAAGTTACTGAGAATTCTTCTGTCGAACATTACAGGAAGAAATCCCGTTTCCAATGAAGGCCTCAAAGAGGTCCAAATATCCACTTGCGGACATTACAAACAGTGTGTTTCCCAACTGCTCCATCAAAAGAAAGGTTAAACTCTGTGAGCTGAACACACACATCAAAAAGAAGTTTCTGTGAATGATTCTGTCTAGATTTTATAAGAAGATGTTTCCTTTTCTACCGTAGGCCTCAAAGCGCTTGAAATCTCCAGCTGCAAATTCCACAAAAAGGGTGTTTAACATCTGCTCTTCTAAAGGAAAGTTCAACTCTATGAGTTGAATACACACAGCACAAAGAAGTTACTGAGACTTCTCCTATCAAACATTATATGAAGAAATCCCGTTTCCAACGAAGGCCTCAAAGAGGTCCAAATGTCTGCTTGCAGACTTTACAGACAGAGTGTTTCCAAACTGCTCCATCAAAAGAAAGGTTAAACTCCTTGAGTTGAACACACACATCACAAAGTAGTTTCTGTGAATGATTCTGTCTAGTTTTTATACGAAGATGTTTCCTTTTCTACCTTTGGTCTCAAAGCGATTGAAATCTCCACATGGAAACTCCACAAAAAGAGTGTTTCAAATCTGCTCTTTCTGAAGGAAGGTTCAACTCTGTGAGTTGAATACACACACCACAAATAAGTTACTGAGAATTCTTCTGGGTAACATTATATGAGGAAATCCCGTTTCCAACGAAGGCCTCAAAGAGGTCCAAATATCCACTTGCAGACTTTACAAAGACAGTGTCTCCAAACTCCTCCATCAAAAGAAAGGTTATACTCTGTGAATTGAACGCACACATCACAAAGTAGTTTCTGAGAATGATTCTGTCTAGTTTTTATACGAAGATATTTCCTTTTCTACATTTGGCCTAAAAGCGCTTGAAATCTCCACGTGGAAATATCACAAAAAGAGGGTTTCACATCTGCTCTGTCTAAAGGACAGTTCACCTCTGTGAGTTGAATAGAGGCAACACATAGAACTTACTCAATATTCTTCTTTCTACCGTTCTATGAAGAAATCCCGTTTCCAACGAAGGCCTCAAAGAGGTCCAAATATCTGCTTGCAGACTTTACAGACAGAGTGTTTCCAAACTACTCTATGAAAAGAAAGCTTAAACTCCTTGAGTTGAACGCACACATCACAAAGTAGTTTCTGAGAATGATTCTGTCTAGTTTTTATACGAAGATGTTTCCTTTTCTACATTTGGTCTCAAAGCGATTGAAATCTCCAACTGGAAACTGCACAAATAGGGTGTTTCAAATCTGCTCTGTCTAAAGGAAGGTTCAACTCTTTGAGTTGAATACACACACCACAAATAAGTTACTGAGAATTCTTCTGTCGAACATTACTTGAAGAAATCCCGTTTCCAACGAAGGCCTCAAAGAGGTCCAAATATCCACTTGCAGACATTACAAACAGAGTGTTTCCTAACTGATCCATCAAAAGAAAGGTTAAACTCTGTGAGCTGAACACACACATCGAAAAGAAGTTTCTGTGAATGATTCTGTCTAGATTTTATAAGAAGATGTTTCCTTTTCTACCATAGGCCTCAAAGCGCTTGAAATCTCCAGCTGCAAATTCCACAAAAAGGGTGTTTAACATCTGCTCTTCTAAAGGAAAGTTCAACTCTATGAGTTGAATACACACAGCACAAAGAAGTTACTGAGACTTCTCCTATCAAACATTATATGAAGAAATCCCGTTTCCAATGAAGGCCTCAAAGAGGTCTAAATATCTGCTTGCAGACTTTACAGACAGAGTGTTTCCAAACTGCTCCATCAAAAGAAAGGTTAAACTCCTTGAGTTGAACACACACATCACAAAGTAGTTTCTGTGAATGATTCTGTCTAGTTTTTATACGAAGATGTTTCCTTTTCTACCTTTGGTCTGAAAGCGATTGAAATCTCCACATGGAAACTCCACAAAAAGAGTGTTTCAAATCTGCTCTTTCTGAAGGAAGGTTCAACTCTGTGAGTTGAATACACACACCACAAATAAGTTACTGAGAATTCTTCTGTGTAACATTATATGAGGAAATCCCGTTTCCAACGAAGGCCTCAAAGAGGTCCAAATATCCACTTGCAGACTTTACAAAGACAGTGTCTCCAAACTCCTCCATCAAAAGAAAGGTTATACTCTGTGAATTGAATGCACACATCACAAAGTAGTTTCTGAGAATGATTCTGTCTAGTTTTTATACGAAGATATTTCCTTTTCTACATTTGGCCTAAAAGCGCTTGAAATCTCCACCTGCAAATATCACAAAAAGAGGGTTTCACATCTGCTCTGTCTAAAGGACAGTTCACCTCTGTGAGTTGAATAGAGGCAACACAAAGAACTTACTCAGTATTCTTCTTTCTAGCGTTCTATGAAGAAATCCCGTTTCCAACGAAGGTCCCAAAGAGGTCCAAATATCTGCTTGCAGACTTTACAGACAGAGTGTTTCCAAAGTACTCTATGAAAAGAAAGCTTAAACTCCTTGAGTTGAACGCACACATCACAAAGTAGTTTCTGAGAATGATTCTGTCTAGTTTTTATACGAAGATGTTTCCTTTTCTACATTTGGTCTCAAAGCGATTGAAATCTCCAACTGGAAACTGCACAAATAGGGTGTTTCAAATCTGCTCTGTCTAAAGGAAGGTTCAACTCTGTGAGTTGAATACACACACCACAAATAAGTTACTGAGAATTCTTCTGTCGTACATTACATGAAGAAATCCCGTTTCCAACGAAGTCCTCAAAGAGGTCCAAATATCCACTTGCAGACATTACAAACAGAGTGTTTCCAAACTGCTCCATCAAAAGAAAGGTTAAACTCGGTGAGCTGAACACACACATCAAAAAGAAGTTTCTGTGAATGATTCTGTCTAGATTTTATAAGAAGATGTTTCCTTTTCTACCGTAGGCCTCAAAGCGCTTGAAATCTCCAGCTGCAAATTCCACAAAAAGGGTGTTTAACATCTGCTCTTCTAAAGGAAAGTTCAACTATATGAGTTGAATACACACAGCACAAAGAAGTTACTGAGACTTCTCCTATCAAACATTATATGAAGAAATCCCGTTTCCAACGAAGGCCTCAAAGAGGTCCAAATATCTGCTTGCAGACTTTACAGACAGAGTGTTTCCAAACTGCTCCATCAAAAGAAAGGTTAAACTCCTTGAGTTGAACACACACATCACAAAGTAGTTTCTGTGAATGATTCTGTCTAGTTTTTATACGAAGATGTTTCCTTTTCTACCTTTGGTCTGAAAGCGATTGAAATCTCCACATGGAAACTCCACAAAAAGAGTGTTTCAAATCTGCTCTTTCTGAAGGAAGGTTCAACTCTGTGAGTTGAATACGCACACCACAAATAAGTTACTGAGAATTCTTCTGTGTAACATTATATGAGGAAATTCCGTTTCCAACGAAGGCCTCAAAGAGGTCCAAATATCCACTTGCAGACTTTACAAAGACAGTGTCTCCAAACTCCTCCATCAAAAGAAAGGTTATACTCTGTGAATTGAATGCACACATCACAAAGTAGTTTCTGAGAATGATTCTGTCTAGTTTTTATACGAAGATATTTCCTTTTCTACATTTGGCCTAAAAGCGCTTGAAATCTCCACCTGCAAATATCACAAAAAGAGGGTTTCACATCTGCTCTGTCTAAAGGACAGTTCACCTCTGTGAGTTGAATAGAGGCAACACAAAGAACTTACTCAGTATTCTTCTTTCTAGCGTTCTATGAAGAAATCCCGTTTCCAACGAAGGCCCCAAAGAGGTCCAAATATCTGCTTGCAGACTTTACAGACAGAGTGTTTCCAAACTACTCTATGAAAAGAAACCTTAAACTCCTTGAGTTGAATGCACACATCACAAAGTAGTTTCTGAGAATGATTCTGTCTAGTTTTTATACGAAGATGTTTCCTTTTCTACATTTGGTCTCAAAGCGATTGAAATCTCCAACTGGAAACTGCACAAATAGGGTGTTTCAAATCTGCTCTGTCTAAAGGAAGGTTCAACTCTGTGAGTTGAATACACACACCACAAATAAGTTACTGAGAATTCTTCTGTCGAACATTACTTGAAGAAATCCCGTTTCCAAAGAAGGCCTCAAAGAGGTCCAAATATCCACTTGCAGACATTACAAACAGAGTGTTTCCAAACTGCTCCATCAAAAGAAAGGTTAAACTCTGTGAGCTGAACACACACATCAAAAAGAAGTTTCTGTGAATGATTCTGTCTAGATTTTATAAGAAGATGTTTCCTTTTCTACCATAGGTCTCAAAGCGCTTGAAATCTCCAGCTGCAAATTCCACAAAAAGGGTGTTTAACATCTGCTCTTCTAAAGGAAAGTTCAACTCTATGAGTTGAATACACACAGCACAAAGAAGTTACTGAGACTTCTCCTATCAAACATTATATGAAGAAATCCCGTTTCCAACGAAGGCCTCAAAGAGGTCCAAATATCTGCTTGCAGACTTTACAGACAGAGTGTTTCCAAACTGCTCCATCAAAAGAAAGGTTAAACTCCTTGAGTTGAACACACACATCACAAAGTAGTTTCTGTGAATGATTCTGTCTAGTTGTTATACGAAGATGTTTCCTTTTCTACCTTTGGTCTCAAAGCGATTGAAATCTCCACATGGAAACTCCACAAAAAGAGTGTTTCAAATCTGCTCTTTCTGAAGGAAGGTTCATCTCTGTGAGTTGAATACACACACCACAAATAAGTTACTGAGAATTCTTCTGTGTAATATTATATGAGGAAATCCCGTTTCCAACGAAGGCCTCAAAGAGGTCCAAATATCCACTTGCAGACTTTACAAAGACAGTGTCTCCAAACTCCTCCATCAAAAGAAGGGTTATACTCTGTGAATTGAACGCACACATCACAAAGTAGTTTCTGAGAATGATTCTGTCTAGTTTTTATACGAAGATATTTCCTTTTCTACATTTGGCCTAAAAGCGCTTGAAATCTCCACCTGCAAATATCACAAAAAGAGGGTTTCACATCTGCTCTGTCTAAAGGACAGTTCACCTCTGTGAGTTGAATAGAGGCAACACAAAGAACTTACTCAGTATTCTTCTTTCTAGCGTTCTATGAAGAAATCCCGTTTCCAACGAAGGCCCCAAAGAGGTCCAAATATCTGCTTGCAGACTTTACAGACAGAGTGTTTCCAAACTACTCTATGAAAAGAAAGCTTAAACTCCTTGAGTTGAACGCACACATCACAAAGTAGTTTCTGAGAATGATTCTGTCTAGTTTTTATACGAAGATGTTTCCTTTTCTACATTTGGTCTCAAAGCGATTGAAATCTCCAACTGGAAACTGCACAAATAGGCTGTTTCAAATCTGCTCTGTCTAAAGGAAGGTTCAACTCTGTGAGTTGAATACACACACCACAAATAAGTTACTGAGAATTCTTCTGTCGAACATTACTTGAAGAAATCCCGTTTCCAACGAAGGCCTCAAAGAGGTCCAAATATCCACTTGCAGACATTACAAACAGAGTGTTTCCAAACTGCTCCATCAAAAGAAAGGTTAAACTCTGTGAGCTGAACACACACATCAAAAAGAAGTTTCTGTGAATGATTCTGTCTAGATTTTATAAGAAGATGTTTCCTTTTCTACCGTAGGCCTCAAAGCGCTTGAAATCTCCAGCTGCAAATTCCACAAAAAGGGTGTTTAACATCTGCTCTTCTAAAGGAAAGTTCAACTCTATGAGTTGAATACACACAGCACAAAGAAGTTACTGAGACTTCTCCTATCAAACATTATATGAAGAAATCCCGTTTCCAACGAAGGCCCCAAAGAGGTCCAAATATCTGCTTGCAGACTTTACAGACAGTGTGTTTCCAAACTGCTCCATCAAAAGAAAGGTTAAACTCCTTGAGTTGAACACACACATCACAAAGTAGTTTCTGTGAATGATTCTGTCTAGTTTTTATACGAAGATGTTTGCTTTTGTACCTTTGGCCTCAAAGCGATTGAAATCTCCACATGGAAACTCCACAAAAAGAGTGTTTCAAATCTGCTCTTTCTGAAGGAAGGTTCAACTCTGTGAGTTGAATACACACACCACAAATAAGTTACTGAGAATTCTTCTGTGGAACATTATATGAGGAAATCCCGTTTCCAACGAAGGCCTCAAAGAGGTCCAAGTATCCACTTGCAGACTTTACAAAGACAATGTCTCCAAACTCCTCCATCAAAACAAAGGTTATACTCTGTGAATTGAACGCACACATCACAAAGTAGTTTCTGAGAATGATTCTGTCTAGTTTTTATACGAAGATATTTCCTTTTCTACATTTGGCCTAAAAGCACTTGAAATCTCCACCTGCAAATATCCCAAAAAGAGGGTTTCACATCTGCTCTGTCTAAAGGACAGTTCACCTCTGTGAGTAGAATAGAGGCAACACAAAGAACTTAGTATTCTTCTTTCTAGCGTTCTATGAAGAAATCCCGTTTCCAACGAAGGCCTCAAAGAGGTTCAAATATCTGCTTGCAGACTTTACAGACAGAGTGTTTCCAAACTACTCTATGAAAAGAAAGCTTAAACTCCTTGAGTTGAACGCACACAACACAAAGTAGTTTCTGAGAATGATTCTGTCTAGTTTTTATACGAAGATGTTTCCTTTTCTACATTTGGTCTCAAAGCGATTGAAATCTCCAACTGGAAACTGCACAAATAGGGTGTTTCAAATCTGCTCTGTCTAAAGGAAGGTTCAACTCTGTGAGTTGAATACACACACCACAAATAAGTTACTGAGAATTCTTCTGTCGAACATTACATGAAGAAATCCCGTTTCCAACGAAGGCCTCAAAGAGGTCCAAATATCCACTTGCAGACATTACAAACAGAGTGTTTCCAAACTGCTCCATCAAAAGAAAGGTTAAACTCTGTGAGCTGAACACACACATCAAAAAGAAGTTTCTGTGAATGATTCTGTCTAGATTTTATAAGAAGATGTTTCCTTTTCTACCGTAGGCCTCAAAGCGCTTGAAATCTCCAGCTGCAAATTCCACAAAAAGGGTGTTTAACATCTGCTCTTCTAAAGGAAAGTTCAACTCAATGAGTTGAATACACACAGCACAAAGAAGTTACTGAGACTTCTCCTATCAAACATTATATGAAGAAATCCCGTTTCCAACGAAGGCCTCAAAGAGGTCCAAATATCTGCTTGCAGACTTTACAAAGACAGTGTCTCCAAACTCCTCCATCAAAAGAAAGGTTAAACTCCTTGAGTTGAACACACACATCACAAAGTAGTTTCTGTGAATGATTCTGTCTAGTTTTTATACGAAGATGTTTCCTTTTCTACCTTTGGTCTCAATGCGATTGAAATCTCCACATGGAAACTCCACAAAAAGAGTGTTTCAAATCTGCTCTTTCTGAAGGAAGGTTCAACTCTGTGAGTTGAATACACACACCACAAATAAGTTACTGAGAATTCTTCTGTGTAACATTATATGAGGAAATCCCGTTTAGAACGAAGGCCTCAAAGAGGTCCAAATATCCACTTGCAGACTTTACAAAGACAGTGTCTCCAAACTCCGCCATCAAAAGAAAGGTTATACTCTGTGAATTAAACGCACACATCACAAAGTAGTTTCTGAGAATGATTCTGTCTAGTTTTTATACGAAGATATTTCCTTTTCTACATTTGGCCTAAAAGCGCTTGAAATCTCCACCTGCAAATATCACAAAAAGAGGGTTTCACATCTGCTCTGTCTAAAGGACAGTTCACCTCTGTGAGTTGAATAGAGGCAACACAAAGAACTTACTCAGTATTCTTCTTTCTAGCGTTCTATGAAGAAATCCGGTTTCCAACGAAGACCCCAATGAGGTCCAAATATCTGCTTGCAGACTTTACAGACAGAGTGTTTCCAAACTACTCTATGAAAAGAAAGCTTAAACTCCTTGAGTTGAACGCACACATCACAAAGTAGTTTCTGAGAATGATTCTGTCTAGTTTTTATACGAAGATGTTTCCTTTTCTACATTTGGCCTAAAAGTGCCTGAAATCTCCACCTGCAAATATCACAAAAAGAGGGTTTCACATCTGCTCTGTCTAAAGGACAGTTCACCTCTGTGAGTTGAAATAGAGGCAACACAAAGAACTTACTCAGTATTCATCTTTCTAGCGTTATATGAAGAAATCCCGTTTCCAACGAAGGCCTCAAAGAGGTCCAAATATCTGCTTGCAGACTTTACAGACAGAGTGTTTCCAAACTACTCTATGAAAAGAAAGCTTAAACTCCATGAGTTAAACGCACACATCACAAAGTAGTTTCTGAGAATGATTCTGTCTAGTTTTTATACGAAGATGTTTCCTTTTCTACATTTGGTCTCAAAGCGATTGAAATCTCCAACTGGAAACTGCACAAATAGGGTGTTTCAAATCTGCTCTGTCTAAAGGAAGGTTCAACTCTGTGAGTTGAATACACACACCACAAATAAGTTACTGAGAATTCTTCTGTCGAACATTACTTGAAGAAATCCCGTTTCCAAAGAAGGCCTCAAAGAGGTCCAAATATCCACTTGCAGACATTACAAACAGAGTGTTTCCAAACTGCTCCATCAAAAGAAAGGTTAAACTCTGTGAGCTGAACACACACATCAAAAAGAAGTTTCTGTGAATGATTCTGTCTAGATTTTATAAGAAGATGTTTCCTTTTCTACCGTAGGCCTCAAAGCGCTTGAAATCTCCAGCTGCAAATTCCACAAAAAGGGTGTTTAACATCTGCTCTACTAAAGGAAAGTTCAACTCTATGAGTTGAATACACACAGCAGAAAGAAGTTACTGAGACTTCTCCTATCAAACATTATATGAAGAAATCCCGTTTCCAACGAAGCCCTCAAAGAGGTACAAATATCTGCTTGCAGACTTTTCAGACAGAGAGTTTCCAAACTGCTCCATCAAAAGAAAGGTTAAACTCCTTGAGTTGAACACACACATCACAAAGTAGTTTCTGTGAATGATTCTGTCTAGTTTTTATACGAAGATGTTTCCTTTTCTACCTTTGGTCTCAATGCGATTGAAATCTCCACATGGAAACTCCAGAAAAAGAGTGTTTCAAATCTGCTCTTTCTGAAGGAAGGTTCAACTCTGTGAGTTGAATACACACACCACAAATAAGTTACTGAGAATTCTTCTGTGTAACATTATATGAGGAAATCCCGTTTCCAACGAAGGTCTCAAAGAGGTCCAAATATCCACTTGCAGACTTTACAAAGACAGTGTCTCCAAACTCCTCCATCAAAAGAAAGGTTATACTCTGTGAATTGAACGCACACATCACAAAGTAGTTTCTGAGAATGATTCTGTCTAGTTTTTATACGAAGATATTTCCTTTTCTACATTTGGCCTAAAAGCGCTTGAAATCTCCACGTGCAAATATCACAAAAAGAGGGTTTCACATCTGCTCTGTCTAAAGGACAGTTCACCTCTGTGAGTTGAATAGAGGCAACACAAAGATCTTACTCAGTATTCTTCTTTCTAGCGTTCTATGAAGAAATCCCGTTTCCAACGAAGGCCTCAAAGAGGTCCAAATATCTGCTTGCAGACTTTACAGACAGAGTGTTTCCAAACTACTCTATGAAAAGAAAGCTTAAACTCCTTGAGTTGAACGCACACATCACAAAGTAGTTTCTGAGAATGATTCTGTCTAGTTTTTATACGAAGATGTTTCCTTTTCTACATTTGGTCTCAAAGCGATTGAAATCTCCAACTGGAAAATGCACAAATAGGGTGTTTCAAATCTGCTCTGTCTAAAGGAAGGTTCAACTCTGTGAGTTGAATACACACACCACAAATAAGTTACTGAGAATTCTTCTGTCGAACATTACTTGAAGAAATCCCGTTTCCAAAGAAGGCCTCAAAGAGGTCCAAATATCCACTTGCAGACATTACAAACAGAGTGTTTCCAAACTGCTCCATCAAAAGAAAGGTTAAACTCTGTGAGCTGAACACACACATGAAAAAGAAGTTTCTGTGAATGATTCTGTCTAGATTTTATAAGAAGATGTTTCCTTTTCTACCGTAGGCCTCAAAGCGCTTGAAATCTCCAGCTGCAAATTCTACAAAAAGGGTGTTTAACATCTGCTCTTCTAAAGGAAAGTTCAACTCTATGCGTTGAATAAACACAGCAGAAAGAAGTTACTGAGACTTCTCCTATCAAACATTATATGAAGAAATCCCGTTTCCAACGAAGGCCCCAAAGAGGTCCAAATATCTGCTTGCAGACTTTACAGACAGAGTTTTTCCAAACAGCTCCATCAAAAGAAAGGTTAAACTCCTTGAGTTGAACACACACATCACAAAGTAGTTTCTGTGAATGATTCTGTCTAGTTTTTATACGAAGATGTTTCCTTTTCTACCTTTCGTCTCAAAGCGATTGAAATCTCCCCATGGAAACTCCACAAAAAGAGTGTTTCAAATCTGCTCTTTCTGAAGGAAGGTTCAACTCTGTGAGTTGAATACACACACCACAAATAAGTTACTGAGAATTCTACTGTGTAACATTATATGAGGAAATCCCGTTTCCAACGAAGGCCTCAAAGAGGTCCAAATATCCACTTGCAGACTTTACAAAGACAGTTTCTCCAAACTCCTCCATCAAAAGAAAGGTTATACTCTGTGAATTGAACGCACACATCACAAAGTAGTTTCTGAGAATGATTCTGTCTAGTTTTTATACGAAGATATTTCCTTTTCTACATTTGGCCTAAAAGCGCTTGAAATCTCCACCTGCAAATATCACAAAAAGAGGGTTTCACATCTGCTCTGTTTAAAGGACAGTTCACCTCTGTGAGTTGAATAGAGGCAACACAAAGAACTTACTCAGTATTCTTCTTTCTAGCGTTCTATGAAGAAATCCCGTTTCCAACGAAGGCCCCAAAGAGGTCCAAATATCTGCTTGCAGACTTTACAGACAGAGTGTTTCCAAACTACTCTATGAAAAGAAAGCTTAAACTCCTTGAGTTGAACGCACACATCACAAAGTAGTTTCTGAGAATGATTCTGTCTTGTTTTTATACAAGGTTATTTCCGTTTCTATGATTGGCCTCAAAGCGATTGAAATCTCCAACTGGAAACTGCACAAATAGGGTGTTTCAAATCTGCTCTGTCTAAAGGAAGGTTCAACTCTGTGAGTTGAATACACACACCACAAATAACTTACTGAGAATTCTTGTGTCGAACATTACATGAAGAAATCCCGTTTCAACGAAGGCCTCAAAGAGGTCCAAATATCCACTTGCAGACATTAAAGAGTGTTTCCAAACTGCTCCATCAAAAGAAAGTTTAAACTCTGTGAGCTGAACACACACATCAAAAAGAAGTTTCTGTGAATGATTCTGTCTAGATTTTATAAGAAGATGTTTCCTTTTCTACCGTAGGCCTCAAAGCGCTTGAAATCTCCAGCTGCAAATTCCACAAAAAGGGTGTTTAACATCTGCTCTTCTAAAGGAAAGTTCAACTCTATGAGTTGAATACACACAGCACAAAGAAGTTACTGAGACTTCTCCTATCAAACATTATATGAAGAAATCCCGTTTCCAACGAAGGCCTCAAAGAGGTCCAAATATCTGCTTGCAGACTTTACAGACAGAGTGTTTCCAAACTGCTCCATCAAAAGAAAGGTTAAACTCCTTGAGTTGAACACACACATCACAAAGTAGTTTCTGTGAATGATTCTGTCTAGTTTTTATACGAAGATGTTTCCTTTTCTACCTTTGGTCTCAAAGCGATTGAAATCTCCACATGGAAACTCCACAAAAAGAGTGTTTCAAATCTGCTCTTTCTGAAGGAAGGTTCATCTCTGTGAGTTGAATACACACACCACAAATAAGTTACTGAGAATTCTTCTGTGTAACATTATATGAGGAAATCCCGTTTCCAACGAAGGCCTCAAAGAGGTCCAAATATCCACTTGCAGACTTTACAAAGACAGTGTCTCCAAACTCCTCCATCAAAAGAAAGGTTATACTCTGTGAATTGAACGCATACATCACAAAGTAGTTTCTGAGAATGATTCTGTCTAGTTTTTATACGAAGATATTTCCTTTTCTACATTTGGCCTAAAAGCGCTTGAAATCTCCACCTGCAAATATCACAAGAAGAGGGTTTCACATCTGCTCTGTCTAAAGGACAGTTCACCTCTGTGAGTTGAATAGAGGCAACACAAAGAACTTACTCAGTATTCTTCTTTCTAGCATTCTATGAAGAAATCCCGTTTCCAACGAAGGCCTCAAAGAGGTCCAAATATCTGCTTGCAGACTTTACAGACAGAGTTTTTCCAAACTGCTCCATCAAAAGAAAGGTTAAACTCCTTGAGTTGAACACACACATCACAAAGTAGTTTCTGTGAATGATTCTGTCTAGTTTTTATACGAAGATGTTTCCTTTTCTACCTTTGGTCTCAAAGCGATTGAAATCTCCACATGGAAACTCCACAAAAAGAGTGTTTCAAATCTGCTCTTTCTGAAGGAAGGTTCAACTCTGTGAGTTGAATACACACACCACAAATAAGTTACTGAGAATTCTTCTGTGTAACATTATATGAGGAAATCCCGTTTCCAACGAAGGCCTCAAAGAGGTCCAAATATCCACTTTCAGACTTTACAAAGACAGTGTCTCCAAACTCCTCCATCAAAAGAAAGGTTATACTCTGTGAATTGAACGCACACATCACAAAGTAGTTTCTGAGAATGATTCTGTCTAGTTTTTATACGAAGATATTTCCTTTTCTACATTTGGCCTAAAAGCGCTTGAAATCTCCACCTGCAAATATCACAAAAAGAGGGTTTCACATCTGCTCTGTCTAAAGGACAGTTCACCTCTGTGAGTTGAATAGAGGCAACACAATGAACTTACTCAGTATTCTTCTTTCTAGCGTTCTATGAAGAAATCCCGTTTCCAACGAAGGCCTCAATGAGGTCCAAATATCTGCTTGCAGACTTTACAGACAGAGTGTTTCCAAACTACTCTATGAAAAGAAAGCTTAAACTCCTTGAGTTGAACGCACACATCACAAAGTAGTTTCTGAGAATGATTCTGTCTAGTTTTTATACGAAGATGTTTCCTTTTCTACATTTGGTCTCAAAGCGATTGAAATCTCCAACTGGAAACTGCACAAATAGGGTGTTTCAAATCTGCTCTGTCTAAAGGAAGGTTCAACTCTGTGAGTTGAATACACACACCACACATAAGTTACTGAGAATTCTTCTGTCGAACATTACAGGAAGAAATCCCGTTACCAACGAAGGCCTCAAAGAGGTCCAAATTTCCACTTGCAGACATTACAAACAGTGTGTTTGCAAACTGCTCCATCAAAAGAAAGGTTAAACTCTGTGAGCTGAACACACACATCAAAAAGAAGTTTCTGTGAATGATTCTGTCTAGATTTTATAAGAAGATGTTTCCTTTTCTACCGTAGGCCTCAAAGCGCTTGAAATCTCCAGCTGCAAATTCCACAAAAAGGGTGTTTAACATCTGCTCTTCTAAAGGAAAGTTCAACTCTATGAGTTGAATACACACAGCACAAAGAAGTTTCTGAGACTTCTTCTGTCGAACATTACTTGAAGAAATCCCGTTTCCAACGAAGGCCTCAAAGAGGTCCAAATATCTGCCTGCAGACTTTACAGACAGAGTGTTTCCAAACTGCTCCATCAAAAGAAAGGTTAAACTCCTTGAGTTGAACACACACATCACAAAGTAGTTTCTGTGAATGATTCTGTCTAGTTTTTATACGAAGATGTTTCCTTTTCTACCTTTGGTCTCAAAGCGATTGAAATCTCCACATGGAAACTCCACAAAAAGAGTGTTTCAAATCTGCTCTTTCTGAAGGAAGGTTCATCTCTGTGAGTTGAATGCACACACCACAAATAAGTTACTGAGAATTCTTCTGGGTAACATTATATGAGGAAATCCCGTTTCCAACGAAGGCCTCAAAGAGGTCCAAATATCCACTTGCAGACTTTACAAAGACAGTGTCTCCAAACTCCTCCATCAAAAGAAAGGTTATACTCTGTGAATTGAACGCACACATCACAAAGTAGTTTCTGAGAATGATTCTGTCTAGTTTTTATACGAAGATATTTCCTTTTCTACATTTGGCCTAAAAGCGCTTGAAATCTCCACGTGCAAATATCACAAAAAGAGGGTTTCACATCTGCTCTGTCTAAAGGACAGTTCACCTCTGTGAGTTGAATAGAGGCAACACAAAGAACTTACTCAGTATTCTTCTTTCTAGCGTTCTATGAAGAAATCCCGTTTCCAACGAAGGCCCCAAAGAGGTCCAAATATCTGCTTGCAGACTTTACAGACAGAGTGTTTCCAAACTACTCTATGAAAAGAAAGCTTAAACTCCTTGAGTTGAACGCACACATCACAAAGTAGTTTCTGAGAATGATTCTGTCTAGTTTTTATACGAAGATGTTTCCTTTTCTACATTTGGTCTCAAAGCGATTGAAATCTCCAACTGGAAACTGCACAAATAGGGTGTTTCAAATCTGCTCTGTCTAAAGGAAGGTTCAACTCTGTGAGTTGAATACACACACCACAAATAAGTTACTGAGAATTCTTCTGTCGAACATTACATGAAGAAATCCCGTTTCCAACGAAGGCCTCAAAGAGGTCCAAATATCCACTTGCAGACATTACAAACAGAGTGTTTCCAAACTGCTCCATCAAAGAAAGGTTAAACTCTGTGAGCTGAACACACACATCAAAAAGAAGTTTCTGTGAATTATTCTGTCTAGATTTTATAAGAAGATGCTTCCTTTTCTACCGTAGGCCTCAAAGCGCTTGAAATCTCCACATGGAAACTCCACAAAAAGGGTGTTTAACATCTGCTCTTCTAAAGGAAAGTTCAACTCTATGAGTTGAATACACACAGCACAAAGAAGTTACTGAGACTTCTTCTTTCTAGCGTTATATGAAGAAATCCCGTTTCCAACGAAGGCCTCAAAGAGGTCCAAATATCTGCTTCCAGACTTTACAGACAGAGTGTTTCCAAACTGCTCCATCAAAAGAAAGGTTAAACTCTGTGAGTTGAACACACACATCACAAAGTTGTTTCTGTGAATGATTCTGTCTAGTTTTTATACGAAGATGTTTCCTTTTCTACCTCTGGTCTCAAAGCGATTGAAATCTCCACATGGAAACTCCACAAAAATAGTGTTTCAAATCTACTCTTTCTGAAGGAAGGTTCATCTCTGTGAGTTGAATACACACACCACAAATAAGTTACTGAGAATTCTCCTATCAAACATTATATGAAGAAATCCCGTTTCCAACGATGGCCTCAAAGAGGTCCAAATATCTGCTTGCAGACTTTACAAAGACAGTGTCTCCAAACTCCTCCATCAAAAGAAAGGTTATACTCTGTGAGTTGAACGCACACATCACAAAGTAGTTTCTGAGAATGATTCTGTCTAGTTTTTATACGAAGATATTTCCTTTTCTACATTTGGCCTAAAAGCGCTTGCAATCTCCACCTGCAAATATCACAAAAAGAGGGTTTCACATCTGCTCTGTCTAAAGGACAGTTCACCTCTGTGAGTTGAATAGAGGCAACACAAAGAACTTACTCAGTATTCTTCTTTCTAGCGTTATATGAAGAAATCCCGTTTCCAACGAAGGCCTCAAAGAGGTCCAAATATCTGCTTGCAGACTTTACAGACAGAGTGTTTCCAAACTACTCTATGAAAAGAAAGCTTAAACTCCGTGAGTTGAACGCACACATCACAAAGTAGTTTCTGAGAATGATTCTGTCTTGTTTTTATACGAAGATATTTCCGTTTCTACGATTGGCCTCAAAGCGATTGAAATCTCCAACTGGAAACTGCACAAATAGGGTGTTTCAAATCTGCTCTGTCTAAAGGAAGGTTCAACTCTGTGAGTTGAATACACACACCACAAATAAGTTACTGAGAATTCTTCTGTCGAACATTACATGAAGAAATCCCGTTTCCAACGAAGGCCTCAAAGAGGTCCAAATATCCACTTGCAGACATTACAGAGTGTTTCCAAACTGCTCCATCAAAAGAAAGGTTAAACTCTGTGAGCTGAACACACACATCAAAAAGAAGTTTCTGTGAATGATTCTGTCTAGATTTTATAAGAAGATGTTTCCTTTTCTACAGTAGGCCTCAAAGCGCTTGAAATCTCCAGGTGCAAATTCCACAAAAACGGTGTTTAACATCTGCTCTTCTAAAGGAAAGTTCAACTCTGTGAGTTGAATACACACAGCACAAAGAAGTTACTGAGACTTCCCCTATCAAACATTATATGAAGAAATCCCGTTTGCAACGAAGGCCTCAAAGAGGTCCAAATATCTGCTTGCAGACTTTACAGACAGAGTGTTTCCAAACTGCTCCATCAAAAGAAAGGTTAAACTCCTTGAGTTGAACACACACATCACAAAGTAGTTTCTGTGAATGATTCTGTCTAGTTTTTATACGAAGATGTTTCCTTTTCTACCTTTGGTCTCAAAGCGATTGAAATCTCCACATGGAAACTCCACAAAAAGAGTGTTTCAAATCTGCTCTTTCTGAAGGAAGGTTCAACTCTGTGAGTTGAATACACACACCACAAATAAGTTACTGAGAATTCTTCTGTGTAACATTATATGAGGAAATCCCGTTTCCAACGAAGGCCTCAAAGAGGTCCAAATATCCACTTGCAGACTTTACAAAGACAGTGTCTCCAAACTCCTCCATCAAAAGAAAGGTTATACTCTGTGAATTGAACGCACACATCACAAAGTAGTTTCTGAGAATGATTCTGTCTAGTTTTTATTCGAAGATATTTCCTTTTCTACATTTTGCCTAAAAGCGCTTGAAATCTCCACGTGCAAATATCACAAAAAGAGGGTTTCACATCTGCTCTGTCTAAAGGACAGTTCACGTCTGTGAGTTGAATAGAGGCAACACAAAGAACTTACTCAGTATTCTTCTTTCTAGCATTCTATGAAGAAATCCCGTTTCCAACGAAGGCCTCAAAGAGGTCCAAATATCTGCTTGCAGACTTTACAGACAGAGTGTTTCCAAACTACTCTATGAAAAGAAAGCTTAAACTCCTTGAGTTGAACGCACACATCACAAAGTAGTTTCTGAGAATGATTCTGTCTAGTTTTTATACGAAGATGTTTCCTTTTCTACATTTGGTCTCAAAGCGATTGAAATCTCCAACTGGAAACTGCACAAATAGGGTGTTTCAAATCTGCTCTGTCTAAAGGAAGGTTCAACTCTGTGAGTTGAATACACACACCACAAATAAGTTACTGAGAATTCTTCTGTCGAACATTACTTGAAGAAATCCCGTTTCCAAAGAAGGCCTCAAAGAGGTCCAAATATCCACTTGCAGACATTACAAACAGAGTGTTTCCAAACTGCTCCATCAAAAGAAAGGTTAAACTCTGTGAGCTGAACACACACATCAAAAAGAAGTTTCTGTGAATGATTCTGTCTAGTTTTTATACGAAGATGGTTCCTATTCTACCTTTGGTCTCAAAGCGATTGAAATCTCCACATGGAAACTTCACAAAAAGAGTGTTTCAAATCTACTCTTTCTGAGGGAAGGTTCAACTCTGTGAGTTGAATACACACACCACAAATAAGTTACTGAGAATTCTTCTGTGTAACATTATATGAGGAAATCCCGTTTCCAACGAAGGCCTCAAAGAGGTCCAAATATCCACTTGCAGACTTTACAAAGACAGTGTCTCCAAACTCCTCCATCAAAAGAAAGGTTATACTCTGTGAATTGAATGCACACATCAGAAAGTAGTTTCTGAGAATGATTCTGTCTAGTTTTTATACGAAGATATTTCCTTTTCTACATTTGGCCTAAAAGCGCTTGAAATCTCCACCTGCAAATATCACAAAAAGAGGGTTTCACATCTGCTCTGTCTAAAGGACAGTTCACCTCTATGAGTTGAATAGAGGCAACACAAAGAACTTACTCAGTATTCTTCTTTCTAGCGTTCTATGAAGAAATCCCGTTTCCAACGAAGGCCCCAAAGAGGTCCAAATATCTGCTTGCAGACTTTACAGACAGAGTGTTTCCAAACTTCTCTATGAAAAGAAAGCTTAAACTCCTTGAGTTGAACGCACACATCACAAAGTAGTTTCGGAGAATGATTCTGTCTTGTTTTTATACGAAGATATTTCCGTTTCTACGATTGGCCTCAAAGCGATTGAAATCTCCAACTGGAAACTGCACAAATACGGTGTTTCAAATCTGCTCTGTCTAAAGGAAGGTTCAACTCTGTGAGTTGAATACACACACCACAAATAAGTTACTGAGAATTCTTCTGTCGAACATTACATGAAGAAATCCCGTTTCCAATGAAGGCCTCAAAGAGGTCCAAATATCCACTTGCAGACATTACAAACAGAGTGTTTCCAAACTGCTCCATCAAAGGAAAGGTTAAACTCTGTGAGCTGAACACACACATCAAAAAGAAGTTTCTGTGAATGATTCTGTCTAGATTTTATAAGAAGATGTTTCCTTTTCTACCGTAGGGCTCAAAGCGCTTGAAATCTCCAGCTGCAAATTCCACAAAAAGGGTGTTTAACATCTGCTCTTCTGAAGGAAAGTTCAACTCTATGAGTTGAATACACACAGCACAAAGAAGTTACTGAGACTTCTTCTTTCTAGCATTCTATGAAGAAATCCCGTTTCCAACGAAGGCCCCAAAGAGGTCCAAATATCTGCTTGCAGACTTTACAGACAGAGTTTTTCCAAACTGCTCCATCAAAAGAAAGGTTAAACTCCTTGAGTTGAACACACACATCACAAAGTAGTTTCTGTGAATGATTCTGTCTAGTTTTTATAAGAAGATGTTTCCTTTTCTACCTTTGGTCTCAAAGCGATTGAAATCTCCAGATGGAAACTCCTCAAAAAGAGTGTTTCAAATCTGCTCTTTCTGAAGGAAGGTTCAACTCTGTGAGTTGAATACACACACCACAAATAAGTTACTGAGAATTCTTCTGTGTAACATTATATGAGGAAATCCCGTTTCCAACGAAGGCCTCAAAGAGGTCCAAATATCCACTTGCAGACTTTACAAAGACAGTGTCTCCAAACTCCTCCATCAAAAGAAAGGTTATACTCTGTGAATTGAACGCACACATCACAAAGTAGTTTCTGAGAATGATTCTGTCTAGTTTTTATACGAAGATATTTCCTTTTCTACATTTGGCCTAAAAGTGCTTGAAATCTCCACCTGCAAATATCACAAAAAGAGGGTTTCACATCTGCTCTGTCTAAAGGACAGTTCACCTCTGTGAGTTGAATAGAGGCAACACAAAGAACTTACTCAGTATTCTTCTTTCTAGCATTCTATGAAGAAATCCCGTTTCCAACGAAGGCCCCAAAGAGGTCCAAATATCTGCTTGCAGACTTTACAGACAGAGTTTTTCCAAACTGCTCCATCAAAAGAAAGGTTAAACTCCTTGAGTTGAACACACACATCACAAAGTAGTTTCTGTGAATGATTCTGTCTAGTTTTTATACGAAGATGTTTCCTTTTCTACCTTTGGTCTCAAAGCGATTGAAATGTCCACATGGAAACTCCACAAAAAGAGTGTTTCAAATCTGCTCTTTCTGAAGGAAGGTTCAACTCTGTGAGTTGAATACACACACCACAAATAAGTTACTGAGAATTCTTCTGTGTAAAATTATATGAGGAAATCCCGTTTCCAACGAGGGCCTCAAAGAGGTCCAAATATCCACTTGCAGACTTTACAAAGACAGTGTCTCCAAACTCCTCCATCAAAAGAAAGGTTATACTCTGTGAATTGAACGCACACATCACAAAGTAGTTTCTGAGAATGATTCTGTCTAGTTTTTATACGAAGATATTTCCTTTTCTACATTTGGCCTAAAAGCGCTTGAAATCTCCACCTGCAAATATCACAAAAAGAGGGTTTCACATCTGCTCTGTCTAAAGGACAGTTCACCTCTGTGAGTTGAATAGAGGCAACACAAAGAACTTACTCAGTATTCTTCTTTCTAGCGTTCTATGAAGAAATCCCGTTTCCAACGAAGGCCCCAAAGAGGTCCAAATATCTGCTTGCAGACTTTACAGACAGAGTGTTTCCAAACTACTCTATGAAAAGAAAGCTTAAACTCCTTGAGTTGAACGCACACATCACAAAGTAGTTTCTGAGAATGATTCTGTCTAGTTTTTATACGAAGATGTTTCCTTTTCTACATTTGGTCTCAAAGCGATTGAAATCTCCAACTGGAAACTGCACAAATAGGGTGTTTCAAATCTGCTCTGTCTAAAGGAAGGTTCAACTCTGTGAGTTGAATACACACACCACAAATAAGTTACTGAGAATTCTTCTGTCGACCATTACTTGATGAAATCCCGTTTCCAACGAAGGCCTCAAAGAGGTCCAAATATCCACTTGCAGACATTACAAACAGAGTGTTTCCAAACTGCTCCATCAAAAGAAAGGTTAAACTCTGTGAGCTGAACACACACATCGAAAAGAAGTTTCTGTGAATGATTCTGTCTAGATTTTATAAGAAGATGTTTCCTTTTCTACCGTAGGCCTCAAAGCGCTTGAAATCTCCAGCTGCAAATTCCACAAAAAGGGTGTTTAACATCTGCTCTTCTAAAGGAAAGTTCAACTCTATGAGTTGAATACACACAGCACAAAGAAGTTACTGAGACTTCTTCTGTCTAACATTATATGAAGAAATCCCGTTTCCAACGAAGGCCTCAAAGAGGTCCAAATATCTGCTTGCAGACTTTACAGACAGAGTGTTTCCAAACTGCTCCATCAAAAGAAAGGTTAAACTCCTTGAGTTGAACACACACATCAAAAAGTAGTTTCTGTGAATGATTCTGTCTAGTTTTTATACGAAGATGTTTGCTTTTCTACCTTTGGCCTCAAAGCGATTGAAATCTCCACATGGAAACTCCACAAAAAGAGTGTTTCAAATCTGCTCTTTCTGAAGGAAGGTTCAACTCTGTGAGTTGAATACACACACCACAAATAAGTTACTGAGAATTCTTCTGTGTAACATTATATGAGGAAATCCCGTTTCCAACGAAGGCCTCAAAGAGGTCCAAATATCCACTTGCAGACTTTACAAAGACAGTGTCTCCAAACTCCTCCATCAAAAGAAAGGTTATACTCTGTGAATTGAACGCACACATCACAAAGTAGTTTCTGAGAATGATTCTGTCTAGTTTTTATACGAAGATATTTCCTTTTCTACATTTGGCCTAAAAGCGCTTGAAATCTCCACCTGCAAATATCACAAAAAGAGGGTTTCACATCTGCTCTGTCTAAAGGACAGTTCACCTCTGTGAGTTGAATAGAGGCAACACAAAGAACTTACTCAGTATTCTTCTTTCTAGCATTCTATGAAGAAATCCCGTTTCCAACGAAGGCCTCAAAGAGGTCCAAATATCTGCTTGCAGACTTTACAGACAGAGTTTTTCCAAACTGCTCCATCAAAAGAAAGGTTAAACTCCTTGAGTTGAACACACACATCACAAAGTAGTTTCTGTGAATGATTCTGTCTAGTTTTTATACGAAGATGTTTCCTTTTCTACCTTTGGTCTCAAAGCGATTGAAATCTCCACATGGAAACTCCACAAAAAGAGTGTTTCAAATCTGCTCTTTCTGAAGGAAGGTTCAACTCTGTGAGTTGAATACACACACCACAAATAAGTTACTGAGAATTCTTCTGTGTAACATTATATGAGGAAATCCCGTTTCTAACGAAGGCCTCAAAGAGGTCCAAATATCCACTTGCAGACTTTACAAAGACAGTGTCTCCAAACTCCTCCATCAAAAGAAAGGTTATACTCTGTGAATTGAACGCACACATCACAAAGTAGTTTCTGAGAATGATTCTGTCTAGTTTTTATACGAAGATATTTCCTTTTCTACATTTGGCCTAAAAGCGCTTGAAATCTCCACCTGCAAATATCACAAAAAGAGGGTTTCACATCTGCTCTGTCTAAAGGACAGTTCACCTCTGTGAGTTGAATAGAGGCAACACAAAGAACTTACTCAGTATTCTTCTTTCTAGCGTTCTATGAAGAAATCCCGTTTCCAACGAAGGCCCCAAAGAGGTCCAAATATCTGCTTGCAGACTTTACAGACAGAGTGTTTCCAAACTACTCTATGAAAAGAAAGCTTAAACTCCTTGAGTTGAACGCACACATCACAAAGTAGTTTCTGAGAATGATTCTGTCTAGTTTTTATACGAAGATGTTTCCTTTTCTACATTTGGTCTCAAAGCGATTGAAATCTCCAACTGGAAACTGCACAAATAGGGTGTTTCAAATCTGCTCTGTCTAAAGGAAGGCTCAACTCTGTGAGTTGAATACACACACCACAAATAAGTTACTGAGAATTCTTCTGTCGAACATTACTTGAAGAAATCCCGTTTCCAACGAAGGCCTCAAAGAGGTCCAAATATCCACTTGCAGACATTACAAACAGAGTGTTTCCAAACTGCTCCATCAAAAGAAAGGTTAAACTCTGTGAGCTGAACACACACATCAAAAAGAAGTTTCTGTGAATGATTCTGTCTAGATTTTATAAGAAGATGTTTCCTTTTCTACCGTAGGCCTCAAAGCGCTTGAAATCTCCAGCTGCAAATTCCACAAAAAGGGTGTTTAACATCTGCTCTTCTAAAGGAAAGTTCAACTCTATGAGTTGAATACACACAGCACAAAGAAGTTACTGAGACTTCTCCTATCAAACATTAAATGAAGCAATCCCGTTTCCAACGAAGGCCTCAAAGAGGTCCAAATATCTGCTTGCAGACTTTACAGACAGAGTGTTTCCAAACTGCTCCATCAAAAGAAAGGTTAACCTCCTTGAGTTGAACACACACATCACAAAGTAGTTTCTGAGAATGATTCTGTCTAGTTTTTATACGAAGATGTTTCCTTTTCTACCTTTGGTCTCAAAGCGATTGAAATCTCCACATGGAAACTCCACAAAAAGAGTGTTTCCAATCTGCTCTGTCTAAAGGAAGGTTCAACTCTGTGAGTTGAATACACACACCACAAATAAGTTACTGAGAATTCTTCTGTGTAACATTATATGAGGAAATCCCGTTTCCAACGAAGGCCTCAAAGAGGTCCAAATATCCACTTGCAGACTTTACAAAGACAGTGTCTCCAAACTCCTCCATCAAAAGAAAGGTTATACTCTGTGAATTGAACGCACACATCACAAAGTAGTTTCTGAGAATGATTCTGTCTAGTTTTTATACGAAGATGTTTCCTTTTCTACATTTGGCCTAAAAGCGCTTGAAATCTCCACCTGCAAATATCACAAAAAGAGGGTTTCACATCTGCTCTGTCTAAAGGACAGTTCACCTCTGTGAGTTGAATAGAGGCAACACAAAGAACTTACTCAGTATTCTTCTTTCTAGCGTTCTATGAAGAAATCCCGTTTCCAACGAAGGCCCCAAAGAGGTCCAAATATCTGCTTGCAGACTTTACAGACAGAGTGTTTCCAAACTACTCTATGAAAAGAAAGCTTAAACTCCTTGAGTTGAACGCACACATCACAAAGTAGTTTCTGAGAATGATTCTGTCTAGTTTTTATACGAAGGATGTTTCCTTTTCTACATTTGGTCTCAAAGCTCTTGAAATCTCCAACTGGAAACTGCACAAATAGGCTGTTTCAAATCTGCTCTGTCTAAAGGAAGGTTCAACTCTGTGAGTTGAATACACACACCACAAATAAGTTACTGAGAATTCTTCTGTCGAACATTACATGAAGAATTCCCGTTTCCAACGAAGGCCTCAAAGAGGTCCAAATATCCACTTGCAGGCATTACAAACAGAGTGTTTCCAAACTGCTCCATCAAAAGAAAGGTTAAACTCTGTGAGCTGAACACACACATCAAAAAGAAGTTTCTGTGAATGATTCTGTCTAGATTTTATAAGAAGATGTTTCCTTTTCTACCGTAGGCCTCAAAGCGCTTGAAATCTCCAGCTGCAAATTCCACAAAAAGGGTGTTTAACATCTGCTCTTCTAAAGGAAAGTTCAACTCTATGAGTTGAATACACACAGCACAAAGAAGTTACTGAGACTTCTCCTATCAAATATTATATGAAGAAATCCCGTTTCCAACGAAGGCCTCAAAGAGGTCCAAATATCTGCTTGCAGACTTTACAGACAGAGTGTTTCCAAACTGCTCCATCAAAAGAAAGGTTAAACTCCTTGAGTTGAACACACACATCACAAAGTAGTTTCTGTGAATGATTCTGTCTAGTTTTTATACGAAGATGTTTCCTTTTCTACCTTTGGTCTCAATGCGATTGAAATCTCCACATGGAAACTCCACAAAAAGAGTGTTTCAAATCTGCTCTTTCTGAAGGAAGGTTCAACTCTGTGAGTTGAATACACACACCACAAATAAGTTACTGAGAATTCTTCTGTGTAACATTATATGAGGAAATCCCGTTTCCAACGAAGGCCTTAAAGAGGTCCAAATATCCACTTGCAGACTTTACAAAGACAGTGTCTCCAAACTCCTCCATCAAAAGAAAGGTTATACTCTGTGAATTGAACGCACACATCACAAAGTAGTTTCTGAGAATGATTCTGTCTAGTTTTTATACGAAGATATTTCCTTTTCTACATTAGGCCTAAAAGCGCTTGAAATCTCCACCTGCAAATATCACAAAAAGAGGGTTTCACATCTGCTCTGTCTAAAGGACAGTTCACCTCTGTGAGTTGAATAGAGGCAACACAAAGAACTTACTCAGTATTCTTCTTTCTAGCATTCTATGAAGAAATCCCGTTTCCAACGAAGGCCTCAAAGAGGTCCAAATATCTGCTTGCAGACTTTACAGACAGAGTTTTTCCAAACTGCTCCATCAAAAGAAAGGTTAAACTCCTTGAGTTGAACACACACATCACAAAGTAGTTTCTGTGAATGATTCTGTCTAGTTTCTATACGAAGATGTTTCCTTTTCTACCTTTGGTCTCAAAGCGATTGAAATCTCCACATGGAAACTCCACAAAAAGAGTGTTTCAAATCTGCTCTTTCTGAAGGAAGGTTCAACTCTGTGAGTTGAATACACACACCACAAATAAGTTACTGAGAATTCTTCTGGGTAACATTATATGAGGAAATCCCGTTTCCAACGAAGGCCTCAAAGAGGTCCAAATATCCACTTGCAGACTTTACAAAGACAGTGTCTCCAAACTCCTCCATCAAAAGAAAGGTTATACTCTGTGAATTGAACGCACACATCACAAAGTAGTTTCTGAGAATGATTCTGTCTAGTTTTTATACGAAGATACTTCCTTTTCTACATTTGGCCTAAAAGCGCTTGAAATCTCCACCTGCAAATATCACAAAAAGAGGGTTTCACATCTGCTCTGTCTAAAGGACAGTTCACCTCTGTGAGTTGAATAGAGGCAACACAAAGAACTTACTCAGTATTCTTCTTTCTAGCGTTCTATGAAGAAATCCCGTTTCCAACGAAGGCCCCAAAGAGGTCCAAATATCTGCTTGCAGACTTTACAGACAGAGTGTTTCCAAACTACTCTATGAAAAGAAAGCTTAAACTCCTTGAGTTGAACGCACACAGCACAAAGTAGTTTCTGAGAATGATTCTGTCTAGTTTTTATACGAAGATGTTTCCTTTTCTACATTTGGTCTCAAAGCGATTGAAATCTCCAACTGGAAACTGCACAAATAGGCTGTTTCAAATCTGCTCTGTCTAAAGGAAGGTTCAACTCTGTGAGTTGAATACACACACCACAAATAAGTTACTGAGAATTACTCTGTCGAACATTACTTGAAGAAATCCCGTTTCCAACGAAGGCCTCAAAGAGGTCCAAATATCCACTTCCAGACATTACAAACAGAGTGTTTCCAAACTGCTCCATCAAAAGAAAGGTTAAACTCTGTGAGCTGAACACACACATCAAAAAGCAGTTTCTGTGAATGATTCTGTCTAGATTTTATAAGAAGATGTTTCCTTTTCTACCGTAGGCCTCAAAGCGCTTGAAATCTCCAGCTGCAAATTCCACAAAAAGGGTGTTTAACATCTGCTCTTCTAAAGGAAAGTTCAACTCTATGAGTTGAATACACACAGCACAAAGAAGTTACTGAGACTTCTCCTATCAAACATTATATGAAGAAATCCCGTTTCCAACGAAGGCCTCAAAGGGGTCCAAATATCTGCTTGCAGACTTTACAGACAGAGTGTTTCCAAACTGCTCCATCAAAAGAAAGGTTAAACTCCTTGAGTTGAACACACACATCACAAAGTAGTTTCTGTGAATGATTCTGTCTAGTTTTTATACGAAGATGTTTCCTTTTCTACCTTTGGTCTCAAAGCGATTGAAATCTCCACATGGAAACTCCACAAAAAGAGTGTTTCAAATCTGCTCTTTCTGAAGGAAGGTTCAACTCTGTGAGTTGAATACACACACCACAAATAAGTTACTGAGAATTCTTCTGTGTAACATTATACGAGGAAATCCCGTTTCCAACGAAGGCCTCAAAGAGGTCCAAATATCCACTTGCAGACTTTACAAAGACAGTGTCTCCAAACTCCTCCATCAAAAGAAAAGTTATACTCTGTGAATTGAACGCACACATCACAAAGTAGTTTCTGAGAATGATTCTGTCTAGTTTTTATACGAAGATATTTCCTTTTCTACATTTGGCCTAAAAGCGCTTGAAATCTCCACCTGCAAATATCCCAAAAAGAGGGTTTCACATCTGCTCTGTCTAAAGGACAGTTCACCTCTGTGAGTTGAATAGAGGCAACACAAAGAACTTACTCAGTATTCTTCTTTCTAGCGTTCTATGAAGAAATCCCGTTTCCAACGAAGGCCTCAAAGAGGTCCAAATATCTGCTTGCAGACTTTACAGACAGAGTGTTTCCAAACTACTCTATGAAAAGAAAGCTTAAACTCCTTGAATTGAACGCACACATCACAAAGTAGTTTCTGAGAATGATTCTGTCTAGTTTTTATACGAAGATGTTTCCTTTTCTACATTTGGTCTCAAAGCGATTGAAATCTCCAACTGGAAACTGCACAAATAGGGTGTTTCAAATCTGCTCTGTCTAAAGGAAGGTTCAACTCTGTGAGTTGAATACACACACCACAAATAAGTTACTGAGAATTCTTCAGTCGAACATTTCATGAAGAAATCCCGTTTCCAACGAAGGTCTCAAAGAGGTCCAAATATCCACTTGCAGACATTACAAACAGAGTGTTTCCAAACTGCTCCATCAAAAGAAAGGTTAAACTCTGTGAGCTGAACACACACATCAAAAAGAAGTTTCTGTGAATGATTCTGTCTAGATTTTATAAGAAGATGTTTCCTTTTCTACCGTAGGCCTCAAAGCGCTTGAAATCTCCAGCTGCAAATTCCACAAAACGGGTGTTTAACATCTGCTCTTCTAAAGGAAAGTTCAACTCTATGAGTTGAATACACACAGCACAAAGAAGTTACTGAGACTTCTCCTATCAAACATTATATGAAGAAATCCCGTTTCCAACGAAGGCCTCAAAGAGGTCCAAATATCTGCTTGCAGACTTTACAGACAGAGTTTTTCCAAACTGCTCCATCAAAAGAAAGGTTAAACTCCTTGAGTTGAACACACACATCACAAAGTAGTTTCTGTGAATGATTCTGTCTAGTTTTTATACGAAGATGTTTCCTTTTCTACATTTGGTCTCAAAGCGATTGAAATCTCCACATGGAAACTCCACAAAAAGAGTGTTTCAAATCTGCTCTTTCTGAAGGAAGGTTCAACTCTGTGAGTTGAATACACACACCACAAATAAGTTACTGAGAATTCTTCTGTGTAACATTATATGAGGAAATCCCGTTTCCAACGAAGGCCTCAAAGAGGTCCAAATATCCACTTGCAGACTTTACAAAGACAGTGTCTCCAAACTCCTCCATCAAAAGAAAGGTTATACTCTGTGAATTGAACGCACACATCACAAAGTAGTTTCTGAGAATGATTCTGTCTAGTTTTTATACGAAGATATTTCCTTTTCTACATTTGGCCTAAAAGCGCTTGAAATCTCCACCTGCAAATGTCACAAAAAGAGGGTTTCACATCTGCTCTGTCTGAAGGACAGTTCACCTCTGTGAGTTGAATAGAGGCAACACAAAGAACTTACTCAGTATTCTTCTTTCTAGCGTTCTATGAAGAAATCCCGTTTCCAACGAAGGCCTCAAAGAGGTCCAAATATCTGCTTGCAGACTTAACAGACAGAGTGTTTCCAAACTACTCTATGAAAAGAAAGCTTAAACTCCTTGAGTTGAACGCACACATCACAAAGTAGTTTCTGAGAACGATTCTGTCTAGTTTTTATACGAAGATGTTTCCTTTTCTACATTTGGTCTCAAAGCGATTGAAATCTCCAACTGAAAACTGCACAAATAGGGTGTTTCAAATCTGCTCTGTCTAAAGGAAGGTTCAACTCTGTGAGTTGAATACACACACCACAAATAAGTTACTGAGAATTCTTCTGTCGAACATTACATGAAGAAATCCCGTTTCCAACGAAGGCCTCAAAGAGGTCCAAATATCCCCTTGCAGATATTACAAACAGAGTGTTTCCAAACTGCTCCATCAAAAGAAAGGTCAAACTCTGTGAGCTGAACGCACACATCAAAAAGAAGTTTCTGTGAATGATTCTGTCTAGATTTTATAAGAAGATGTTTCCTTTTCTACCGTAGGCCTCAAAGCGCTTGAAATCTCCAGCTGCAAATTCCACAAAAAGGGTGTTTACCATCTGCTCTTCTAAAGGAAAGTTCAACTCTATGAGTTGAATACACACAGCACAAATAAGTTACTGAGACTTCTGCTATCAAACATTAGAGGAAGAAATCCCGTTTCCAACGAAGGCCTCAAAGAGGTCCAAATATCCACTTGCAGACGTGACAAACAGAGTGTTTCCAAACTGCTCCATCCAAAGAAAGGTTAAACTCTGTGAGTTGAACACACACATCACAAAGTAGTTTCTGTGAATGATTCTGTCTAGTTTTTATACGAAGATGTTTCCTTTTCTACCTTTGGTCTCAAAGCGATTGAAATCTCCACATGGAAACTCCACAAAAAGAGTGTTTCAAATCTGCTCTTTCTGAAGGAAGGTTCAACTCTGTGAGTTGAATACACACACCACAAATAAGTTACTGAGAATTCTTCTGTGTAACATTATATGAGGAAATCCCGTTTCCAACGAAGGCCTCAAAGAGGTCCAAATATCCACTTGCAGACTTTACAAAGACAGTGTCTCCAAACTCCTCCATCAAAAGAAAGGTTATACTCTGTGAATTGAACGCACCCATCACAAAGTAGTTTCTGAGAATGATTCTGTCTAGTTTTTATACGAAGATATTTCCTTTTCTACATTTGGCCTAAAAGCGCTTGAAATCTCCACCTGCAAATATCACAAAAAGAGGGTTTCACATCTGCTCTGTCTAAAGGACAGTTCACCTCTGTGAGTTGAATAGAGGCAACACAAAGAACTTACTCAGTATTCTTCTTTCTAGCGTTCTATGAAGAAATCCCGTTTCCAACGAAGGCCTCAAAGAGGTCCAAATATCTGCTTGCAGACTTTACAGACAGAGTGTTTCCAAACTACTCTATGAAAAGAAAGCTTAAACTCCTTGAGTTGAACGCACAAATCACAAAGTAGTTTCTGAGAATGATTCTGTCTAGTTTTTATACCGAAGATGTTTCCTTTTCTACATTTGGTCTGAAAGCGATTGAAATCTCCAACTGGAAACTGCACAAATAGGCTGTTTCAAATCTGCTCTGTCTAAAGGAAGGTTCAGCTCTGTGAGTTGAATACACACACCACAAATAAGTTACTGAGAATTCTTCTGTCGAACATTACAGGAAGAAATCCCGTTTCCAACGAAGGCCTCAAAGAGGTCCAAATATCCACTTGCGGACATTACAAACAGTGTGTTTCCCAACTGCTCCATCAAAAGAAAGGTTAAACTCTGTGAGCTGAACACACACATCAAAAAGAAGTTTCTGTGAATGATTCTGTCTAGATTTTATAAGAAGATGTTTCCTTTTCTACCGTAGGCCTCAAAGCGCTTGAAATCTCCAGCTGCAAATTCCACAAAAAGGGTGTTTAACATCTGCTCTTCTAAAGGAAAGTTCAACTCTATGAGTTGAATACACACAGCACAAAGAAGTTACTGAGACTTCTCCTATCAAACATTATATGAAGAAATCCCATTTCCAACGAAGGCCTCAAAGAGGTCCAAATATCTGCTTGCAGACTTTACAGACAGAGTGTTTCCAAACTGCTCCATCAAAAGAAAGGTTAAACTCCTTGAGTTGAACACACACATCACAAAGTAGTTTCTGTGAATGATTCTGTCTAGTTTTTATACGAAGATGTTTCCTTTTCTACCTTTGGTCTCAAAGCGATTGAAATCTCCACATGGAAACTCCACAAAAAGAGTGTTTCAAATCTGCTCTTTCTGAAGGAAGGTTCAACTCTGTGAGTTGAATACACACACCACAAATAAGTTACTGAGAATTCTTCTGTGTAACATTATATGAGGAAATCCCGTTTCCAACGAAGGCCTCAAAGAGGTCCAAATATCCACTTGCAGACTTTACAAAGACAGTGTCTCCAAACTCCTCCATCAAAAGAAAGGTTATACTCTGTGAATTGAATGCACACATCACAAAGTAGTTTCTGAGAATGATTCTGTCTAGTTTTTATACGAAGATATTTCCTTTTCTACATTTGGCCTAAAAGCGCTTGAAATCTCCACCTGCAAATATCACAAAAAGAGGGTTTCACATCTGCTCTGTCTAAAGGACAGTTCACCTCTGTGAGTTGAATAGAGGCAACACAAAGAACTTACTCAGTATTCTTCTTTCTAGCGTTATATGAAGAAATCCCGTTTCCAACGAAGGCCTCAAAGAGGTCAAATATCTGCTTGCAGACTTTACAGACAGAGTGTTTCCAAACTACTCTATGAAAAGAAAGCTTAAACTCCTTGAGTTGAACGCACACATCACAAAGTAGTTTCTGAGAATGATTCTGTCTAGTTTTTATACGAAGATGTTTCCTTTTCTACATTTGGTCTCAAAGCGATTGAAATCTCCAACTGGAAACTGCACAAATAGGCTGTTTCAAATCTGCTCTGTCTAAAGGAAGGTTCAGCTCTGTGAGTTGAATACACACACCACAAATAAGTTACTGAGAATTCTTCTGTCGAACATTACTTGAAGAAATCCCGTTTCTAACGAAGGCCTCAAAGAGGTCCAAATATCCACTTGCAGACATTACAAACAGAGTGTTTCCAAACTGCTCCATCAAAAGAAAGGTTAAACACTGTGAGCTGAACACACACATCAAAAAGAAGTTTCTGTGAATGATTCTGTCTAGATTTTATAAGAAGATGTTTCCTTTTCTACCGTAGGCCTCAAAGCGCTTGAAATCTCCAGCTGCAAATTCCACAAAAAGGGTGTTTTACATCTGCTCTTCTAAAGGAAAGTTCAACTCTATGCGTTGAATACACACAGCACAAAGAAGTTACTGAGACTTCTCCTATCAAACATTATATGAAGAAATCCCGTTTCCAACGAAGGCCTCAAAGAGGTCCAAATATCTGCTTGCAGACTTTACAGACAGAGTGTTTCCAAACTGCTCCATCAAAAGAAAGGTTAAACTCCTTGAGTTGAACACACACATCACAAAGTAGTTTCTGTGAATGATTCTGTCTAGTTTTTATACGAAGATGTTTCCTTTTCTACCTTTGGTCTCAATGCGATTGAAATCTCCACATGGAAACTCCACAAAAAGAGTGTTTCAAATCTGCTCTTTCTGAAGGAAGGTTCATCTCTGTGAGTTGAATACACACACCACAAATAAGTTACTGAGAATTCTTCTGTGTAACATTATATGAGGAAATCCCGTTTCCAACGAAGGCCTCAAAGAGATCCAAATATCCACTTGCAGACTTTACAAAGACAGTGTCTCCAAACTCCTCCATCAAAAGAAAGGTTATACTCTGTGAATTGAATGCACACATCACAAAGTAGTTTCTGAGAATGATTCTGTCTAGTTTTTATACGAAGATATTTCCTTTTCTACATTTGGCCTAAAAGCGCTTGAAATCTCCACCTGCAAATATCACAAAAAGAGGGTTTCACATCTGCTCTGTCTAAAGGACAGTTCACCTCTGTGAGTTGAATAGAGGCAACACAAAGAACTTACTCAGTATTCTTCTTTCTAGCGTTATATGAAGAAATCCCGTTTCCAAAGAAGGCCTCAAAGAGGTCCAAATATCTGCTTGCAGACTTTACAGACAGAGTGTTTCCAAACTACTCTATGAAAAGAAAGCTTAAACTCCTTGAGTTGAACGCACACATCACAAAGTAGTTTCTGAGAATGATTCTGTCTTGTTTTTATACAAAGTTATTTCTGTTTCTATGATTGGCCTCAAAGTGATTGAAATCTCCAACTGGAAACTGCACAAATAGGGTGTTTCAAATCTGCTCTGTCTAAAGGAAGGTTCAACTCTGTGAGTTGAATACACACACCACAAATAAGTTACTGAGAATTCTTCTGTCGAACATTACATGAAGAAATCCCGTTTCCAACGAAGGCCTCAAAAGGTCCAAATATCCACTTGCAGACATTACAAACAGAGTGTTTCCAAACTGCTCCATCAAAAGAAAGGTTAAACTCTGTGAGCTGAACACACACATCAAAAAGAAGTTTCTGTGAATGATTCTGTCTAGATTTTATAAGAAGATGTTTCCTTTTCTACAGTAGGCCTCAAAGTGCTTGAAATCTCCAGCTGCAAATTCCACAAAAAGGGTGTTTAACACCTGATCTTCTAAAGGAAAGTTCAACTCAATGAGTTGAATACACACAGCACAAAGAAGTTACTGAGACCTCTCCTATCAAACATTATATGAAGAAATCCCGTTTCCAACGAAGGCCTCAAAGAGGTCCAAATATCTGTTTGCAGACTTTGCAGACAGAGTGTTTCCAAACTGCTCCATCAAAAGAAAGGTTAACCTCCTTGAGTTGAACACACACATCACAAAGTAGTTTCTGAGAATGATTCTGTCTAGTTTTTATACGAAGATGTTTCCTTTTCTACCTTTGGTCTCAAAGCGATTGAAATCTCCACATGGAAACTCCACAAAAAGAGTGTTTCAAATCTGCTCTGTCTAAAGGAAGGTTCAACTCTGTGAGTTGAATACACACACCACAAATAAGTTACTGAGAATTCTTCTGTGTAACATTATATGAGGAAATCCCGTTTCCAACGAAGGCCTCAAAGAGGTCCAAATATCCACTTGCAGACTTTACAAAGACAGTGTCTCCAAACTCCTCCATCAAAAGAAAGGTTATACTCTGTGAATTGAACGCACACATCACAAAGTAGTTTCTGAGAATGATTCTGTCTAGTTTTTATACGAAGATATTTCCTTTTCTACATTTGGCCTAAAAGCGCTTGAAATCTCCACCTGCAAATATCACAAAAAGAGGGTTTCACATCTGCTCTGTCTAAAGGACAGTTCTCCTCTGTGAGTTGAATAGAGGCAACACAAAGAACTTACTCAGTATTCTTCTTTCTAGCGTTCTATGAAGAAATCCCGTTTCCAACGAAGGCCTCAAAGAGGTCAAATATCTGCTTGCAGACTTTACAGACAGAGTGTTTCCAAACTACTCTATGAAAAGAAAGCTTAAACTCCTTGAGTTGAACGCACACATCACAAAGTAGTTTCTGAGAATGATTCTGTCTAGTTTTTATACGAAGATGTTTCCTTTTCTACATTTGGTCTCAAAGCGATTGAAATCTCCAACTGGAAACTGCACAAATAGGCTGTTTCAAATCTGCTCTGTCTAAAGGAAGGTTCAACTCTGTGAGTTGAATACACACACCACAAATAAGTTACTGAGAATTCTTCTGTCGAACATTACTTGAAGAAATCCCGTTTCCAACGAAGGCCTCAAAGAGGTCCAAATATCCACTTGCAGACATTACAAACAGAGTGTTTCCAAACTGCTCCATCAAAAGAAAGGTTAAACTCTGTGAGCTGAACACACACATCAAAAAGAAGTTTCTGTGAATGATTCTGTCTAGATTTTATAAGAAGATGTTTCCTTTTCTACCGTAGGCCTCAAAGCGCTTGAAATCTCCAGCTGCAAATTCCACAAAAAGGGTGTTTAACATCTGCTCTTGTAAAGGAAAGTTCAACTCTATGAGTTGAATACACACAGCACAAAGAAGTTACTGAGACTTCTCCTATCAAACATTATATGAAGAAATCCCGTTTCCAACGAAGGCCTCAAAGAGGTCCAAATATCTGCTTGCAGACTTTACAGACAGAGTGTTTCCAAACTGCTCCATCAAAAGAAAGGTTAAACTCCTTGAGTTGAACACACACATCACAAAGTAGTTTCTGTGAATGATTCTGTCTAGTTTTTATACGAAGATGTTTCCTTTTCTACCTTTGGTCTCAAAGCGATTGAAATCTCCACATGGAAACTCCACAAAAAGAGTGTTTCAAATCTGCTCTTTCTGAAGGAAGGTTCAACTCTGTGAGTTGAATACACACACCACAAATAAGTTACTGAGAATTCTTCTGTGTAACATTATATGAGGAAATCCCGTTTCCAACGAAGGCCTCAAAGAGGTCCAAATATCCACTTGCAGACTTTACAAAGACAGTGTCTCCAAACTCCTCCATCAAAAGAAAGTTTATACTCTGTGAATTGAACGCACACATCACAAAGTAGTTTCTGAGAATGATTCTGTCTAGTTTTTATACGAAGATATTTCCTTTTCTACATTTGGCCTAAAAGCGCTTGAAATCTCCACCTGCAAATATCACAAAAAGAGGGTTTCACATCTGCTCTGTCTAAAGGACAGTTCACCTCTGTGAGTTGAATAGAGGCAACACAAAGAACTTACTCAGTATTCTTCTTTCCAGCGTTCTATGAAGAAATTCCATTTCCAACGAAGGCCTCAAACAGGTCCAAATATCTGCTTGCAGACTTCACAGACAGAGTGTTTCCAATCTACTCTATGAAAAGAAAGCTTAAACTCCTTGAGTTGAAGGCACACATCACAAAGTAGTTTCTGAGAATGATTCTGTCTAGTTTTTATACGAAGATGTTTCCTTTTCTACATTTGGTCTCAAAGCGATTGAAATCTCCAACTGGAAACTGCACAAATAGGGAGTTTCAAATCTGATCTGTCTAAAGGAAGGGTCAACTCTGTGAGTTGAATACACACACCACAAATAAGTTACTGAGAATTCTTCTGTCGAACATTACATGAAGAAATCCCGTTTCCAACGAAGGCCTCAAAGAGGTCCAAATATCCACTTGCAGACATTACAAACAGTGTGTTTCCAAACTGCTCCATCAAAAGAAAGGTTAAACTCTGTGAGCTGAACACACATCAAAAAGAAGTTTCTGTGAATGTTTCTGTCTAGATTTTATAAGAAGATGTTTCCTTTTCTACAGTACGCCACAAAGCGCTTGAAATCTCCAGCTGCAAATTCCACAAAAAGGGTGTTTAACATCTGCTCTTCTAAAGGAAAGTTCAACTCTATGAGTTAAATAAACACAGCAGAAAGAAGTTACTGAGACTTCTCCTATCAAACATTATATGAAGAAATCCCGTTTCCAACGAAGGCCTCAAAGAGGTCCAAATATCTGCTTGCAGACTTTACAGACAGAGTTTTTCCAAACTGCTCCATCAAAAGAAAGGTTAAACTCCTTGAGTTGAACACACACATCACAAAGTAGTTTCTGTGAATGATTCTGTCTAGTTTTTATACGAAGATGTTTCCTTTTCTACCTTTGGTCTCAATGCGATTGAAATCTCCACATGGAAACTCCACAAAAAGAGTGTTTCAAATCTGCTCTTTCTGAAGGAAGGTTCAACTCTGTGAGTTGAATACACACACCACAAATAAGTTACTGAGAATTCTTCTGTGTAACATTATATGAGGAAATCCCGTTTCCAACGAAGGCCTCAAAGAGGTCCAAATATCCACTTGCAGACTTTACAAAGACAGTGTCTCCAAACTCCTCCATCAAAAGAAAGGTTATACTCTGTGAATTGAACGCACACATCACAAAGTAGTTTCTGAGAATGATTCTGTCTAGTTTTTATACGAAGATATTTCCTTTTCTACATTTGGCCTAAAAGCGCTTGAAATCTCCACCTGCAAATATCACAAAAAGAGGGTTTCACATCTACTCTGTCTAAAGGACAGTTCACCTCTGTGAGTTGAATAGAGGCAACACAAAGAACTTACTCAGTATTCTTCTTTCTAGCGTTATATGAAGAAATCCCGTTTCCAAAGAAGGCCTCAAAGAGGTCCAAATATCTGCTTGCAGACTTTACAGACAGAGTGTTTCCAAACTACTCTATGAAAAGAAAGCTTAAACTCCTTGAGTTGAACGCACACATCACAAAGTAGTTTCTGAGAATGATTCTGTCTAGTTTTTATACGAAGATGTTTCCTTTTCTACATTTGGTCTCAAAGCGATTGAAATCTCCAACTGGAAACTGCACAAATAGGGTGTTTCAAATCTGCTCTGTCTAAAGGAAGGTTCAACTCTGTGAGTTGAATACACACACCACAAATAAGTTACTGAGAATTCTTCTGTCGAACATTACAGGAAGAAATCCCGTTTCCAGCGAAGGCCTCAAAGAGGTCCAAATATCCACTTGCAGACATTACAAACAGAGTGTTTCCAAACTGCTCCATCAAAAGAAAGGTTAAACTCTGTGAGCTGAACACACACATCAAAAAGAAGTTTCTGTGAATGATTCTGTCTAGATTTTATAAGAAGATGTTTCCTTTTCTACCATAGGCCTCAAAGCGCTAGAAATCTCCAGCTGCAAATTCCACAAAAAGTGTGTTTAACATCTGCTCTGTCTAAAGTAAAGTTCAGCTCTGTGAGTTGAATACACACAGCACAAAGAAGTTACTGAGACTTCTTCTGTCTAACATTATATGAAGAAATCCCGTTTCCAACGAAGGCCTCAAAGAGGTCCAAATATCCACTTGCAGACTTGACAGAGTGTTTCCAAACTGCACCATCAAAAGAAAGGTTAAACTCTGTGAGCTGAACACACACATCACAAAGTAGTTTCTGTGAATGATTCTGTCTAGTTTTTATAGGAAGATGTCTCCTTTTCTACCTTTGGTCTCAAAGCCATTGAAATCTCCACATGGAAACTCCACAAAAAGAGTGTTTCAAATCTGCTCTTTCTGAAGGAAGGTTCAACTCTGTGAGTTGAATACACACACCACAAATCAGTTACTGAGAATTCTTCTGTGTAACATTATATGAGGAAATCCCGTTTCCAACGAAGGCCTCAAAGAGGTCCAAATATCCACTTGCAGACTTTACAAAGACAGTGTCTCCAAACTCCTCCATCAATAGAAAGGTTATACTCTGTGAATTGAATGCACACATCACAAAGTAGTTTCTGAGAATGATTCTGTCTAGTTTTTATACGAAGATATTTCCTTTTCTACATTTGGCCTAAAAGTGCTTGAAATCTCCACCTGCAAATATCACAAAAAGAGGGTTTCACATCTGCTCTGTCTAAAGGACAGTTCACCTCTGTGAGTTGAATAGAGGCAACACAAAGAACTTACTCAGTATTCTTCTTTCTACCGTTCTATGAAGAAATCCCGTTTCCAACGAAGGCCTCAAAGAGGTCCAAATATCTGCTTGCAGACTTTACAGACAGAGTGTTTCCAAACTACTCTATGAAAAGAAAGCTTAAACTCCTTGAGTTGAACGCACACATCACAAAGTAGTTTCTGAGAATGATTCTGTCTAGTTTTTATACGAAGATGTTTCCTTTTCTACATTTGGTCTCAAAGCGATTGAAATCTCCAACTGGAAACTGCACAAATAGGGTGTTTCAAATCTGCTCTGTTTAAAGGAAGGTTCAACTCTGTGAGTTGAATACACACACCACAAATAAGTTACTGAGAATTCTTCTGTCGAACATTACATGAAGAAATCCCGTTTCCAACGAAGGCCTCAAAGAGGTCCAAATATCCACTTGGAGACATTACAAACAGTGTGTTTCCAAACTGCTCCATCAAAAGAAAGGTTAAACTCTGTGAGCTGAACACACACATCAAAAAGAAGTTTCTGTGAATGATTCTGTCTAGATTTTATAAGAAGATGTTTCCTTTTCTACCGTAGGCCTCAAAGCGCTTGAAATCTCCAGCTGCAAATTCCACAAAAAGGGTGTTTAACATCTGCTCTTCTAAAGGAAAGTTCAACTCTATGAGTTGAATACACACAGCACAAAGAAGTTACTGAGACTTCTCCTATCAAACATTATATGAAGAAATCCCGTTTCCAACGAAGGCCTCAAAGAGGTCCAAATATCTGCTTGCAGACTTTACAGACAGAGTGTTTCCAAACTGCTCCATCAAAAGAAAGGTTAAACTCCTTGAGTTGAACACACACATCACAAAATAGTTTCTGTGAATGATTCTGTCTAGTTTTTATACGAAGATGTTTCCTTTTCTACCTTTGGTCTCAAAGCGATTGAAATCTCCACATGGAAACTCCACAAAAAGAGTGTTTCAAATCTGCTCTTTCTGAAGGAAGGTTCAACTCTTGTGAGTTGAATACACACACCACAAATAAGTTACTGAGAATTCTTCTGTGTAACATTATATGAGGAAATCCCGTTTCCAACGAAGGCCTCAAAGAGGTCCAAATATCCACTTGCAGACTTTACAAAGACAGTGTCTCCAAACTCCTCCATCAAAAGAAAGGTTATACTCTGTGAATTGAACGCACACATCACAAAGTAGTTTCTGAGAATGATTCTGTCTAGTTTTTATACGAAGATATTTCCTTTTCTACATTTGGCCTAAAAGCGCTTGAAATCTCCACCTGCAAATATCACAAAAAGAGGGTTTCACATCTGCTCTGTCTAAAGGACAGGTTCACCTCTGTGAGTTGAATAGAGGCAACACAAAGAACTTACTCAGTATTCTTCTTTCTAGCGTTATATGAAGAAATCCCGTTTCCAACGAAGCCCTCAAAGAGGTCCAAATATCTGCTTGCAGACTTTACAGACAGAGTGTTTCCAAACTGCTGCATCAAAAGAAAGGTTAAACTCCTTGAGTTGAACACACACATCACAAAGTAGTTTCTGTGAATGATTCTGTCTAGTTTTTATATGAAGATGTTTCCTTTTCTACCTTTGGTCTCAAAGCGATGGAATTCTCCACATGGAAACTCCACAAAAAGAGTGTTTCAAATCTGCTCTTTCTGAAGGAAGGTTCAACTCTGTGAGTTGAATACACACACCACAAATAAGTTACTGAGAATTCTTCTGTGTAACATTATATGAGGAAATCCCGTTTCCAACGAAGGCCTCAAAGAGGTCCAAATATCCACTTGCAGACTTTACAAAGACAGTGTCTCCAAACTCCTCCATCAAAAGAAAGGTTATACTCTGTGAATTGAACGCACACATCACAAAGTAGTTTGCTGAGAATGATTTTCTGTCTAGTTTTTATACGAAGATATTTCCTTTTCTACATTTGGCCTAAAAGCGCTTGAAATCTCCACCTGCAAATATCACAAAAAGAGGGTTTCACATCTGCTCTGTCTAAAGGACAGTTCACCTCTGTGAGTTGAATAGAGGCAACACAAAGAACTTACTCAATATTCTTCTTTCTAGCGTTCTATGAAGAAATCCCGTTTCCAACGAAGGCCCCAAAGAGGTCCAAATATCTGCTTGCAGACTTTACAGACAGAGTGTTTCCAAACTACTCTATGAAAAGAAAGCTTAAACTCCTTGAGTTGAACGCACACATCACAAAGTAGTTTCTGAGAATGATTCTGTCTAGTTTTTATACGAAGATGTTTCCTTTTCTACATTTGGTCTCAAAGCGATTGAAATCTCCAACTGGAAACTGCACAAATAGGGTGTTTCAAATCTGCTCTGTCTAAAGGAAGGTTCAACTCTGTGAGTTGAATACACACACCACAAATAAGTTACTGAGAATTCTTCTGTCGAACATTACTTGAAGAAATCCCGTTTCCAACGAAGGCCTCAAAGAGGTCCAAATATCCACTTGCAGACATTACAAACAGAGTGTTTCCAAACTGCTCCATCAAAAGAAAGGTTAAACTCTGTGAGCTGAACACACACATCGAAAAGAAGTTTCTGTGAATGATTCTGTCTAGATTTTATAAGAAGATGTTTCCTTTTCTACCGTAGGCCTCAAAGCGCTTGAAATCTCCAGCTGCAAATTCCTCAAAAAGGGTGTTTAACATCTGCTCTTCTAAAGGAAAGTTCAACTCTATGAGTTGAATACACACAGCACAAAGAAGTTACTGAGACTTCTCCTATCAAACATTATATGAAGAAATCCCGTTTCCAACGAAGGCCTCAAAGAGGTCCAAATATCTGCTTGCAGACTTTACAGACAGAGTGTTTCCAAACTGCTCCATCAAAAGAAAGGTTAAACTCCTTGAGTTGAACACACACATCACAAAGTAGTTTCTGTGAATGATTCTGTCTAGTTGTTATACGAAGATGTTTCCTTTTCTACCTTTGGTCTCAAAGCGATTGAAATCTCCACATGGAAACTCCACAAAAAGAGTGTTTCAAATCTGCTCTTTCTGAAGGAAGGTTCATCTCTGTGAGTTGAATACACACACCACAAATAAGTTACTGAGAATTCTTCTGTGTAACATTATATGAGGAAATCCCGTTTCCAACGAAGGCCTCAAAGAGGTCCAAATATCCGCTTGCAGACTTTACAAAGACAGTGTCTCCAAACTCCTCCATCAAAAGAAAGGTTATACTCTGTGAATTGAACGCACACATCACAAAGTAGTTTCTGAGAATGATTCTGTCTAGTTTTTATACGAAGATATTTCCTTTTCTACATTTGGCCTAAAAGCGCTTGAAATCTCCACCTGCAAATATCACAAAAAGAGGGTTTCACATCTGCTCTGTCTAAAGGACAGTTCACCTCTGTGAGTTGAATAGAGGCAACACAAAGAACTTACTCAGTATTCTTCTTTCTAGCGTTCTATGAAGAAATCCCGTTTCCAACGAAGGCCCCAAAGAGGTCCAAATATCTGCTTGCAGACTTTACAGACAGAGTGTTTCCAAACTACTCTATGAAAAGAAAGCTTAAACTCCTTGAGTTGAACGCACACATCACAAAGTAGTTTCTGAGAATGATTCTGTCTAGTTTTTATACGAAGATGTTTCCTTTTCTACATTTGGTCTCAAAGCGATTGAAATCTCCAACTGGAAACTGCACAAATAGGGTGTTTCAAATCTGCTCTGTCTAAAGGAAGGTTCAACTCTGTGAGTTGAATACACACACCACAAATAAGTTACTGAGAATTCTTCTGTCGAACATTACTTGAAGAAATCCCGTTTCCAACGAAGGCCTCAAAGAGGTCCAAATATCCACTTGCAGACATTACAAACAGAGTGTTTCCAAACTGCTCCATCAAAAGAAAGGTTAAACTCTGTGAGCTGAACACACACATCGAAAAGAAGTTTCTGTGAATGATTCTGTCTAGATTTTATAAGAAGATGTTTCCTTTTCTACCGTAGGCCTCAAAGCGCTTGAAATCTCCAGCTGCAAATTCCACAAAAAGGGAGTTTAACATCTGCTCTTCTAAAGGAAAGTTCAACTCTATGAGTTGAATACACACAGCACAAAGAAGTTACTGAGACTTCTCCTATCAAACATTATATGAAGAAATCCCGTTTCCAACGAAGGCCTCAAAGAGGTCCAAATATCTGCTTGCAGACTTTACAGACAGAGTGTTTCCAAACTGCTCCATCAAAAGAAAGGTTAAACTCCTTGAGTTGAACACACACATCACAAAGTAGTTTCTGTGAATGATTCTGTCTAGTTGTTATACGAAGATGTTTCCTTTTCTACCTTTGGTCTCAAAGCGATTGAAATCTCCACATGGAAACTCCACAAAAAGAGTGTTTGAAATCTGCTCTTTCTGAAGGAAGGTTCATCTCTGTGAGTTGAATACACACACCACAAATAAGTTACTGAGGAATTCTTCTGTGTAACATTATATGAGGAAATCCCGTTTCCAACGAAGGCCTCAAAGAGGTCCAAATATCCACTTGCAGACTTTACAAAGACAGTGTCTCCAAACTCCTCCATCAAAAGAAAGGTTATACTCTGTGAATTGAACGCACACATCACAAAGTAGTTTCTGAGAATGATTCTGTCTAGTTTTTATACGAAGATATTTCCTTTTCTACATTTGGCCTAAAAGTGCTTGAAATCTCCACCTGCAAATATCACAAAAAGAGGGTTTCACATCTGCTCTGTCTAAAGGACAGTTCACCTCTGTGAGTTGAATAGAGGCAACACAAAGAACTTACTCAGTATTCTTCTTTCTGGCGTTCTATGAAGAAATCCCGTTTCCAACGAAGGCCCCAAAGAGGTCCAAATATCTGCCTGCAGACTTTACAGACAGAATGTTTCCAAACTACTCTATGAAAAGAAAGCTTAAACTCCTTGAGTTGAACGCACACATCACAAAGTAGTTTACTGAGAATGATTCTGTCTAGTTTTTATACGAAGTATGTTTCCTTTTCTACATTTGGTCTCAAAGCGATTGAAATCTCCAACTGGAAACTGCACAAATAGGGTGTTTCAAATCTGCTCTGTCTAAAGGAAGGTTCAACTCTGTGAGTTGAATACACACAACACAAATAAGTTACTGAGAATTCTTCTGTCGAACATTACTTGAAGAAATTCCGTTTCCAACGAAGGCCTCAAAGAGGTCCAAATATCCACTTGCAGACATTACAAACAGAGTGTTTCCAAACTGCTCCATGAAAAGAAAGGTTAAACTCTGTGAGCTGAACACACACATCAAAAAGAAATTTCTGTGAATGATTCTGTCTAGATTTTATAAGAAGATGTTTCCTTTTCTACCGTAGGCCTCAAAGCGCTTGAAATCTCCAGCTGCAAATTCCACAAAAAGGGTGTTTAACATCTGCTCTTCTAAAGGAAAGTTCAACTCTATGAGTTGAATACACACAGCACAAAGAAGTTACTGAGACTTCTCCTATCAAACATTATATGAAGAAATCCCGTTTCCAACGAAGGCCTCAAAGAGGTCCAAATATCCACTTGCAGACGTGACAAACAGAGTGTTTCCAAACTGCTCCATCAAAAGAAAGGTTAAACTCTGTGAGTGGAACACACACATCTCAAAGTAGTTTCTGTGAATGATTCTGTCTAGTTTTTATATGAAGATGTTTCCTTTTCTACCTTTCGTCTCAAAGCGATTGAAATCTCCACATGGAAACTCCACAAAAAGAGTGTTTCAAATCTGCTCTTTCTGAAGGAAGGTTCAACTCTGTGAGTTGAATACACACAACACAAATAAGTTACTGAGAATTCTTCTGTGTAACATTATATGAGGAAATCCCGTTTCCAACGAAGGCCTCAAAGAGGTCCAAATATCCACTTGCAGACTTTACAAAGACAGTGTCTCCAAACTCCTCCATCAAAAGAAAAGTTATACTCTGTGAATTGAACGCACACATCACAAAGTAGTTTCTCAGAATGATTCTGTCTAGTTTTTATACGAAGATATTTCCTTTTCTACATTTAGCCTAAAAGCGCTTGAAATCTCCACCTGCAAATATCACAAAAAGAGTGTTTCACATCTCCTCTGTCTAAATGACAGTTCACCTCTGTGAGTTGAATAGAGGCAACACAAAGAACTTACTCAGTATTCTTCTTTCTAGCGTTCTATGAAGAAATCCCGTTTCCAACGAAGGCCCCAAAGAGGTCCAAATATCTGCTTGCAGACTTTACAGACAGAGTGTTTCCAAACTACTCTATGAAAAGAAAGCTTAAACTCCTTGAGTTGAACGCACACATCACAAAGTAGTTTCGGAGAATGATTCTGTCTAGTTTTTATACGAAGATGTTTCCTTTTCTACATTTGGTCTCAAAGCGATTGAAATCTCCAACTGGAAACTGCACAAATAGGCTGTTTCAAATCTGCTCTGTCTAAAGGAAGGTTCAACTCTGTGAGTTGAATACACACACCACAAAGAAGTTACTGAGAATTCTTCTGTCGAACATTAGTTGAAGAAATCCCGTTTCCAACGAAGGCCTCAAAGAGGTCCAAATATCCACTTGCAGACATTACAAACAGAGTGTTTCCAAACTGCTCCATCAAAAGAAAGGTTAAACTCTGTGAGCTGAACACACACATCAAAAAGAAGTTTCTGTGAATGATTCTGTCTAGATTTTATAAGAAGATGTTTCCTTTTCTACCGTAGGCCTCAAAGCGCTTGAAATCTCCAGCTGCAAATTCCACAAAAAGGGTGTTTAACATCTGCTCTTCTAAAGGAAAGTTCAACTCTATGAGTTGAATACACACAGCACAAAGAAGTTACTGAGACTTCTCCTATCAAACATTATATGAAGAAATCCCGTTTCCAACGAAGGCCTCAAAGAGGTCCAAATATCTGCTTGCAGACATTACAGACAGAGTGTTTCCAAACTGCTCCATCAAAAGAAAGGTTAAACTCCTTGAGTTGAACACACACATCACAAAGTAGTTTCTGTGAATGATTCTGTCTAGTTTTTATACGAAGATGTTTCCTTTTCTACCTTTGGTCTCAATGCGATTGAAATCTCCACATGGAAACTCCACAAAAAGAGTGTTTCAAATCTGCTCTTTCTGAAGGAAGGTTCATCTCTGTGAGTTGAATACACACACCACAAATAAGTTACTGAGAATTCTTCTGTGTAACATTATATGAGGAAATCCCGTTTCCAACGAAGGCCTCAAAGAGGTCCAAATATCCACTTGCAGACTTTACAAAGACAGTGTCTCCAAACTCCTCCATCAAAAGAAAGGTTATACTCTGTGAATTGAACGCACACATCACAAAGTAGTTTCTGAGAATGATTCTGTCTACTTTTTATACGAAGATATTTCCTTTTCTACATTTGGCCTAAAAGCGCTTGAAATCTCCACCTGCAAATATCACAAAAAGAGGGTTTCACATCTGCTCTGTCTAAAGGACAGTTCACCTCTGTGAGTTGAATAGAGGCAACACAATGAAGTTACTGAGTATTCTTCTTTCTAGCGTTATATGAAGAAATCCCGTTTCCAACGAAGGCCTCAAAGAGGTCCAAATATCTGCTTGCAGACATTACAGACAGAGTGGTTCCAAACTACTCTATGAAAAGAAAGCTTAAACTCCTTGAGTTGAACGCACACATCACAAAGTAGTTTCTGAGAATGATTCTGTCAAGTTTTTATACGAAGATGTTTCCTTTTCTACATTTGGTCTCAAAGCGATTGAAATCTCCAACTGCAAACTGCACAAATAGGGTGTTTCAAATCTGCTCTGTCTAAAGGAAGGTTCAACTCTGTGAGTTGAATACACACACCACAAATAAGTTACTGAGAATTCTTCTGTCGAACATTACATGAAGAAATCCCGTTTCCAACGAAGGCCTCAAAGAGGTCCAAATATCCACTTGCAGACATTACAAACAGTGTGTTTCCAAACTGCTCCATCAAAAGAAAGGTTAAACTCTGTGAGCTGAACACACACATCAAAAAGAAGTTTCTGTGAATGATTCTGTCTAGATTTTATAAGAAGATGTTTCCTTTTCTACCGTAGGCCTCAAAGCGCTTGAAATCTCCAGCTGCAAATTCCACAAAAAGGGTGTTTAACATCTGCTCTTCTAAAGGAAAGTTCAACTCTATGAGTTGAATACACACAGCACAAAGAAGTTACTGAGACTTCTTCTGTCTAACATTATATGAAGAAATCCCGTTTCCAACGAAGGCCTCAAAGAGGTCCAAATATCTGCTTGCAGACTTTACAGACAGAGTGTTTCCAAACTGCTCCATCAAAAGAAAGGTTAAACTCCTTGAGTTGAACACACACATCAAAAAGTAGTTTCTGTGAATGATTCTGTCTAGTTTTTATACGAAGATGTTTCCTTTTCTACCTTTGGTCTCAAAGCGATTGAAATCTCCACATGGAAACTCCACAAAAAGAGTGTTTCAAATCTGCTCTTTCTGAAGGAAGGTTCATCTCTGTGAGTTGAATACACACACCACAAATAAGTTACTGAGAATTCTTCTGTGTAACATTATATGAGGAAATCCCGTTTCCAACGAAGGCCTCAAAGAGGTCCAAATATCCACTTGCAGACTTTACAAAGACAGTGTCTCCAAACTCCTCCATCAAAAGAAAGGTTATACTCTGTGAATTGAACGCACACATCACAAAGTAGTTTCTGAGAATGATTCTGTCTAGTTTTTATACGAAGATGTTTCCTTTTCTACATTTGGCCTAAAAGTGCTTGAAATCTCCACCTGCAAATATCACAAAAAGAGGGTTTCACATCTGCTCTGTCTAAAGGACAGTTCACCTCTGCGAGTTGAATAGAGGCAACACAAAGAACTTAGTATTCTTCTTTCTAGCGTTATATGAAGAAATCCCGTTTCCAAAGAAGGCCTCAAAGAGGTCCAAATATCTGCTTGCAGACTTTACAGACAGAGTGTTTCCAAACTACTCTATGAAAAGAAAGCTTAAACTCCTTGAGTTGAACGCACACATCACAAAGTAGTTTCTGAGAATGATTCTGTCTAGTTTTTATACGAAGATGTTTCCTTTTCTACATTTGGTCTCAAAGCGATTGAAATCTCCAACTGGAAACTGCACAAATAGGGTGTTTCAAATCTGCTCTGTCTAAAGGAAGGTTCAACTCTGTGAGTTGAATACACACACCACAAATAAGTTACTGAGAATTCTTCTGTCGAACATTACATGAAGAAATCCCGTTTCCAACGAAGGCCTCAAAGAGGTCCAAATATCCACTTGCAGACATTACAAACAGAGTGTTTCCAAACTGCTCCATCAAAAGAAAGGTTAAACTCTGTGAGCTGAACACACACATCAAAAAGAAGTTTCTGTGAATGATTCTGTCTAGATTTTATAAGAAGATGTTTCCTTTTCTACCGTAGGCCTCAAAGCGCTTGAAATCTCCAGCTGCAAATTCCACAAAAAGGGTGTTTAACATCTGCTCTTCTAAAGGAAAGTTCAACTCTATGAGTTGAATACACACAGCACAAAGAAGTTACTGAGACTTCTCCTATCAAACATTATATGAAGCAATCCCGTTTCCAACGAAGGCCTCAAAGAGGTCCAAATATCTGCTTGCAGACTTTACAGACAGAGTGTTTCCCAACTGCTCCATCAAAAGAAAGGTTAACCTCCTTGAGTTGAACACACACATCACAAAGTAGTTTCTGTGAATGATTCTGTCTAGTTTTTATACGAAGATGTTTCCTTTTCTACCTTTGGCCTAAAAGCGCTTGAAATCTCCACCTGCAAATATCACAAAAAGAGGGTTTCACATCTGCTCTGTCTAAAGGACAGTTCACCTCTGTGAGTTGAATAGAGACAACACAAAGAACTTACTCAGTATTCTTCTTTCTAGCGTTCTATGAAGAAATCCCGTTTCCAACGAAGGCCTCAAAGAGGTCTATATATCTGCTTGCAGACTTTACAGACAGAGTGTTTCCAAACTACTCTATGAAAAGAAAGCTTAAACTCCTTGAGTTAAACGCACACATCACAAAGTAGTTTCTGAGAATGATTCTGTCTAGTTTTTATACGAAGATGTTTCCTTTTCTACATTTGGTCTCAAAGCGATTGAAATCTCCAACTGGAAACTGCACAAATAGGGTGTTTCAAATCTGCTCTGTCTAAAGGAAGGTTCAACTCTGTGAGTTGAATACACACACCACAAATAAGTTACTGAGAATTCTTCTGTCGAACATTACTTGAAGAAATCCCGTTTCCAACGAAGGCCTCAAAGAGGTCCAAATATCCACTTGCAGACGTGACAAACAGAGTGTTTCCAAACTGCTCCATCAAAAGAAAGGTTAAACTCTGTGAGTTGAACACACACATCACAAAGTAGTTTCTGTGAATGATTCTGTCTAGATTTTATAAGAAGATGTTTCCTTTTCTACTGTAGGCCTCAAAGTGCTTGAAATCTCCAGCTGCAAATTCCACAAAAAGGGTGTTTAACATCTGCTCTTCTAAAGGAAAGTTCAACTCAATGAGTTGAATACACACAGCCCAAAGAAGTTACTGAGACTTCTCCTATCAAACATCATATGAAGAAATCCCGTTTCCAACGAAGGCCTCAAAGAGGTCCAAATATCTGCTTGCAGACTTTACAAAGACAGTGTCTCCAAACTCCTCCATCAAAAGAAAGGTTATACTCTGTGAATTGAACGCACACATCACAAAGTAGTTTCTGAGAATGATTCTGTCTAGTTTTTATACGAAGATATTTTTTTTTCTACATTTGGCCTAAAAGCGCTTGAAATCTCCACCTGCAAATATCACAAAAAGAGGGTTTCACATCTGCTCTTTCTAAAGGACAGTTCACCTCTGTGAGTTGAATAGAGGCAACACAAAGAACTTACTCAGTATTCTTTCTTTCTAGCGTTCTATGAAGAAATCCCGTTTCCAACGAAGGCCCCAAAGAGGTCCAAATATCTGCTTGCAGACTTTACAGACAGAGTGTTTCCAAACTACTCTATGAAAAGAAAGCTTAAACTCCTTGAGTTGAACGCACACATCACAAAGTAGTTTCTGAGAATGATTCTGTCTTGTTTTTATACCAAGATCTTTCCGTTTCTATGATTGGCCTCAAAGCGATTGAAATCTCCAACTGGAAACTGCACAAATAGGGTGTTTCAAATCTGCTCTGTCTAAAGGAAGGTTCAACTCTGTGAGTTGAATACACACACAACAAATAAGTTACTGAGAATTCTTCTGTTGAACATTACATGAAGAAATCCCGTTTCCAACGAAGGCCTCAAAGAGGTCCAAATATCCACTTGCAGACATTACAAACAGAGTGTTTCCAAACTGCTCCATCAAAGGAAAGGTTAAACTCTGTGAGCTGAACACACACATCAAAAAGAAGTTTCTGTGAATGATTCTGTCTAGATTTTATAAGAAGATGTTTCCTTTTCTACCGTAGGCCTCAAAGCGCTTGAAATCTCCAGCTGCAAATTCCACAAAAAGGGTGTTTAACATCTGCTCTTCTAAAGGAAAGTTCAACTCTATGAGTTGAATACACACAGCACAAAGAAGTTACTGAGACTTCTCCTATCAAACATTATATGAAGAAATCCCGTTTCCAAAGAAGGCCCCAAAGCAGTCCAAATATCCACTTGCAGACGTGAAAAACAGAGTGTTTCCAAACTGCCATATCAAAAGAAAGGTTAAACTCTGTGAGCTGAACACACACATCACAAAGTAGTTTCTGTGAATGATTCTGTCTAGTTTTTATACGAAGATGTTTCCTTTTCTACCTTTGGTCTCAAAGCGATGGATATCTCCACATGGAAACTCCACAAAATGAGTGTTTCAAATCTGCTCTTTCTGAAGGAAGGTTCAACTCTGTGAGTTGAATACACACACCACAAATAAGTTGCTGAGAATTCTTCTGTCGAACATTACATGAAGAAATCCCGTTTCCAACCAAGGCCTCAAAGAGGTCCATATATCCACTTGCAGATATTACAAACTGAGTGTTTCCAAACTGCTCCATCAAAGGAAATGTTAAACTCTGTGAGCTGAACACACACATCAAAAAGAAGTTTCTGTGAATGATTCTGTCTAGATTTTATAAGAAGATGTTTCCTTTTCTACAGTAGGCCTCAAAGCGCTTGAAACCCCCAGCTGCAAATTCCCCAAAAAGGGTGTTTAACATCTGCTCTTCTAAAGGAAAGTTCAACTCTATGAGTTGAATACACACAGCACAAAGAAGTTACTGAGACTTCTCCTATCAAACATTATATGAAGAAATCCCGTTTCCAACGAAGGCCCCAAAGAGGTCCAAATATCCACTTGCAGACTTTACAGACAGAGTGTTTCCAAACTCCTCCATCAAAAGAAAGGTTAAACTCCTTGAGTTGAACACACACATCACAAAGTAGTTTCTGTGAATGATTCTGTCTAGTTTTTATACGAAGATGTTTCCTTTTCTACCTTTGGTCTCAAAGCAATTGAAGTCTCCACATGGAAACTCCACAAAAAGAGTGTTTCAAATCTGCTCTGTCTGAAGGAAGGTTCAACTCTGTGAGTTGAATACACACACCACAAATAAGTTACTGAGAATTCTTCTGTGTAACATTATATGAGGAAATCCCGTTTCCAACGAAGGCCTCAAAGAGGTCCAAATATCCACTTGCAGACTTTACAAAGACAGTGTCTCCAAACTCCTCCATCAAAAGAAAGGTTATACTCTGTGAATTGAACGCACACATCACAAAGTAGTTTCTGAGAATGATTCTGTCTACTTTTTATACGAAGATATTTCCTTTTCTACATTTGGCCTAAAAGCGCTTGAAATCTCCACCTGCAAATATCACAAAAAGAGGGTTTCACATCTGCTCTGTCTAAAGGACAGTTCACCTCTGTGAGTTGAATAGAGAAAACACCAAGAAGTTACTCAGTATTCTTCTTTCTAGCGCTCTATGAAGAAATCCCGTTTCCAACGAAGGCCTCAAAGAGGTCCAAATATCTGCTTGCAGACTTCACAGACAGAGTGTTTCCAAAGTACTCTATGAAAAGAAAGCTTAAACTCCTTGAGTTGAACGCACACATCACAAAGTAGTTTCTGAGAATGATTCTGTCTAGTTTTTATACGAAGATGTTTCCTTTTCTACATTTGGTCTCAAAGCGATTGAAATCTCCAACTGGAAACTGCACAAATAGGGTGTTTCAAATCTGCTCTTTCTAAAGGAAGGTTCAACTCTGTGAGTTGAATACACACACCACAAATAAGTTACTGAGAATTCTTCTGTCGAACATTACATGAAGAAATCCCGTTTCCAACGAAGGCCTCAAAGAGGTCCAAATATCCACTTGCAGACATTACAAACAGAGTGTTTCCAAACTGCTCCATCAAAGGAAAGGTTAAACTCTGTGAGCTGAACACACACATCAAAAAGAAGTTTCTGTGAATGATTCTGTCTAGATTTTATAAGAAGATGTTTCCTTTTCTACAGTAGGCCTCAAAGCGCTTGAAATCTCCAGCTGCAAATTCCACAAAAAGGGTGTTTAACATCTGCTCTTCTAAAGGAAAGTTCAACTCTATGAGTTGAATACACACAGCACAAAGAATTTACTGAGACTTCTCCTATCAAACATTATATGAAGAAATCCCGTTTCCAACGAAGGCCTCAAAGAGGTCCAAATATCTGCTTCCAGACTTTACAGACAGAGTGTTTCCAAACTCCTCCATCAAAAGAAAGGTTAAACTCCTTGAGTTGAACACACACATCACAAAGTAGTTTCTGTGAATGATTCTGTCTAGTTTTTATACGACGATGTTTCCTTTTCTACCTTTGGTCTCAAAGCGATTGAAATCTCCACATGGAAGCTCCACAAAAAGAGTGTTTCAAATCTGCTCTTTCTGAAGGAAGGTTCAACTCTGTGAGTTGAATACACACACCACAAATAAGTTACTGAGAATTCTTCTGGGTAACATTATATGAGGAAATCCCGTTTCCAACGAAGGCCTCAAAGAGGTCCAAATATCCACTTGCAGACTTTACAAAGACAGTGTCTCCAAACTCCTCCATCAAAAGAAAGGTTATACTCTGTGAATTGAACGCACACATCACAAAGTAGTTTCTGAGAATGATTCTGTCTAGTTTTTATACGAAGATATTTCCTTTTCTACATTTGGCCTAAAAGCGCTTGAAATCTCCACCTGCAAATATCACAAAAAGAGGGTTTCACATCTGCTCTGTCTAAAGGACAGTTCACCTCTGTGAGTTGAATAGAGGCAACACAAAGAACTTACTCAGTATTCTTCTTTCTAGCGTTCAATGAAGAAATCCCGTTTCCAACTAAGGCCCCAATGAGGTCCAAATATCTGCTTGCAGACTTTACAGACAGAGTGTTTCCAAACTACTCTATGAAAAGAAAGCTTAAACTCCTTGAGTTGAACGCACACATCACAAAGTAGTTTCTGAGAATGATTCTGTCTAGTTTTTATACGAAGATGTTTCCTTTTCTACATTTGTCTCAAAGCGATTGAAATCTCCAACTGGTAACTGCACAAATAGGGTGTTTCAAATCTGCTCTATCTAAAGGAAGGTTCAACTCTGTGAGTTCAATACACACACCACAAATAAGTTACTGAGAATTCTTCTTTCGAACACTACTTGAAGAAATCCCGTTTCCAACGAAGGCCTCAAAGAGGTCCAAATATCCACTTGCAGACATTACAAACAGAGTGTTTCCAAACTGCTCCATCAAAAGAAAGGTTAAACTCTGTGAGCTGAACACACACATCAAAAAGAAGTTTCTGTGAATGATTCTGTCTAGATTTTATAAGAAGATGTTTCCTTTTCTACCGTAGGCCTCAAAGCGCTTGAAATCTCCAGCTGCAAATTCCACAAAAAGGGTGTTTAACATCTGCTCTTCTAAAGGAAAGTTCAACTCTATGAGTTGAATACACACAGCACAAAGAAGTTACTGAGACTTCTTCTGTCTAACATTATATGAAGAAATCCTGTTTCCAACGAAGGCCTCAAAGAGGTCCAAATATCTGCTTGCAGACTTTACAGACAGAGTGTTTCCAAACTGCTCCATCAAAAGAAAGGTTAAACTCCTTGAGTTGAACACACACATCACAAAGTAGTTTCTGTGAATGATTCTGTCTAGTTTTTATACGAAGATGTTTCCTTTTCTACCTTTGGTCTCAAAGCGATTGAAATCTCCACATCGAAACTCCACAAAAAGAGTGTTTCAAATCTGCTCTTTCTGAAGGAAGGTCCAACTCTGTGAGTTGAATACACACACCACAAATAAGTTACTGAGAATTCTTCTGTGTAACATTATATGAGGAAATCCCGTTTCCAACGAAGGCCTCAAAGAGGTCCAAATATCCACTTGAAGACTTTACAAAGACAGTGTCTCCAAACTCCTCCATCAAAAGAAAGGTTATACTCTGTGAATTGAACGCACACATCACAAAGTAGTTTCTGAGAATGATTGTGTCTAGTTTTTATACGAAGATATTTCCTTTTCTACATTTGGCCTAAAAGCGCTTGAAATCTCCACCTGCAAATATCACAAAAAGAGGGTTTCACATCTGCTCTGTCTAAAGGACAGTTCACCTCTGTGAGTTGAATAGAGGCAACACAAAGAACTTACTCAGTATTCTTCTTTCTAGCGTTCTATGAAGAAATCCCGTTTCCAACGAAGGCCCCAAAGAGGTCCAAATATCTGCTTGCAGACTTTACAGACAGAGTGTTTCCAAACTACTCTATGAAAAGAAAGCTTAAACTCCTTGAGTTGAACGCACACATCACAAAGTAGTTTCTGAGAATGATTCTGTCAAGTTTTTATACGAAGATGTTTCCTTTTCTACATTTGGTCTCAAAGCGATTAAAATCTCCAACTGGAAACTGCACAAATAGGGTGTTTCAAATCTGCTCTGTCTAAAGGAAGGTTCAACTCTGTGAGTTGAATACACACACTACAAATAAGTTACTGAGAATTCTTCTGTCGAACATTACAGGAAGAAATCCCGTTTCCAACGAAGGCCTCAAAGAGGTCCAAATATCCACTTGCAGACATTACAAACAGTGTGTTTCCCAACTGCTCCATCAAAAGAAAGGTTAAACTCTGTGAGCTGAACACACACATCAAAAAGAAGTTTCTGTGAATGATTCTGTCTAGATTTTATAAGAAGATGTTTCCTTTTCTACCGTAGGCCTCAAAGCGCTTGAAATCTCCAGCTGCAAATTCCACAAAAAGGGTGTTTAACATCTGCTCTTCTAAAGGAATGTTCAACTCTATGAGTTGAATACACACAGCACAAAGAAGTTACTGAGACTTCTCCTATCAAACATTATATGAAGAAATCCCGCTTCCAACGAAGGCCTCAAAGAAGTCCAAATATCTGCTCACAAACTTTACAGACAGAGTGTTTCCAAACTGCTCCATCAAAAGAAAGGTTAACCTCCTTGAGTTGAACACACACATCACAAAGTAGTTTCTGTGAGTGATTCTTTCTAGTTTTTATACGAAGGATGTTTCCTTTTCTACCTTTGGTCTCAATGCGATTGAAATCTCCACATGGAAACTCCACAAAAAGAGTGTTTCAAATCTGCTCTTTCTGAAGGAAGGTTCAAATCTGTGAGTTGAATACACACACCACAAATAAGTTACTGAGAATTCTTCTGTGTAACATTATATGAGGAAATCCCGTTTCCAACGAAGGCCTCAAAGAGGTCCAAATATCCACTTGCAGACTTTACAAAGACAGTGTCTCCAAACTCCTCCATCAAAAGAAAGGTTATACTCTGTGAATTGAACGCACACATCACAAAGTAGTTTCTGAGAATGATTCTGTCTAGTTTTTATACGAAGATATTTCCTTTTCTACATTTGGCCTAAAAGCGCTTGAAATCTCCACCTGCAAATATCACAAAAAGAGGGTTTCACATCTGCTCTGTCTAAAGGACAGTTCACCTCTGTGAGTTGAATAGAGGCAACACAAAGAACGTACTCAGTATTCTTCTTTCTAGCGTTCTATGAAGAAATCCCGTTTCCAACGAAGGCCTCAAAGAGGTCAAATATCTGCTTGCAGACTTTACAGACAGAGTGTTTCCAAACTACTCTATGAAAAGAAAGCTTAAACTCCTTGAGTTGAACGCACACATCACAAAGTAGTTTCTGAGAATGATTCTGTCTAGTTTTTATACGAAGATGTTTCCTTTTCTACATTTGGTCTCAAAGCGATTGAAATCTCCAACTGGAAACTGCACAAATAGGCTGTTTCAAATCTGCTCTGTCTAAAGGAAGGTTCAACTCTGTGAGTTGAATACACACACCACAAATAAGTTACTGAGAATTCTTCTGTCGAACATTACTTGAAAAAATCCCGTTTCCAACGAAGGCCTCAAGGAGGTCCAAATAACCACTTGCAGACATTACAAACAGAGTGTTTCCAAACTGCTCCATCAAAAGAAAGGTTAAACTCTGTGAGCTGAACACACACATCAAAAAGAAGTTTCTGTGAATGATTCTGTCTAGATTTTATAAGATGTTTCCTTTTCTACCGTAGGCCTCAAAGCGCTTGAAATCTCCAGCTGCAAATTCCACAAACAGGGTGTTTAACATCTGCTCTTCTAAAGGAAAGTTCAACTCTATGAGTTGAATACACACAGCACAAAGAAGTTACTGAGACTTCTCCTATCAAACATTATATGAAGAAATCCCGTTTCCAACGAAGGCCTCAAAGAGGTCCAAATATCTGCTTGCAGACTTTACAGACACAGTTTTTCCAAACTGCTCCATCAAGAGAAAGGTTAAACTCCTTGAGTTGAACACACACATCACAAAGTAGTTTCTGTGAATGATTCTGTCTAGTTTTTATACGAAGATGTTTCCTTTTCTACCTTTGGTCTCAAAGCGATTGAAATCTCCACATGGAAACTCCACAAAAAGAGTGTTTCAAATCTGCTCTTTCCGAAGGAAGGTTCAACTCTGTGAGTTGAATACACACACCACAAATAAGTTACTGAGAATTCTTTCTGTGTAACATTATATGAGGAAATCCCGTTTCCAACGAAGGCCTCAAAGAGATCCAAATATCCACTTGCAGACTTTACAAAGACAGTGTCTCCAAACTCCTCCATCAAAAGAAAGGTTATCCTCTGTGAATTGAACGCACACATCACAAAGTAGTTTCTGAGAATGATTCTGTCTAGTTTTTATACGAAAATATTTCCTTTTCTACATTTGGCCTAAAAGCGCTTGAAATCTCCACCTGCAAATATCACAAAAAGAGGGTTTCACATCTGCTCTGTTTAAAGGACAGTTCACCTCTGTGAGTTGAATAGAGGCAACACAAAGAACTTACTCAGTATTCTTCTTTCTAGCGTTATATGAAGAAATCCCGTTTCCAACGAAGGCCTCAAAGAGGTCCAAATATCTGCTTGCAGACTTTACAGACAGAGTGTTTCCAAACTACTCTATGAAAAGAAAGCTTAAACTCCTTGAGTTGAACGCACACATCACAAAGTAGTTTCTGAGAATGATTCTGTCTAGTTTTTATACGAAGATGTTTCCTTTTCTACATTTGGTCTCAAAGCGATTGAAATCTCCAACTGGAAACTGCACAAATAGGGTGTTTCAAATCTGCTCTGTCTAAAGGAAGGTTCAACTCTGTGAGTTGAATACACACACCACAAATAAGTTACTGAGAATTCTTCTGTCGAACATTACTTGAAGAAATCCCGTTTCCAACGAAGGCCTCAAACAGGTCCAAATATCCACTTGCAGACGTTACAAACAGAGTGTTTCCAAACTGCTCCATCAAAAGAAAGGTTAAACTCTGTGAGCTGAACACACACATCAAAAAGAAGTTTCTGTGAATGATTCTGTCTAGATTTTATAAGAAGATGTTTCCTTTTCTACCGTAGGCCTCAAAGCGCTTGAAATCTCCAGCTGCAAATTCCACAAAAAGGGTGTTTAACATCTGCTCTTCTAAAGGAAAGTTCAACTCTATGAGTTGAATACACACAGCACAAAGAAGTTACTGAGACTTCTCCTATCAAACATTATATGAAGAAATCCCGTTTCCAACGAAGGCCTCAAAGAGGTCCAAATATCTGCTTGCAGACTTTACAGACAGAGTGTTTCCAAACTGCTCCATCAAAAGAAAGGTTAAACTCCTTGAGTTGAACACACACATCACAAAGTAGTTTCTGTGAATGATTCTGTCTAGTTGTTATACGAAGATGTTTCCTTTTCTACCTTTGGTCTCAAAGCGATTGAAATCTCCACATGGAAACTCCACAAAAAGAGTGTTTCAAATCTGCTCTTTCTGAAGGAAGGTTCATCTCTGTGAGTTGAATACACACACCACAAATAAGTTACTGAGAATTCTTCTGTGTAACATTATATGAGGAAATCCCGTTTCCAACGAAGGCCTCAAAGAGGTCCAAATATCCACTTGCAGACTTTACAAAGACAGTGTCTCCAAACTCCTCCATCAAAAGAAAGGTTATACTCTGTGAATTGAACGCATACATCACAAAGTAGTTTCTGAGAATGATTCTGTCTAGTTTTTATACGAAGATATTTCCTTTTCTACATTTGGCCTAAAAGCGCTTGAAATCTCCACCTGCAAATATCACAAAAAGAGGGTTTCACATCTGCTCTGTCTAAAGGACAGTTCACCTCTGTGAGTTGAATAGAGGCAACACAAAGAACTTACTCAGTATTCTTCTTTCTAGCATTCTATGAAGAAATCCCGTTTCCAACGAAGGCCTCAAAGAGGTCCAAATATCTGCTTGCAGACTTTACAGACAGAGTTTTTCCAAACTGCTCCATCAAAAGAAAGGTTAAACTCCTTGAGTTGAACACACACATCACAAAGTAGTTTCTGTGAATGATTCTGTCTAGTTTTTATAAGAAGATGTTTCCTTTTCTACCTTTGGTCTCAAAGCGATTGAAATCTCCACATGGAAACTCCTCAAAAAGAGTGTTTCAAATCTGCTCTTTCTGAAGGAAGGTTCAACTCTGTGAGTTGAATACACACACCACAAATAAGTTACTGAGAATTCTTCTGTGTAACATTATATGAGGAAATCCCGTTTCCAACGAAGGCCTCAAAGAGGTCCAAATATCCACTTGCAGACTTTACAAAGACAGTGTCTCCAAACTCCTCCATCAAAAGAAAGGTTATACTCTGTGAATTGAACGCACACATCACAAAGTAGTTTCTGAGAATGATTCTGTCTAGTTTTTATATGAAGATATTTCCTTTTCTACATTTGGCCTAAAAGCGCTTGAAATCTCCACCTGCAAATATCACAAAAAGAGGGTTTCACATCTGCTCTATCTAAAGGAGAGTTCACCTCTGTGAGTTGAATAGAGGCAACACAAAGAACTTACTCAGTATTCTTCTTTCTAGCGTTCTATGAAGAAATCCCGTTTCCAACGAAGGCCTCAAAGAGGTCAAATATCTGCTTGCAGACTTTACAGACAGAGTGTTTCCAAACTACTCTATGAAAAGAAAGCTTAAACTCCTTGAGTTGAACGCACACATCACAAAGTAGTTTCTGAGAATGATTCTGTCTAGTTTTTATACGAAGATGTTTCCTTTTCTACATTTGGTCTCAAAGCGATTGAAATCTCCAACTGGAAACTGCACAAATAGGGTGTTTCAAATCTGCTCTGTCTAAAGGAAGGTTCAACTCTGTGAGTTGAATACACACACCACAAATAAGTTACTGAGAATTCTTCTGTCGAACATTACTTGAAGAAATTCCGTTTCCAACGAAGGCCTCAAAGAGGTCCAAATATCCACTTGCAGACATTACAAACAGAGTGTTTCCAAACTGCTCCATGAAAAGAAAGGTTAAACTCTGTGAGCTGAACACACACATCAAAAAGAAGTTTCTGTTAATGATTCTGTCTAGATTTTATAAGAAGATGTTTCCTTTTCTACCGTAGGCCTCAAAGCGCTTGAAATCTCCAGCTGCAAATTCCACAAAAAGGGTGTTTAACATCTGCTCTTCTAAAGGAAAGTTCAACTCTATGAGTTGAATACACACAGCACAAAGAAGTTACTGAGACTTCTCCTATCAAACATTATATGAAGAAATCCCGTTTCCAACGAAGGCCTCAAAGAGGTCCAAATATCTGCTTGCAGACTTTACAGACAGAGTTTTTCCAAACTGCTCCATCAAAAGAAAGGTTAAACTCCTTGAGTTGAACACACACATCACAAAGTAGTTTCTGTGAATGATTCTGTCTAGTTTTTATACGAAGATGTTTCCTTTTCTACCTTTGGTCTCAATGCGATTGAAATCTCCACATGGAAACTCCACAAAAAGAGTGTTTCAAATCTGCTCTTTCTGAAGGAAGGTTCAACTCTGTGAGTTGAATACACACACCACTAATAAGTTACTGAGAATTCTCCCTGTGTAACATTATATGAGGAAATCCCGTTTCCAACAAAGGCCTCAAAGAGGTCCAAATATCCACTTGCAGACTTTACAAAGACAGTGTCTCCAAACTCCTCCATCAAAAGAAAGGTTATACTCTGTGAATTGAACGCACACATCACAAAGTAGTTTCTGAGAATGATTCTGTCTAGTTTTTATACGAAGATATTTCCTTTTCTACATTTGGCCTAAAAGCGCTTGAAATCTCCACGTGCAAATATCACAAAAAGAGGGTATCAGATCTGCTCTGTCAAAAGGACAGTTCACCTCTGTGAGTTGAATAGAGGCAACACAAAGAACTTACTCAGTATTCTTCTTTCTAGCGTTCTATGAAGAAATCCCGTTTCCAACGAAGGCCTCAAAGAGGTCCAAATATCCACTTGCAGACATTACAAACAGTGTGTTTCCCAACTGCTCCATCAAAAGAAAGGTTAAACTCTGTGAGCTGAACACACACATCAAAAAGAAGTTTCTGTGAATGATTCTGTCTAGATTTTATAAGAAGATGTTTCCTTTTCTACCGTAGGCCTCAAAGCGCTTGAAATCTCCAGCTGCAAATTCCACAAAAAGGGTGTTTAACATCTGCTCTTCTAAAGGAAAGTTCAACTCTATGAGTTGAATACACACAGCACAAAGAAGTTACTGAGACTTCTCCTATCAAACATTATATGAAGAAATCCCGTTTCCAACGAAGGCCTCAAAGAGGTCCAAATATCTGCTTGCAGACTTTACAGACAGAGTGTTTCCAAACTGCTCCATCAAAAGAAAGGTTAAACTCCTTGAGTTGAACACACACATCACAAAGTAGTTTCTGTGAATGATTCTGTCTAGTTTTTATACGAAGATGTTTCCTTTTCTACCTTTGGTCTCAATGCGATTGAAATCTCCACATGGAAACTCCACAAAAAGAGTGTTTCAAATCTGCTCTTTCTGAAGGAAGGTTCAACTCTGTGAGTTGAATACACACACCACAAATAAGTTACTGAGAATTCTTCTGTGTAACATTATATGAGAAAATCCCGTTTCCAACGAAGGCCTCAAAGAGGTCCAAATATCCACTTGCAGACATTTACAAAGACAGTGTCTCCAAACTCCTCCATCAAAAGAAAGGTTATACTCTGTGAATTGAACGCACACATCACAAAGTAGTTTCTGAGAATGATTCTGTCTAGTTTTTATACGAAGATATTTCCTTTTCTACATTTGGCCTAAAAGCGCTTGAAATCTCCACCTGCAAATATCACAAAAAGAGGGTTTCACATCTGCTCTGTGTAAAGGACAGTTCACCTCTGTGAGTTGAATAGAGACAACACCAAGAACTTACTCAGTACTCTTCTTTCTAGCGTTCTATGAAGAAATCCCGTTTCCAACGAAGGCCTCAAAGAGGTCCAAATATCTGCTTGCAGACTTTACAGACAGAGTGTTTCCAAACTTCTCCATCAAAAGAAAGGTTAAACTCTGTGAGCTGAACACACACATCAAAAAGAAGTTTCTGTGAATGATTCTGTCTAGATTTTATAAGAAGATGTTTCCTTTTCTACCGTAGGCCTCAAAGCGCTTGAAATCTCCAGCTGCAAATTCCACAAAAATGGTGTTTAACATCTGCCCTTCTAAAGGAAAGTTCAACTCTACGAGTTGAATACACACAGCACAAAGAAGTTACTGAGACTTCTCCTATCAAACATTATATGAAGAAATCCCGTTTCCAACGAAGGCCTCAAAGAGGTCCAAATATCTGCTTGCAGACTTTACAGACAGAGTGTTTCCAAACTGCTCCATCAAAAGAAAGGTTAAACTCCTTGAGTTGAACACACACATCACAAAGTAGTTTCTGAGAATGATTCTGTCTAGTTTTTATACGAAGATATTTCCTTTTCTATATTTGGCCTAAAAGCGCTTGAAATCTCCACCTGCAAATATCACAAAAAGAGGGTTTCACATCTGCTCTGTCTAAAGGACAGTTCACCTCTGTGAGTTGAATAGAGGGAACACAAAGAACTTACTCAGTATTCTTCTTTCTAGCGTTGTATGAAGAAATCCCGTTTCCAACGAAGGCCTCAAAGAGGTCCAAATATCTGCTTGCCGACTTTACAGACAGAGTGTTTCCAAACTACTCTATGAAAAGAAAGCTTAAACTCCTTGAGTTGAACGCACACATCACAAAGTTGTTTCTGAGAATGATTCTGTCTTGTTTTTATACAAGGTTATTTCCGTTTCTATGATTGGCCTCAAAGCGATTGAAATCTCCAACTGGAAACTGCACAAATAGGGTGTTTCAAATCTGCTCTGTCTAAAGGAAGGTTCAACTCTGTGAGTTGAATACACACACCACAAATAAGTTACTGAGAATTCTTCTGTCGAACATTACATGAAGAATTCCCGTTTCCAACGAAGGCCTCAAAGAGGTCCAAATATCCACTTGCAGGCATTACAAACAGAGTGTTTCCAAACTGCTCCATCAAAAGAAAGGTTAAACTCTGTGAGCTGAACACACACATCAAAAAGAAGTTTCTGTGAATGATTCTGTCTAGATTTTATAAGAAGATGTTTCTTTTTCTACCGTAGGCCTCAAAGCGCTTGAAATCTCCAGCTGCAAATTCCACAAAAAGGGTGTTTAACATCTGCTCTTCTAAAGGAAAGTTCAACTCTATGAGTTGAATACACACAGCACAAAGAAGTTACTGAGACTTCTCCTATCAAGCATTATGTGAAGAAATCCCGTTTCCAACGAAGGCCTCAAAGACGTCCAAATCTCTGCTTGCAGACTTTACAGACAGAGTTTTTCCAAACTGCTCCATCAAAAGAAAGGTTAACCTCCTTGAGTTGAACACAGACATCACAAAGTAGTTTCTGAGAATGATTCTGTCTAGTTTTTATACGAAGATGTTTCCTTTTCTACCTTTGGTCTCAAAGCGATTGAAATCTCCACATGGAAACTCCACAAAAAGAGTGTTTCAAATCTGCTCTGTCTAAAGGAAGGTTCAACTCTGTGAGTTGAATACACACACCACAAATAAGTTACTGAGAATTCTTCTGTGTAACATTATATGAGGAAATCCCGTTTCCAACGAAGGCCTCAAAGAGGTCCAAATATCCACTTGCAGACTTTACAAAGACAGTGTCTCCAAACTCCTCCATCAAAAGAAAAGTTATACTCTGTGAATTGAACGCACACATCACAAAGTAGTTTCTGAGAATGATTCTGTCTAGTTTTTATAATAAGATATTTCCTTTTCTACATTTGGCCTAAAAGCGCATGAAATCTCCACCTGCAAATATCACAAAAAGAGGGTTTCACATCTCCTCTGTCTAAAGGACAGTTCACCTCTGTGAGTTGAATAGAGGCAACACAAAGAAGTTACTGAGTATTCTTCTTTCTAGCGTTATATGAAGAAATCCCGTTTGCAACGAAGGCCTCAAAGAGGTCCAAATGTCCACTTGCAGACTTTACAAAGACAGTGTCTCCAAACTCCTCCATCAAAGAAAGGTTATACTCTGTGAATTGAGCACACATCACAATGTAGTTTCTGAGAATGATTCTGTCTAGTTTTTATACGAAGATATTTCCTTTTCTACATTTGGCCTAAAAGCGCTTGAAATCTCCACCTGCAAATATCACAAAAAGAGGGTTTCACATCTGCTCTGCCTAAAGGACAGTTCACCTCTGTGAGTTGAATAGAGGCAACACAAAGAACTTACTCAGTATTCTTCTTTCTAGCGTTCTATGAAGAAATCCCGTTTCCAACGAAGGCCCCAAAGAGGTCCAAATATCTGCTTGCAGACTTTACAGACAGAGTGTTTCCAAACTACTCTATGAAAAGAAAGCTTAAACTCCTTGAGTTGAACGCACACATCACAATGTAGTTTCGGAGAATGATTCTGTCTAGTTTTCATACGAAGATGTTTCCTTTTCTACATTTGGTCTCAAAGCGATTGAAATCTCCAACTGGAAACTGCACAAATAGGCTGTTTCAAATCTGGTCTGTCTAAAGGAAGGTTCAACTCTGTGAGTTGAATACACACACCACAAATAAGTTACTGAGAATTCTTCTGTCGAACATTACTTGAAGAAATCCCGTTTCCAACGAAGGCCTCAAAGAGGTCCAAATATCCACTTGCAGACATTACAAACAGAGTGTTTCCAAACTGCTCCATCAAAAGATAGGTTAAACTCTGTGAGCTGAACACACACATCAAAAAGAAGTTTCTGTGAATGATTCTGTCTAGATTTTATAAGAAGATGTTTCCTTTTCTACCGTAGGCCTCAAAGCGCTTGAAATCTCCAGCTGCAAATTCCACAAAAAGGGTGTTTAACATCTGCTCTTCTAAAGGAAAGTTCAACTCTATGAGTTGAATACACACAGCACAAAGAAGTTACTGAGACTTCTCCTATCAAACATTATATGAAGAAATCCCGTTTCCAACGAAGGCCTCAAAGAGGTCCAAATATCTGCTTGCAGACTTTACAGACAGAGTGTTTCCAAACTGCTCCATCAAAAGAAAGGTTAAACTCCTTGAGTTGAACACACACATCACAAAGTAGTTTCTGTGAATGATTCTGTCTAGTTGTTATACGAAGATGTTTCCTTTTCTACCTTTGGTCTCAAAGCGATTGAAATCTCCACATGGAAACTCCACAAAAAGAGTGTTTCAAATCTGCTCTTTCTGAAGGAAGGTTCAACTCTGTGAGTTGAATACACACACCACAAATAAGTTACTGAGAATTCTTCTGTGTAACATTATATGAGGAAATCCCGTTTCCAACGAAGGCCTCAAAGAGGTCCAAATATCCACTTGCAGACTTTACAAAGACAGTGTCTCCAAACTCCTCCATCAAAAGAAAGGTTATACTCTGTGAATTGAACGCACACATCACAAAGTAGTTTCTGAGAATGATTCTGTCTAGTTTTTATACGAAGATATTTCCTTTTCTACATTTGGCCTAAAAGCGCTTGAAATCTCCACCTGCAAATATCACAAAAAGAGGGTTTCACATCTGCTCTGTCTAAAGGACAGTTCACCTCTGTGAGTTGAATAGAGGCAACACAAAGAACTTACTCAGTATTCTTCTTTCTAGCGTTCTATGAAGAAATCCCGTTTCCAACGAAGGCCCCAAAGAGGTCCAAATATCTGCTTGCAGACTTTACAGACAGAGTGTTTCCAAACTACTCTATGAAAAGAAAGCTTAAACTCCTTGAGTTGAACGCACACATCACAAAGTAGTTTCTGAGAATGATTCTGTCTAGTTTTTATACGAAGATGTTTCCTTTTCTACATTTGGTCTCAAAGCGATTGAAATCTCCAACTGGAAACTGCACAAATAGGGTGTTTCAAATCTGCTCTGTCTAAAGGAAGGTTCAACTCTGTGAGTTGAATACACACACCACAAATAAGTTACTGAGAATTCTTCTGTCGAATATTACATGAAGAAATCCCGTTTCCAACGAAGGCCTCAAAGAGGTCCAAATATCCACTTGCAGACATTACAAACAGTGTGTTTCCAAACTGCTCCATTAAAAGAAAGGTTAAACTCTGTGAGCTGAACACACACATCAAAAAGAAGTTTCTGTGAATGATTCTGTCTAGATTTTATAAGAAGATGTTTCCTTTTCTACCGTAGGCCTCAAAGCGCTTGAAATCTCCAGCTGCAAATTCCACAAAAAGGGTGTTTAACATCTGCACTTCTAAAGGAAAGTTCAACTCTATGAGTTGAATACACACAGCACAAAGAAGTTACTGAGACTTCTCCTATCAAACATTATATGAAGAAATCCCGTTTTCAACGAAGACCTCAAAGAGGTCCAAATATCCACTTGCAGACTTTACAAAGACAGTGTCTCCAAACTCCTCCATCAAAAGAAAGGTTATACTCTGTGAATTGAACGCACACATCACAAAGTAGTTTCTGAGAATGATTCTGTCTAATTTTCATACGAAGATATTTCCTTTTCTACATTTGGCCTAAAAGCGCTTGAAATCTCCACCTGCAAATATCACAAAAAGAGGGTTTCACATCTGCTCTGTCTAAAGGACAGTTCACCTCTGTGAGTTGAATAGAGGCAACACAAAGAACTTACTCAGTATTCTTCTTTCTAGCGTTCTATGAAGAAATCCCGTTTCCAACGAAGGCCTCAAAGAGGTCCAAATATCTGCTTGCACACTTTACAGACAGAGTGTTTCCAAACTACTCTATGAAAAGAAAGCTTAAACTCCTTGAGTTGAACGCACACATCACAAAGTAGTTTCTGAGAATGATTCTGTCTAGTTTTTATACGAAGATGTTTCCTTTTCTACATTTGGTCTCAAAGCGATTGAAATCTCCAACTGGAAACTGCACAAATAGGGTGTTTCAAATCTGCTCTGTCTAAAGGAAGGTTCAACTCTGTGAGTTGAATACACACACCACAAATAAGTTACTGAGAATTCTTCTGTCGAACATTACTTGAAGAAATACCGTTTCCAAAGAAGGCCTCAAAGAGGTCAAAATATCCACTTGCAGACATTACAAACAGAGTGTTTCAAAACTGCTCCATGAAAAGAAAGGTTAAACTCTGTGAGCTGAACACACACATGAAAAAGAAGTTTCTGTGAATGATTCTGTCTAGATTTTATAAGAAGATGTTTCCTTTTCTACCGTAGGCCTCAAAACGCTTGAAATCTCCAGCTGCAAATTCTACAAAAAGGGTGTTTAACATCTGCTCTTCTAAAGGAAAGTTCAACTCTATGCGTTGAATAAACACAGCAGAAAGAAGTTACTGAGACTTCTCCTATCAAACATTATATGAAGAAATCCCGTTTCCAACGAAGGCCCCAAAGAGGTCCAAATATCTGCTTGCAGACTTTACAGACAGAGTTTTTCCAAACAGCTCCATCAAAAGAAAGGTTAAACTCCTTGAGTTGAACACACACATCACAAAGTAGTTTCTGTGAATGATTCTGTCTAGTTTTTATACGAAGATGTTTCCTTTTCTACCTTTGGTCTCAAAGCGATTGAAATCTCCACATGGAAACTCCACAAAAAGAGTGTTTCAAATCTGCTCTTTGTGAAGGAAGGTTCAACTCTGTGAGTTGAATACACACACCACAAATAAGTTACTGAGAATTCTTCTGTGTAACATTATATGAGGAAATCCCGTTTCCAACGAAGGCCTCAAAGAGGTCCAAATATCCACTTGCAGACTTTACAAAGACAGTGTCTCCAAACTCCTCCATCAAAAGAAAGGTTATACTCTGTGAATTGAACGCACACATCACAAAGTAGTTTCTGAGAATGATTCTGTCTAGTTTTTATACGAAGATATTTCCTTTTCTACATTTGGCCTAAAAGCGCTTGAAATCTCCACCTGCAAATATCACAAAAAGAGGGTTTCACATCTGCTCTGTCTAAAGGACAGTTCACCTCTGTGAGTTGAATAGAGGCAACACAAAGAACTTACTCAGTATTCTTCTTTCTAGCGTTCTATGAAGAAATCCCGTTTCCAACGAAGGCCCAAAAGAGGTCCAAATATCTGCTTGCAGACTTTACAGACAGAGTGTTTCCAAACTACTCTATGAAAAGAAAGCTTAAACTCCTTGAGTTGAACGCACACATCACAAAGTAGTTTCTGAGAATGATTCTGTCTAGTTTTTATACGAAGATGTTTCCTTTTCTACATTTGGTCTCAAAGCGATTGAAATCTCCAACTGGAAACTGCACAAATAGGGTGTTTCAAATCTGCTCTGTCTAAAGGAAGGTTCAACTCTGTGAGTTGAATACACACACCACAAATAAGTTACTGAGAATTCTTCTGTCGAACATTACTTGAAGAAATCCCGTTTCCAATGAAGGCCTCAAAGAGGTCCAAATATCCACTTGCAGACATTACAAACAGAGTGTTTCCAAACTGCTCCATCAAAAGAAAGGTTAAACTCTGTGAGCTGAACACACACATCAAAAAGAAGTTTACTGTGAATGATTCTGTCTAGATTTTATAAGAAGATGTTTCCTTTTCTACCGTAGGCCTCAAAGCGCTTGAAATCTCCAGCTGCAAATTCCACAAAAAGGGTGTTTAACATCTGCTCTTCTAAAGGAAAGTTCAACTCTATGAGTTGAATACACACAGCACAAAGAAGTTACTGAGACTTCTCCTATCAAACATTATATGAAGAAATCCCGTTTCCAACGAAGGCCTCAAAGAGGTCCAAATATCTGCTTGCAGACTTTACAGACAGAGTGTTTCCAAACTGCTCCATCAAAAGAAAGGTTAAACTCCTTGAGTTGAACACACACATCACAAAGTAGTTTCTGTGAATGATTCTGTCTAGTTTTTATACGAAGATGTTTCCTTTTCTACCTTTGGTCTCAAAGCTATTGAAATCTCCACATGGAAACTCCACAAAAAGAGTGTTTCAAATCTGCTCTCTCTGAAGGAAGGTTCAACTCTGTGAGTTGAATACACACACCACAAATAAGTTACTGATAATTCTTCTGTGTAACATTATATGAGGAAATCCCGTTTCCAACGAAGGCCTCAAAGAGGTCCAAATATCCACTTGCAGACTTTACAAAGACAGTGTCTCCAAACTCCTCCATCAAAAGAAAGGTTATACTCTGTGAATTGAACGCACACATCACAAAGTAGTTTCTGAGAATGATTCTGTCTAGTTTTTATACGAAGATATTTCCTTTTCTACATTTGGCCTAAAAGCGCTTGAAATCTCCACCTGCAAATATCACAAAAAGAGGGTTTCACATCTGCTCTGTCTAAAGGACAGTTCACCTCTGTGAGTTGAATAGAGGCAACACAAAGAACTTACTCAGTATTCTTCTTTCCAGCGTTCTATGAAGAAATCCCTTTTCCAACGAAGGCCTCAAATAGGTCCAAATATCTGCTTGCAGACTTTACAGACAGAGTGTTTCCAAACTACTCTATGAAAAGAAAGCTTAAACTCCTTGAGTTGAACGCACACATCACAAAGTAGTTTCTGAGAATGATTCTGTCTAGTTTTTATACGAAGATGTTTCCTTTTCTACATTTGGTCTCAAAGCGATTGAAATCTCCAACTGGAAACTGCACAAATAGGGTGTTTCAAATCTGCTCTGTCTAAAGGAAGGTTCAACTCTGTGAGTTGAATACACACACCACAAATAAGTTACTGAGAATTCTTCTGTCGAACATTACTTGAAGAAATCCCGTTTCCAATGAAGGCCTCAAAGAGGTCCAAATAACCACTTGCAGACATTACAAACAGAGTGTTTCCAAACTGCTCCATCAAAAGAAAGGTTAAACTCTGTGAGCTGAACACACACATAAAAAAGAAGTTTCTGTGAATGATTCTGTCTAGATTTTATAAGAAGATGTTTCCTTTTCTACCGTAGGCCTCAAAGCGCTTGAAATCTCCAGCTGCAAATTCCACAAAAAGGGTGTTTAACATCTGCTCTTCTAAAGGAAAGTTCAACTCTATGAGTTGAATACACACAGCACAAAGAAGTTACTGAGACTTCTCCTATCAAACATTATATGAAGAAATCCCGTTTCCAACGAAGGCCTCAAAGAGGTCCAAATATCTGCTTGCAGACTTTACAGACAGAGTGTTTCCAAACTGCTCCATCAAAAGAAAGGTTAAACTCCTTGAGTTGAACACACACATCACAAAATAGTTTCTGTGAATGATTCTGTCTAGTTTTTATACGAAGATGTTTCCTTTTCTACCTTTGGTCTCAAAGCGATTGAAATCTCCACATGGAAACTCCACAAAAAGAGTGTTTCAAATCTGCTCTTTCTGAAGGAAGGTTCAACTCTGTGAGTTGAATACACACACCACAAATAAGTTACTGAGAATTCTTCTCTGTAACATTATATGAGGAAATCCCGTTTCCAACGAAGGCCTCAAAGAGGTCCAAATATCCACTTGCAGACTTTACAAAGACAGTGTCTCCAAACTCCTCCATCAAAAGAAAGGTTATACTCTGTGAATTGAACGCACACATCAAAAAGTAGTTTCTGAGAATGATTCTGTCTAGTTTTTATACGAAGATATTTCCTTTTCTACATTTGGCCTAAAAGCGCTTGAAATCTCCACCTGCAAATATCACAAAAAGAGGGTTTCACATCTGCTCTGTCTAAAGGACAGTTCACCTCTGTGAGTTGAATAGAGGCAACACAAAGAACTTACTCAGTATTCTTCTTTCTAGCGTTCTATGAAGAAATCCCGTTTCCAACGAAGGCCTCAAAGAGGTCCAAATATCTGCTTGCAGACTTTACAGACAAAGTGTTTCCAAACTACTCTATGAAAAGAAAGCTTAAACTCCCTGAGTTGAACGCACACATCACAAAGTAGTTTCTGAGAATGATTCTGTCTAGTTTTTATACGAAGATGTTTCCTTTTCAACATTTGGTCTCAAAGCGATTGAAATCTCCAACTGGAAACTGCACAAATAGGGTGTTTCAAATCTGCTCTGTCTAAAGGAAGGTTCAACTCTGTGAGTTGAATACACACACCACAAATAAGTTACTGAGAATTCTTCTGTCGAACATTACATGAAGAAATCCCGTTTCCAACGAAGGCCTCAAAGACGTCCAAATATCCACTTGCAGACATTACAAACAGAGTGTTTCCAAACTGCTCCATCAAAAGAAAGGTTAAACTCTGTGAGCTGAACACACACATCAAAAAGAAGTTTCTGTGAATGATTCTGTCTAGATTTTATAAGAAGATGTTTCCTTTTCTACCGTAGGCCTCAAAGCGCTTGAAATCTCCAGCTGCAAATTCCACAAAAAGGGTGTTTAACATCTGCTCTTCTAAAGGAAAGTTCAACTCTATGAGTTGAATACACACAGCACAAAGAAGTTACTGAGACTTCTTCTGTCTAACATTATATGAAGAAATCCCGATTCCAACGAAGGCCTCAAAGAGGTCCAAATATCTGCCTGCAGACTTTACAGACAGAGTGTTTCCAAACTGCTCCATCAAAAGAAAGGTTAAACTCCTTGAGTTGAACACACACATCACAAAGTAGTTTCTGTGAATGATTCTGTCTAGTTTTTATACGAAGATGTTTCCTTTTCTACCTTTGGTCTCAAAGCGATTGAAATCTCCATATGGAAACTCCACAAAAAGAGTGTTTCAAATCTGCTCTTTCTGAAGGAAGGTCCAACTCTGTGAGTTGAATACACACACCACAAATAAGTTACTGAGAATTCTTCTGTGTAACATTATATGAGGAAATCCCGTTTCCAACGAAGGCCTCAAAGAGATCCAAATATCCACTTGCAGACTTTACAAAGACAGTGTCTCCAAACTCCTCCATCAAAAGAAAGGTTATACTCTGTGAATTGAACGCACACATCACAAAGTAGTTTCTGAGAATGATTCTGTCTAGTTTTTATACGAAGATATTTCCTTTTCTACATTTGGCCTAAAAGCGCTTGAAATCTCCACCTGCAAATATCACAAAAAGAGGGTTTCACATCTGCTCTGTCTAAAGGACAGTTCACCTCTGTGAGTTGAATAGAGGCAACACAAAGAACTTACTCACTATTCTTCTTTCTAGCGTTCTATGAAGAAATCCCGTTTCCAACGAAGGCCTCAAAGAGGTCCAAATATCTGCTTGCAGACTTTACAGACAGAGTGTTTCCAAACTACTCTATGAAAAGAAAGCTTAAACTCCGTGAGTTGAATGCACACATCACAAAGTAGTTTCTGAGAATGATTCTGTCTAGTTTTTATACGAAGATGTTTCCTTTTCTACATTTGGTCTCAAAGCGATTGAAATCTCCAACTGGAAACTGCACAAATAGGGAGTTTCAAATCTGATCTGTCTAAAGGAAGGGTCAACTCTGTGAGTTGAATACACACACCACAAATAAGTTACTGTGAATTCTTCTGTCGAACATTACAGGAAGAAATCCCGTTTCCAACGAAGGCCTCAAAGAGCTCCAAATATCCACTTGCAGACATTACAAACAGTGTGTTTCCCAACTGCTCCATCAAAAGAAAGGTTAAACTCTGTGAGCTGAACACACACATCAAAAAGAAGTTTCTGTGAATGATTCTGTCTAGATTTTATAAGAAGATGTTTCCTTTTCTACCATAGACCTCAAAGCGCTTGAAATCTCCAGCTGCAAATTCCACAAAAAGGGTGTTTAACATCTGCTCTTCTAAAGGAAAGTTCAACTCTATGAGTTGAATACACACAGCACAAAGAAGTTACTGAGACTTCTCCTATCAAACATTATATGAAGAAATCCCGTTTCCAACGAAGGCCTCAAAGAGGTCCAAATATCTGCTTGCAGACTTTACAGACAGAGTGTTTCCAAACTGCTCCATCAAAAGAAAGGTTAAACTCCTTGAGTTGAACACACACATCACAAAGTAGTTTCTGTGAATGATTCTGTCTAGTTTTTATACGAAGATGTTTCCTTTTCTACCTTTGGTCTCAAAGCGATTGAAGTCTCCACATGGAAACTCCACAAAAAGAGTGTTTCAAATCTGCTCTTTCTGAAGGAAGGTTCAACTCTGTGAGTTGAATACACACACCACAAATAAGTTACTGAGAATTCTTCTGTGTAACATTATATGAGGAAATCCCGTTTCCAACGAAGGCCTCAAAGAGGTCCAAATATCCACTTGCAGACTTTACAAAGACAGTGTCTCCAAACTCCTCCATCAAAAGAAAGGTTATACTATGTGAATTGAACGCACACATCACAAAGTAGTTTCTGAGAATGATTCTGTCTAGTTTTTATACGAAGATATTTCCTTTTCTACATTTGGCCTAAAAGCGCTTGAAATCTCCACCTGCAAATATCACAAAAAGAGGGTTTCACATCTGCTCTGTCTAAAGGACAGTTCACCTCTGTGAGTTGAATAGAGGCAACACAAAGAACTTACTCAGTATTCTTCTTTCTAGCGTTCTATGAAGAAATCCCGTTTCCAACGAAGGCCCCAAAGAGGTCCAGATATCTGCTTGCAGACTTTACAGACAGAGTGTTTCCAAACTACTCTATGAAAAGAAAGCTTAAACTCCTTGAGTTGAACGCACACATCACAAAGTAGTTTCTGAGAATGATTCTGTCTAGTTTTTATACGAAGATGTTTCCTTTTCTACATTTGGTCTCAAAGCGATTGAAATCTCCAACTGGAAACTGCACAAATAGGGTGTTTCAAATCTGCTCTGTCTAAAGGAAGGTTCAACTCTGTGAGTTGAATACACACACCACAAATAAGTTACTGAGAATTCTTCTGTCGACCATTACTTGATGAAATCCCGTTTCCAACGAAGGCCTCAAAGAGGTCCAAATATCCACTTGCAGACATTACAAACAGAGTGTTTCCAAACTGCTCCATCAAAAGAAAGGTTAAACTCTGTGAGCTGAACACACACATCGAAAAGAAGTTTCTGTGAATGATTCTGTCTAGATTTTATAAGAAGATGTTTCCTTTTCTACCGTAGGCCTCAAAGCGCTTGAAATCTCCAGCTGCAAATTCCACAAAAAGGGTGTTTAACATCTGCTCTTCTAAAGGAAAGTTCAACTCTATGAGTTGAATACACACAGCACAAAGAAGTTACTGAGACTTCTCCTATCAAACATTATATGAAGAAATCCCGTTTCCAACGAAGGCCTCAAAGAGGTCCAAATATCTGCTTGCAGACTTTACAGACAGAGTGTTTCCAAACTGCTCCATCAAAAGAAAGGTTAAACTCCTTGAGTTGAACACACACATCACAAAGTAGTTTCTGTGAATGATTCTGTCTAGTTGTTATACGAAGATGTTTCCTTTTCTACCTTTGGTCTCAAAGCGATTGAAATCTCCACATGGAAACTCCACAAAAAGAGTGTTTCAAATCTGCTCTTTCTGAAGGAAGGTTCATCTCTGTGAGTTGAATACACACACCACAAATAAGTTACTGAGAATTCTTCTGTGTAACATTATATGAGGAAATCCCGTTTCCAACGAAGGCCTGAAAGAGGTCCAAATATCCACTTGCAGACTTTTCAAAGACAGTGTCTCCAAACTCCTCCATCAAAAGAAAGGTTATACTCTGTGAATTGAATGCACACATCACAAAGTAGTTTCTGAGAATGATTCTGTCTAGTTTTTATACGAAGATATTTCCTTTTCTACATTTGGCCTAAAAGCGCTTGAAATCTCCACCTGCAAATATCACAAAAAGAGGGTTTCAAATCTGCTCTGTCTAAAGGAAGGTTCAACTCTGTGAGTTGAATACACACACCACAAATAAGTTACTGAGAATTCTTCTTTCTAGCGTTCTATGAAGAAATCCGGTTTCCAACGAAGACCCCAAAGAGGTCCAAATATCTGCTTGCAGACTTTAGAGACAGAGTGTTTCCAAACTACTCTATGAAAAGAAAGCTTAAACTCCTTGAGTTGAACGCACACATCACAAAGTAGTTTCTGAGAATGATTCTGTCTAGTTTTTATACGAAGATGTTTCCTTTTCTACATTTGGCCTAAAAGTGCTTGAAATCTCCACCTGCAAATATCAGAAAAAGAGGGTTTCACATCTGCTCTGTCTAAAGGACAGTTCACCTCTGTGAGTTGAATAGAGGCAACACAAAGAACTTACTCAGTATTCTTCTGTGTAACATTATATGAGGAAATCCCGTTTCCAACGAAGGCCTCAAAGAGGTCCAAATATCCACTTGCAGACTTTACAAAGACAGTGTCTCCAAACTCCTCCATCAAAAGAAAGGTTATACTCTGTGAATTGAACGCACACATCACAAAGTAGTTTCTGAGAATGATTCTGTCTAGTTTTTATACGAAGATATTTCCTTTTCTACATTTGGCCTAAAAGCGCTTGAAATCTCCACCTGCAAATATCACAAAAAGAGGGTTTCACATCTGCTCTGTCTAAAGGACAGTTCACCTCTGTGAGTTGAATAGAGGCAACACAAAGAACTTACTCAGTATTCTTCTTTCTAGCGTTCTATGAAGAAATCCCGTTTCCAACGAAGGCCTCAAAGAGGTCAAATATCTGCTTGCAGACTTTACAGACAGAGTGTTTCCAAACTACTCTATGAAAAGAAAGCTTAAACTCCTTGAGTTGAACGCACACATCACAAAGTAGTTTCTGAGAATGATTCTGTCTAGTTTTTATACGAAGATGTTTCCTTTTCTACATTTGGTCTCAAAGCGATTGAAATCTCCAACTGGAAACTGCACAAATAGGCTGTTTCAAGTCTGCTCTGTCTAAAGGAAGGTTCAGCTCTGTGTGTTGAATACACACACCACAAATAAGTTACTGAGAATTCTTCTGTCGAACATTACAGGAAGAAATCCCGTTTCCAACGAAGGCCTCAAAGAGGTCCAAATATCCACTTGCGGACATTACAAACAGTGTGTTTCCCAACTGCTCCATCAAAAGAAAGGTTAAACTCTGTGAGCTGAACACACACATCAAAAAGAAGTTTCTGTGAATGATTCTGTCTAGATTTTATAAGAAGATGTTTCCTTTTCTACCGTAGGCCTCAAAGCGCTTGAAATCTCCAGCTGCAAATTCCACAAAAAGGGTGTTTAACATCTGCTCTTCTAAAGGAAAGTTCAACTCTATGAGTTGAATACACACAGCACAAAGAAGTTACTGAGACTTCTCCTATCAAACATTATATGAAGAAATCCCGTTTCCAACGAAGGCCTCAAAGAGGTCCAAATATCTGCTTGCAGACTTTACAGACAGAGTTTTTCCAAACTGCTCCATCAAAAGAAAGGTTAAACTCCTTGAGTTGAACACACACATCACAAAATAGTTTCTGTGAATGATTCTGTCTAGTTTTTATACGAAGATGTTTCCTTTTCTACCTTTGGTCTCAAAGCGATTGAAATCTCCACATGGAAACTCCACAAAAAGAGTGTTTCAAATCTGCTCTTTCTGAAGGAAGGTTCAACTCTGTGAGTTGAATACACACACCACAAATAAGTTACTGAGAATTCTTCTGTGTAACATTACATGAAGAAATCCCGTTTCCAACGAAGGCCTCAAATAGGTCCAAATATCCACTTGCAGACATTACAAACAGAGTGTTTCCAAACTGCTCCATGAAAAGAAAGGTTAAACTCTGTGAGCTGAACACACACATCAAAAAGAAGTTTCTGTGAATGATTCTGTCTAGATTTTATAAGAAGATGTTTCCTTTTCTACCGTAGGCCTCAAAGCGCTTGAAATCTCCAGCTGCAAATTCCACAAAAAGGGTGTTTAACATCTGCTCTTCTAAAGGAATGTTCAACACTATGAGTTGAATACACACAGCACAAAGAAGTTACTGAGACTTCTCCTATCAAACATTATATGAAGAAATCCCGTTTCCAACGAAGGCCTCAAAGAGGTCCAAATATCTGCTTGCAGACTTTACAGACAGTGTGTTTCCAAACTGCTCCATCAAAAGAAAGGTTAAACTCCTTGAGTTGAACACACACATCACAAAGTAGTTTCTGTGAATGATTCTGTCTAGTTTTTATACGAAGATGTTTCCTTTTCTACCTTTGGTCTCAAAGCGATTGAAATCTCCACATGGAAACTCCACAAAAAGAGTGTTTCAAATCTGCTCTTTCTGAAGGAAGGTTCAACTCTGTGAGTTGAATACACACACCACAAATAAGTTACTGGGAATTCTTCTGTGTAACATTATATGAGGAAATCCCGTTTCCAACGAAGGCCTTAAAAAGGTCCAAATATCCACTTGCAGACATTACAAAGACAGTGTCTCCAAACTCCTCCATCAAAAGAAAGGTAATACTCTGTGAATTGAACGCACACATCACAAAGTAGTTTCTGAGAATGATTCTGTCTAGTTTTTATACGAAGATATTTCCTTTTCTACATTTGGCCTAAAAGCGCTTGAAATCTCCACCTGCAAATATCACAAAAAGAGGGTTTCACATCTGCTCTGTCTAAAGGACAGTTCACCTCTGTGAGTTGAATAGAGGCAACACAAAGAACTTACTCAGTATTCTTCTTTCTAGCGTTATATGTTGAAATCCCGTTTAAAACGAAGGCCTCAAAGAGGTGCAAATATCTGCTGGCAGACTTTACAGACAGAGTGTTTCCAAACTACTCTATGAAAAGAAAGTTTAAACTCCTTGAGTTGAACGCACACATCACAAAGTAGTTTCTGAGAATGATTCTGTCTTGTTTTTATACAAAGATATTTCCGTTTCTATGATTGGCCTCAAAGCGATTGAAATCTCCAACTGGAAACTGCACAAATAGGGTGTTTCAAATCTGCTCTGTCTAAAGGAAGGTTCAACTCTGTGAGTTGAATACACACACCACAAATAAGTTACTGAGAATTCTTCTCTCGAACATTACATGAAGAAATCCCGTTTCCAACGAAGGCCTCAAAGAGGTCCAAATATCCACTTGCAGACATTACAAACAGAGTGTTTCCAAACTGCTCCATCAAAAGAAAGGTTAAACTCTGTGAGCTGAACACACACATCAAAAAGAAGTTTCTGTGAATGATTCTGTCTAGATTTTATAAGAAGATGTTTCCTTTTCTACCGTAGGCCTCAAAGCGCTTGAAATCTCCAGCTGCAAATTCCACAAAAAGGGTGTTTAACATCTGCTCTTCTAAAGGAAAGTTCAACTCTATGAGTTGAATACACACAGCACAAAGAAGTTACTGAGACTTCTCCTATCAAACATTATATGAAGAAATCCCGTTTCCAACGAAGGCCTCAAAGAGGTCCAAATATCTGCTTGCAGACTTTACAGACAGAGTTTTTCCAAACTGCTCCATCAAAAGAAAGGTTAAACTCCTTGAGTTGAACACACACATCACAAAGTAGTTTCTGTGAATGATTCTGTCTAGTTTTTATACGAAGACGTTTACTTTTCTACCTTTGGTCTCAAAGCGATTGAAATCTCCACATGGAAACTCCACAAAAAGAGTGTTTCAAATCTGCTCTTTCTGAAGGAAGGTTCAACTCTGTGAGTTGAATACACACACCACAAATAAGTTACTGAGAATTCTTCTGTGTAACATTATATGAGGAAATCCCGTTTCCAACGAAGGCCTCAAAGAGGTCCAAATATCCACTTGCAGACTTTACAAAGACAGTGTCTCCAAACTCCTCCATCAAAAGAAAGGTTATACTCTGTGAATTGAACGCACACATCACAAAGTAGTTTCTGAGAATGATTCTGTCTAGTTTTTATACGAAGATATTTCCTTTTCTACATTTGGCCTAAAAGCGCTTGAAATCTCCACCTGCAAATATCACAAAAAGAGGGTTTCACATCTGCTCTGTCTGAAGGACAGTTCACCTCTGTGAGTTGAATAGAGGCAACACAAAGAACTTACTCAGTATTCTTCTTTCTAGCGTTCTATGAAGAAATCCCGTTTCCAACGAAGGCCCCAAATAGGTCCAAATATCTGCTTGCAGACTTTACAGACAGATTGTTTCCAAACTACTCTATGAAAAGAAAGCTTAAACTCCTTGAGTTGAACGCACACATCACAAAGTAGTTTCTGAGAATGATTCTGTCTAGTTTTTATACGAAGATGTTTCCTTTTCTACATTTGGTCTCAAAGCGATTGAAATCTCCAACTGGAAACTGCACAAATAGGGTGTTTCAAATCTGCTCTGTCTAAAGGAAGGTTCAACTCTGTGAGTTGAATACACACACCACAAATAAGTTACTGAGAATTCTTCTGTCGACCATTACTTGAAGAAATCCCGTTTCCAACGAAGGCCTCAAAGAGGTCCAAATATCCACTTGCAGACATTACAAACAGAGTGTTTCCAAACTGCTCCATCAAAAGAAAGGTTAAACTCTGTGAGCTGAACACACACATCGAAAAGAAGTTTCTGTGAATGATTCTGTCTAGATTTTATAAGAAGATGTTTCCTTTTCTACCGTAGGCCTCAAAGCGCTTGAAATCTCCAGCTGCAAATTCCACAAAAAGGGTGTTAAACATCTGCTCTTCTAAAGGAAAGTTCAACTCTATGAGTTGAATAGACACAGCACAAAGAAGTTACTGAGACTTCTCCTATCAAACATTATATGAAGAAATCCCGTTTCCAACGAAGGCCTCAAAGAGGTCCAAATATCTGCTTGCAGACTTTACAGACAGAGTGTTTCCAAACTGCTCCATCAAAAGAAAGTTTTAACCCCTTGAGTTGAACACACACATCACAAAGTAGTTTCTGTGAATGATTCTGTCTAGTTTTTATACGAAGATGTTTCCTTTTCTACCTTTGGTCTCAAAGCGATTGAAATCTCCACATGGAAACTCCACAAAAAGAGTGTTTCAAATCTGCTCTTTCTGAAGGAAGGTTCAACTCTGTGAGTTGAATACACACACCACAAATAAGTTACTGAGAATTCTTCTGTGTAACATTATATGAGGAAATCCCGTTTCCAACGAAGGCCTCAAAGAGGTCCAAATATCCACTTGCAGACTTTACAAAGACAGTGTCTCCAAACTCCTCCATCAAAAGAAAGGTTATACTCTGTGAATTGAACAGCACACATCACAAAGTAGTTTCTGAGAATGATTCTGTCTAGTTTTTATACGAAGATATTTCCTTTTCTACATTTGGCCTAAAAGCGCTTGAAATCTCCACCTGCAAATATCACAAAAAGAGGGTTTCACATCTGCTCTGTTTAAAGGACAGTTCACCTCTGTGAGTTGAATAGAGGCAACACAAAGAACTTACTCAGTATTCTTCTTTCTAGCGTTCTACGAAGAAATCCCGTTTCCAACGAAGGCCCCAAAGAGGTCCAAATATCTGCTTGCAGACTTTACAGACAGAGTGTTTCCAAACTACTCTATGAAAAGAAAGCTTAAACTCCTTGAGTTGAACGCACACATCACAAAGTAGTTTCTGAGAATGATTCTGTCTAGTTTTTATACGAAGATGTTTCCTTTTCTACATTTGGTCTCAAAGCGATTCAAATCTCCAACTGGAAACTGCACAAATAGGGTGTTTCAAATCTGCTCTGTCTAAAGGAAGGTTCAACTCTGTGAGTTGAATACACACACCACAAATAAGTTACTGAGAATTCTTCTGTCGAACATTACATGAAGAAATCCCGTTTCCAACGAAGGCCTCAAAGACGTCCAAATATCCACTTGCAGACATTACAAACAGAGTGTTTCCAAACTGCTCCATCAAAAGAAAGGTTAAACTCTGTGAGCTGAACACACACATCAAAAAGAAGTTTCTGTGAATGATTCTGTCTAGATTTTATAAGAAGATGTTTCCTTTTCTACCGTAGGCCTCAAAGCGCTTGAAATCTCCACCTGCAAATTCCACAAAAAGGGTGTTTAACATCTGCTCTTCTAAAGGAAAGTTCAACTCTATGAGTTGAATACACACAGCACAAAGAAGTTACTGAGACTTCTCCTATCAAACATTATATGAAGAAATCCCGTTTCCAACGAAGGCCTCAAAGAGGTCCAAATATCTGCTTGCAGACTTTACAGACAGAGTGTTTCCAAACTGCTCCATCAAAAGAAAGGTTAAACTCCTTGAGTTGAACACACACATCACAAAGTAGTTTCTGTGAATGATTCTGTCTAGTTTTTATACGAAGATGTTTCCTTTTCTACCTTTGGTCTCAAAGCGATTGAAATCTCCACATGGAAACTCCACCAAAAGAGTGTTTCAAATCTGCTCTTTCTGAAGGAAGGTTCAACTCTGTGAGTTGAATACACACACCACAAATAAGTTACTGAGAATTCTCCCTGTGTAACATTATATGAGGAAATCCCGTTTCCAACAAAGGCCTCAAAGAGGTCCAAATATCCACTTGCAGACTTTACAAAGACAGTGTCTCCAAACTCCTCCATCAAAAGAAAGGTTATACTCTGTGAATTGAACGCACACATCACAAAGTAGTTTCTGAGAATGATTCTGTCTAGTTTTTATACGAAGATATCTCCTTTTCTACATTTGGCCTAAAAGCGCTTGAAATCTCCACCTGCAAATATCACAAAAAGAGGGTTTCACATCTGCTCTGTCTAAAGGACAGTTCACCTCTGTGAGTTGAATAGAGGCAACACAAAGAACTTACTCAGTATTCTTCTTTCTAGCGTTCTATGAAGAAATCCCGTTTCCAACGAAGGCCCCAAAGAGGTCCAAATATCTGCTTGCAGACTTTACAGACAGAGTGTTTCCAAACTACTCTATGAAAAGAAAGCTTAAACTCCTTGAGTTGAACGCACACATCACAAAGTAGTTTCTGAGAATGATTCTGTCTAGTTTTTATACGAAGATGTTTCCTTTTCTACATTTGGTCTCAAAGCGATTGAAATCTCCAACTGGAAACTGCACAAATAGGGTGTTTCAAATCTGCTCTGTCTAAAGGAAGGTTCAACTCTGTGAGTTGAATACACACACCACACATAAGTTACTGAGAATTCTTCTGTCGAACATTACAGGAAGAAATCCCGTTACCAACGAAGGCCTCAAAGAGGTCCAAATATCCACTTGCAGACATTACAAACAGTGTGTTTGCAAACTGCTCCATCAAAAGAAAGGTTAAACTCTGTGAGCTGAACACACACATCAAAAAGAAGTTTCTGTGAATGATTCTCTCTAGATTTTATAAGAAGATGTTTCCTTTTCTACCGTAGGCCTCAAAGCGCTTGAAATCTCCAGCTGCAAATTCCACAAAAAGGGTGTTTAACATCTGCTCTTCTAAAGGAAAGTTCAACTCTATGAGTTGAATACACACAGCACAAAGAAGTTTCTGAGACTTCTCCTATCAAACATTATATGAAGAAATCCCGTTTCCAATGAAGGCCTCAAAGAGGTCCAAATATCTGCTTGCAGACTTTACAGACAGAGTTTTTCCAAACTGCTCTATCAAAAGAAAGGTTAAACTCCTTGAGTTGAACACACACATCACAAAGTAGTTTCTGTGAATGATTCTGTCTAGTTTTTATACGAAGATGTTTCCTTTTCTACCTTTGGTCTCAAAGCGATTGAAATCTCCACATGGAAACTCCACAAAAAGAGTTTTTCAAATCTGCTCTTTCTGAAGGAAGGTTCAACTCTGTGAGTTGAATACACACACCACAAATAAGTTACTGAGAATTCTTCTGTGTAACATTATATGAGGAAATCCCGTTTCCAACGAAGGCCTCAAAGAGGTCCAAATATCCACTTGCAGACTTTACAAAGACAGTGTCTCCAAACTCCTCCATCAAAAGAAAGGTTATACTCTGTGAATTGAACGCACACATCACAAAGTAGTTTCTGAGAATGATTCTGTCTAGTTTTTATACGAAGATATTTCCTTTTCTACATTTGGCCTAAAAGCGCTTGAAATCTCCACCTGCAAATATCACAAAAAGAGGGTTTCACATCTGCTCTGTCTAAAGGACAGTTCACCTCTGTGAGTTGAATAGAGGCAACACAAGGAACTTACTCAGTATTCTTCTTTCTAGCATTCTATGAAGAAATCCCGTTTCCAACGAAGGCCCCAAAGAGGTCCAAATATCTGCTTGCAGACTTTACAGACAGAGTTTTTCCAAACTGCTCCATCAAAAGAAAGGTTAAACTCCTTGAGTTGAACACACACATCACAAAGTAGTTTCTGTGAATGATTCTGTCTAGTTTTTATACGAAGATGTTTCCTTTTCTACCTTTGGTCTCAAAGCGATTGAAATCTCCACATGGAAACTCCACAAAAAGAGTGTTTCAAATCTGCTCTTTCTGAAGGAAGGTTCAACTCTGTGAGTTGAATACACACACCACAAATAAGTTACTGAGAATTCTTCTGGGTAACATTATATGAGGAAATCCCGTTTCCAACGAAGGCCTCAAAGAGGTCCAAATATCCACTTGCAGACTTTACAAAGACAGTGTCTCCAAACTCCTCCATCAAAAGAAAGGTTATACTCTGTGAATTGAACGCACACATCACAAAGTAGTTTCTGAGAATGATTCTGTCTAGTTTTTATACGAAGATATTTCCTTTTCTACATTTGGCCTAAAAGTGCTTGAAATCTCCACCTGCAAATATCACAAAAAGAGGGTTTCACATCTGCTCTGTCTAAAGGACAGTTCACCTCTGTGAGTTGAATAGAGGCAACACAAAGAACTTACTCAGTATTCTTCTTTCTAGCGTTCTATGAAGAAATCCCGTTTCCAACAAAGGCCCCAAAGAGGTCCAAATATCTGCTTGCAGACTTTACAGACAGAGTGTTTCCAAACTACTCTATGAAAAGAAAGCTTAAACTCCTTGAGTTGAACGCACACATCACAAAGTAGTTTCTGAGAATGATTCTGTCTAGTTTTTATACGAAGATGTTTCCTTTTCTACATTTGGTCTCAAAGCGATTGAAATCTCCAACTGGAAACTGCACAAATAGGGTGTTTCAAATCTGCTCTGTCTAAAGGAAGGTTCAACTCTGTGAGTTGAATACACACACCACAAATAAGTTACTGAGAATTCTTCTGTCGACCATTACTTGAAGAAATCCCGTTTCCAACGAAGGCCTCAAAGAGGTCCAAATATCCACTTGCAGACATTACAAACAGAGTGTTTCCAAACTGCTCCATCAAAAGAAAGGTTAAACTCTGTGAGCTGAACACACACATCGAAAAGAAGTTTCTGTGAATGATTCTGTCTAGATTTTATAAGAAGATGTTTCCTTTTCTACCGTAGGCCTCAAAGCGCTTGAAATCTCCAGCTGCAAATTCCACAAAAAGGGTGTTTAACATCTGCTCTTCTAAAGGAAAGTTCAACTCTATGAGTTGAATACACACAGCACAAAGAAGTTACTGAGACTTCTGCTATCAAACATTATATGAAGAAATCCCGTTTCCAACGAAGGCCTCAAAGAGGTCCAAATATCTGCTTGCAGACTTTACAGACAGAGTGTTTCCAAACTGCTCCATCAAAAGAAAGGTTAAACTCCTTGAGTTGAACACACACATCACAAAGTAGTTTCTGTGAATGATTCTGTCTAGTTGTTATACGAAGATGTTTCCTTTTCTACCTTTGGTCTCAAAGCGATTGAAATCTCCACATGGAAACTCCACAAAAAGAGTGTTTCAAATCTGCTCTTTCTGAAGGAAGGTTCATCTCTGTGAGTTGAATACACACACCACAAATAAGTTACTGAGAATTCTTCTGTGTAACATTATATGAGGAAATCCCGTTTCCAACGAAGGCCTCAAAGAGGTCCAAATATCCACTTGCAGACTTTACAAAGACAGTGTCTCCAAACTCCTCCATCAAAAGAAAGGTTATACTCTGTGAATTGAACGCACACATCACAAAGTAGTTTCTGAGAATGATTCTGTCTAGTTTTTATACGAAGATATTTCCTTTTCTACATTTGGCCTAAAAGCGCTTGAAATCTCCACCTGCAAATATCACAAAAAGAGGGTTTCACATCTGCTCTGTCTAAAGGACAGTTCACCTCTGTGAGTTGAATAGAGGCAACACAAAGAACTTACTCAGTATTCTTCTTTCTAGCGTTCTATGAAGAAATCCCGTTTCCAACGAAGGCCCCAAAGAGGTCCAAATATCTGCTTGCAGACTTTACAGACAGAGTGTTTCCAAACTACTCTATGAAAAGAAAGCTTAAACTCCTTGAGTTGAACGCACACATCACAAAGTAGTTTCTGAGAATGATTCTGTCTAGTTTTTATACGAAGATGTTTCCTTTTCTACATTTGGTCTCAAAGCGATTGAAATCTCCAACTGGAAACTGCACAAATAGGGTGTTTCAAATCTGCTCTGTCTAAAGGAAGGTTCAACTCTGTGAGTTGAATACACACACCACAAATAAGTTACTGAGAATTCTTCTGTCGACCATTACTTGATGAAATCCCGTTTCCAACGAAGGCCTCAAAGAGGTCCAAATATCCACTTGCAGACATTACAAACAGAGTGTTTCCAAACTGCTCCATCAAAAGAAAGGTTAAACTCTGTGAGCTGAACACACACATCGAAAAGAAGTTTCTGTGAATGATTCTGTCTAGATTTTATAAGAAGATGTTTCCTTTTCTACCGTAGGCCTCAAAGCGCTTGAAATCTCCAGCTGCAAATTCCACAAAAAGGGTGTTTAACATCTGCTCTTCTAAAGGAAAGTTCAACTCTATGAGTTGAATACACACAGCACAAAGAAGTTACTGAGACTTCTCCTATCAAACATTATATGAAGAAATCCCGTTTCCAACGAAGGCCTCAAAGAGGTCCAAATATCTGCTTGCAGACTTTACAGACAGAGTGTTTCCAAACTGCTCCATCAAAAGAAAGGTTAACCTCCTTGAGTTGAACACACACATCACAAAGTAGTTTCTGTGAATGATTCTGTCTAGTTTTTATACGAAGATGTTTCCTTTTCTACCTTTGGTCTCAAAGCGATTGAAATCTCCACATGGAAACTCCACAAAAAGAGTGTTTCAAATCTGCTCTTTCTGAAGGAAGGTTCATCTCTGTGAGTTGAATACACACACCACAAATAAGTTACTGAGAATTCTTCTGTGTAACAGTATATGAGGAAATCCCGTTTCCAACGAAGGCCTCAAAGAGGTCCAAATATCCACTTGCAGACTTTACAAAGACAGTGTCTCCAAACTCCTCCATCAAAAGAAAGGTTATACTCTGTGAATTGAACGCACACATCACAAAGTAGTTTCTGAGAATGATTCTGTCTAGTTTTTATACGAAGATATTTCCTTTTCTACATTTGGCCTAAAAGCGCTTGAAAACTCCACGTGCAAATATCACAAAAAGAGGGTTTCACACCTGCTCTGTCTAAAGGACAGTTCACCTCTGTGAGTTGAATAGAGGCAACACAAAGAACTTACTCAGTATTCTTCTTTCTAGCGTTCTATGAAGAAATCCCGTTTCCAACGAAGGCCCTAAAGAGGTCCAAATATCTGCTTGCAGACTTTACAGACAGAGTGTTTCCAAACTACTCTATGAAAAGAAAGCTTAAACTCCTTGAGTTGAACGCACACATCACAAAGTAGTTTCTGAGAATGATTCTGTCTAGTTTTTATACGAAGATGTTTCCTTTTCTACATTTGGTCTCAAAGCGATTGAAATCTCCAACTGGAAACTGCACAAATAGGGTGTTTCAAATCTGCTCTGTCTAAAGGAAGGTTCAACTCTGTGAGTTGAATACACACACCACAAATAAGTTACTGAGAATTCTTCTGTCGAACATTACTTGAAGAAATCCCGTTTCCAACGAAGGCCTCAAAGAGGTCCAAATATCCACTTGCAGACATTACAAACAGAGTGTTTCCAAACTGCTCCATCAAAAGAAAGGTTAAACTCTGTGAGCTGAACACACATATCAAAAAGAAGTTTCTGTGAATGATTCTGTCTAGATTTTATAAGAAGATGTTTCCTTTTCTACCGTAGGCCTCAAAGCGCTTGAAATCTCCAGCTGCAAATTCCACAAAAAGGGTGTTTAACATCTGCTCTTCTAAAGGAAAGTTCAACTCTATGAGTTGAATACACACAGCACAAAGAAGTTACTGAGACTTCTCCTATCAAACATTATATGAAGAAATCCCGTTTCCAAAGAAGGCCTCAAAGAGGTCCAAATATCTGCTTGCAGACTTTACAGACAGAGTTTTTCCAAACTGCTCCATCAAAAGAAAGGTTAAACTCCTTGAGTTGAACACACACATCACAAAGTAGTTTCTGTGAATGATTCTGTCTAGTTTTTATACGAAGATGTTTCCTTTTCTACCTTTGGTCTCAATGCGATTGAAATCTCCACATGGAAACTCCACAAAAAGAGTGTTTCAAATCTGCTCTTTCTGAAGGAAGGTTCAACTCTGTGAGTTGAATACACACACCACAAATAAGTTACTGAGAATTCTTCTGTGTAACATTATATGAGGAAATCCCGTTTCCAACGAAGGCCTCAAAGAGGTCCAAATATCCACTTGCAGACTTACAAAGACAGTGTCTCCAAACTCCTCCATCAAAAGAAAGGTTATACTCTGTGAATTGAACGCACACATCACAAAGTAGTTTCTGAGAATGATTCTGTCTAGTTTTTATACGAAGATATTTCCTTTTCTACATTTGGCCTGAAAGCGCTTGAAATCTCCACGTGCAAATATCACAAAAACAGGGTTTCACATCTGCTCTGTCTAAAGGACAGTTCACCTCTGTGAGTTGAATAGAGGCAACACAAAGAACTTACTCAGTATTCTTCTTTCTAGCGTTCTATGAAGAAATCCCTTTTCCAACGAAGGCCCCAAAGAGGTCCAAATATCTGCTTGCAGACTTTACAGACAGAGTGTTTCCAAACTACTCTATGAAAAGAAAGCTTAAACTCCTTGAGTTGAACGCACACATCACAAAGTAGTTTCTGAGAATGATTCTGTCTTGTTTTTATACAAATGTATTTCCGTTTCTATGGCCTCAAAGCAATTGAAATCTCCAACTGGAAACTGCACAAATAGGGTGTTTCAAATCTGCTCTGTCTAAAGGAAGGTTCAACTCTGTGAGTTGAATACACACACCACAAATAAGTTGCTGAGAATTCTTCTGTCAAACATTACAGGAAGAAATCCCGTTTCCAACGAAGGCCTCAAAGAGGTCCAAATATCCACATGCAGACATTACAAACAGAGTGTTTCCAAACTGCTCCATCAAAAGAAAGGTTAAACTCTGTGAGCTGAACAGACACATCAAAAAGAAGTTTCTGTGAATGATTCTGTCTAGATTTTATAAGAAGATGTTTCCTTTTCTACCGTAGGCCTCAAAGCGCTTGAAATCTCCAGCTGCAAATTCCACAAAAAGGGTGTTTAACATCTGGTCTTCTAAAGGAAAGTTCAACTCTATGAGTTGAATACACACAGCACAAAGAAGTTACTGAGACTTCTCCTATCAAACATTATATGAAGCAATCCCGTTTCCAACGAAGGCCTCAAAGAGGTCCAAATATCTGCTTGCAGACTTTACAGACAGAGTGTTTCCCAACTGCTCCATCAAAAGAAAGGTTAACCTCCTTGAGTTGAACACACACATCACAAAGTAGTTTCTGTGAATGATTCTGTCTAGTTTCTATACGAAGATGTTTCCTTTTCTACCTTTGGTCTCAAAGCGATTGAAATCTCCACATGGAAACTCCACAAAAAGAGTGTTTCAAATCTGCTCTTTCTGAAGGAAGGTTCAACTCTGTGAGTTGAATACACACACCACAAATAAGTTACTGAGAATTCTTCTGTGTAACATTATATGAGGAAATCCCGTTTCCAACGAAGGCCTCAAAGAGGTCCAAATATCCACTTGCAGACTTTACAAAGACAGTGTCTCCAAACTCCTCCATCAAAAGAAAGGTTATACTCTGTGAATTGAACGCACACATCACAAAGTAGTTTCTGAGAATGATTCTGTCTAGTTTTTATACGAAGATATTTCCTTTTCTACATTTGGCCTAAAAGCGCTTGAAATCTCCACCTGCAAATATCACAAAAAGAGGGTTTCACATCTGCTCTGTCTAAAGGACAGTTCACCTCTGTGAGTTGAATAGAGGCAACACAAAGAACTTACTCAGTATTCTTCTTTCTAGCGTTCTATGAAGAAATCCCGTTTCCAACGAAGGCCTCAAAGAGGTCAAATATCTGCTTGCAGACTTTACAGACAGAGTGTTTCCAAACTACTCTATGAAAAGAAAGCTTAAACTCCTTGAGTTGAACGCACACATCACAAAGTAGTTTCTGAGAATGATTCTGTCTAGTTTTTATACGAAGATGTTTCCTTTTCTACATTTGGTCTCAAAGCGATTGAAATCTCCAACTGGAAACTGCACAAATAGGCTGTTTCAAATCTGCTCTGTCTAAAGGAAGGTTCAACTCTGTGAGTTGAATACACACACCACAAATAAGTTACTGAGAATTCTTCTGTCGAATATTACTTGAAGAAATCCCGTTTCCAACGAAGGCCTCAAAGAGGTCCAAATATCCACTTGCAGACATTACAAACAGAGTGTTTCCAAACTGCTCCATCAAAAGAAAAGTTAAACTCTGTGAGCTGAACACACACATCAAAAAGAAGTTTCTGTGAATGATTCTGTGTAGATTTTATAAGAAGATGCTTCCTTTTCTACCGTAGGCCTCAAAGCGCTTGAAATCTCCAGCTGCAAATTCCACAAAAAGGGTGTTTAACATCTGCTCTTCTAAAGGAAAGTTCAACTCTATGAGTTGAAGACACACAGCACAAAGAAGTTACTGAGACTTCTGCTATCAAACATTATATGAAGAAATCCCGTTTCCAACGATGGCCTCAAAGAGGTCCAAATATCTGCTTGCAGACTTTACAAAGACAGTGTCTCCAAACTCCTCCATCAAAAGAAAGGTTATACTCTGTGAATTGAACGCACACATCACAAAGTAGTTTCTGAGAATGATTCTGTCTAGTTTTTATACGAAGATATTTCCTTTTCTACATTTGGCCTAAAAGCGCTTGAAATCTCCACCTGCAAATATCACAAAAAGAGGGTTTCACATCTGCTCTGTCTAAAGGACAGTTCACCTCTGTGAGTAGAATAGAGGCAACACAAAGAACTTAGTATTCTTCTTTCTAGCGTTCTATGAAGAAATCCCGTTTCCAACGAAGGCCTCAAAGAGGTTCAAATATCTGCTTGCAGACTTTACAGACAGAGTGTTTCCAAACTACTCTATGAAAAGAAAGCTTAAACTCCTTGAGTTGAACGCAGACATCACAAAGTAGTTTCTGAGAATGATTCTGTCTAGTTTTTATACGAAGATGTTTCCTTTTCTACATTTGGTCTCAAAGCGATTGAAATCTCCAACTGGAAACTGCACAAATAGGGTGTTTCAAATCTGCTCTGTCTAAAGGAAGGTTCAACTCTGTGAGTTGAATACACACACCACAAATAAGTTACTGAGAATTCTTCTGTCGAACACTACATGAAGAAATCCCTTTTCCAACAAAGGCCTCAAAGAGGTCCAAATATCCACTTGCAGACATTACAGAGTGTTTCCAAACTGCTCCATCAAAAGAAAGGTTAAACTCTGTGAGCTGAACACACACATCAAAAAGAAGTTTCTGTGAATGATTCTGTCTAGATTTTATAAGAAGATGTTTCCTTTTCTACCGTAGGCCTCAAAGCGCTTGAAATCTCCAGCTGCAAATTCCACAAAAAGGGTGTTTAACATCTGCTCTTCTAAAGGAAAGTTCAACTCTATGAGTTGAATACACACAGCACAAAGAAGTTACTGAGACTTCTCCTATCAAACATTATATGAAGAAATCCCGTTTCCAACGAAGGCCTCAAAGAGGTCCAAATATCTGCTTGCAGACTTTACAGACAGAGTGTTTCCAAACTGCTCCATCAAAAGAAAGGTTAAACTCCTTCAGTTGAACACACACATCACAAAGTAGTTTCTGTGAATAATTCTGTCTAGTTTTTATACGAAGATGTTTCCTTTTCTACCTTTGGTCTCAAAGCGAATGAAATCTCCACATGGAAACTCCACAAAAAGAGTGTTTCAAATCTGCTCTTTCTGAAGGAAGGTTCATCTCTGTGAGTTGAATACACACACCACAAATAAGTTACTGAGAATTCTTCTGTGTAACATTATATGAGGAAATCCCGTTTCCAACGAAGGCCTCAAAGAGGTCCAAATATCCACTTGCAGACTTTACAAAGACAGTGTCTCCAAACTCCTCCATCAAAAGAAAGGTTATACTCTGTGAATTGAACGCACACATCACAAAGTAGTTTCTGAGAATGATTCTGTCTAGTTTTTATACGAAGATATTTCCTTTTCTACATTTGGCCTAAAAGCGCTTGAAATCTCCACCTGCAAATATCACAAAAAGAGGGTTTCACACCTGCTCTGTCTAATGGACTGTTCACCTCTGTGAGTTGAATAGAGGCAACACAAAGAACTTACTCAGTATTCTTCTTTCTAGCGTTCTATGAAGAAATCCCGTTTCCAACGAAGGCCTCAAAGAGGTCCAAATATCTGCTTGCAGACTTTACAGACAGAGTGTTTCCAAACTACTCTATGAAAAGAAAGCTTAAACTCCTTGAGTTGAACGCACACATCACAAAGTAGTTTCTGAGAATGATTCTGTCTAGTTTTTATACGAAGATGTTTCCTTTTCTACATTTGGTCTCAAAGCGATTGAAATCTCCAACTGGAAACTGCAGAAATAGGCTGTTTCAAATCTGCTCTGTCTAAAGGAAGGTTCAGCTCTGTGAGTTGAATACACACACCACAAATAAGTTACTGAGAATTCTTCTGTCGAACATTACAGGAAGAAATCCCGTTTCCAACGAAGGCCTCAAAGAGCTCCAAATATCCACTTGCAGACATTACAAACAGTGTGTTTCCCAACTGCTCCATCAAAAGAAAGGTTAAACTCTGTGAGCTGAACACACACATCAAAAAGAAGTTTCTGTGAATGATTCTGTCTAGATTTTATAAGAAGATGTTTCCTTTTCTACCGTAGGCCTCAAAGCGCTTGAAATCTCCAGCTGCAAATTCCACAAAAAGGGTGTTTAACATCTGCTCTTCTAAAGGAAAGTTCAACTCTATGAGTTGAATACACACAGCACAAAGAAGTTACTGAGACTTCTCCTATCAAACATTATATGAAGAAATCCCGTTTCCAACGAAGGCCTCAAAGAGGTCCAAATATCTGCTTGCAGACTTTACAGACAGAGTTTTTCCAAACTGCTCCATCAGAAGAAAGGTTAAACTCCTCGAGTTGAACACACACATCACAAAGTAGTTTCTGTGAATGATTCTGTCTAGTTTTTATACGAAGATGTTTCCTTTTCTACCTTTGGTCTCAAAGCGATTGAAATCTCCACATGGAAACTCCACAAAAAGAGTGTTTCAAATCTGCTCTTTCTGAAGGAAGGTTCAACTCTGTGAGTTGAATACACACACCACAAATAAGTTACTGAGAATTCTTCTGTGTAACATTATATGAGGAAATCCCGTTTCCAACGAAGGCCTCAAAGAGGTCCAAATATCCACTTGCAGACTTTACAAAGACAGTGTCTCCAAACTCCTCCATCAAAAGAAAGGTTATACTCTGTGAATTGAACGCACACATCACAAAGTAGTTTCTGAGAATGATTCTGTCTAGTTTTTATACGAAGATATTTCCTTTCCTACATTTGGCCTAAAAGCGCTTGAAATCTCCACCTGCAAATATCACAAAAAGAGGGTTTCACATCTGCTCTGTCTAAAGGACAGTTCACCTCTGTGAGTTGAATAGAGGCAACACAAAGAACTTACTCAGTATTCTTCTTTCTAGCGTTCTATGAAGAAATCCCGTTTCCAACGAAGGCCCCAAAGAGGTCCAAATATCTGCTTGCAGACTTTACAGACAGAGTGTTTCCAAACTACTCTATGAAAAGAAAGCTTAAACTCCTTGAGTTGAACGCACACATCACAAAGTAGTTTCTGAGAATGATTCTGTCTAGTTTTTATACGAAGATGTTTCCTTTTCTACATTTGGTCTCAAAGCGATTGAAATCTCCAACTGGAAACTGCACAAATAGGGTGTTTCAAATCTGCTCTGTCTAAAGGAAGGTTCAACTCTGTGAGTTGAATACACACACCACAAATAAGTTACTGAGAATTCTTCTGTCGACCATTACTTGAAGAAATCCCGTTTCCAACGAAGGCCTCAAAGAGGTCCAAATATCCACTTGCAGACATTACAAACAGAGTGTTTCCAAACTGCTCCATCAAAAGAAAGGTTAAACTCTGTGAGCTGAACACACACATCGAAAAGAAGTTTCTGTGAATGATTCTGTCTAGATTTTATAAGAAGATGTTTCCTTTTCTACCGTAGGCCTCAAAGCGCTTGAAATCTCCAGCTGCAAATTCCACAAAAAGGGTGTTTAACATCTGCTCTTCTAAAGGAAAGTTCAACTCTATGAGTTGAATACACACAGCACAAAGAAGTTACTGAGACTTCTCCTATCAAACATTATATGAAGAAATCCCGTTTCCAACGAAGGCCTCAAAGAGGTCCAAATATCTGCTTGCAGACTTTACAGACAGAGTGTTTCCAAACTGCTCCATCAAAAGAAAGGTTAAACTCCTTGAGTTGAACACACACATCACAAAGTAGTTTCTGTGAATGATTCTGTCTAGTTGTTATACGAAGATGTTTCCTTTTCTACCTTTGGTCTCAAAGCGATTGAAATCTCCACATGGAAACTCCACAAAAAGAGTGTTTCAAATCTGCTCTTTCTGAAGGAAGGTTCATCTCTGTGAGTTGAATACACACACCAAAAATAAGTTACTGAGAATTCTTCTGGGTAACATTATATGAGGAAATCCCGTTTCCAACGAAGGCCTCAAAGAGGTCCAAATATCCACTTGCAGACTTTACAAAGACAGTGTCTCCAAACTCCTCCATCAAAAGAAAGGTTATACTCTGTGAATTGAACGCACACATCACAAAGTAGTTTCTGAGAATGATTCTGTCTAGTTTTTATACGAAGAATATTTCCTTTTCTACATTTGGCCTAAAAGCGCTTGAAATCTCCACCTGCAAATATCACAAAAAGAGGGTTTCACATCTGCTCTGTCTAAAGGACAGTTCACCTCTGTGAGTTGAATAGAGGCAACACAAAGAACTTACTCAGTATTCTTCTTTCTAGCGTTCTATGAAGAAATCCCGTTTCCAACGAATGCCTCGAAGAGGTCCAAATATCTGCTTGCAGACTTTATAGACAGAGTGTTTCCAAACTACTCTATGAAAAGAAAGCTTAAACTCCTTGAGTTGAACGCACACATCACAAAGTAGTTTCTGAGAATGATTCTGTCTTGTTTTTATACAAAGTTATTTCCGTTTCTATGATTGGCCTCAAAGCGATTGAAATCTCCAACTGGAAACTGCACAAATAGGGTGTTTGAAATCTGCTCTGTCTAAAGGAAGGTTCAACTCTGTGAGTTGAATACACACACCACAAATAAGTTACTGAGAATTCTTCTGTCAAACGTTACATGAAGAAATCCCGTTTCCAACGAAGGCCTCAAAGAGGTCCAAATATCCACTTGCAGACATTACAAACAGAGTGTTTCCAAACTGCTCCATCAAAAGAAAGGTTAATCTCTGTGAGCTGAACACACACATCAAAAAGAAGTTTCTGTGAATGATTCTGTCTAGATTTTATAAGAAGATGTTTCCTTTTCTACAGCTGCAAATTCCACAAAAAGGGTGTTTAACATCTGCTCTTCTAAAGGAAAGTTCAACTCTATGAGTTGAATAAACACAGCACAAAGTAGTTACTGAGACTTCTCCTATCAAACATTATATGAAGAAATCCCGTTTCCAACGAAGGCCTCAAAGAGGTCCAAATATCTGCTTGCAGACTTTACAGACAGAGTGTTTCCAAACTGCTCCATCAAAAGAAAGTTTAACCTCCTTGAGTTGAACACACACATCACAAAGTAGTTTCTGTGAATGATTCTGTCTAGTTTTTATACGAAGATGTTTCCTTTTCTACCTTTGGTCTCAAAGCGATTGAAATCTCCACATGGAAACTCCACAAAAAGAGTGTTTCAAATCTGCTCTTTCTGAAGTAAGGTTCAACTCTGTGAGTTGAATACACACACCACAAATAAGTTACTGAGAATTCTTCTGTGTAACATTATATGAGGAAATCCCGTTTCCAACGAAGGCCTCAAAGAGGTCCAAATATCCAGTTGCAGACTTTACAAAGACAGTGTCTCCAAACTCCTCCATCAAAAGAATGGTTATACTCTGTGAATTGAACGCACACATCACAAAGTAGATTCTGAGAATGATTCTGTCTAGTTTTTATACGAAGATATTTCCTTTTCTACATTTGGCCTAAAAGCGCTTGAAATCTCCACCTGCAAATATCACAAAAAGAGAGTTTCACATCTGCTCTGTCTAAAGGACAGTTCACCTCTGTGAGTTGAATAGAGGCAACACAAAGAACTTACTCAGTATTCTTCTTTCTAGCGTTCTATGAAGAAATCCCGTTTCCAACGAAGGCCCCAAAGAGGTCCAAATATCTGCTTGCAGACTTTACAGACAGAGTGTTTCCAAACTACTCTATGAAAAGAAAGCTTAAACTCCTTGAGTTGAACGCACACATCACAAAGTAGTTTCTGAGAATGATTCTGTCTAGTTTTTATACGAAGATGTTTCCTTTTCTACATTTGGTCTCAAAGCGATTGAAATCTCCAACTGGAAACTGCACAAATAGGGTGTTTCAAATCTGCTCTGTCTAAAGGAAGGTTCAACTCTGTGAGTTGAATACACACACCACAAATAAGTTACTGAGAATTCTTCTGTCGAACATTACAGGAAGAAATCCCGTTTCCAACGAAGGCCTCAAAGAGGTCCAAATATCCACTTGCAGACATTACAAACAGTGTGTTTCCCAACTGCTCCATCAAAAGAAAGGTTAAACTCTGTGAGCTGAACACACACATCAAAAAGAAGTTTCTGTGAATGATTCTGTCTAGATTTTATAAGAAGATGTTTCCTTTTCTACCGTAGGCCTCAAAGCGCTTGAAATCTCCAGCTGCAAATTCCACAAAAAGGGTGTTTAACATCTGCTCTTCTAAAGGAAAGTTCAACTCTGTGAGTTGAATACACACAGCACAAAGAAGTTACTGAGACTTCTCCTATCAAACATTATATGAAGAAATCCCGTTTCCAACGAAGGCCTCAAAGAGGTCCAAATATCTGCTTGCAGACTTTACAGACAGTGTGTTTCCAAACTGCTCCATCAAAAGAAAGGTTAAACTCCTTGAGTTGAACACACACATCACAAAGTAGTTTCTGTGAATGATTCTGTCTAGTTTTTATACGAAGATGTTTGCTTTTCTACCTTTGGCCTCAAAGCGATTGAAATCTCCACATGGAAACTCCACAAAAAGAGTGTTTCAAATCTGCTCTTTCTGAAGGAAGGTTCAACTCTGTGAGTTGAATACACACACCACAAATAAGTTACTGAGAATTCTTCTGTGTAACATTATATGAGGAAATCCCGTTTCCAACGAAGGCCTCAAAGAGGTCCAAATATCCACTTGCAGACTTTACAAAGACAGTGTCTCCAAACTCCTCCATCAAAAGAAAGGTTATACTCTGTGAATTCAACGCACACATCACAAAGTAGTTTCTGAGAATGATTCTGTCTAGTTTTTATACGAAGATATTTCCTTTTCTACATTTGGCCTAAAAGCGCTTGAAATCTCCACCTGCAAATATCACAAAAAGAGGGTTTCACATCTGCTCTGTCTAAAGGACAGTTCACCTCTGTGAGTTGAATAGAGGCAACACAAAGAACTTACTCAGTATTCTTCTTTCTAGCGTTCTATGAAGAAATCCCGTTTCCAACGAAGGCCCCAATGAGGTCCAAATATCTGCTTGCAGACTTTACAGACAGAGTGTTTCCAAACTACTCTATGAAAAGAAAGCTTAAACTCCTTGAGTTGAACGCACACATCACAAAGTAGTTTCTGAGAATGATTCTGTCTAGTTTTTATACGAAGATGTTTCCTTTTCTACATTTGGTCTCAAAGCGATTGAAATCTCCAACTGGAAACTGCACAAATAGGGTGTTTCAAATCTGCTCTGTCTAAAGGAAGGTTCAACTCTGTGAGTTGAATACACACACCACAAATAAGTTACTGAGAATTCTTCTGTCGAACATTACATGAAGAAATCCCGTTTCCAACGAAGGCCTCAAAGAGGTCCAAATATCCACTTGCAGACATTACAAACAGTGTGTTTCCAAACTGCTCCATCAAAAGAAAGGTTAAACTCTGTGAGCTGAACACACACATCAAAAATTAGTTTCTGTGAATGATTCTGTCTAGATTTTGTAAGAAGATGTTTCCTTTTCTACAGTAGGCCTCAAAGCGCTTGAAATCTCCAGCTGCAAATTCCACAAAAAGGGTGTTTAACATCTGCTCTACTAAAGGAAAGTTCAACTCTATGAGTTGAATACACACAGCAGAAAGAAGTTACTGAGACTTCTCCTATCAAACATTATATGAAGAAATCCCGTTTCCAACGAAGGCCTCAAAGAGGTCCAAATATCTGCTTGCAGACTTTACAGACAGAGTGTTTCCAAACTGCTCCATCAAAAGAAAGGTTAAACTCCTTGAGTTGAACACACACATCACAAGGTAGTTTCTGTGAATGATTCTGTCTAGTTTTTATACGAAGATGTTTCCTTTTCTACCTTTGGTCTCAATGCGATTGAAATCTCCACATGGAAACTCCACAAAAAGAGTGTTTCAAATCTGCTCTTTCTGAAGGAAGGTTCAACTCTGTGAGTTGAATACACACACCACAAATAAGTTACTGAGAATTCTTCTGTGTAACATTATATGAGGAAATCCCGTTTCCAACGAAGGCCTCAAAGAGATCCAAATATCCACTTGCAGACTTTACAAAGACAGTGTCTCCAAACTCCTCCATCAAAAGAAAGGTTATACTCTGTGAATTGAACGCACACATCACAAAGTAGTTTCTGAGAATGATTCTGTCTAGTTTTTATACGAAGATATTTCCTTTTCTACATTTGGCCTAAAAGCGCTTGAAATCTCCACCTGCAAATATCACAAAAAGAGGGTTTCACATCTGCTCTGTCTAAAGGACAGTTCACCTCTGTGAGTTGAATAGAGGCAACACAAAGAACGTACTCAGTATTCTTCTTTCTAGCGTTGTATGAAGAAATCCCGTTTCCAACGAAGGCCCCAAAGAGGTCCAAATATCTGCTTGCAGACTTTACAGACAGAGTGTTTCCAAACTACTCTATGAAAAGAAAGCTTAAACTCCTTGAGTTGAACGCACACATCACAAAGTAGTTTCTGAGAATGATTCTGTCTAGTTTTTATACGAAGATGTTTCCTTTTCTACATTTGGTCTCAAAGCGATTGAAATCTCCAACTGGAAACTGCACAAATAGGGTGTTTCAAATCTGCTCTGTCTAAAGGAAGGTTCAACTCTGTGAGTTGAATACACACACCACAAATAAGTTACTGAGAATTCTTCTGTCGAACATTACTTGAAGAATCCCGTTTCCAACGAAGGCCTCAAAGAGGTCCAAATATCCACTTGCAGACATTACAAACAGAGTGTTTCCAAACTGCTCCATCAAAAGAAAGGTTAAACTCTGTGAGCTGAACACACACATCAAAAAGAAGTTTCTGTGAATGATTCTGTCTAGATTTTATAAGAAGATGTTTCCTTTTCTACCGTAGGCCTCAAAGCGCTTGAAATCTCCAGCTGCAAATTCCACAAAAAGGGTGTTTAACATCTGCTCTTCTAAAGGAAAGTTCAACCCTATGAGTTGAATACACACAGCCCAAAGAAGTTACTGAGACTTCTCCTATCAAACATTATATGAAGAAATCCCGTTTCCAACGAAGGCCTCAAAGAGGTCCAAATATCTGCTTGCAGACTTTACAGACAGAGTGTTTCCAAACTGCTCCACCAAAAGAAAGGTTAAACTCCTTGAGTTGAACACACACATCACAAAGTAGTTTCTGTGTATGATTCTGTCTAGTTTTTATACGAAGATGTTTCCTTTTCTACCTTTGGTCTCAATGCGATTGAAATCTCCACATGGAAACTCCACAAAAAGAGTGTTTCAAATCTGCTCTTTCTGAAGGAAGGTTCAACTCTGTGAGTTGAATACACACACCACAAATAAGTTACTGAGAATTCTTCTGTGTAACATTATATGAGGAAATCCCGTTTCCAACGAAGGCCTGAAAGAGATCCAAATATCCACTTGCAGACTTTACAAAGACAGTGTCTCCAAACTCCTCCATCAAAAGAAAGGTTATACTCTGTGAATTGAACGCACACATCACAAAGTAGTTTCTGAGAATGATTCTGTCTAGTTTTTATACGAAGATATTTCCTTTTCTACATTTGGCCTAAAAGCGCTTGAAATCTCCACCTGCAAATATCACAAAAAGAGGGTTTCACATCTGCTCTGTCTAAAGGACAGTTCACCTCTGTGAGTTGAATAGAGGCAACACAAAGAACGTACTCAGTATTCTTCTTTCTAGCGTTCTATGAAGAAATCCCGTTTCCAACGAAGGCCCCAAAGAGGTCCAAATATCTGCTTGCAGACTTTACAGACAGAGTGTTTCCAAACTACTCTATGAAAAGAAAGCTTAAACTCCTTGAGTTGAACGCACACATCACAAAGTAGTTTCTGAGAATGATTCTGTCTAGTTTTTATACGAAGATGTTTCCTTTTCTACATTTGGTCTCAAAGCGATTGAAATCTCCAACTGGAAACTGCACAAATAGGGTGTTTCAAATCTGCTCTGTCTAAAGGAAGGTTCAACTCTGTGAGTTGAATACACACACCACAAATAAGTTACTGGAGAATTCTTCTGTCGAACATTACTTGAAGAAATCCCGTTTCCAAAGAAGGCCTCAAAGAGGTCCAAATATCCACTTGCAGACATTACAAACAGAGTGTTTCCAAACTGCTCCATCAAAAGAAAGGTTAAACTCTGTGAGCTGAACACACACATCAAAAAGAAGTTTCTGTGAATGATTCTGTCTAGATTTTATAAGAAGATGTTTCCTTTTCTACCGTAGGCCTCAAAGCGCTTGAAATCTCCAGCTGCAAATTCCACAAAAAGGGTGTTTAACATCTGCTCTTCTAAAGGAAAGTTCAACTCTATGAGTTGAATACACACAGCACAAAGAAGTTACTGAGACTTCTCCTATCAAACATTATATGAAGAAATCCCGTTTCCAACGAAGGCCTCAAAGAGGTCCAAATATCTGCTTGCAGACTTTACAGACAGAGTGTTTCCAAACTGCTCCATCAAAAGAAAGGTTAAACTCCTTGAGTTGAACACACACATCACAAAGTAGTTTCTGTGAATGATTCTGTCTATTTGTTATACGAAGATGTTTCCTTTTCTACCTTTGGTCTCAAAGCGATTGAAATCTCCACATGGAAACTCCACAAAAAGAGTGTTTCAAATCTGCTCTTTCTGAAGGAAGTTTCATCTCTGTGAGTTGAATACACACACCACAAATAAGTTACTGAGAATTCTTCTGTGTAACATTATATGAGGAAATCCCGTTTCCAACGAAGGCCTCAAAGAGGTCCAAATATCCACTTGCAGACTTTACAAAGACAGTGTCTCCAAACTCCTCCATCAAAAGAAAGGTTATACTCTGTGAATTGAACGCACACATCACAAAGTAGTTTCTGAGAATGATTCTGTCTAGTTTTTATACGAAGATGTTTCCTTTTCTACATTTGGCCTAAAAGCGCTTGAAATCTCCACCTGCAAATATCACAAAAAGAGGGTTTCACATCTGCTCTGTCTAAAGGACAGTTCACCTCTGTGAGTTGAATAGAGGCAACACAAAGAACTTACTCAGTATTCTTCTTTCTAGCGTTCTATGAAGAAATCCCGTTTCCAACGAAGGCCCCAAAGAGGTCCAAATATCTGCTTGCAGACTTTACAGACAGAGTGTTTCCAAACTACTCTATGAAAAGAAAGCTTAAACTCCTTGAGTTGAACGCACACATCACAAAGTAGTTTCTGAGAATGATTCTGTCTAGTTTTTATACGAAGATGTTTCCTTTTCTACATTTGGTCTCAAAGCGATTGAAATCTCCAACTGGAAACTGCACAAATAGGGTGTTTCAAATCTGCTCTGTCTAAAGGAAGGTTCAACTCTGTGAGTTGAATACACACACCACAAATAAGTTACTGAGAATTCTTCTGTCGAACATTACTTGAAGAAATCCCGTTTCCAAAGAAGGCCTCAAAGAGGTCCAAATATCCACTTGCAGACATTACAAACAGAGTGTTTCCAAACTGCTCCATCAAAAGAAAGGTTAAACTCTGTGAGCTGAACACACACATCAAAAAGAAGTTTCTGTGAATGATTCTGTCTAGATTTTATAAGAAGATGTTTCCTTTTCTACCGTAGGCCTCAAAGCGCTTGAAATCTCCAGCTGCAAATTCCACAAAAAGGGTGTTTAACATCTGCTCTTCTAAAGGAAAGTTCAACTCTATGAGTTGAATACACACAGCACAAAGAAGTTACTGAGACTTCTCCTATCAAACATTATATGAAGAAATCCCGTTTCCAACGAAGGCCTCAAAGAGGTCCAAATATCTGCTTGCAGACTTTACAGACAGAGTGTTTCCAAACTGCTCCATCAAAAGAAAGGTTAAACTCCTTGAGTTGAACACACACATCACAAAGTAGTTTCTGTGAATGATTCTGTCTAGTTGTTATACGAAGATGTTTCCTTTTCTACCTTTGGTCTCAAAGCGATTGAAATCTCCACATGGAAACTCCACAAAAAGAGTGTTTCAAATCTGCTCTTTCTGAAGGAAGGTTCATCTCTGTGAGTTGAATACACACACCACAAATAAGTTAGTGAGAATTCTTCTGTGTAACATTATATGAGGAAATCCCGTTTCCAACGAAGGCCTGAAAGAGGTCCAAATATCCACTTGCAGACTTTACAAAGACAGTGTCTCCAAACTCCTCCATCAAAAGAAAGGTTATACTCTGTGAATTGAACGCACACATCACAAAGTGGTTTCTGAGAATGATTCTGTCTAGTTTTTATACGAAGATATTTCCTTTTCTACATTTGGCCTAAAAGCGCTTGAAATCTCCACCTGCAAATATCACAAAAAGAGGGTTTCACATCTGCTCTGTCTAAAGGACAGTTCACCTCTGTGAGTTGAATAGAGGCAACACAAAGAACTTACTCAGTATTCTTCTTTCTAGCGTTCTATGAAGAAATCCCGTTTCCAACGAAGGCCCAAAAGAGGTCCAAATATCTGCTTGCAGACTTTACAGACAGAGTGTTTCCAAACTACTCTATGAAAAGAAAGCTTAAACTCCTTGAGTTGAACGCACACATCACAAAGTAGTTTCTGAGAATGATTCTGTCTAGTTTTTATACGAAGATGTTTCCTTTTCTACATTTGGTCTCAAAACGATTGAAATGTCCAACTGGGAACTGCACAAATAGGGTGTTTCAAATCTGCTCTGTCTAAAGGAAGGTTCAACTCTGTGAGTTGAATACACACTCCACAAATAAGTTACTGAGAATTCTTCTGTCGAACATTACTTGAAGAAATCCCGTTTCCAACGAAGGCCTCAAAGAGGTCCAAATATCCACTTGCAGACATTACAAACAGAGTGTTTCCAAACTGCTCCATCAAAAGAAAGGTTAAACTCTGTGAGCTGAACACACACATCGAAAAGAAGTTTCTGTGAATGATTCTGTCTAGATTTTATAAGAAGATGTTTCCTTTTCTACAGTAGGCCTCAAAGCGCTTGAAATCTCCAGCTGCAAATTCCACAAAAAGGGTGTTTAACATCTGCTCTTCTAAAGGAAAGTTCAACTCTATGAGTTGAATGCACACAGCACAAAGAAGTTACTGAGACTTCTCCTATCAAACATTATATGAAGAAATCCCGTTTCCAACGAAGGCCTCAAAGAGGTCCAAATATCTGCTTGCAGACTTTACAGACAGAGTATTTCCAAACTGCTCCATCAAAAGAAAGGTTAAACTCCTTGAGTTGAACACACACATCACAAAGTAGTTTCTGTGAATGATTCTGTCTAGTTTTTATACGAAGATGTTTCCTTTTCTACCTTTGGTCTCAAAGCGATTGAAATCTCCACATGGAAACTCCACAAAAAGAGTGTTTCAAATCTGCTCTTTCTGAAGGAAGGTTCAACTCTGTGAGTTGAATACACACACCACAAATAAGTTACTGAGAATTCTTCTGTGTAACATTATATGAGGAAATCCCGTTTCCAACGAAGGCCTCAAAGAGGTCCAAATATCCACTTGCAGACTTTACAAAGACAGTGTCTCCAAACTCCTCCATCAAAAGAAAGGTTATACTCTGTGAATTGAACGCACACATCACAAAGTAGTTTCTGAGAATGATTCTGTCTAGTTTTTATACGAAGATATTTCCTTTTCTACATTTGGCCTAAAAGTGCTTGAAATCTCCACCTGCAAATATCACAAAAAGAGGGTTTCACATCTGCTCTGTCTAAAGGACAGTTCACCTCTGTGAGTTGAATAGAGGCAACACAAAGAACTTACTCAGTATTCTTCTTTCTAGCATTCTATGAAGAAATCCCGTTTCCAACGAAGGCCCCAAAGAGGTCCAAATATCTGCTTGCAGACTTTACAGACAGAGTTTTTCCAAACTGCTCCATCAAAAGAAAGGTTAAACTCCTTGAGTTGAACACACACATCACAAAGTAGTTTCTGTGAATGATTCTGTCTAGTTTTTATAAGAAGATGTTTCCTTTTCTACCTTTGGTCTCAAAGCGATTGAAATCTCCACATGGAAACTCCTCAAAAAGAGTGTTTCAAATCTGCTCTTTCTGAAGGAAGGTTCAACTCTGTGAGTTGAATACACACACCACAAATAAGTTACTGAGAATTCTTCTGTGTAACATTATATGAGGAAATCCCGTTTCCAACGAAGGCCTCAAAGAGGTCCAAATATCCACTTGCGGACATTACAAACAGTGTGTTTCCCAACTGCTCCATCAAAAGAAAGGTTAAACTCTGTGAGCTGAACACACACATCAAAAAGAAGTTTCTGTGAATGATTCTGTCTAGATTTTATAAGAAGATGTTTCCTTTTCTACCGTAGGCCTCAAAGCGCTTGAAATCTCCAGCTGCAAATTCCACAAAAAGGGTGTTTAACATCTGCTCTTCTAAAGGAAAGTTCAACTCTATGAGTTGAATACACACAGCACAAAGAAGTTACTGAGACTTCTCCTATCAAACATTATATGAAGAAATCCCGTTTCCAACGAAGGCCTCAAAGAGGTCCAAATGTCTGCTTGCAGACTTTACAGACAGAGTGTTTCCAAACTGCTCCATCAAAAGAAAGGTTAAACTCCTTGAGTTGAACACACACATCACAAAGTAGTTTCTGTGAATGATTCTGTCTAGTTTTTATACGAAGATGTTTCCTTTTCTACCTTTGGTCTCAAAGCGATTGAAATCTCCACATGGAAACTCCACAAAAAGAGTGTTTCAAATCTGCTCTTTCTGAAGGAAGGTTCAACTCTGTGAGTTGAATACACACACCACAAATGAGTTACTGAGAATTCTTCTGTGTAACATTATATGAGGAAATCCCGTTTCCAACGAAGGCCTCAAAGAGGTCCAAATATCCACTTGCAGACTTTACAAAGACAGTGTCTCCAAACTCCTCCATCAAAAGAAAGGTTATACTCTGTGAATTGAACGCACACATCACAAAGTAGTTTCTGAGAATGATTCTGTCTAGTTTTTATACGAAGATATTTCCTTTTCTACATTTGGCCTAAAAGCGCTTGAAATCTCCACCTGGAAATATCACAAAAAGAGGGTTTCACATCTGCTCTGTCTAAAGGACAGTTCACCTCTGTGAGTTGAATAGAGGCAACACAAAGAACTTACTCAGTATTCTTCTTTCTAGCGTTCTATGAAGAAATCCCGTTTCCAACGAAGGCCTCAAAGAGGTCAAATATCTGCTTGCAGACTTTACAGACAGAGTGTTTCCAAACTACTCTATGAAAAGAAAGCTTAAACTCCTTGAGTTGAACGCACACATCACAAAGTAGTTTCTGAGAATGATTCTGTCTAGTTTTTATACGAAGATGTTTCCCTTTCTACATTTGGTCTCAAAGCGATTGAAATCTCCAACTGGAAACTGCACAAATAGGCTGTTTGAAATCTGCTCTGTCTAAAAGAAGGTTCAACTCTGTGAGTTGAATACACACACCACAAATAAGTTACTGAGAATTCTTCTGTCGAACATTACAGGAAGAAATCCCGTTTCCAACGAAGACCTCAAAGAGGTCCAAATATCCACTTGCAGACATTACAAACAGTGTGTTTCCCAACTGCTCCATCAAAAGAAAGGTTAAACTCTGTGAGCTGAACACACACATCAAAAAGAAGTTTCTGTGAATGATTCTGTCTAGATTTTATAAGAAGATGTTTCCTTTTCTACCGTAGGCCTCAAAGCGCTTGAAATCTCCAGCTGCAAATTCCACAAAAAGGGTGTTTAACATCTGCTCTTCTAAAGGAAAGTTCAACTCTGTGAGTTGAATACACACAGCACAAAGAAGTTACTGAGACTTCTCCTATCAAACATTATATGAAGAAATCCCGTTTCCAACGAAGGCCTCAAAGAGGTCCAAATATCTGCTTGCAGACTTTACAGACAGTGTGTTTCCAAACTGCTCCATCAAAAGAAAGGTTAAACTCCTTGAGTTGAACACACACATCACAAAGTAGTTTCTGTGAATGATTCTGTCTAGTTTTTATACGAAGATGTTTCCTTTTCTACCTTTGGTCTCAAAGTGATTGAAATCTCCACATGGAAACTCCACAAAAAGAGTGTTTCAAATCTGCTCTTTCTGAAGGAAGGTTCAAATCTGTGAGTTGAATACACACACCACAAATAAGTTACTGAGAATTCTTCTGTGTAACATTATATGAGGAAATCCCGTTTCCAACGAAGGCCTCAAAGAGGTCCAAATATCCACTTGCAGACTTACAAAGACAGTGTCTCCAAACTCCTCCATCAAAAGAAAGGTTATACTCTGTGAATTGAACGCACACATCACAAAGTAGTTTCTGAGAATGATTCTGTTTAGTTTTTATACGAAGATATTTCCTTTTCTACATTTGGCATAAAAGCGCTTGAAAACTCCACCTGCAAATATCACAAAAAGAGGGTTTCACATCTGCTCTGTCTAAAGGACAGTTCACCTCTGTGAGTTGAATAGAGGCAACACAAAGAACTTACTCAGTATTCTTCTTTCTAGCGTTCTATGAAGAAATCCCGTTTCCAACGAAGGCCTCAAAGAGGTCCAAATATCTGCTTGCAGACTTTACAGACAGAGTGTTTCCAAACTACTCTATGAAAAGAAAGCTTAAACTCCTTGAGTTGAACGCACACATCACAAAGTAGTTTCTGAGAATGATTCTGTCTAGTTTTTATACGAAGATGTTTCCTTTTCTACATTTGGTCTCAAAGCGATTGAAATCTCCACCTGGAAACTGCACAAATAGGGAGTTCCAAATCTGATCTGTCTAAAGGAAGGGTCAACTCTGTGAGTTGAATACACACACCACAAATAAGTTACTGAGAATTCTTCTGTTGAACATTACATGAAGAAATCCCGTTTCCAACGAAGGCCTCAAAGAGGTCCAAACCTCCACTTGCAGACATTACAAACAGTGTGTTTCCAAACTGCTCCATCAAAAGAAAGGTTAAACTCTGTGAGCTGAACACACACATCGAAAAGAAGTTTCTGTGAATGATTCTGTCTAGATTTTATAAGAAGATGTTTCCTTTTCTACCGTAGGCCTCAAAGCGCTTGAAATCTCCACCTGCAAATTCCACAAAAAGGGTGTTTAACATCTGCTCTTCTAAAGGAAAGTTCAACTCTATGAGTTGAATACACACAGCACAAAGAAGTTACTGAGACTTCTCCTATCAAACATTATATGAAGAAATCCCGTTTCCAACGAAGGCCTCAAAGAGGTCCAAATATCTGCTTGCAGACTTTACAGACAGAGTGTTTCCAAACTGCTCCATCAAAAGAAAGGTTAAACTCCTTGAGTTGAACACACACATCACAAAGTAGTTTCTGTGAATGATTCTGTCTAGTTTTTATACGAAGATGTTTCCTTTTCTACCTTTGGTCTCAATGCGATTGAAATCTCCACATGGAAACTCCACAAAAAGAGTGTTTCAAATCTGCTCTTTCTGAAGGAAGGTTCAACTCTGTGAGTTGAATACACACACCACAAATAAGTTACTGAGAATTCTTCTGTGTAACATTATATGAGGAAATCCCGTTTCCAACGAAGGCCTCAAAGAGGTCCAAATATCCACTTGCAGACTTTACAAAGACAGTGTCTCCAAACTCCGCCATCAAAAGAAAGGTTATACTCTGTGAATTGAACGCACACATCACAAAGTAGTTTCTGAGAATGATTCTGTCTAGTTTTTATACGAAGATATTTCCTTTTCTACATTTGGCCTAAAAGCGCTTGAAATCTCCACCTGCAAATATCACAAAAAGAGGGTTTCACATCTGCTCTGTCTAAAGGACAGTTCACCTCTGTGAGTTGAATAGAGGCAACACAAAGAACTTACTCAGTATTCTTCTTTCTAGCGTTCTATGAAGAAATCCCGTTTCCAACGAAGGCCTCAAAGAGGTCCAAATATCTGCTTGCAGACTTTACAGACAGAGTGTTTCCAAACTACTCTATGAAAAGAAAGCTTAAACTCCTTGAGTTAAACGCACACATCACAAAGTAGTTTCTGAGAATGATTGTGTCTAGTTTTTATACGAAGATGTTTCCTTTTCTACATTTGGTCTCAAAGCGATTGAAATCTCCAAGTGCAAACTGCACAAATAGGTTGTTTCAAATCTGCTCTGTCTAAAGGAACGTTCAACTCTGTGAGTTGAATACACACACCACAAATAAGTTACTGAGAATTCTTCTGTCGAACATTACATGAAGAAATCCCGTTTCCAACGAAGGCCTCAAAGAGGTCCAAATATCCACTTGCAGGCATTACAGAGTGTTTCCAAACTGCTCCATCAAAAGAAAGGTTAAACTCTGTGAGCTGAACACACATATCGAAAAGAAGTTTCTGTGAATGATTCTGTCTAGATTTTATAAGAAGATGTTTCCTTTTCTACCGTAGGCCTCAAAGCGCTTGAAATCTCCAGCTGCAAATTCCACAAAAAGGGTGTTTAACATCTGCTCTTCTAAAGGAAAGTTCAACTCTATGAGTTGAATACACACAGCACAAAGAAGTTACTGAGACTTCTCCTATCAAACATTATATGAAGAAATCCCGTTTCCAACGAAGGCCTCAAAGAGGTCCAAATATCTGCTTGCAGACTTTACAGACAGAGTATTTCCAAACTGCTCCATCAAAAGAAAGGTTAAACTCCTTGAGTTGAACACACACATCACAAAGTAGTTTCTGTGAATGATTCTGTCTAGTTTTTATACGAAGATGTTTCCTTTTCTACCTTTGGTCTCAAAGCGATTGAAATCTCCACATGGAAACTCCACAAAAAGAGTGTTTCAAATCTGCTCTTTCTGAAGGAAGGTTCAACTCTGTGAGTTGAATACACACACCACAAATAAGTTACTGAGAATTCTTCTGTGTAACATTATATGAAGAAATCCCGTTTCCAACGAAGGCCTCAAAGAGGTCCAAATATCCACTTGCAGACTTTACAAAGACAGTGTCTCCAAACTCCTCCATCAAAAGAAAGGTTATACTCTGTGAATTGAACGCACACATCACAAAGTAGTTTCTGAGAATGATTCTGTCTAGTTTTTATACGAAGATATTTCCTTTTCTACATTTGGCCTAAAAGCGCTTGAAATCTCCACCTGCAAATATCACAAAAAGAGGGTTTCACATCTGCTCTGTCTAAAGGACAGTTCACCTCTGTGAGTTGAATAGAGGCAACACAAAGAACTTACTCAGTATTCTTCTTTCTAGCGTTCTATGAAGAAATCCCGTTTCCAACGAAGGCCTCAAAGAGGTCCAAATATCTGCTTGCAGACTTTACAGACAGAGTGTTTCCAAACTACTCTATGAAAAGAAAGCTTAAACTCCTTGAGTTGAACGCACACATCACAAAGTAGTTTCTGAGAATGATTCTGTCTAGTTTTTATATGAAGATGTTTCCTTTTCTACATTTGGTCTCAAAGCGATTGAAATCTCCTACTGGAAACTGCACAAACAGGGTGTTTCAAATCTGCTCTGTCTAAAGGAAGGTTCAACTCTGTGAGTTGAATACACACACCACAAATAAGTTACTGAGAATTCTTCTGTCGAACATTACTTGAAGAAATCCCGTTTCCAACGAAGGCCTCAAAGAGGTCCAAATATCCACTTGCAGACATTACAAACAGAGTGTTTCCAAACTGCTCCATCAAAAGAAAGGTTAAACTCTGTGAGCTGAACACACACATCAAAAAGAAGTTTCTGTGAATGATTCTGTCTAGATTTTATAAGAAGATGTTTCCTTTTCTACCGTAGGCCTCAAAGCGCTTGAAATCTCCAGCTGCAAATTCCACAAAAAGGGTGTTTAACATCTGCTCTTCTAAAGGAAAGTTCAACTCTATGAGTTGAATACACACAGCACAAAGAAGTTACTGAGACTTCTCCTATCAAACATTATATGAAGAAATCCCGTTTCCAACGAAGGCCTCAAAGAGGTCCAAATATCTGCTTGCAGACTTTACAGACAGAGTTTTTCCAAACTGCTCCATCAAAAGAAAGGTTAAACTCCTTGAGTTGAACACACACATCACAAAGTAGTTTCTGTGAATGATTCTGTCTAGTTTTTATACGAAGATGTTTCCTTTTCTACCTTTGGTCTCAAAGTGATTGAAATCTCCACATGGAAACTCCACAAAAAGAGTGTTTCAAATCTGCTCTTTCTGAAGGAAGGTTCAAATCTGTGAGTTGAATACACACACCACAAATAAGTTACTGAGAATTCTTCTTTCTAGCGTTCTATGAAGAAATCCCGTTTCCAACGAAGGCCTCAAAGAGGTCCAAATATCTGCTTGCAGACTTTACAAAGACAGTGTCTCCAAACTCCTCCGTCAAAAGAAAGGTTATACTCTGTGAATTGAACGCACACATCACAAAGTAGTTTCTGAGAATGATTCTGTCTAGTTTTTATACGAAGATATTTCCTTTTCTACATTTGGCCTCAAAGCGCTTGAAATCTCCACCTGCAAATATCACAAAAAGAGGGTTTCACATCTGCTCTGTCTAAAGGACAGTTCACCTCTGTGAGTTGAATAGAGGCAACACAAAGAACTTACTCAGTATTCTTCTTTCTACCGTTCTATGAAGAAATCCCGTTTCCAACGAAGGCCTCAAAGAGGTCCAAATATCTGCTTGCAGACTTTACAGACAGAGTGTTTCCAAACTACTCTATGAAAAGAAAGCTTAAACTCCTTGAGTTGAACGCACACATCACAAAGTAGTTTCTGAGAATGATGCTGTCTAGTTTTTGTACGAAGATGTTTCCTTTTCTACATTTGGTCTCAAAGCCATTGAAATCTCCAACTGGAAACTGCACAAATAGGGTGTTTCAAATCTGCTCTGTCTAAAGGAAGGTTCAACTCTGTGAGTTGAATACACACACCATAAATAAGTTACTGAGAATTCTTCTGTCGAACATTACAGGAAGAAATCCCGTTTCCAACGAAGGCCTCAAAGAGGTCCAAATATCCACTTGCAGACATTACAAACAGAGTGTTTCCAAACTGCTCCATCAAAAGAAAGGTTAAACTCTGTGAGCTGAACACACACATCAAAAAGAAGTTTCTGTGAATGATTCTGTCTAGATTTTATAAGAAGATGTTTCCTTTTCTACCGTAGGCCTCAAAGTGCTTGAAATCTCCAGCTGCAAATTCCACAAAAAGGGTGGTTAACATCTGCTCTTCTAAAGGAAAGTTCAACTCTATGAGTTGAATACACATAGCACAAAGAAGTTACTGAGACTTCTTCTGTCTAACATTATATGAAGAAATCCCGTTTCCAACGAAGGCCTCAAAGAGGTCCAAATATCTGCTTGCAGACTTTACAGACAGAGTGTTTCCAAACTGCTCCATCAAAAGAAAGGTTAAACTCCTTGAGTTGAACACACACATCACAAAGTAGTTTCTGTGAATGATTCTGTCTAGTTTTTATACGAAGATGTTTCCTTTTCTACCTTTGGTCTCAAAGCGATTGAAATATCCACATGGAAACTCCACAAAAAGAGTGTTTCAAATCTGCTCTTTCTGAAGGAAGGTTCATCTCTGTGAGTTGAATACACACACCACAAATAAGTTACTGAGAATTCTTCTGTGTAACATTACATGAGGAAATCCCGTTTCCAACGAAGGCCTCAAAGAGGTCCAAATATCCACTTGCAGACTTTACAAAGACAGTGTCTCCAAACTCCTCCATCAAAAGAAAGGTTATACTCTGTGAATTGAACGCACACATCACAAAGTAGTTTCTGAGAATGATTATCTGTCTGGTTTTTATACGAAGATATTTCCTTTTCTACATTTGGCCTAAAATCGCTTGAAATCTCCACCTGCAAATATCACAAAAAGAGGGTTTCACATCTGCTCTGTCTAAAGGACAGTTCACCTCTGTGAGTTGAATAGAGGCAACACAAAGAACTTACTCAGTATTCTTCTTTCTAGTGTTCTATGAAGAAACCCCGTTTCCAACGAAGGCCTCAAAGAGGTCCAAATATCAGCTTGCAGACTTTACAGACAGAGTGTTTCCAAACTACTCTATGAAAAGAAAGCTTAAACTCCTTGAGTTGAACGCACACATCACAAAGTAGTTTCTGAGAATGATTCTGTCTTGTTTTTATATGAAGATATTTCCGTTTCTATGATTGGCCCCAAAGCGATTGAAATCTCCAACTGGAAACTGCACAAATAGGGTGTTTCAAATCTGCTCTGTCTAAAGGAAGGTTCAACTCTGTGAGTTGAATACACACACCACAAAGAAGTTACTGAGAATTCTTCTGTCCAACATTACATGAAGAAATCCCGTTTCCAATGAAGGCCTCAAAGAGGTCCAAATATCCCCTTGCAGACATTACAAACAGAGTGTTTCCAAACTGCTCCATCAAAAGAAAGGTTAAACTCTGTGAGCTGAACACACACATCAAAAGGAAGTTTCTGTGAATGATTCTGTCTAGATTGTATAAGAAGATGTTTCCTTTTCTACCGTAGGCCTCAAAGCGCTTGAAATCTCCAGCTGCAAATTCCACCAAAAGGGTGTTTAACATCTGCTCTTCTAAAGGAAAGTTCAACTCTATGAGTTGAATACACACAGCACAAAGAAGTTACTAAGACTTCTCTTATCAAACATTATATGAAGAAATCCCGTTTCCAACGAAGGCCTCAAAGAGGTCCAAATATCTGCTTGCAGACTTTACAGACAGATTGTTTCAAAACTGCTCCATCAAAAGAAAGGTTAAACTCCTTGAGTTGAACACACACATCACAAAGTAGTTTCTGTGAATGATTCTGTCTAGTTTTTATACGAAGATGTTTCCTTTTCTACCTTTGGTCTCAAAGCGATTGAAATCTCCACATGGAAACTCCACAAAAAGAGTGTTTCAAATCTGCTCTTTCTGAAGGAAGGTTCAACTCTGTGAGTTGAATACACACACCACAAATAAGTTACTGAGAATTCTTCTGTGTAACATTATATGAGGAAATCCCGTTTCCAACGAAGGCCTCAAAGAGGTCCAAATATCCACTTGCAGACTTTACAAAGTCAGTGTCTCCAAACTCCTCCATCAAAAGAAAGGTTATACTCTGTGAATTGAAGGCACACATCACAAAGTAGTTTCTGAGAATGATTCTGTCTAGTTTTTATACGAAGATATTTCCTTTTCTACATTTGGCCTAAAAGCGCTTGAAATCTCCACCTGCAAATATCACAAAAAGAGGGTTTCACATCTGCTCTGTCTAAAGGACAGTTCACCTCTGTGAGTTGAATAGAGGCAACACAAGGAACTTACTCAGTATTCTTTCTTTCTAGCGTTCTATGAAGAAATCCCTTTTCCAACGAAGGCCTCAAAGAGGTCCAAATATCTGCTTGCAGACTTTACAGAGTGTTTCCAAACTACTATATGAAAAGAAAGCTTAAACTCCTTGAGTTGAACGCACACATCACAAAGTAGTTTCTGAGAATGTTTCTGTCTAGTTTTTATACGAAGATGTTTCCTTTTCTACATTTGGTCTCAAAGCGATTGAAATCTCCAACTGGAAACTGCACAAATAGGGTGTTTCAAATCTGCTCTGTCTAAAGGAAGGTTCAACTCTTTGAGTTGAATACACACACCACAAATAAGTTACTGAGAATTCTTCTGTCGAACATTACTTGAAGAATCCCGTTTCCAACGAAGGCCTCAAAGAGGTCCAAATATCCACTTGCAGACATTACAAACAGAGTGTTTCCAAACTGCTCCATCAAAAGAAAGGTTAAACTCTGTGAGCTGAACACACACATCAAAAAGAAGTTTCTGTGAATGATTCTGTCTAGATTTTATAAGAAGATGTTTCCTTTTCTACTGTAGGACTCAAAGCGCTTGAAATCTCCAGCTGCAAATTCCACAAAAAGGGTTTTTAACATCTGCTCTTCTAAAGGAAAGTTCAACTCTATGAGTTGAATACACACAGCACAAAGAAGTTACTGAGACTTCTCCTATCAAACATTATATGAAGAAATCCCGTTTCCAACGAAGGCCTCAAAGAGGTCCAAATATCTGCTTGCAGACTTTAAAGACAGAGTTTTTCCAAACTGCTCCATCAAAAGAAAGGTTAAACTCCTTGAGTTGAACACACACATCACAAAGTAGTTTCTGTGAATGATTCTGTCTAGTTTTTATACGAAGATGTTTCCTTTTCTACCTTTGGTCTCAAAGCGATTGAAATCTCCACATGGAAACTCCACAAAAAGAGTGTTTCAAATCTGCTCTTTCTGAAGGAAGGTTCAACTCTGTGAGTTGAATACACACACCACAAATAAGTTACTGAGAATTCTTCTGTGTAACATTATATGAGGAAACCCGTTTCCAACGAAGGCCTCAAAGAGGTCCAAATATCCACTTGCAGACTTTACAAAGACAGTGTCTCCAAACTCCTCCATCAAAAGAAAGGTTATACTCTGTGAATTGAACGCACACATCACAAAGTAGTTTCTGAGAATGATTCTGTCTAGTTTTTATACGGAGATATTTCCTTTTCTACATTTGGCCTAAAACCGCTTGAAATCTCCACCTGCAAATATCACAAAAAGAGGGTTTCACATCTGCTCTGTCTAAAGGACAGTTCACCTCTGTGAGTTGAATAGAGGCAACACAAAGAACTTACTCAGTATTCTTCTTTCTAGCGTTCTATGAAGAAATCCCGTTTCCAACGAAGGCCTCAAAGAGGTCCAAATATCTGCTTGCAGACTTTACAGACAGAGTGTTTCCAAACTACTCTATGAAAAGAAAGCTTAAACTCCTTGAGTTGAATGCACACATCACAAAGTAGTTTCTGAGAATGATTCTGTCTAGTTTTTATACGAAGATGTTTCCTTTTCTACATTTGGTCTCAAAGCGATTGAAATCTCCAACTGGAAACTGCACAAATAGGGTGTTTCAAATCTGCTCTGTCTAAAGGAAGGTTCAACTCTGTGAGTTGAATACACACACCACAAATAAGTTACTGAGAATTCTTCTGTGGAACATTACTTGAAGAAATCCCGTTTCCAACGAAGGCCTCAAAGAGGTCCAAATATCCACTTGCAGACATTACAAACAGAGTGTTTCCAAACTGCTCCATCAAAAGAAAGGTTAAACTCTGTGAGCTGAACACACACATCAAAAAGAAGTTTCTGTGAATGATTCTGTCTAGATTTTATAAGAAGATGTTTCCTTTTCTACCGTAGGCCTCAAAGCGCTTGAAATCTCCAGCTGCAAATTCCACAAAAAGGGTGTTTAACATCTGCTCTTCTAAAGGAAAGTTCAACTCTATGAGTTGAATACACACAGCACAAAGAAGTTACTGAGACTTCTTCTGTCTAACATTATATGAAGAAATCCTGTTTCCAACGAAGGCCTCAAAGAGGTCCAAATATCTGCTTGCAGACTTTACAGACAGAGTGTTTCCAAACTGCTCCATCAAAAGAAAGGTTAAACTCCTTGAGTTGAACACACACATCACAAAGTAGTTTCTGTGAATGATTCTGTCTAGTTTTTATACGAAGATGTTTCCTTTTCTACCTTTGGTCTCAATGCGATTGAAATCTCCACATGGAAACTCCACAAAAAGAGTGTTTCAAATCTGCTCTTTCTGAAGGAAGGTTCAACTCTGTGAGTTGAATACACACACCACAAATAAGTTACTGAGAATTCTTCTGTGTAACATTATATGAGGAAATCCCGTTTCCAACGAAGGCCTCGAAGAGATCCAAATATCCACTTGCAGACTTTACAAAGACAGTGTCTCCAAACTCCTCCATCAAAAGAAAGGTTATACTCTGTGAATTGAACGCACACATCACAAAGTAGTTTCTGAGAATGATTCTGTCTAGTTTTTATACGAAGATATTTCCTTTTCTACATTTGGCCTAAAAGCGCTTGAAATCTCCACCTGCAAATATCACAAAAAGAGGGTTTCACATCTGCTCTGTCTAAAGGACAGTTCACCTCTGTGAGTTGAATAGAGGCAACACAAAGAACTTACTCAGTATTCTTCTTTCTAGCGTTCTATGAAGAAATCCCGTTTCCAACGAAGGCCCCAAAGAGGTCCAAATATCTGCTTGCAGACTTTACAGACAGAGTGTTTCCAAACTACTCTATGAAAAGAAAGCTTAAACTCCTTGAGTTGAACGCACACATCACAAAGTAGTTTCTGAGAATGATTCTGTCTAGTTTTTATACGAAGATGTTTCCTTTTCTACATTTGGTCTCAAAGCGATTGAAATCTCCAAGTGGAAACTGCACAAATAGGGTGTTTCAAATCTGCTCTGTCTAAAGGAAGGTTCAACTCTGTGAGTTGAATACACAAACCACAAACAAGTTACTGAGAATTCTTCTGTCGAACATTACTTGAAGAAATCCCGTTTCCAACGAAGGCCTCAAAGAGGTCCAAATATCCACTTGCAGACATTACAAACAGAGTGTTTCCAAACTGCTCCATCAAAAGAAAGGTTAAACTCTGTGAGCTGAACACACACATCAAAAAGAAGTTTCTGTGAATGATTCTGTCTAGATTTTATAAGAAGATGTTTCCTTTTCTACCGTAGGCCTCAAAGCGCTTGAAATCTCCAGCTGCAAATTCCACAAAAAGGGTGTTTAACATCTGCTCTTCTAAAGGAAAGTTCAACTCTATGAGTTGAATACACACAGCACAAAGAAGTTACTGAGACTTCTCCTATCAAACATTATATGAAGAAATCCCGTTTCCAACGAAGGCCTCAAAGAGGTCCAAATATCTGCTTGCAGACTTTACAGACAGAGTGTTTCCAAACTGCTCCATCAAAAGAAAGGTTAAACTCCTTGAGTTGAACACACACATCACAAAGTAGTTTCTGTGAATGATTCTGTCTAGTTTTTATACGAAGATGTTTCCTTTTCTACCTTTGTTCTCAATGCGATTGAAATCTCCACATGGAAACTCCACAAAAAGAGTGTTTCAAATCTGCTCTTTCTGAAGGAAGGTTCAACTCTGTGAGTTGAATACACACACCACAAATAAGTTACTGAGAATTCTTCTGTGTAACATTATATGAGGAAATCCCGTTTCCAACGAAGGCCTCAAAGAGGTCCAAATATCCACTTGCAGACTTACAAAGACAGTGTCTCCAAACTCCTCCATCAAAAGAAAGGTTATACTCTGTGAATTGAACGCACACATCACAAAGTAGTTTCTGAGAATGATGCTGTCTAGTTTTTATACGAAGATGTTTCCTTTTCTACATTTGGCCTAAAAGCGCTTGAAATCTCCACCTGCAAATATCACAAAAAGAGGTTTTCACATCTGCTCTGTCTAAAGGACAGTTCACCTCTGTGAGTTGAATAGAGGCAACACAAAGAACTTACTCAGTATTCTTCTTTCTAGCGTTCTATGAAGAAATCCCGTTTCCAACGAAGGCCGCAAAGAGGTCAAATATCTGCTTGCAGACTTTACAGACAGAGTGTTTCCAAACTACTCTATGAAAAGAAAGCTTAAACTCCTTGAGTTGAACGCACACATCACAAAGTAGTTTCTGAGAATGATTCTGTCTAGTTTTTATACGAAGATGTTTCCTTTTCTACATTTGGTCTCAAAGCGATTGAAATCTCCAACTGGAAACTGCACAAATAGGGTGTATCAAATCTGCTCTGTCTAAAGAAGGTTCAACTCTGTGAGTTGAATACACACACCACAAATAAGTTACTGAGAATTCTTCTGTCGAACATTACTTGAAGAAATCCCGTTTCCAACGAAGGCCTCAAAGAGGTCCAAATATCTGCTTGCAGACTTTACAGACAGAGTGTTTCCAAACTACTCTATGAAAAGAAAGCTTAAACTCCTTGAGTTGAACGCACACATCACAAAGTAGTTTCTGAGAATGATTCTGTCTAGTTTTTATACGAAGATGTTTCCTTTTCTACATTTGGTCTCAAAGCTCTTGAAATCTCCAACTGGAAACTGCACAAATAGGCTGTTTCAAATCTGCTCTGTCTAAAGGAAGGTTCAACTCTGTGAGTTGAATACACACACCACAAATAAGTTACTGAGAATTCTTCTGTCGAACATTACTTGAAGAAATCCCGTTTCCAACGAAGGCCTCAAAGAGGTCCAAATATCCACTTGCAGACGTTACAAACAGAGTGTTTCCAAACTGCTCCATCAAAAGAAAGGTTAAACTCTGTGAGCTGAACACACACATCAAAAAGAAGTTTCTGTGAATGATTCTGTCTAGATTTTATAAGAAGATGTTTCCTTTTCTACCGTAGGCCTCAAAGCGCTTGAAATCTCCAGCTGCAAATTCCACAAAAAGGGTGTTTAACATCTGCTCTTCTAAAGGAAAGTTCAACTCTATGAGTTGAATACACACAGCACAAAGAAGTTACTGAGACTTCTCCTATCAAACATTATATGAAGAAATCCCGTTTCCAACGAAGACCTCAAAGAGGTCCAAATATCTGCTTGCAGACTTTACAGACAGAGTGTTTCCAAACTGCTCCATCAAAAGAAAGGTTAAACTCCTTGAGTTGAACACACACATCACAAAGTAGTTTCTGTGAATGATTCTGTCTAGTTTTTATACGAAGATGTTTCCTTTTCTACCTTTGGTCTCAAAGCGATTGAAATCTCCACATGGAAACTCCACAAAAAGAGTGTTTCAAATCTGCTCTTTCTGAAGGAAGGTTCAACTCTGTGAGTTGAATACACACACCACAAATAAATTACTGAGAATTCTTCTGTGTAACATTATATGAGGAAATCCCGTTTCCAACGAAGGCCTCAAAGAGATCCAAATATCCACTTGCAGACTTTACAAAGACAGTGTCTCCAAACTCCTCCATCAAAAGAAAGGTTATACTCTGTGAATTGAACGCACACATCACAAAGTAGTTTCTGAGAATGATTGTGTCTAGTTTTTATACGAAGATATTTCCTTTTCTACATTTGGCCTCAAAGCGCTTGAAATCTCCACCTGCAAATATCACAAAAAGAGGGTTTCACATCTGCTCTGTCTAAAGGACAGTTCACCTCTGTGAGTTGAATAGAGGCAACACAAAGAACTTACTCAGTATTCTTCTTTCTAGCGTTCTATGAAGAAATCCCGTTTCCAACGAAGGCCCCAAAGAGGTCCAAATATCTGCTTGCAGACTTTACAGACAGAGTGTTTCCAAACTACTCTATGAAAAGAAAGCTTAAACTCCTTGAGTTGAACGCACACATCACAAAGTAGTTTCTGAGAATGATTCTGTCTAGTTTTTATACGAAGATGTTTCCTTTTCTACATTTGGTCTCAAAGCGATTGAAATCTCCAACTGGAAACTGCACAAATACGGTGTTTCAAATCTGCTCTGTCTAAAGGAAGGTTCAACTCTGTGAGTTGAATACACACACCACAAATAAGTTACTGAGAATTCTTCTGTCGAACATTACTTGAAGAAATCCCGTTTCCAACGAAGGCCTCAAAGAGGTCCAAATATCCACTTGCAGACATTACAAACAGAGTGTTTCCAAACTGCTCCATCAAAAGAAAGGTTAAACTCTGTGAGCTGAACACACACATCAAAAAGAAGTTTCTGTGAATGATTCTGTCTAGATTTTATAAGAAGATGTTTCCTTTTCTACCGTAGGCCTCAAAGCGCTTGAAATCTCCAGCTGCAAATTCCACAAAAAGGGTGTTTAACATCTGCTCTTCTAAAGGAAAGTTCAACTCTATGAGTTGAATACACACAGCACAAAGAAGTTACTGAGACTTCTCCTATCAAACATTATATGAAGAAATCCCGTTTCCAACGAAGGCCTCAAAGAGGTCCAAATATCTGCTTGCAGACTTTACAAAGACAGTGTCTCCAAACTCCTCCATCAAAAGAAAGGTTATACTCTGTGAATTGAACGCACACATCACAAAGTAGTTTCTGAGAATGATTCTGTCTAGTTTTTATATGAAGATATTTCCTTTTCTACATTTGGCCTAAAAGCGCTTGAAATCTCCACGTGCAAATATCACAAAAAGAGGGTTTCACATCTGCTCTTTCTAAAGGACAGTTCACCTCTGTGAGTTGAATAGAGGCAACACAAAGAACTTACTCAGTATTCTTCTTTCTAGCGTTCTATGAAGAAATCCCGTTTCCAACGAAGGCCCCAAAGAGGTCCAAATATCTGCTTGCAGACTTTACAGACAGAGTGTTTCCAAACTACTCTATGAAAAGAAAGCTTAAACTCCTTGAGTTGAACGCACACATCACAAAGTAGTTTCTGAGAATGATTCTGTCTAGTTTTTATACGAAGATGTTTCCTTTTCTACATTTGGTCTCAAAGCGATTGAAATCTCCAACTGGAAACTGCACAAATAGGGTGCTTCAAATCTGCTCTGTCTAAAGGAAGGTTCAACTCTGTTAGTTGAATACACACACCACAAATAAGTTACTGAGAATTCTTCTGTCGAACATTACTTGAAGAAATCCCGTTTCCAACGAAGGCCCCAAAGAGGTCCAAATATCTGCTTGCACACATTACAGACAGAGTGTTTCCAAACTACTCTATGAAAAGAAAGCTTAAACTCCTTGAGTTGAACGCACACATCACAAAGTAGTTTCTGAGAATGATTCTGTCTAGTTTTTATACGAAGATGTTTCCTTTTCTACATTTGGTCTCAAAGCGATTGAAATCTCCAACTGGAAACTGCACAAATAGGGTGTTTCAAATCTGCTCTGTCTAAAGGAAGGTTCAACTCTGTGAGTTGAATACACACACCACAAATAAGTTACTGAGAATTCTTCTGTCTAACATTATATGAAGAAATCCCTTTTCCAAAGAAGGCCTCAAAGAGGTCCAAATATCCACTTGCAGACTTGTCAAACAGAGTGTTTGCAAACTGCACCATCAAAGGAAAGGTTAAACTCTGTGAGCTGAACACACACATCACAAAGAAGTTTCTGTGAATGATTCTGTCTAGTTTTTATACGAAGATGTTTCCTTTTCTACCTTTGGTCTCAAAGCGATTGAAATCTCCACATGGAAACTCCACAAAAAGAGTGTTTCAAATCTGCTCTTTCTGAAGGAAGGTTCAACTCTGTGAGTTGAATACACACACCACAAATAAGTTACTGAGAATTCTTCTGGGTAACATTATATGAGGAAATCCCGTTTCCAACGAAGGCCTCAAAGAGGTCCAAATATCCACTTGCAGACTTTACAAAGACAGTGTCTCCAAACTCCTCCATCAAAAGAAAGGTTATACTCTGTGAATTGAACGCACACATCACAAAGTAGTTTCTGAGAATGATTCTGTCTAGTTTTTATACGAAGATATTTCCTTTTCTACATTTGGCCTAAAAGCGCTTGAAATCTCCACGTGCAAATATCACAAAAAGAGGGTTTCACATCTGCTCTGTCTAAAGGACAGTTCACCTCTGTGAGTTGAATAGAGGCAACACAAAGAACTTACTCAGTATTCTTCTTTCTAGCGTTCTATGAAGAAATCCCGTTTCCAACGAAGGCCTCAAAGAGGTCAAATATCTGCTTGCAGACTTTACAGACAGAGTGTTTCCAAACTACTCTATGAAAAGAAAGCTTAAACTCCTTGAGTTGAACGCACACATCACAAAGTAGTTTCTGAGAATGATTCTGTCTAGTTTTTATACGAAGATGTTTCCTTTTCTACATTTGGTCTCAAAGCTCTTGAAATCTCCAACTGGAAACTGCACAAATAGGCTGTTTCAAATCTGCTCTGTCTAAAGGAAGGTTCAACTCTGTGAGTTGAATACACACACCACAAATAAGTTACTGAGAATTCTTCTGTCGAACATTACTTGAAGAAATCCCGTTTCCAACGAAGGCCTCAAAGAGGTCCAAATATCCACTTGCAGACATTACAAACAGAGTGTTTCCAAACTGCTCCATCAAAAGAAAGGTTAAACTCTGTGAGCTGAACACACACATCAAAAAGAAGTTTCTGTGAATGATTCTGTCTAGATTTTATAAGAAGATGTTTCCTTTTCTACCGTAGGCCTCAAAGCGCTTGAAATCTCCACCTGCAAATATCACAAAAAGAGGGTTTCACATCTGCTCTGTCTAAAGGACAGTTCACCTCTGTGAGTTGAATAGAGGCAACACAAAGAACTTACTCAGTATTCTTCTTTCTAGCGTTCTATGAAGAAATCCCGTTTCCAACGAAGGCCTCAAAGAGGTCAAATATCTGCTTGCAGACATTACAGACAGAGTGTTTCCAAACTACTCTATGAAAAGAAAGCTTAAACTCCTTGAGTTGAACGCACACATCACAAAGTAGTTTCTGAGAATGATTCTGTCTTGTTTTTATACGAAGATATTTCCGTTTCTATGATTTGCCTCAAAGCGATTGAAATCTCCAACTGGAAACTGCACAAATAGGGTGTTTCAAATCTGCTCTGTCTAAAGGAAGGTTCAACTCTGTGAGTTGAATACACACACCACAAATAAGTTACTGAGAATTCTTCTGTCGAACATTACATGAAGAAATCCCGTTTCCAACGAAGGCCTCAAAGAGGTCCAAATATCCACTTGCAGACATTACAAACAGAGTGTTTCCAAACTGCTCCATCAAAAGAAAGGTTAAACTCTGTGAGCTGAACACACACATCAAAAAGAAGTTTCTGTGAATGATTCTGTCTAGATTTTATAAGAAGATGTTTCCTTTTCTACCGTAGGCCTCAAAGCGCTTGAAATCTCCAGCTGCAAATTCCACAAAAAGGGTGTTTAACATCTGCTCTTCTAAAGGAAAGTTCAACTCTATGAGTTGAATACACACAGCACAAAGAAGTTACTGAGACTTCTCCTATCAAACATTATATGAAGAAATCCCGTTTCCAACGAAGGCCTCAAAGAGGTCCAAATATCTGCTTGCAGACTTTACAGACAGAGTTTTTCCAAACTGCTCCATCAAAAGAAAGGTTAAACTCCTTGAGTTGAACACACACATCACAAAGTAGTTTCTGTGAATGATTCTGTCTAGTTTTTATACGAAGATGTTTCCTTTTCTACCTTTGGTCTCAAAGCGATTGAAATCTCCACATGGAAACTCCACAAAAAGAGTGTTTCAAATCTGCTCTTTCTGAAGGAAGGTTCAACCCTGTGAGTTGAATACACACACCACAAATAAGTTACTGAGAATTCTTCTGTGTAACATTATATGAGGAAATCCCGTTTCCAACGAAGGCCTCAAAGAGGTCCAAATATCCACTTGCAGACTTTACAAAGACAGTGTCTCCAAACTCCTCCATCAAAAGAAAGGTTATACTCTGTGAATTGAACGCACACATCACAAAGTAGTTTCTGAGAATGATTCTGTCTAGTTTTTATACGAAGATATTTCCTTTTCTACATTTGGCCTAAAAGCGCTTGAAATCTCCACCTGCAAATATCACAAAAAGAGGGTTTCACATCTGCTCTGTCTAAAGGACAGTTCACCTCTGTGAGTTGAATAGAGGCAACACAAAGAACTTACTCAGTATTCTTCTTTCTAGCGTTCTATGAAGAAATCCCGTTTCCAACGAAGGCCCCAAAGAGGTCCAAATATCTGCTTGCAGACTTTACAGACAGAGTGTTTCCAAACTACTCTATGAAAAGAAAGATTAAACTCCTTGAGTTGAACGCACACATCACAGAGTAGTTTCTGAGAATGATTCTGTCAAGTTTTTATACGAAGATGTTTCCTTTTCTACATTTGGTCTCAAAGCGATTGAAATCTCCAACTGGAAACTGCACAAATAGGGTGTTTCAAATCTGCCCTGTCTAAAGGAAGGTTCAACACTGTGAGTTGAATACACACACCACAAATAAGTTACTGAGAATTCTTCTGTCGAACATTACTTGAAGAAATCCCGTTTCCAACGAAGGCCTCAAAGAGGTCCAAATATCCACTTGCAGACATTACAAACAGAGTGTTTCCAAACTGCTCCATCAAAAGAAAGGTTAAGCTCTGTGAGCTGAACACACACATCGAAAAGAAGTTTCTGTGAATGATTCTGTCTAGATTTTATAAGAAGATGTTTCCTTTTCTACCGTAGGCCTCAAAGCGCTTGAAATCTCCAGCTGCAAATTCCACAAAAAGGGTGTTTAACATCTGCTCTTCTAAAGGAAAGTTCAACTCTATGAGTTGAATACACACAGCACAAAGAAGTTACTGAGACTTCTCCTATCAAACATTATATGAAGAAATCCCGTTTCCAACGAAGGCCTCAAAGAGGTCCAAATATCTGCTTGCAGACTTTACAGACAGAGTGTTTCCAAACTGCTCCATCAAAAGAAAGGTTAAACTCCTTGAGTTGAACACACACATCACAAAGTAGTTTCTGTGAATGATTCTGTCCAGTTTTTATACGAAGATGTTTCCTTTTCTACCTTTGGTCTCAAAGCGATTGAAATCTCCACATGGAAACTCCACAAAAAGAGTGTTTCAAATCTGCTCTTTCTGAAGGAAGGTTCAACTCTGTGAGTTGAATACACACACCACAAATAAGTTACTGTGAATTCTTCTGTGTAACATTATATGAGGAAATCCCGTTTCCAACGAAGGCCTCAAAGAGGTCCAAATATCCACTTGCAGACTTTACAAAGACAGTGTCTCCAAACTCCTCCATCAAAAGAAAGGTTATACTCTGTGAATTGAACGCACACATCACAAAGTAGTTTCTGAGAATGATTCTGTCTAGTTTTTATACGAAGATGTTTCCTTTTCTACATTTGGTCTCAAAGCGATTGAAATCTCCAACTGGAAACTGCACAAATAGGGTGTTTCAAATCTGCTCTGTCTAAAGGAAGGTTCAACTCTGTGAGTTGAATACACACACCACAAATAAGTTACTGAGAATTCTTCTGTCGAACATTCCATGAAGAAATCCCGTTTCCAACGAAGGCCTCAAAGAGGTCCAAATATCCACTTGCAGACATTACAAACAGAGTGTTTCCAAACTGCTCCATCAAAAGAAAGGTTAAACTCTGTGAGCTGAACACACACATCAAAAAGAAGTTTCTGTGAATGATTCTGTCTAGATTTTATAAGAAGATGTTTCCTTTTCTACCGTAGGCCTCAAAGCGCTTCAAATCTACGGCTGCAAATTCCACAAAAAGGGTGTTTAACATCTGCTCTTCTAAAGGAAAGTTCAACTCTATGGGTTGAATACACACAGCACAAAGAAGTTACTGAGACTTCTCCTATCAAACATTATATGAAGAAATCCCGTTTCCAACGAAGGCCTCAAAGAGGTCCAAATATCTGCTTGCAGACTTTACAGACAGAGTGTTTCCAAACTGCTCCATCAAAAGAAAGGTTAAACTCCTTGAGTTGAACACACACATCACAAAGTAGTTTCTGTGAATGATTCTGTCTAGTTTTTATACGAAGATGTTTCCTTTTCTACCTTTGGTCACAAAGCGATTGAAATCTCCACATGGAAACTCCACAAAAAGAGTGTTTCAAATCTGCTCTTTCTGAAGGAAGGTTCAACTCTGTGAGTTGAATACACACACCACAAATAAGTTACTGAGAATTCTTCTGTGTAACAATATATGAGGAAATCCCGTTTGAACGAAGGCCTCAAAGAGGTCCAAATATCCACTTGCAGACTTTACAAAGACAGTGTCTCCAAACTCCTCCATCAAAAGAAAGGTTATACTCGGTGAATTGAACGCACACATCACAAAGTATTTTCTGAGAATGATTCTGTCTAGTTTTTATACGAAGATATTTCCTTTTCTACATTTGGCCTAAAAGCGCTTGAAATCTCCACCTGCAAATATCACAAAAAGAGGGTTTCACATCTGCTCTGTCTAAAGGACATTTCACCTCTGTGAGTTGAATAGAGGCAACACAAAGAACTTACTCAGCATTCTTCTTTCTAGCGTTATATGTTGAAATCCCGTTTAAAACGAAGGCCTCAAAGAGGTGCAAATATCTGCTTGCAGACTTTACAGACAGAGTGTTTCCAAACTACTCTATGAAAAGAAAGTTTAAACTCCTTGAGTTGAACGCACACATCACAAAGTAGTTTCTGAGAATGATTCTGTCTTGTTTTTATACAAAGATATTTCCGTTTCTATGATTGGCCTCAAAGCGATTGAAATCTCCAACTGGAAACTGCACAAATAGGGTGTTTCAAATCTGCTCTGTCTAAAGGAAGGTTCAACTCTGTGAGTTGAATACACACACCACAAATAAGTTACTGAGAATTCTTCTGTGTAACATTATATGAGGAAATCCCGTTTCCAACGAAGGCCTCAAAGAGGTCCAAATATCCACTTGCCGACATGGCAAACACAGTGTTTGCAAACTGCTCCAACAAAAGAAAGGTTAAACTCTGTGAGATGAACACACACATCAAAAAGAAGTTTCTGTGAATGATTCTGTCTAGATTTTATAAGAAGATGTTTCCTTTTCTACCATAGGCCTCAAAGCGCTAGAAATCTCCAGCTGCAAACTCCACAAAAAGTGTGTTTAAAATCCGCTCTGTCTAAAGTAAAGTTCAGCTCTGTGAGTTGAATACACACAGCACAAATAAGTTACTGAGACTTCTCCTATCAAACATTATATGAAGAAATCCCGTTTCCAACGAAGGCCTCAAAGAGGTCCAAATATCTGCTTGCAGACTTTACAGACAGAGTGTTTCCAAACTGCTCCATCAAAAGAAAGGTTAAACTCCTTGAGTTGAACACACACATCACAAAGTAGTTTCTGTGAATGATTCTGTCTAGTTGTTATACGAAGATGTTTCCTTTTCTACCTTTGGTCTCAAAGCGATTGAAATCTCCACATGGAAACTCCACAAAAAGAGTGTTTCAAATCTGCTCTTTCTGAAGGAAGGTTCATCTCTGTGAGTTGAATACACACACCACAAATAAGTTAGTGAGAATTCTTCTGTGTAACATTATATGAGGAAATCCCGTTTCCAACGAAGGCCTCAAAGAGGTCCAAATATCCACTTGCAGACTTTACAAAGACAGTGTCTCCAAACTCCTCCATCAAAAGAAAGGTTATACTCTGTGAATTGAACGCACACATCACAAAGTAGTTTCTGAGAATGATTCTGTCTAGTTTTTATACGAAGATATTTCCTTTTCTACATTTGGCCTAAAAGCGCTTGAAATCTCCACCTGCAAATATCACAAAAAGAGGGTTTCACATCTGCTCTGTCTAAAGGACAGTTCACCTCTGTGAGTTGAATAGAGTCAACACAAAGAACTTACTCAGTATTCTTCTTTCTAGCGTTCTATGAAGAAATCCCGTTTCCAACGAAGGCCCTAAAGAGGTCCAAATATCTGCTTGCAGACTTTACAGACAGAGTGTTTCCAAACTACTCTATGAAAAGAAAGCTTAAACTCCTTGAGTTGAACGCACACATCACAAAGTAGTTTCTGAGAATGATTCTGTCTAGTTTTTATACGAAGATGTTTCCTTTTCTACATTTGGTCTCAAAGCGATTGAAATCTCCAACTGGAAACTGCACAAATAGGGTGTTTCAAATCTGCTCTGTCTAAAGGAAGGTTCAACTCTGTGAGTTGAATACACACACCACAAATAAGTTACTGAGAATTCTTCTGTCGACCATTACTTGAAGAAATCCCGTTTCCAACGAAGGCCTCAAAGAGGTCCAAATATCCACTTGCAGACATTACAAACAGAGTGTTTCCAAACTGCTCCATCAAAAGAAAGGTTAAACTCTGTGAGCTGAACACACACATCAAAAAGAAGTTTCTGTGAATGATTCTGTCTAGATTTTATAAGAAGATGTTTCCTTTTCTACCGTAGGCCTCAAAGCGCTTGAAATCTCCAGCTGCAAATTCCACAAAAAGGGTGTTTAACATGTGCTCTTCTAAAGGAAAGTTCAACTCTATGCGTTGAATACACACAGCACAAAGAAGTTACTGAGACTTCTCCTATCAAACATTATATGAAGAAATCCCGTTTCCAACGAAGGCCTCAAAGAGGTCCAAATATCTGCTTGCAGACTTTACAGACAGAGTGTTTCCAAACTGCTCCATCAAAAGAAAGGTTAAACTCCTTGAGTTGAACACACACATCACAAAGTAGTTTCTGTGAATGATTCTGTCTAGTTGTTATACGAAGATGTTTCCTTTTCTACCTTTGGTCTCAAAGCGATTGAAATCTCCACATGGAAACTCCACAAAAAGAGTGTTTCAAATCTGCTCTTTCTGAAGGAAGGTTCATCTCTGTGAGTTGAATATACACACCACAAATAAGTTACTGAGAATTCTTCTGTGTAACATTATATGAGGAAATCCCGTTTCCAAAGAAGGCCTCAAAGAGGTCCAAATATCCACTTGCAGACTTTACAAAGACAGTGTCTCCAAACTCTTCCATCAAAAGAAAGGTTATACTCTGTGAATTGAACGCACACATCACAAAGTAGTTTCTGAGAATGATCTGTCTAGTTTTTATACGAAGATATTTCCTTTTCTACATTTGGCCTAAAAGCGCTTGAAATCTCCACCTGCAAATATCACAAAAAGAGGGTTTCACATCTGCTCTGTCTAAAGGACAGTTCACCTCTGTGAGTTGAATAGAGGCAACACAAAGAACTTACTCAGTATTCTTCTTTCTAGCGTTCTATGAAGAAATCCCGTTTCCAACGAAGGCCCCAAAGAGGTCCAAATATCTGCTTGCAGACTTTACAGACAGAGTGTTTCCAAACTACTCTATGAAAAGAAAGCTTAAACTCCTTGAGTTGAACGCACACATCACAAAGTAGTTTCTGAGAATGATTCTGTCTAGTTTTTATACGAAGATGTTTCCTTTTCTACATTTGGTCTCAAAGCGATTGAAATCTCCAACTGGAAACTGCACAAATAGGGTGTTTCAAATCTGCTCTGTCTAAAGGAAGGTTCAACTCTGTGAGTTGAATACACACACCACAAATAAGTTACTGAGAATTCTTCTGTCGAACATTACATGAAGAAATCCCGTTTCCAACGAAGGCCTCAAAGAGGTCCAAATATCCACTTGCAGACATTACAAACAGAGTGTTTCCAAACTGCTCCATCAAAAGAAAGGTTAAACTCTGTGAGCTGAACACACACATCAAAAAGAAGTTTCTGTGAATGATTCTGTCTAGACTTTAGAAGAAGATGTTTCCTTTTCTACTGTAGGCCTCAAAGCGCTTGAAATCTCCAGCTGCAAATTCCACAAAAAGGGAGTTTAACATCTGCTCTTCTAAAGGAAAGTTCAACTCCATGAGTTGAATACACACAGCACAAAGAAGTTACTGAGACTTCTCCTATCAAACATTATATGAAGAAATCCCGTTTCCAACGAAGGCCTCAAAGAGGTCCAAATATTCACTTGCAGACGTGACAAACAGAGTGTTTCCAAACTGCTCCATCCAAAGAAAGGTTAAAGTCTGTGACTTGAACACACACATCACAAAGTAGTTTCAGTGAATGATTCTGTCTAGTTTTTATACGAAGATGTTTCCTTTTCTACATTTGGTCTCAAAGCCATTGAAATCTCCACATGGAAACTCCACAAAAAGAGTGTTTCAAATCTGTTCTTTCTGAAGGAAGGTTCAACTCTGTGAGTTGAATACACACACCACAAATAAGTTACTGAGAATTCTTCTGTGTAACATTATAGGAGGAAATCCCGTTTCCAACGAAGGCCTCAAAGAGGTCCAAATATCCACTTGCAGTCTTTACAAAGACAGTGTCTCCAAACTCCTCCATCAAAAGAAAGCTTATCCTCTGTGAATTGAACGCACACATCACAAAGTAGTTTGCTGAGAATGATTTCTGTCTAGTTTTTATACGAAGATATTTCCTTTTCTACATTTGGCCTAAAAGCGCTTGAAATCTCCACCTGCAAATATCACAAAAACAGGATTTCACATCTGCTCTGTCTAAAGGACAGTTCACCTCTGTGAGTTGAATAGAGGCAGCACAAAGAAGTTACTGAGTATTCTTCTTTCTGGCGTTCTATGAAGAAATCCCGTTTCCAACGAAGGCCCCAAAGAGGTCCAAATATCTGCCTGCAGACTTTACAGACAGAATGTTTCCAAACTACTCTATGAAAAGAAAGCTTAAACTCCTTGAGTTGAACGCACACATCACAAATTAGTTTCTGAGAATGATTCTGTCTAGTTTTTATACGAAGATGTTTCCTTTTCTACATTTGGTCTCAAAGCGATTGAAATCTCCAACTGGATACTGCACAAATAGGGTGTTTCAAATCTGCTCTGTCTAAAGGAAGGTTCAACTCTGTGAGTTGAATACACACACCACAAATAAGTTACTGAGAATTCTTCTGTCGAACATTACTTGAAGAAATCCCGTTTCCAACGAAGGCCACAAAGAGGTCCAAATATCCACTTGCAGATATTACAAACAGAGTGTTTCCAAACTGCTCCATCAAAAGAAAGGTTAAACTCGGTGAGCTGAACACACACATCAAAAAGAAGTTTCTGTGAATTATTCTGTCCAGATTTTATAAGAAGATGTTTCCTTTTCTACTGTAGTCCTCAAAGCGCTTGAAATCTCCAACTACAAATTCCAGAAAAAGGGTGTTTAACATCTGCTCTTCTAAAGGAAAGTTCAACTCTATGAGTTGAATACACACAGCACAAAGAAGTTACTGAGACTTCTGCTATCAAACATTATATGAAGAAATCCCGTTTCCAACGAAGGCCTCAAAGAGGTCCAAATATCTGCTTGCAGACTTTACAGACAGAGTGTTTCCAAACTGCTCCATCAAAAGAAAGGTTAAACTCCTTGAGTTGAACACACACATCACAAAGTAGTTTCTGTGAATGATTCTGTCTAGTTGTTATACGAAGATGTTTCCTCTTCTACCTTTGGTCTCAAAGCGATTGAAATCTCCACATGGAAACTCCACAAAAAGAGTGTTTCAAATCTGCTCTTTCTGAAGGAAGGTTCATCTCTGTGAGTTGAATACACACACCACAAATAAGTTACTGAGAATTCTTCTGTGTAACATTATATGAGGAAATCCCGTTTCCAACGAAGGCCTCAAAGAGGTCCAAATATCCACTTGCAGACTTTACAAAGACAGTGTCTCCAAACTCCGCCATCAAAGAAAGGTTATACTCTGTGAATTGAACGCACACATCACAAAGTAGTTTCTGAGAATGATTCTGTCTAGTTTTTATACGAAGATATTTCCTTTTCTACATTTGGCCTAAAAGCGCTTGAAATCTCCACCTGCAAATATCACAAAAAGAGGGTTTCACATCTGCTCTCTCTAAAGGACAGTTCACCTCTGTGAGTTGAATAGAGGCAACACAAAGAACTTACTCAGTATTCTTCTTTCTAGCGTTCTATGAAGAAATCCCGTTTCCAACGAAGGCCCCAAAGAGGTCCAAATATCTGCTTGCAGACTTTACAGACAGAGTGTTTCCAAACTACTCTATGAAAAGAAAGCTTAAACTCCTTGAGTTAAATGCACACATCACAAAGTAGTTTCTGAGAATGATTCTGTCTAGTTTTTATACGAAGATGTTTCCTTTTCTACATTTGGTCTCAAAGCGATTGAAATCTCCAACTGGAAACTGCACAAATAGGGTGTTTCAAATCTGCTCTGTCTAAAGGAAGGTTCAACTCTGTGAGTTGAATACACACACCACAAATAAGTTACTGAGAATTCTTCTGTCGAACATTACAGGAAGAAATCCCGTTTCCAACGAAGGCCTCAAAGAGGTCCAAATATCCACTTGCAGACATTACAAACAGAGTGTTTCCAAACTGCTCCATCAAAAGAAAGGTTAAACTCTGTGAGCTGAACACACACATCAAAAAGAAGTTTCTGTGAATGATTCTGTCTAGATTTTATAAGAAGATGTTTCCTTTTCTACCGTAGGCCTCAAAGCGCTTGAAATCTCCAGCTGCAAATTCCACAAAAAGGGTGTTTAACATCTGCTCTTCTAAAGGAAAGTTCAACTCTATGAGTTGAATACACACAGCACAAAGAAGTTACTGAGACTTCTCCTATCAAACATTATATGAAGAAATCCCGTTTCCAACGAAGGCCTCAAAGAGGTCCAAATATCTGCTTGCAGACTTTACAGACAGAGTTTTTCCAAACTGCTCCATCAGAAGAAAGGTTAAACTCCTTGAGTTGAACACACACATCACAAAGTAGTTTCTGTGAATGATTCTGTCTAGTTTTTATACGAAGATGGTTCCTTTTCTACCTTTGGTCTCAAAGCGATTGAAATCTCCACATGGAAACTCCACAAAAAGAGTGTTTCAAATCTGCTCTTTCTGAAGGAAGGTTCAACTCTGTGAGTTGAATACACACACCACAAATGAGTTACTGAGAATTCTTCTGTGTAACATTATATGAGGAAATCCCGTTTCCAACGAAGGCCTCAAAGAGGTCCAAATATCCACTTGCAGACTTTACAAAGACAGTGTCTCCAAACTCCTCCATCAAAAGAAAGGTTATACTCTGTGAATTGAACGCACACATCACAAAGTAGTTTCTGAGAATGATTCTGTCTAGTTTTTATACGAAGATATTTCCTTTTCTACATTTGGCCTAAAAGGGCTTGAAATCTCCACCTGCAAATATCACAAAAAGAGGGTTTCACATCTGCTCTGTCTAAAGGACAGTTCACCTCTGTGAGTTGAATAGAGGCAACACAAAGAACTTACTCAGTATTCTTCTTTCTAGCGTTCTATGAAGAAATCCCGTTTCCAACGAAGGCCCCAAAGAGGTCCAAATATCTGCTTGCAGACTTTACAGACAGAGTGTTTCCAAACTACTCTATGAAAAGAAAGCTTAAACTCCTTGAGTTGAACGCACACATCACAAAGTAGTTTCTGAGAATGATTCTGTCTAGTTTTTATACGAAGATGTTTCCTTTTCTACATTTGGTCTCAAAGCGATTGAAATCTCCAACTGGAAACTGCACAAATAGGGTGTTTCAAATCTGCTCTGTCTAAAGGAAGGTTCAACTCTGTGAGTTGAATACACACACCACAAATAAGTTACTGAGAATTCTTCTGTCGAACATTACTTGAAGAAATCCCGTTTCCAACGAAGGCCTCAAAGAGGTCCAAATATCCACTTGCAGACATTACAAACAGAGTGTTTCCAAACTGCTCCATCAAAAGAAAGGTTAAACTCTGTGAGCTGAACACACACATCGAAAAGAAGTTTCTGTGAATGATTCTGTCTAGATTTTATAAGAAGATGTTTCCTTTTCTACCATAGGTCTCAAAGCGCTTGAAATCTCCAGCTGCAAATTCCACAAAAAGGGTGTTTAACATCTGCTCTTCTAAAGGAAAGTTGAACTCTATGAGTTGAATACACACAGCACAAAGAAGTTACTGAGACTTCTCCTATCAAACATTATATGAAGAAATCCCGTTTCCAACGAAGGCCTCAAAGAGGTCCAAATATCTGCTTGCAGACTTTACAGACAGAGTGTTTCCAAACTGCTCCATCAAAAGAAAGGTTAAACTCCTTGAGTTGAACACACACATCACAAAGTAGTTTCTGTGAATGATTCTGTCTAGTTGTTATACGAAGATGTTTCCTTTTCTACCTTTGGTCTCAAAGCGATTGAAATCTCCACATGGAAACTCCACAAAAAGAGTGTTTCAAATCTGCTCTTTCTGAAGGAAGGTTCATCTCTGTGAGTTGAATACACACACCACAAATAAGTTACTGAGAATTCTTCTGTGTAACATTATATGAGGAAATCCCGTTTCCAACGAAGGCCTCAAAGAGGTCCAAATATCCACTTGCAGACTTTACAAAGACAGTGTCTCCAAACTCCTCCATCAAAAGAAAGGTTATACTCTGTGAATTGAACGCACACATCACAAAGTAGTTTCTGAGAATGATTCTGTCTAGTTTTTATACGAAGATATTTCCTTTTCTACATTTGGCCTAAAAGCGCTTGAAATCTCCACCTGCAAATATCACAAAAAGAGGGTTTCACATCTGCTCTGTCTAAAGGACAGTTCACCTCCGTGAGTTGAATAGAGGCAACACAAAGAACTTACTCAGTATTCTTCTTTCTAGCGTTCTATGAAGAAATCCCGTTTCCAACGAAGGCCCCAAAGAGGTCCAAATATCTGCTTGCAGACTTTACAGACAGAGTGTTTCCAAACTACTCTATGAAAAGAAAGCTTAAACTCCTTGAGTTGAACGCACACATCACAAAGTAGTTTCTGAGAATGATTCTGTCTAGTTTTTATACGAAGATGTTTCCTTTTCTACATTTGGTCTCAAAGCGATTGAAATCTCCAACTGGAAACTGCACAAATAGGGTGTTTCAAATCTGCTCTGTCTAAAGGAAGGTTCAACTCTGTGAGTTGAATACACACACCACAAATAAGTTACTGAGAATTCTTCTGTCGTACATTACATGAAGAAATCCCGTTTCCAACGAAGGCCTCAAAGAGGTCCAAATATCCACTTTCAGACGTTACAAACAGAATGTTTCCAAACTGCTCCATCAAAAGAAAGGTTAAACTCTGTGAGCTGAACACACACATCAAAGAGAAGTTTCTGTGAATGATTCTGTCTAGATTTTATAAGAAGATGTTTCCTTTTCTACCGTAGGCCTCAAAGCGCTTGAAATCTCCAGCTGCAAATTCCACAAAAAGGGTGTTTAACATCTGCTCTTCTAAAGGAAAGTTCAACTCTATGAGTTGAATACACACAGCACAAAGAAGTTACTGAGACTTCTCCTATCAAACATTATATGAAGAAATCCCGTTTCCAACGAAGGCCTCAAAGAGGTCCAAATATCTGCTTGCAGACTTTACAGACAGAGTGTTTCCAAACTGCTCCATCAAAAGAAAGGTTAAACTCCTTGAGTTGAACACACACATCACAAAGTAGTTTCTGTGAATGATTCTGTCTAGTTTTTATACGAAGATGTTTCCTTTTCTACCTTTGGTCTCAAAGCGATTGAAATCTCCACATGGAAACTCCACAAAAAGAGTGTTTCAAATCTGCTCTTTCTGAAGGAAGGTTCAACTCTGTGAGTTGAATACACACACCACAAATAAGTTACTGAGAATTCTTCTGTGTAACATTATATGAGGAAATCCCGTTTCCAACGAAGGCCTCAAAGAGGTCCAAATATCCACTTGCAGACTTTACAAAGACAGTGTCTCCAAACTCCTCCATCGAAAGAATGGTTATACTCTGTGAATTGAACGCACACATCACAAAGTAGTTTCTGAGAATGATTCTGTCTAGTTTTTATACGAAGATATTTCCTTTTCTACATTTGGCCTAAAAGCGCTTGAAATCTCCACCTGCAAATATCACAAAAAGAGGGTTTCACATCTGCTCTGTCTAAAGGACAGTTCACCTCTGTGAGTTGAATAGAGGCAACACAAAGAACTTACTCAGTATTCTTCTTTCTAGCGTTCTATGAAGAAATCCCGTTTCCAACGAAGGCCTCAAAGAGGTCCAAATATCTGCTTGCAGACTTTACAGACAGAGTGTTTCCAAACTACTCTATGAAAAGAAAGCTTAAACTCCTTGAGTTGAACGCACACATCACAAAGTAGTTTCTGAGAATGATTCTGTCTTGTTTTTATACGAAGATATTTCCGTTTCTATGATTTGCCTCAAAGCGATTGAAATCTCCAACTGGAAACTGCACAAATAGGGTGTTTCAAATCTGCTCTGTCTAAAGGAAGGTTCAACTCTGTGAGTTGAATACACACACCACAAATAAGTTACTGAGAATTCTTCTGTCGAACATTACATGAAGAAATCCCGTTTCCAACGAAGGCCTCAAAGAGGTCCAAATATCCACTTGCAGACATTACAAACAGAGTGTTTCCAAACTGCTCCATCAAAAGAAAGGTTAAACTCTGTGAGCTGAACACACACATCAAAAAGAAGTTTCTGTGAATGATTCTGTCTAGATTTTATAAGAAGATGTTTCCTTTTCTACCGTAGGCCTCAAAGCGCTTGAAATCTCCAGCTGCATATTCCACAAAAAGGGTGTTTAACATCTGCTATTCTAAAGGAAATTTCAACTCAATGAGTTGAATACACACAGCCCAAAGAAGTTACTGAGACTTCTCCTATCAAACATTATATGAAGAAATCCCGTTTCCAACGAAGGCCTCAAAGAGGTCCAAATATCTGCTTGCAGACTTTACAAAGACAGTGTCTCCAAACTCCTCCATCAAAAGAAAGGTTATACTCTGTGAATTGAACGCACACATCACAAAGTAGTTTCTGAGAATGATTCTGTCTAGTTTTTATACGAAGATATTTCCTTTTCTACATTTGGCCGAAAAGCGCTTGAAATCTCCACCTGCAAATACCACAAAAAGAGGGTTTCACATCTGCTCTGTCTAAAGGACAGTTCACCTCTGTGAGTTGAATAGAGGCAACACAAAGAACTTACTCAGTATTCTTCTTTCTAGCGTTCTACGAAGAAATCCCGTTTCCAACGAAGGCCCCAAAGAGGTCCAAATATCTGCTTGCAGACTTTACAGACAGAGTGTTTCCAAACTACTCTATGAAAAGAAAGCTTAAACTCCTTGAGTTGAACGCACACATCACAAAGTAGTTTCTGAGAATGATTCTGTCTAGTTTTTATACGAAGATGTTTCCTTTTCTACATTTGGTCTCAAAGCGATTGAAATCTCCAACTGGAAACTGCACAAATAGGGTGTTTCAAATCTGCTCTGTCTAAAGGAAGGTTCAACTCTGTGAGTTGAATACACACACCACAAATAAGTTACTGAGAATTCTTCTGTCGAACATTACAGGAAGAAATCCCGTTTCCAACGAAGGCCTCAAAGAGGTCCAAATATCCACTTGCAGACATTACAAACAGTGTGTTTCCCAACTGCTCCATCAAAAGAAAGGTTAAACTCTGTGAGCTGAACACACACATCAAAAAGAAGTTTCTGTGAATGATTCTGTCTAGATTTTATAAGAAGATGTTTCCTTTTCTACCGTAGGCCTCAAAGCGCTTGAAATCTCCAGCTGCAAATTCCACAAAAAGGGTGTTTAACATCTGCTCTTCTAAAGGAAAGTTCAACTCTATGAGTTGAATACACACAGCACAAAGAAGTTACTGAGACTTCTTCTGTCGAACATTACTTGAAGAAATCCCGTTTCCAACGAAGGCCTCAAAGAGGTCCAAATATCTGCCTGCAGACTTTACAGACAGAGTGTTTCCAAACTGCTCCATCAAAAGAAAGGTTAAACTCCTTGAGTTGAACACACACATCACAAAGTAGTTTCTGTGAATGATTCTGTCTAGTTTTTATACGAAGATGTTTCCTTTTCTACCTTTGGTCTCAAAGCGATTGAAATCTCCACATGGAAACTCCACAAAAAGAGTGTTTCAAATCTGCTCTTTCTGAAGGAAGGTTCATCTCTGTGAGTTGAATGCACACACCACAAATAAGTTACTGAGAATTCTTCTGGGTAACATTATATGAGGAAATCCCGTTTCCAACGAAGGCCTCAAAGAGGTCCAAATATCCACTTGCAGACTTTACAAAGACAGTGTCTCCAAACTCCTCCATCAAAAGAAAGGTTATACTCTGTGAATTGAACGCACACATCACAAAGTAGTTTCTGAGAATGATTCTGTCTAGTTTTTATACGAAGATATTTCCTTTTCTACATTTGGCCTAAAAGCGCTTGAAATCTCCACCTGCAAATACCACAAAAAGAGGGTTTCACATCTGCTCTGTCTAAAGGACAGTTCACCTCTGTGAGTTGAATAGAGGCAACACAAAGAACTTACTCAGTATTCTTCTTTCTAGCGTTCTATGAAGAAATCCCGTTTCCAACGAAGGCCCCAAAGAGGTCCAAATATCTGCTTGCAGACTTTACAGACAGAGTGTTTCCAAACTACTCTATGAAAAGAAAGCTTAAACTCCTTGAGTTGAACGCACACATCACACAGTAGTTTCTGAGAATGATTCTGTCTAGTTTTTATACGAAGATGTTTCCTTTTCTACATTTGGTCTCAAAGCGATTGAAATCTCCAACTGGAAACTGCACAAATAGGGTGTTTCAAATCTGCTCTGTCTAAAGGAAGGTTCAACTCTGTGAGTTGAATACACACACCACAAATAAGTTACTGAGAATTCTTGTGTCGAACATTACTTGAAGAAATCCCGTTTCCAACGAAGGCCTCAAAGATGTCCAAATATTCACTTGCAGATATTACAAACAGAGTGTTTCCAAACTGCTCCATCAAAAGAAAGGTTAAACTCTGTGAGCTGAACACACACATCAAAAAGAAGTTTCTGTGAATGATTCTGTCAAGATTTTATAAGATGTTTCCATTTCTACCGTAGGACTCAAAGCGCTTGAAATCTCCAGCTGCAAATTCCACAAAAAGGGTGTTTAACATCTGCTCTTCTAAAGGAAAGTTCAACTCTATGAGTTGAATACACACAGCACAAAGAAGTTACTGAGACTTCTCCTATCAAACATTATATGAAGAAATCCCGTTTCCAACGAAGGCCTCAAAGAGGTCCAAATATCTGCTTGCAGACTTTAAAGACAGAGTTTTTCCAAACTGCTCCATCAAAAGAAAGGTTAAACTCCTTGAGTTGAACACACACATCACAAAGTAGTTTCTGTGAATGATTCTGTCTAGTTTTTATACGAAGATGTTTCCTTTTCTACCTTTGGTCTCAAAGCGATTGAAATCTCCACATGGTAACTCCACAAAAAGAGTGTTTCAAATCTGCTGTTTCTGAAGGAAGGTTCAACTCTGTGAGTTGAATACACGCACCACAAATAAGTTACTGGGAATTCTTCTGTGTAAAATTATATGAGGAAATCCCGTTTCCAACGAAGGCCTCAAAGAGGTCCAAATATCCACTTGCAGACTTTACAAAGACAGTGTCTCCAAACTCCTCCATCAAAAGAAAGGTTATACTTTGTGAATTGAACGCACACATCACAAAGTAGTTTCTGAGAATGATTCTGTCTAGTTTTTATACGAAGATATTTCCTTTTCTACATTTGGCCTAAAAGCGCTTGAAATCTCCACCTGCAAATATCACAAAAAGAGGGTTTCACATCTGCTCTGTCTAAAGGACAGTTCACCTCTGTGAGTTGAATAGAGGCAACACAAAGAACTTACTCAGTATTCTTCTTTCTAGCGTTCTATGAAGAAATCCCGTTTCCAACGAAGGCCCCAAAGAGATCCAAATATCTGCTTGCAGACTTTACAGACAGAGTGTTTCCAAACTACTCTATGAAAAGAAAGCTTAAACTCCTTGAGTTGAACGCACACATCACAAAGTAGTTTCTGAGAATGATTCTGTCTAGTTTTTATACGAAGATGTTTCCTTTTCTACATTTGGTCTCAAAGCGATTGAAATCTCCAACTGGAAACTGCACAAATAGGGGGTTTCAAATCTGCTCTGTCTAAAGGAAGGTTCAACTCTGTGAGTTGAATACACACACCACAAATAAGTTACTGAGAATTCTTCTGTCGAACATTACTTGAAGAAATCCCGTTTCCAACGAAGGCCTCAAAGAGGTCCAAATATCCACTTGCAGACATTACAAACAGAGTGTTTCCAAACTGCTCCATCAAAAGAAAGGTTAAACTCTGTGAGCTGAACACACACATCAAAAAGAAGTTTCTGTGAATGATTCTGTCTAGATTTTATAAGAAGATGTTTCCTTTTCTACCATAGGCCTCAAAGCGCTTGAAATCTCCAGCTGCAAATTCCACAAAAAGGGTGTTTAACATCTGCTCTTCTAAAGGAAAGTTCAACTCTATGAGTTGAATACACACAGCACAAAGAAGTTACTGAGACTTCTCCTATCAAACATTATATGAAGAAATCCCGTTTCCAACGATGGCCCCAAAGAGGTCCAAATATCTGCTTGCAGACTTTACAAAGACAGTGTCTCCAAACTCCTCCATCAGAAGAAATATTATACACTGTGAATTGAACGCACTCATCACAAAGTAGTTTCTGAGAATGATTCTGTCTAGTTTTTATTCGAAGATATTTCCTTTTCTACATTTGGCCTAAAAGCGCTTGAAATCTCCACGTGCAAATATCACAAAAAGAGGGTTTCACATCTGCTCTGTCTAAAGGACAGTTCACGTCTGTGAGTTGAATAGAGGCAACACAAAGAACTTACTCAGTATTCTTCTTTCTAGCGTTCTATGAAGAAATCCCGTTTCCAACGAAGGCCTCAAAGAGGTCCAAATATCTGCTTGCAGATTTACAGACAGAGTGTTTCCAAACTACTCTATGAAAAGAAAGCTTAAACTCCTTGAGTTGAATGCACACATCACAAAGTAGTTTCTGAGAATGATTCTGTCTTGTTTTTATACGAAGATATTTCCGTTTCTACGATTGGCCTCAAAGCGATTGAAATCTCCAACTGGAAACTGAACAAATAGGGTGTCTCAAATCTGCTCTGTCTAAAGGAAGGTTCAACTCTGTGAGTTGAATACACACACCACAAATAAGTTACTGAGAATTCTTCTGTCGAACATTACATGAAGAAATCCCGTTTCCAACGAAGGCCTCAAAGAGGTCCAAATATCCACTTGCAGACATTACAAACAGAGTGTTTCCAAACTGCTCCATCAAAGGAAAGGTTAAACTCTGTGAGCTGAACACACACATCAAAAAGAAGTTTCTGTGAATGATTCTGTCTAGATTTTATAAGAAGATGTTTCCTTTTCTACCGTAGGCCTCAAAGGGCTTGAAATCTCCAGCTGCAAATTCCACAAAAAGGGTGTTTAACATCTGCTCTTCTAAAGGAAAGTTCAACTCTATGAGTTGAATACACACAGCACAAAGAAGTTACTGAGACTTCTCCTATCAAACATTATATGAAGAAATGCCGTTTCCAACGAAGGCCTCAAAGAGGTCCAAATATCTGCTTGCAGACTTTACAGACAGAGTGTTTCCAAACTCCTCCATCAAAAGAAAGGTTAAACTCCTTGAGTTGAACACACACATCACAAAGTAGTTTCTGTGAATGATTCTGTCTAGTTTTTATACGAAGATGTTTCCTTTTCTACCTTTGGTCTCAAAGCGATTGAAATCTCCACATGGAAACTCCACAAAAAGAGTGTTTCAAATCTGCTCTTTCTGAAGGAAGGTTCAACTCTGTGAGTTGAATACACACGCCACAAATAAGTTACTGAGAATTCTTCTGTGTAACATTATATGAGGAAATCCCATTTCCAACGAAGGCCTCAAAGAGGTCCCAATATCCACATGCAGACTTTACAAAGACAGTGTCTCCAAACTCCTCCATCAAAAGAAAGGTTATACTCTGTGAATTGAACGCACACATCACAAAGTAGTTTCTGAGAATGATTCTGTCTAGTTTTTATACGAAGATATTTCCTTTTCTACATTTGGCCTAAAAGCGCTTGAAATCTCCACCTGCAAATATCACAAAAAGAGGGTTTCACATCTGCTCTGTCTAAAGGACAGTTCAACTCTGTGAGTTGAATAGAAGCAACACAAAGAACTTACTCAGTATTCTTCTTTCTAGCGTTCTATGAAGAAATCCCGTTTCCAACGAAGACCCCAATGAGGTCCAAATATCTGCTTGCAGACTTTACAGACAGAGTGTTTCCAAAGTACTCTATGAAAAGAAAGCTTAAACTCCTTGAGTTGAACGCACACATCACAAAGTAGTTTCTGAGAATGATTCTGTCTAGTTTTTATACGAAGATGTTTCCTTTTCTACATTTGGTCTCAAAGCGATTGAAATCTCCAACTGGAAACTGCACAAATAGGGTGTTTCAAATCTGCTCTGTCTAAAGGAAGGTTCAACTCTGTGAGTTGAATACACACACCACAAATAAGTTACTGAGAATTCTTCTGTCGAACATTACTTGAAGAAATCCCGTTTCCAATGAAGGCCTCAAAGAGGTCCAAATATCCACTTGCAGACATTACAAACAGAGTGTTTCCAAACTGCTCCATCAAAAGAAAGGTTAAACTCTGTGAGCTGAACACACACATCGAAAAGAAGTTTCTGTGAATGATTCTGTCTAGATTTTATAAGAAGATGTTTCCTTTTCTACCGTAGGCCTCAAAGCGCTTGAAATCTCCAGCTGCAAATTCCACAAAAAGGGTGTTTAACATCTGCTCTTCTAAAGGAAAGTTCAACTCTATGAGTTGAATACACACAGCACAAAGAAGTTACTGAGACTTCTCCTATCAAACATTATATGAAGAAATCCCGTTTCCAACGAAGGCCTCAAAGAGGTCCAAATATCTGCTTGCAGACTTTACAGACAGAGTGTTTCCAAACTGCTCCATCAAAAGAAAGGTTAAACTCCTTGAGTTGAACACACACATCACAAAGTAGTTTCTGTGAATGATTCTGTCTAGTTGTTATACGAAGATGTTTCCTTTTCTACCTTTGGTCTCAAAGCGATTGAAATCTCCACATGGAAACTCCACAAAAAGAGTGTTTCAAATCTGCTCTTTCTGAAGGAAGGTTCATCTCTGTGAGTTGAATACACACACCACAAATAAGTTACTGAGAATTCTTCTGTGTAACATTATATGAGGAAATCCCGTTTCCAACGAAGGCCTCAAAGAGGTCCAAATATCCACTTGCAGACTTTACAAAGACAGTGTCTCCAAACTCCTCCATCAAAAGAAAGGTTATACTCTGTGAATTGAACGCACACATCACAAAGTAGTTTCTGAGAATGATTCTGTCTAGTTTTTATACGAAGATATTTCCTTTTCTACATTTGGCCTAAAAGCGCTTGAAATCTCCACCTGCAAATATCACAAAAAGAGGGTTTCACATCTGCTCTGTCTAAAGGACAGTTCACCTCTGTGAGTTGAATAGAGGCAACACAAAGAACTTACTCAGTATTCTTCTTTCTAGCGTTCTATGAAGAAATCCCGTTTCCAACGAAGGCCCCAAAGAGGTCCAAATATCTGCTTGCAGACTTTACAGACAGAGTGTTTCCAAACTACTCTATGAAAAGAAAGCTTAAACTCCTTGAGTTGAACGCACACATCACAAAGTAGTTTCTGAGAATGATTCTGTCTAGTTTTTATACGAAGATGTTTCCTTTTCTACCTTTGGTCTCAAAGCGATTGAAATCTCCAACTGGAAACTGCACAAATAGGCTGTTTCAAATCTGCTCTGTCTAAAGGAAGGTTCAACTCTGTGAGTTGAATACACACACCACAAATAAGTTACTGAGAATTCTTCTGTCGAACATTACTTGAAGAAATCCCGTTTCCAACGAAGGCCTCAAAGAGGTCCAAATATCCACTTGCAGACATTACAAACAGATTGTTTCCAACCTGCTCCATCAAAAGAAAGGTTAAACTCTGTGAGCTGAACACACACATCAAAAAGAAGTTTCTGTGAATGATTCTGTCTAGATTTTATAAGAAGATATTTCCTTTTCTACCGTAGGCCTCAAAGCGCTTGAAATCTCCAGCTGCAAATTCCACAAAAAGGGTGTTTAACATCTGCTCTTCTAAAGGAAAGTTCAACTCTATGAGTTGAATACACACAGCACAAAGAAGTTACTGAGACTTCTCCTATCAAACATTATATGAAGAAATCCCGTTTCCAACGAAGGCCTCAAAGAGGTCCAAATATCTGCTTGCAGACTTTACAGACAGAGTGTTTCCAAACTGCTCCATCAAAAGAAAGGTTAAACTCCTTGAGTTGAACACACACATCACAAAGTAGTTTCTGTGAATGATTCTGTCTAGTTTTTATACGAAGATGTTTCCTTTTCTACCTTTGGTCTCAAAGCGATTGAAATCTCCACATGGAAACTCCACAAAAAGAGTGTTTCAAATCTGCTCTTTCTGAAGGAAGGTTCATCTCTGTGAGTTGAATACACACACCACAAATAAGTTACTGAGAATTCTTCTGTGTAACATTATATGAGGAAATCCCGTTTCCAACGAAGGCCTCAAAGAGGTCCAAATATCCACTTGCAGACTTTACAAAGACAGTGTCTCCAAACTCCTCCATCAAAAGAAAGGTTATACTCTGTGAATTGAACGCACACATCACAAAGTAGTTTCTGAGAATGATTCTGTCTAGTTTTTATACGAAGATATTTCCTTTTCTACATTTGGCCTAAAAGCGCTTGAAATCTCCACCTGCAAATATCACAAGAAGAGGGTTTCACATCTGCTCTGTCTAAAGGACAGTTCACCTCTGTGAGTTGAATAGAGGCAACACAAAGAACTTAGTCAGTATTCTTCTTTCTAGCGTTCTATGAAGAAATCCCGTTTCCAACGAAGGCCCCAATGAGGTCCAAATATCTGCTTGCAGACTTTACAGACAGAGTGTTTCCAAACTACTCTATGAAAAGAAAGCTTAAACTCCTTGAGTTGAACGCACACATCACAAAGTAGTTTCTGAGAATGATTCTGTCTAGTTTTTATACGAAGATGTTTCCTTTTCTACATTTGGTCTCAAAGCGATTGAAATCTCCAACTGGAAAGTGCACAAATAGGGTGTTTCAAATCTGCTCTGTCTAAAGGAAGGTTCAACTCTGTGAGTTGAATACACACACCACAAATAAGTTACTGAGAATTCTTCTGTCGAACATTACTTGAAGAAATCCCGTTTCCAACGAAGGCCTCAAAGAGGTCCAAATATCCACTTGCAGACATTACAAACAGAGTGTTTCCAAACTGCTCCATCAAAAGAAAGGTTAAACTCTGTGAGCTGAACACACACATCAAAAAGAAGTTTCTGTGAATGATTCTGTCTAGATTTTATAAGAAGATGTTTCCTTTTCTACCATAGGCCTCAAAGCGCTAGAAATCTCCAGCTGCAAATTCCACAAAAAGTGTGTTTAACATCCGCTCTGTCTAAAGTAAAGTTCAGCTCTGTGAGTTGAATACACACAGCACAAAGAAGTTACTGAGACTTCTTCTGTCTAACATTATATGAAGAAATCCCGTTTCCAACGAAGGCCTCAAAGAGGTCCAAATATCCACTTGCAGACTTGTCAAACGGAGTGTTTCCAAACTGCACCATCAAAAGAAAGGTTAAACTCTGTGAGCTGAACACACACATCACAAAGTAGTTTCTGTGAATGATTCTGTCTAGATTTTATAAGAAGATGTTTCCTTTTCTACCGTAGGCCTCAAAGCGCTTGAAATCTCCAGCTGCAAATTCCACAAAAAGGGTGTTTAACATCTGCTCTTCTAAAGGAAAGTTCAACTCTATGCGTTGAATACACACAGCACAAAAAAGTTACTGAGACTTCTCCTATCAAACATTATATGAAGAAATCCCGTTTCCAACGAAGGCCTCAAAGAGGTCCAAATATCTGCTTGCAGACTTTACAAAGACAGTGTCTCCAAACTCCTCCATCAAAAGAAAGGTTATACTCTGTGAATTGAACGCACACATCACAAAGTAGTTTCTGAGAATGATTCTGTCTAGTTTTTATACGAAGATATTTCCTTTTCTACATTTGGCCTAAAAGCGCTTGAAATCTCCACGTGCAAATATCACAAAAAGAGGGTTTCACACCTGCTCTGTCTAAAGGACAGTTCACCTCTGTGAGTTGAATAGAGGCAACACAAAGAACTTACTCAGTATTCTTCTTTCTAGCGCTCTATGAAGAAATCCCGTTTCCAACGAAGGCCTCAAAGAGGTCCAAATATCTGCTTGCAGACTTCACAGACAGAGTGTTTCCAAAGTACTCTATGAAAAGAAAGCTTAAACTCCTAGAGTTGAACCGCACACATCACAAAGTAGTTTCTGAGAATGATTCTGTCTAGTTTTTATACGAAGATGTTTCCTTTTCTACATTTGGTCTCAAAGCGATTGAAATCTCCAACTGGAAACTGCACAAATAGGGTGTTTCAAATCTGCTGTGTCTAAAGGAAGGTTCAACTCTGTGAGTTGAATACACACACCACAAATAAGTTACTGAGAATTCTTCTGTCGAACATTACATGAAGAAATCCCGTTTCCAACGAAGGCCTCAAAGAGGTCCAAATATCCACTTGCAGACATTACAAACAGAGTGTTTCCAAACTGCTCCATCAAAAGAAAGGTTAAACTCTGTGAGCTGAACACACACATCAAAAAGAAGTTTCTGTGAATGATTCTGTCTAGATTTTATAAGAAGATGTTTCCTTTTCTACCGTAGGCCTCAAAGCGCTTGAAATCTCCAGCTGCAAATTCCACAAAAAGGGTGTTTAACATCTGCTCTTCTAAAGGAAAGTTCAACTCTATGAGTTGAATACACACAGCACAAAGAAGTTACTGAGACTTCTCCTATCAAACATTATATGAAGAAATCCCGTTTCCAACGAAGGCCTCAAAGAGGTCCAAATATCTGCTTGCAGACTTTACAGACAGAGTGTTTCCAAACTGCTCCATCAAAAGAAAGGTTAAACTCCTTGAGTTGAACACACACATCACAAAGTAGTTTCTGTGAATGATTCTGTCTAGTTTTTATACGAAGATGTTTCCTTTTCTACATTTGGTCTCAATGCGATTGAAATCTCCACATGGAAACTCCACAAAAAGAGTGTTTCAAATCTGCTCTTTCTGAAGGAAGGTTCAACTCTGTGAGTTGAATACACACACCACAAATAAGTTACTGAGAATTCTTCTGTGTCACATTATATGAGGAAATCCCGTTTCCAACGAAGGCCTCAAAGAGGTCCAAATATCCATTTGCAGACTTTACAAAGACAGTGTCTCCAAACTCCTCCATCAAAAGAAAGGTTATACTCTGTGAATTGAACGCACACATCACAAAGTAGTTTCTGAGAATGATTCTGTCTAGTTTTTATACGAAGATATTTCCTTTTCTACATTTGGCCTAAAAGCGCTTGAAATCTCCACCTGCAAATATCACAAAAAGAGGGTTTCACATCTGCTCTGTCTAAAGGACAGTTCACCTCTGTGAGTTGAATAGAGGCAACACAAAGAACTTACTCAGTATTCTTCTTTCTAGCGTTCTATGAAGAAATCCCGTTTCCAACGAAGGCCTCAAAGAGGTCAAATATCTGCTTGCAGACTTTACAGACAGAGTGTTTCCAAACTACTCTATGAAAAGAAAGCTTAAACTCCTTGAGTTGAACGCACACATCACAAAGTAGTTTCTGAGAATGATTCTGTCTAGTTTTTATACGAAGATGTTTCCTTTTCTACATTTGGTCTCAAAGCGATTGAAATCTCCAACTGGAAACTGCACAAATAGGGTGTTTCAAATCTGCTCTGTCTAAAGGAAGGTTCAACTCTGTGAGTTGAATACACACACCACAAATAAGTTACTGAGAATTCTTCTGTCGAACATTACATGAAGAAATCCCGTTTCCAACGAAGGCCTCAAAGAGGTCCAAATATCCACTTGCAGACATTACAAACAGAGTGTTTCCAAACTGCTCCATCAAAAGAAAGGTTAAACTCTGTGAGCTGAACACACACATCAAAAAGAAGTTTCTGTGAATGATTCTGTCTAGATTTTATAAGATGTTTCCTTTTCTACCGTAGGCCTCAAAGCGCCTGAAATCTCCAGCTGCAAATTCCACAAAAAGGGTGTTTAACATCTGCTCTTCTAAAGGAAAGTTCAACTCTATGAGTTGAATACACACAGCACAAAGAAGTTACTGAGACTTCTTCTGTCTAACATTATATGAAGAAATCCCGATTCCAACGAAGGCCTCAAAGAGGTCCAAATATCTGCCTGCAGACTTTACAGACAGAGTGTTTCCAAACTGCTCCATCAAAAGAAAGGTTAAACTCCTTGAGTTGAACACACACATCACAAAGTAGTTTCTGTGAATGATTCTGTCTAGTTTTTATACGAAGATGTTTCCTTTTCTACCTTTGGTCTCAAAGCGATTGAAATCTCCACATGGAAACTCCACAAAAAGAGTGTTTCAAATCTGCTCTTTCTGAAGGAAGGTTCATCTCTGTGAGTTGAATACACACACCACAAATAAGTTACTGAGAATTCTTCTGTGTAACATTATATGAGGAAATCCCGTTTCCAACAAAGGCCTCAAAGAGGTCCAAATATCCACTTGCAGACTTTACAAAGACAGTGTCTCCAAACTCCTCCATCAAAAGAAAGGTTATACTCTGTGAATTGAACGCACACATCACAAAGTAGTTTCTGAGAATGATTCTGTCTAGTTTTTATACGAAGATATTTCCTTTTCTACATTTGGCCTAAAAGCGCTTGAAATCTCCACCTGCAAATATCACAAAAAGAGGGTTTCACATCTGCTCTGTCTAAAGGACAGTTCACCTCTGTGAGTTGAATAGAGGCAACACAAAGAACTTACTCAGTATTCTTCTTTCTAGCGTTCTATGAAGAAATCCCGTTTCCAACGAAGGCCCCAAAGAGGTCCAAATATCTGCTTGCAGACTTTACAGACAGAGTGTTTCCAAACTACTCTATGAAAAGAAAGCTTAAACTCCTTGAGTTGAACGCACACATCACAAAGTAGTTTCTGAGAATGATTCTGTCTAGTTTTTATACGAAGATGTTTCCTTTTCTACATTTGGTCTCAAAGCGATTGAAATCTCCAACTGGAAACTGCACAAATAGGCTGTTTCAAATCTGCTCTGTCTAAAGGAAGGTTCAACTCTGTGAGTTGAATACACACACCACAAAGAAGTTACTGAGAATTCTTCTGTCGAACATTACTTGAAGAAATCCCGTTTCCAACGAAGGCCTCAAAGAGGTCCAAATATCCACTTGCAGACATTACAAACAGAGTGTTTCCAAACTGCTCCATCAAAAGAAAGGTTAAACTCTGTGAGCTGAACACACACATCAAAAAGCAGTTTCTGTGAATGATTCTGTCTAGATTTTATAAGAAGATGTTTCCTTTTCTACCGTAGGCCTCAAAGCGCTTGAAATCTCCAGCTGCAAATTCCACAAAAAGGGTGTTTAACATCTGCTCTTCTAAAGGAAAGTTCAACTCTATGAGTTGAATACACACAGCACAAAGAAGTTACTGAGACTTCTCCTATCAAACATTATATGAAGAAATCCCGTTTCCAACGAAGGCCTCAAAGAGGTCCAAATATCTGCTTGCAGACTTTACAGACAGAGTATTTCCAAACTGCTCCATCAAAAGAAAGGTTAAACTCCTTGAGTTGAACACACACATCACAAAGTAGTTTCTGTGAATGATTCTGTCTAGTTTTTATACGAAGATGTTTCCTTTTCTACCTTTGGTCTCAAAGCGATTGAAATCTCCACATGGAAACTCCACAAAAAGAGTGTTTCAAATCTGCTCTTTCTGAAGGAAGGTTCAACTCTGTGAGTTGAATACACACACCACAAATAAGTTACTGAGAATTCTTCTGTGTAACATTATATGAGGAAATCCCATTTCCAACGAAGGCCTCAAAGAGGTCCAAATATCCACTTGCAGACTTTACAAAGACAGTGTCTCCAAACTCCTCCATCAAAAGAAAGGTTATACTCTGTGAATTGAACGCACACATCACAAAGTAGTTTCTGAGAATGATTCTGTCTAGTTTTTATACGAAGATATTTCCTTTTCTACATTTGGCCTAAAAGCGCTTGAAATCTCCACCTGCAAATATCACCAAAAGAGGGTTTCACATCTGCTCTGTCTAAAGGACAGTTCACCTCTGTGAGTTGAATAGAGGCAACACAAAGAACTTACTCAGTATTCTTCTTTCTAGCATTCTATGAAGAAATCCCGTTTCCAACGAAGGCCCCAAAGAGGTCCAAATATGTGCTTGCAGACTTTACAGACAGAGTTTTTCCAAACTGCTCCATCAAAAGAAAGGTTAAACTCCTTGAGTTGAACACACACATCACAAAGTAGTTTCTGTGAATGATTCTGTCTAGTTTTTATACGAAGATGTTTCCTTTTCTACCTTTGGTCTCAAAGCGATTGAAATCTCCACATGGAAACTCCACAAAAAGAGTGTTTCAAATCTGCTCTTTCTGAAGGAAGGTTCAACTCTGTGAGTTGAATACACACACCACAAATAAGTTACTGAGAATTCTTCTGTGTAACATTATATGAGGAAATCCCGTTTCCAACGAAGGCCTCAAAGAGGTCCAAATATCCACTTGCAGACTTTACAAAGACAGTGTCTCCAAACTCCTCCATCAAAAGAAAGGTTATACTCTGTGAATTGAACGCACACATCACAAAGTAGTTTCTGAGAATGATTCTGTCTAGTTTTTATACGAAGATATTTCCTTTTCTACATTTGGCCTAAAAGCGCTTGAAATCTCCACCTGCAAATATCACAAAAAGAGGGTTTCACACCTGCTCTGTCTAATGGACTGTTCACCTCTGTGAGTTGAATAGAGGCAACACAAAGAACTTACTCAGTATTCTTCTTTCTAGCGTTCTATGAAGAAATCCCGTTTCCAACGAAGGCCTCAAAGAGGTCCAAATATCTGCTTGCAGACTTTACAGACAGAGTGTTTCCAAACTACTCTATGAAAAGAAAGCTTAAACTCCTTGAGTTGAACGCACACATCACAAAGAAGTTTCTGAGAATGATTCTGTCTAGTTTTTATACGAAGATGTTTCCTTTTCTACATTTGGTTTCAAAGCGATTGAAATCTCTAACTGGAAACTGCACAAATAGGGTGTTTCAAATCTGCTCTCTCTAAAGGAAGGTTCAACTCTGTGAGTTGAATACACACACCACAAATAAGTTACTGAGAATTCTTCTGTCGAACATTACTTGAAGAAATCCCGTTTCCAAAGAAGGCCTCAAAGAGGTCCAAATATCCACTTGCAGACATTACAAACAGAGTGTTTCCAAACTGCTCCATCAAAAGAAAGGTTAAACTCTGTGAGCTGAACACACACATCAAAAAGAAGTTTCTGTGAATGATTCTGTCTAGATTTTATAAGAAGATGTTTGCTTTTCTACCGTAGGCCTCAAAGCGCTTGAAATCTCCAGCTGCAAATTCCACAAAAAGGGTGTTTAACATCTGCTCTTCTAAAGGAAAGTTCAACTCTATGCGTTGAATACACACAGCACAAAGAAGTTACTGAGACTTCTCCTATCAAACATTATATGAAGAAATCCCGTTTCCAACGAAGGCCTCAAAGAGGTCCAAATATCTACTTGCAGACTTTACAGACAGAGTGTTTCCAAACTGCTCCATCAAAAGAAAGGTTAAACTCCTTGAGTTGAACACACACATCACAAAGTAGTTTCTGTGAATGATTCTGTCTAGTTTTTATACGAAGATGTTTCCTTTTCTACCTTTGGTCTCAAAGCGATTGAAATCTCCACATGGAAACTCCACAAAAAGAGTGTTTCAAATCTGCTCTTTCTGAAGGAAGGTTCAACTCTGTGAGTTGAATACACACACCACAAATAAGTTACTGAGAATTCTTCTGTGTAACATTATATGAGGAAATCCCGTTTCCAACGAAGGCCTCAAAGAGGTCCAAATATCCACTTGCAGACTTTACAAAGACAGTGTCTCCAAACTCCTCCATCAAAAGAAAGGTTATACTCTGTGAATTGAACGCACACATCACAAAGTAGTTTCTGAGAACGATTCTGTCTAGTTTTCATACGAAGATATTTCCTTTTCTACATTTGGCCTAAAAGCGCTTGAAATCTCCACCTGCAAATATCACAAAAAGAGGGTTTCACATCTGCTCTGTCTAAAGGACAGTTCACCTCTGTGAGTTGAATAGAGGCAACACAAAGAACTTACTCAGTATTCTTCTTTCTAGCGTTCTATGAAGAAATCCCGTTTCCAACGAAGGCCTCAAAGAGGTCCAAATATCTGCTTGCACACTTTACAGACAGAGTGTTTCCAAACTACTCTATGAAAAGAAAGCTTAAACTCCTTGAGTTGAACGCACACATCACAAAGTAGTTTCTGAGAATGATTCTGTCTAGTTTTTATACGAAGATGTTTCCTTTTCTACATTTGGTCTCAAAGCGATTGAAATCTCCAACTGGAAACTGCACAAATAGGGTGTTTCAAATCTGCTCTGTCTAAAGGAAGGTTCAACTCTTTGAGTTGAATACACACACCACAAATAAGTTACTGAGAATTCTTCTTTCGAACATTACTTGAAGAAATCCCGTTTCCAACGAAGACCTCAAAGAGGTCCAAATATCCACTTGCAGACATTACAAACAGAGTGTTTCCAAACTGCTCCATCAAAAGAAAGGTTAAACTCTGTGAGCTGAACACACACATCAAAAAGAAGTTTCTGTGAATGATTCTGTCTAGATTTTATAAGAAGATGTTTCCTTTTCTACCGTAGGCCTCAAAGCGCTTGAAATCTCCAGCTGCAAATTCCACAAAAAGGGTGTTTAACATCTGCTCTTCTAAAGGAAAGTTCAACTCTATGAGTTGAATACACACAGCACAAAGAAGTTACTGAGACTTCTCCTATCAAACATTATATGAAGAAATCCCGTTTCCAACGAAGGCCTCAAAGAGGTCCAAATATCTGCTTGCAGACTTTACAGACAGAGTGTTTCCAAACTGCTCCATCAAAAGAAAGGTTAAACTCCTTGAGTTGAACACACACATCACAAAGTAGTTTCTGTGAATGATCTGTCTAGTTTTTATACGAAGATGTTTCCTTTTCTACCTTTGGTCTCAAAGTGATTGAAATCTCCACATGGAAACTCCACAAAAAGAGTGTTTCAAATCTGCTCTTTCTGAAGGAAGGTTCAAATCTGTGAGTTGAATACACACACCACAAATAAGTTACTGAGAATTCTTCTGGGTAACATTATATGAGGAAATCCCGTTTCCAACGAAGGCCTCAAAGAGGTCCAAATATCCACTTGCAGACTTTACAAAGACAGTGTCTCCAAACTCCTCCATCAAAAGAAAGGTTATACTCTGTGAATTGAACGCACACATCACAAAGTAGTTTCTGAGAATGATTCTGTCTAGTTTTTATACGAAGATATTTCCTTTTCTACATTTGGCCTAAAAGTGCTTGAAATCTCCACCTGCAAATATCACAAAAAGAGGGTTTCACATCTGCTCTGTCTAAAGGACAGTTCACCTCTGTGAGTTGAATAGAGGCAACACAAAGAACTTACTCAGTATTCTTCTTTCTAGCGTTCTATGAAGAAATCCCGTTTCCAACGAAGGCCCCAAAGAGGTCCAAATATCTGCTTGCAGACTTTACAGACAGAGTGTTTCCAAACTACTCTATGAGAAGAAAGCTTAAACTCCTTGAGTTGAACGCACACATCACAAAGTAGTTTCGGAGAATGATTCTGTCTAGTTTTTATACGAAGATGTTTCCTTTTCTACATTTGGTCTCAAAGCGATTGAAATCTCCAACTGGAAACTGCACAAATAGGGTGTTTCAAATCTGCTCTGTCTAAAGGAAGGTTCAACTCTGTGAGTTGAATACACACACCACAAATAAGTTACTGAGAATTCTTCTGTCGAACATTACTTGAAGAAATCCCGTTTCCAACGAAGGCCTCAAAGAGGTCCAAATATCCACTTGCAGACATTACAAACAGAGTGTTTCCAAACTGCTCCATCAAAAGAAAGGTTAAACTCTGTGAGCTGAACACACACATCAAAAAGAAGTTTCTGTGAATGATTCTGTCTAGATTTTATAAGAAGATGTTTCCTTTTCTACCGTAGGCCTCAAAGTGCTTGAAATCTCCAGCTGCAAATTCCACAAAATGGGTGTTTAACATCTGCTCTTCTAAAGGAAAGTTCAACTCAATGAGTTGAATACACACAGCCCAAAGAAGTTACTGAGACTTCTCCTATCAAACATTATATGAAGAAATCCCGTTTCCAACGAAGGCCTCAAAGGAGGTCCAAATATCCACTTGCAGACGTGACAAACAGAGTGTTTCCAAACTGCTCCATCCAAAGAAAGGTTAAAGTCTGTGACTTGAACACACACATCACAAAGTAGTTTCAGTGAATGATTCTGTCTAGTTTTTATACGAAGATGTTTCCTTTTCTACCTTTGTTCTCAATGCGATTGAAATCTCCACATGGAAACTCCACAAAAAGAGTGTTTCAAATCTGCTCTTTCTGAAGGAAGGTTCAACTCTGTGAGTTGAATACACACACCACAAATAAGTTACTGAGAATTCTTCTGTGTAACATTATATGAGGAAATCCCGTTTCCAACGAAGGCCTCAAAGAGGTCCAAATATCCACTTGCAGACTTACAAAGACAGTCTCTCCAAACTCCTCCATCAAAAGAAAGGTTATACTCTGTGAATTGAACGCACACATCACAAAGTAGTTTCTGAGAATGATTCTGTCTAGTTTTTATACGAAGATATTTCCTTTTCTACATTTGGCCTAAAAGCGCTTGAAATCTCCACCTGCAAATATCACAAAAAGAGGGTTTCACATCTGCTCTGTCTAAAGGACAGTTCACCTCTGTGAGTTGAATAGAAGCAACACAAAGAACTTACTCAGTATTCTTCTTTCTAGCGTTCTATGAAGAAATCCCGTTTCCAACGAAGGCCCCAAAGAGGTCCAAATATCTGCTTGCAGACTTTACAGACAGAGTGTTTCCAAACTACTCTATGAAAAGAAAGCTTAAACTCCTTGAGTTGAACGCACACATCACAAAGTAGTTTCTGAGAATGATTCTGTCTAGTTTTTATACGAAGGATGTTTCCTTTTCTACATTTGGTCTCAAAGCTCTTGAAATCTCCAACTGGAAACTGCACAAATAGGCTGTTTCAAATCTGCTCTGTCTAAAGGAAGGTTCAACTCTGTGAGTTGAATACACACACCACAAATAAGTTACTGAGAATTCTTCTGTCGAACATTACTTGAAGAAATCCCGTTTCCAACGAAGGCCTCAAAGAGGTCCAAATATCCACTTGCAGACGTTACAAACAGAGTGTTTCCAAACTGCTCCATCAAAAGAAAGGTTAAACTCTGTGAGCTGAACACACACATCAAAAAGAAGTTTCTGTGAATGATTCTGTCTAGATTTTATAAGAAGATGTTTCCTTTTCTACCGTAGGCCTCAAAGCGCTTGAAATCTCCAGCTGCAAATTCCACAAAAAGGGTGTTTAACATCTGCTCTTCTAAAGGAAAGTTCAACTCTATGAGTTGAATACACACAGCACAAAGAAGTTACTGAGACTTCTCCTATCAAACATTATATGAAGAAATCCCGTTTCCAACGAAGGCCTCAAAGAGGTCCAAATATCTGCTTGCAGACTTTACAGACAGAGTGTTTCCAAACTGCTCCATCAAAAGAAAGGTTAAACTCCTTGAGTTGAACACACACATCACAAAGTAGTTTCTGTGAATGATTCTGTCTAGTTTTTATACGACGATGTTTCCTTTTCTACCTTTGGTCTCAAAGCGATTGAAATCTCCACATGGAAACTCCACAAAAAGAGTGTTTCAAATCTGCTCTTTCTGAAGGAAGGTTCAACTCTGTGAGTTGAATACACACACCACAAATAAGTTACTGAGAATTCTTCTGTGTAACATTATATGAGGAAATCCCGTTTCCAACGAAGGCCTCAAAGAGGTCCAAATATCCACTTGCAGACTTTACAAAGACAGTGTCTCCAAACTCCTCCATCAAAAGAAAGGTTATACTCTGTGAATTGAACGCACACATCACAAAGTAGTTTCTGAGAACGATTCTGTCTAGTTTTCATACGAAGATATTTCCTTTTCTACATTTGGCCTAAAAGCGCTTGAAATCTCCACCTGCAAATATCACAAAAAGAGGGTTTCACATCTGCTCTGTCTAAAGGACAGTTCACCTCTGTGAGTTGAATAGAGGCAACACAAAGAACTTACTCAGTATTCTTCTTTCTAGCGTTCTATGAAGAAATCCCGTTTCCAACGAAGGCCTCAAAGAGGTCCAAATATCTGCTTGCAGACTTTACAGACAGAGTGTTTCCAAACTACTCTATGAAAAGAAAGCTTAAACTCCTTGAGTTGAACGCACACATCACAAAGTAGTTTCTGAGAATGATTCTGTCTAGTTTTTATACTAAGATGTTTCCTTTTCTACATTTGGTCTCAAAGCGATTGAAATCTCCAACTGGAAACTGCACAAATAGGTTGTTTCAAATCTGCTCTGTCTAAAGGAAGGTTCAACTCTGTGAGGTGAATACACACACCACAAATAAGTTACTGAGAATTCTTCTGTCGAACATTACATGAAGAAATCCCGTTTCGAACGAAGACCTCAAAGAGGTACAAATATCCACTTGCAGACATTACAAACAGAGTGTTTCCAAACTGCTCCATCAAAAGAAAGGTTAAACTCTGTGAGCTGAACACACACATCAAAAAGAAGTTTCTGTGAATGATTCTGTCTAGATTTTAGAAGAAGATGTTTCCTTTTCTACCGTAGGCCTCAAAGCGCTTGAAATCTCCAACTGCAAATTCCACAAAAAGGGTGTTTAACATCTGCTCTTCTGAAGGAAAGTTCAACTCTATGAGTTGAATACACACAGCACAAAGAAGTTACTGAGACTTCTCCTATCAAACATTATATGAAGAAATCCCGTTTCCAACGAAGGCCTCAAAGCGGTCCAAATATCCACTTGCAGACGTGAAAAACAGAGTGCTTCCAAACTGCCCCATCCAAAGAAAGGTTAAACTCTGTGAGTTGAACACACACATCACAAAGTAGTTTCTGTGAATGATTCTTTCTAGTTTTTATACGAAGATGTTTCCTTTTCTACCTTTGGTCTCAATGCGATTGAAATCTCCACATGGAAACTCCACAAAAAGAGTGTTTCAAATCTGCTCTTTCTGAAGGAAGGTTCAACTCTGTGAGTTGAATACACACACCACAATAAGTTACTGAGAATTCTTCTGTGTAACATTATATGAGGAAATCCCGTTTCCAACGAAGGCCTCAAAGAGGTCCAAATATCCACTTGCAGACTTTACAAAGACAGTGTCTCCAAACTCCTCCATCAAAAGAAAGGTTATACTCTGTGAATTGAACGCACACATCACAAAGTAGTTTCTGAGAATGATTCTGTCTAGTTTTTATACGAAGATATTTCCTTTTCTACATTTGGCCTAAAAGCGCTTGAAATCTCCACCTGCAAATATCACAAAAAGAGGGTTTCACATCTGCTCTGTCTAAAGGACAGTTCACCTCTGTGAGTTGAATAGAGGCAACACAAAGAACTTACTCAGTATTCTTCTTTCTAGCGTTCTATGAAGAAATCCCGTTTCCAACGAAGGCCCCAAAGAGGTCCAAATATCTGCTTGCAGACTTTACAGACAGAGTGTTTCCAAACTACTCTATGAAAAGAAAGCTTAAACTCCTTGAGTTGAACGCACACATCACAAAGTAGTTTCTGAGAATGATTCTGTCTAGTTTTTATACGAAGATGTTTCCTTTTCTACATTTGGTCTCAAAGCGATTGAAATCTCCAACTGGAAACTGCACAAATAGGGTGTTTCAAATCTGCTCTGTCTAAAGGAAGGTTCAACTCTGTGAGTTGAATACACACACCACAAATAAGTTACTGAGAATTCTTCTGTCGAACATTACATGAAGAAATCCCGTTTCCAACGAAGGCCTCAAAGACGTCCAAATATCCACTTGCAGACATTACAAAGAGAGTGTTTCCAAACTGCTCCATCAAAAGAAAGGTTAAACTCTGTGAGCTGAACACACACATCAAAAAGAAGTTTCTGTGAATGATTCTGTCTAGATTTTATAAGAAGATGTTTCCTTTTCTACCGTAGGCCTCAAAGCGCTTGAAATCTCCAGCTGCAAATTCCACAAAAAGGGTGTTTAACATCTGCTCTTCTAAAGGAAAGTTCAACTCTATGAGTTGAATACACACAGCACAAAGAAGTTACTGAGACTTCTCCTATCAAACATTATATGAAGAAATCCCGTTTCCAACGAAGGCCTCAAAGAGGTCCAAATATCCACTTGCAGACGTGACAAACAGAGTGTTTCCAAACTGCTCCATCAAAAGAAAGGTTAAACTCTGTGAGTTGAACACACACATCACAAAGTAGTTTCTGTGAATGATTCTGTCTAGTTTTTATACGAAGATGTTTCCTTTTCTACCTTTGGTCTCAAAGCCATTGAAATCTCCACATGGAAACTCCACAAAAAGAGTGTTTCAAATCTGCTCTTTCTGAAGGAAGGTTCAACTCTGTGAGTTGAATACACACACCACAAATAAGTTACTGAGAATTCTTCTGTGTAACATTATATGAGGAAATCCCGTTTCCAACGAAGGCCTCAAAGAGGTCCAAATATCCACTTGCAGACTTTACAAAGACAGTGTCTCCAAACTCCGCCATCAAAAGAAAGGTTATACTCTGTGAATTGAACGCACACATCACAAAGTAGTTTCCTGAGAATGATTCTGTCTAGTTTTTATACGAAGATATTTCCTTTTCTACATTTGGCCTAAAAGCGCTTGAAATCTCCACTGCAAATATCACAAAAAGAGGGTTTCACATCTGCTCTGTCTAAAGGACAGTTCACCTCTGTGAGTTGAATAGAGGCAACACAAAGAACTTACTCAGTATTCTTCTTTCTAGCGTTATATGAAGAAATCCCGTTTCCAACGAAGGCCTCAAAGAGGTCCAAATATCTGCTTGCAGACTTTACAGACAGAGTGTTTCCAAACTATTCTATGAAAAGAAAGCTTAAACTCCTTGAGTTGAACGCACACAATGCAAAGTAGTTTCTGAGAATGATTCTGTCTTGTTTTTATACGAAGATATTTCCGTTTCTATGATTGGCCTCAAAGCCATTGAAATCTCCAACTGGAAGCTGCACAAATAGGGTGTTTCAAATCTGCTCTGTCTAAAGGAAGGTTCAACTCTGTGAGTTGAATACACACACCACAAATAAGTTGCTGAGAATTCTTCTGTCGAACATTACATGAAGAAATCCCGTTTCCAACGAAGGCCTCAAAGAGGTCCAAATATCCACTTGCAGACATTACAAACAGAGTGTTTCCAAACTGCTCCATCAAAAGAAAGGTTAAACTCTGTGAGCTGAACACACACATCAAAAAGAAGTTTCTGTGAATGATTCTGTCTAGATTTTATAAGAAGATGTTTCCTTTTCTACCGTAGGCCTCAAAGCGCTTGAAATCTCCAGCTGCAAATTCCACAAAAAGGGTGTTTAACATCTGCTCTTCTAAAGGAAAGTTCAACTCTATGAGTTGAATACACACAGCACAAAGAAGTTACTGAGACTTCTTCTTTCTAGCATTCTATGAAGAAATCCCGTTTCCAACGAAGGCCCCTAAGAGGTCCAAATATCTGCTTGCAGACTTTACAGACAGAGTTTTTCCAAACTGCTCCATCAAAAGAAAGGTTAAACTCCTTGAGTTGAACACACACATCACAAAGTAGTTTCTGTGAATGATTCTGTCTAGTTTTTATAAGAAGATGTTTCCTTTTCTACCTTTGGTCTCAAAGCGATTGAAATCTCCACATGGAAACTCCTCAAAAAGAGTGTTTCAAATCTGCTCTTTCTGAAGGAAGGTTCAACTCTGTGAGTTGAATACACACACCACAAATAAGTTACTGAGAATTCTTCTGTGTAACATTATATGAGGAAATCCCGTTTCCAACGAAGGCCTCAAAGAGGTCCAAATATCCACTTGCAGACTTTACAAAGACAGTGTCTCCAAACTCCTCCATCAAAAGAAAGGTTATACTCTGTGAATTGAACGCACACATCACAAAGTAGTTTCTGAGAATGATTCTGTCTAGTTTTTATACGAAGATATTTCCTTTTCTACATTTGGCCTAAAAGCGCTTGAAATCTCCACCTGCAAATATCACAAAAAGAGGGTTTCACATCTGCTCTGTCTGAAGGACAGTTCACCTCTGTGAGTTGAATAGAGGCAACACAAAGAACTTACTCAGTATTCTTCTTTCTAGCGTTCTATGAAGAAATCCCGTTTCCAACGAAGGCCTCAAAGAGCTCAAATATCTGCTTGCAGACTTTACAGACAGAGTGTTTCCAAACTACTCTATGAAAAGAAAGCTTAAACTCCTTGAGTTGAACGCACACATCACAAAGTAGTTTCTGAGAATGATTCTGTCTAGTTTTTATACGAAGATGTTTCCTTTTCTACATTTGGTCTCAAAGCTCTTGAAATCTCCAACTGGAAACTGCACAAATAGGCTGTTTCAAATCTGCTCTGTCTAAAGGAAGGTTCAACTCTGTGAGTTGAATACACACACCACAAATAAGTTACTGAGAATTCTTCTGTCGAACATTACTTGAAGAAATCCCGTTTCCAACGAAGGCCTCAAAGAGGTCCAAATATCCACTTGCAGACATTACAAACAGAGTGTTTCCAAACTGCTCCATCAAAAGAAAGGTTAAACTCTGTGAGCTGAACACACACATCAAAAAGAAGTTTCTGTGAATGATTCTGTCTAGATTTTATAAGAAGATGTTTCCTTTTCTACCGTAGGCCTCAAAGCGCTTGAAATCTCCAGCTGCAAATTCCACAAAAAGGGTGTTTAACATCTGCTCTTCTAAAGGAAAGTTCAACTCTATGAGTTGAATACACACAGCACAAAGAAGTTACTGAGACTTCTCCTATCAAACATTATATGAAGAAATCCCGTTTCCAACGAAGGCCTCAAAGAGGTCCAAATATCTGCTTGCAGACTTTACAGACAGAGTGTTTCCAAACTGCTCCATCAAAAGAAAGGTTAAACTCCTTGAGTTGAACACACACATCACAAAGTAGTTTCTGTGAATGATTCTGTCTAGTTGTTATACGAAGATGTTTCCTTTTCTACCTTTGGTCTCAAAGCGATTGAAATCTCCACATGGAAACTCCACAAAAAGAGTGTTTCAAATCTGCTCTTTCTGAAGGAAGGTTCATCTCTGTGAGTTGAATACACACACCACAAATAAGTTACTGAGAATTCTTCTGTGTAACATTATATGAGGAAATCCCGTTTCCAACGAAGGCCTCAAAGAGGTCCAAATATCCACTTGCAGACTTTACAAAGACAGTGTCTCCAAACTCCTCCATCAAAAGAAAGGTTATACTCTGTGAATTGAACGCACACATCACAAAGTAGTTTCTGAGAATGATTCTGTCTAGTTTTTATACGAAGATATTTCCTTTTCTACATTTGGCCTAAAAGCGCTTGAAATCTCCACCTGCAAATATCACAAAAAGAGGGTTTCACATCTGCTCTGTCTAAAGGACAGTTCACCTCTGTGAGTTGAATAGAGGCAACACAAAGAACTTACTCAGTATTCTTCTTTCTAGCGTTCTATGAAAAATCCCGTTTCCAACGAAGACCCCAATGAGGTCCTAATATCTGCTTGCAGACTTTACAGACAGAGTGTTTTCAAACTACTCTATGAAAAGAAAGCTTAAACTCCTTGAGTTGAACGCACACATCACAAAGTAGTTTCTGAGAATGATGCTGTCTAGTTTTTATACGAAGATGTTTCCTTTTCTACATTTGGTCTCAAAGCGATTGAAATCTCCAACTGGAAACTGCAGAAATAGGGTGTTTCAAATCTGCTCTGTCTAAAGGAAGGTTCAACTCAGTGAGTTGAATACACACACCACAAATAAGTTACTGAGAATTCTTCTGTCGAACATTACTTGAAGAAATCCCGTTTCCAACGAAGGCCTCAAAGAGGTCCAAATATCCACTTGCAGACATTACAAACAGAGTGTTTCCAAACTGCTCCATCAAAAGAAAGGTTAAACTCTGTGAGCTGAACACACACATCAAAAAGAAGTTTCTGTGAATGATTCTGTCTAGATTTTATAAGAAGATGTTTCCTTTTCTACCGTAGGCCTCAAACCGCTTGAAATCTCCAGCTGCAAATTCCACAAAAAGAGTGTTTAACATCTGCTCTTCTAAAGGAAAGTTCAACTCTATGAGTTGAATACACACAGCACAAAGAAGTTACTGAGACTTCTCCTATCAAACATTATATGAAGAAATCCCGTTTCCAACGAAGGCCTCAAAGAGGTCCAAATATCTGCTTGCAGACTTTACAGACAGAGTGTTTCCAAACTGCTCCATCAAAAGAAAGGTTAACCTCCTTGAGTTGAACACACACATCACAAAGTAGTTTCTGTGAATGATTCTGTCTAGTTTTTATACGAAGATGTTTCCTTTTCTACCTTTGGTCTCAAAGCGATTGAAATCTCCACATGGAAACTCCACAAAAAGAGTGTTTCAAATCTGCTCTTTCTGAAGGAAGGTTCATCTCTGTGAGTTGAATACACACACCACAAATAAGTTACTGAGAATTCTTCTGTGTAACATTATATGAGGAAATCCCGTTTCCAACGAAGGCCTCAAAGAGGTCCAAATATCCACTTGCAGACTTTACAAAGACAGTGTCTCCAAACTCCTCCATCAAAAGAAAGGTTATACTCTGTGAATTGAACGCACACATCACAAAGTAGTTTCTGAGAATGATTCTGTCTAGTTTTTATACGAAGATATTTCCTTTTCTACATTTGGCCTAAAAGCGCTTGAAATCTCCACCTGCAAATATCACAAAAAGAGGGTTTCACATCTGCTCTGTCTAAAGGACAGTTCACCTCTGTGAGTTGAATAGAGGCAACACAAAGAACTTACTCAGTATTCTTCTTTCTAGCATTCTATGAAGAAATCCCGTTTCCAACGAAGGCCCCAAAGAGGTCCAAATATCTGCTTGCAGACTTTACAGACAGAGTTTTTCCAAACTGCTCCATCAAAAGAAAGGTTAAACTCCTTGAGTTGAACACACACATCACAAAGTAGTTTCTGTGAATGATTCTGTCTAGTTTTTATAAGAAGATGTTTCCTTTTCTACCTTTGGTCTCAAAGCGATTGAAATCTCCACATGGAAACTCCTCAAAAAGAGTGTTTCAAATCTGCTCTTTCTGAAGGAAGGTTCAACTCTGTGAGTTGAATACACACACCACAAATAAGTTACTGAGAATTCTTCTGTGTAACATTTTATGAGGAAATCCCGTTTCCAACGAAGGCCTCAAAGAGGTCCAAATATCCACTTGCGGACATTACAAACAGTGTGTTTCCCAACTGCTCCATCAAAAGAAAGGTTAAACTCTGTGAGCTGAACACACACATCAAAAAGAAGTTTCTGTGAATGATTCTGTCTAGATTTTATAAGAAGATGTTTCCTTTTCTACCGTAGGCCTCAAAGCGCTTGAAATCTCCAGCTGCAAATTCCACAAAAAGGGTGTTTAACATCTGCTCTTCTAAAGGAAAGTTCAACTCTATGAGTTGAATACACACAGCACAAAGAAGTTACTGAGACTTCTCCTATCAAACATTATATGAAGAAATCCCGTTTCCAACGAAGGCCTCAAAGAGGTCCAAATGTCTGCTTGCAGACTTTACAGACAGAGTGTTTCCAAACTGCTCCATCAAAAGAAAGGTTAAACTCCTTGAGTTGAACACACACATCACAAAGTAGTTTCTGTGAATGATTCTGTCTAGTTTTTATACGAAGATGTTTCCTTTTCTACCTTTGGTCTCAAAGCGATTGAAATCTCCACATGGAAACTCCACAAAAAGAGTGTTTCAAATCTGCTCTTTCTGAAGGAAGGTTCAACTCTGTGAGTTGAATACACACACCACAAATAAGTTACTGAGAATTCTTCTGTGTAACATTATATGAGGAAATCCCGTTTCCAACGAAGGCCTCAAAGAGGTCCAAATATCCACTTGCAGACTTTACAAAGACAGTGTCTCCAAACTCCTCCATCAAAAGAAAGGTTATACTCTGTGAATTGAACGCACACATCACAAAGTAGTTTCTGAGAATGATTCTGTCTAGTTTTTATACGAAGATATTTCCTTTTCTACATTTGGCCTAAAAGCGCTTGAAATCTCCACCTGCAAATATCACAAAAAGAGGGTTTCACATCTGCTCTGTCTAAAGGACAGTTCACCTCTGTGAGTTGAATAGAGGCAACACAAAGAACTTACTCAGTATTCTTCTTTCTAGCGTTCTATGAAGAAATCCCGTTTCCAACGAAGGCCTCAAAGAGGTCCAAATATCTGCTTGCAGACTTTACAGACAGAGTGTTTCCAAACTACTCTATGAAGAAAAAGCTTAAACTCCTTGAGTTGAACGCACACATCACAAAGTAGTTTCTGAGAATGATTCTGTCTAGTTTTTATACGAAGATGTTTCCTTTTCTACATTTGGTCTCAAAGCGATTGAAATCTCCAACTGGAAACTGCACAAATAAGGTGTTTCAAATCTGCTCTGTCTAAAGGAAGGTTCAACTCTGTGAGTTGAATACACACACCACAAATAAGTTACTGAGAATTCTTCTGTCGAACATTACATGAAGAAATCCCGTTTCCAAAGAAGGCATCAAGGGGTCCAAATATCCACTTGCAGACATTACAAACAGAGTGTTTCCAAACTGCTCCATCAAAAGAAAGGTTAAACTCTGTGAGCTGAACACACACATCAAAGAGAAGTTTCTGTGAATGATTCTGTCTAGATTTTATAAGAAGATGTTTCCTTTTCTACCGTAGGCCTCAAAGCGCTTGAAATCTCCAGCTGCAAATTCCACAAAAAGGGTGTTTAACATCTGCTCTTCTAAAGGAAAGTTCAAGTCTATGAGTTGAATTCACACAGCACAAAGAAGTTACTGAGACTTCTCCTATCAAACATTATATGAAGAAATCCCGTTTCCAACGAAGGCCTCAAAGAGGTCCAAATATCTGCTTGCAGACTTTACAGACAGAGTGTTTCCAAACTACTCTATGAAAAGAAAGCTTAAACTCCTTGAGTTGAACGCACACATCACAAAGTAGTTTCTGAGAATGATTCTGTCTAGTTTTTATACGAAGATGTTTCCTTTTCTACATTTGGTCTCAAAGCGATTGAAATCTCCAACTGGAAACTGCACAAATAGGGTGTTTCAAATCTGCTCTGTCTAAAGGAAGGTTCAACTCTGTGAGTTGAATACACACACCACAAATAAGTTACTGAGAATTCTTCTGTCGAACATTACTTGAAGAAATCCCGTTTCCAACGAAGGCCTCAAAGAGGTCCAAATATCCACTTGCAGACATTACAAACAGAGTGTTTCCAAACTGCTCCATCAAAAGAAAGGTTAAACTCTGTGAGCTGAACACACACATCAAAAAGAAGTTTCTGTGAATGATTCTGTCAAGATTTTATAAGATGTTTCCATTTCTACCGTAGGACTCAAAGCGCTTGAAATCTCCAGCTGCAAATTCCACAAAAAGGGTGTTTAACATCTGCTCTTCTAAAGGAAAGTTCAACTCTATGAGTTGAATACACACAGCACAAAGAAGTTACTGAGACTTCTCCTATCAAACATTATATGAAGAAATCCCGTTTCCAACGAAGGCCTCAAAGAGGTCCAAATATCTGCTTGCAGACTTTAAAGACAGAGTTTTTCCAAACTGCTCCATCAAAAGAAAGGTTAAACTCCTTGAGTTGAAAACACACATCACAAAGTAGTTTCTGTGAATGATTCTGTCTAGTTTCTATACGAAGATGTTTCCTTTTCTACCTTTGGTCTCAAAGCGATTGAAATCTCCACATGGAAACTCCCCAAAAAGAGTGTTTCAAATCTGCTCTTTCTGAAGGAAGGTTCAACTCTGTGAGTTGAATACACACACCACAAATAAGTTCCTGAGAATTCTTCTGTGTAACATTATATGAGGAAATCCCGTTTCCAACGAAGGCCTCAAAGAGGTCCAAATATCCACTTGCAGACTTTACAAAGACAGTGTCTCCAAACTCCTCCATCAAAAGAAAGGTTATACTCTGTGAATTGAACGCACACATCACAAAGTAGTTTCTGAGAATGATTCTGTCTAGTTTTTATACGAAGATATTTCCTTTTCTACATTTGGCCTAAAAGCGCTTGAAATCTCCACCTGCAAATATCACAAAAAGAGGGTTTCACATCTGCTCTGTCTAAAGGACAGTTCACCTCTGTGAGTTGAATAGAGGCAACACAAAGAACTTACTCAGTATTCTTCTTTCTAGCATTCTATGAAGAAATCCCGTTTCCAACGAAGGCCCCAAAGAGGTCCAAATATCTGCTTGCAGACTTTACAGACAGAGTTTTTCCAAACTGCTCCATCAATAGAAAGGTTAAACTCCTTGAGTTGAACACACACATCACAAAGTAGTTTCTGTGAATGATTCTGTCTAGTTTTTATAAGAAGATGTTTCCTTTTCTACCTTTGGTCTCAAAGCGATTGAAATCTCCACATGGAAACTCCACAAAAAGAGTGTTTCAAATCTGCTCTTTCTGAAGGAAGGTTCAACTCTGTGAGTTGAATACACACACCACAAAGAAGTTACTGAGAATTCTTCTGTGTAACATTACATGAGGAAATCCCGTTTCCAACGAAGGCCTCAAAGAGGTCCAAATATCCACTTGCAGACTTTACAAAGACAGTGTCTCCAAACTCCTCCATCAAAAGAAAGGTTATACTCTGTGAATTGAACGCACACATCACAAAGTAGTTTCTGAGAATGATTCTGTCTAGTTTTTATACGAAGATATTTCCTTTTCTACATTTGGCCTCAAAGCGCTTGAAATCTCCACCTGCAAATATCACAAAAAGAGGGTTTCACATCTGCTCTGTCTAAAGGACAGTTCACCTCTGTGAGTTGAATAGAGGCAACACAAAGAACTTACTCAGTATTCTTCTTTCTACCGTTCTATGAAGAAATCCCGTTTCCAACGAAGGCCTCAAAGAGGTCCAAATATCTGCTTGCAGACTTTACAGACAGAGTGTTTCCAAACTACTCTATGAAAAGAAAGCTTAAACTCCTTGAGTTGAACGCACACATCACAAAGTAGTTTCTGAGAATGATTCTGTCTTGTTTTTATACGAAGATATTTCCGTTTCAATGATTGGCCTCAAAGCCATTGAAATCTCCAACTGGAAACTGCACAAATAGGGTGTTTCAAATCTGCTCTTTCTAAAGGAAGGTTCAACTCTGTGAGTTGAATACACACACCACAAATAAGTTACTGAGAATTCTTCTGTCAAACATTACAGGAAGAAATCCCGTTTCCAACGAAGGCCTCAAAGAGGTCCAAATATCCACTTGCAGACATTACAAACAGAGTGTTTCCAAACTGCTCCATCAAAAGAAAGGTTAAACTCGGTGAGCTGAACACACACATCAAAAAGAAGTTTCTGTGAATGATTCTGTCTAGATTTTATAAGAAGATGTTTCCTTTTCTACCGTAGGCCTCAAAGCGCTTGAAATCTCCAGCTGCAAATTCCACAAAAAGGGTGTTTAACATCTGCTCTTCTAAAGGAAAGTTCAACTCTATGAGTTGAATACACACAGCACAAAGAAGTTACTGAGACTTCTCCTATCAAACATTATATGAAGAAATCCCGTTTCCAACGAAGGCCTCAAAGAGGTCCAAATATCTGCTTGCAGACTTTACAGACAGAGTGTTTCCAAACTGCTCCATCAAAAGAAAGGTTAACCTCCTTGAGTTGAACACACACATCACAAAGTAGTTTCTGTGAATGATTCTGTCTAGTTTTTATACGAAGATGTTTCCTTTTCTACCTTTGGTCTCAAAGCGATTGAAATCTCCAAATGGAAACTCCACAAAAAGAGTGTTTCAAATCTGCTCTTTCTGAAGGAAGGTTCATCTCTGTGAGTTGAATACACACACCACAAATAAGTTACTGAGAATTCTTCTTTCTAGCGTTCTATGAAGAAATCCCGTTTCCAACGAAGGCCTCAAAGAGGTCCAAATATCTGCTTGCAGACTTTACAAAGACAGTGTCTCCAAACTCCTCCGTCAAAAGAAAGGTTATACTCTGTGAATTGAACGCACACATCACAAAGTAGTTTCTGAGAATGATTCTGTCTAGTTTTTATACGAGGATATTTCCTTTTCTACATTTGGCCTAAAAGCGCTTGAAATCTCCACCTGCAAATATCACAAAAAGAGGGTTTCACATCTGCTCTGTCTAAAGGACAGTTCACCTCTGTGAGTTGAATAGAGGCAACACAAAGAACTTACTCAGTATTCTTCTTTCTAGCATTCTATGAAGAAATCCCGTTTCCAACGAAGGCCCCAAAGAGGTCCAAATATCTGCTTGCAGACTTTACAAAGACAGTGTCTCCAAACTCCTCCATCAAAAGAAAGGTTATACTCTGTGAATTGAACGCACACATCACAAAGTAGTTTCTGAGAATGATTCTGTCTAGTTTTTATACGAAGATATTTCCTTTTCTACATTTGGCCTAAAAGCGCTTGAAATCTCCACCTGCAAATATCACAAAAAGAGGGTTTCACATCTGCTCTATCTAAAGGAGAGTTCACCTCTGTGAGTTGAATAGAGGCAATACAAAGAACTTACTCAGTATTCTTCTTTCTAGCGTTCTATGAAGAAATCCCGTTTCCAACGAAGGCCTCAAAGAGGTCAAATATCTGCTTGCAGACTTTACAGACAGAGTGTTTCCAAACTACTCTATGAAAAGAAAGCTTAAACTCCTTGAGTTGAACGCACACATCACAAAGTAGTTTCTGAGAATGATTCTGTCTAGTTTTTATACGAAGATGTTTCCTTTTCTACATTTGGTCTCAAAGCGATTGAAATCTCCAAATGGAAACTGCACAAATAGGGTGTTTCTAATCTGCTCTGTCTAAAGGAAGGTTCAACTCTGTGAGTTGAATACACACACCACAAATAAGTTACTGAGAATTCTTCTGTCGAACATTACATGAAGAAATCCCGTTTCCAACGAAGGCCTCAAAGAGGTCCAAATATCCACTTGCAGACATTACAAACAGAGTGTTTCCAAACTGCTCCATCAAAAGAAAGGTTAAACTCTGTGAGCTGAACACACACATCAAAAAGAAGTTTCTGTGAATGATTCTGTCTAGATTTTATAAGAAGATGTTTCCTTTTCTACCGTAGGCCTCAAAGCGCTTGAAATCTCCAGCTGCAAATTCCACAAAAAGGGTGTTTAACATCTGCTCTTCTAAAGGAAAGTTCAACTCTATGAGTTGAATACACACAGCACAAAGAAGTTACTGAGACTTCTCCTATCAAACATTATATGAAGAAATCCCGTTTCCAACGAAGGCCTCAAAGAGGTCCAAATATCTGCTTGCAGACTTTACAGACAGAGTGTTTCCAAACTGCTCCATCAAAAGAAAGGTTAAACTCCTTGAGTTGAACACACACATCACAAAGTAGTTTCTGTGAATGATTCTGTCTAGTTGTTATACGAAGATGTTTCCTTTTCTACCTTTGGTCTCAAAGCGATTGAAATCTCCACATGGAAACTCCACAAAAAGAGTGTTTCAAATCTGCTCTTTCTGAAGGAAGGTTCATCTCTGTGAGTTGAATACACACACCACAAATAAGTTACTGAGAATTCTTCTGTGTAACATTATATGAGGAAATCCCGTTTCCAACGAAGGCCTCAAAGAGGTCCAAATATCCACTTGCAGACTTTACAAAGACAGTGTCTCCAAACTCCTCCATCAAAAGAAAGGTTATACTCTGTGAATTGAACGCACACATCACAAAGTAGTTTCTGAGAATGCTTCTGTCTAGTTTTTATACGAAGTTATTTCCTTTTCTACATTTGGCCTAAAAGCGCTTGAAATCTCCACCTGCAAATATCACAAAAAGAGGGTTTCACATCTACTCTGTCTAAAGGACAGTTCACCTCTGTGAGTTGAATAGAGGCAACACAAAGAACTTACTCAGTATTCTTCTTTCTAGCGTTCTATGAAGAAATCCCGTTTCCAACGAAGACCCCAATGAGGTCCAAATATCTGCTTGCAGACTTTACAGACAGAGTGTTTCCAAACTACTCTATGAAAAGAAAGCTTAAACTCCTTGAGTTGAACGCACACATCACAAAGTAGTTTCTGAGAATGATTCTGTCTAGTTTTTATACGAAGATGTTTCCTTTTCTACATTTGGTCTCAAAGCGATTGAAATCTCCAACTGGAAACTGCACAAATAGGATGTTTCAAATCTGCTCTGTCTAAAGGAAGGTTCAACTCTGTGAGTTGAATACACACACCACAAATAAGTTACTGAGAATTCTTCTGTCGAACATTACTTGAAGAAATCCCGTTTCCAACGAAGGCCTCAAAGAGGTCCAAATATCCACTTGCAGACATTACAAACAGAGTGTTTCCAAACTGCTCCATCAAAAGAAAGGTTAAACTCTGTGAGCTGAACACACACATCAAAAAGAAGTTTCTGTGAATGATTCTGTCTAGATTTTATAAGAAGATGTTTCCTTTTCTACCATAGGCCTCAAAGCGCTTGAAATCTCCAGCTGCAAATTCCACAAAAAGGGTGTTTAACATCTGCTCTTCTAAAGGAAAGTTCAACTCTATGAGTTGAATACACACAGCACAAAGAAGTTACTGAGACTTCTCCTATCAAACATTATATGAAGAAATCCCGTTTCCAACGAAGGCCTCAAAGAGGTCCAAATATCTGCTTGCAGACTTTACAGACAGAGTGTTTCCAAACTGCTCCATCAAAAGAAAGGTGAAACTCCTTGAGTTGAACACACACATCACAAAGTAGTTTCTGTGAATGATTCTGTCTAGTTTTTATACGAAGATGTTTCCTTTTCTACCTTTGGTCTCAAAGCGATTGAAATCTCCACATGGAAACTCCACAAAAAGAGTGTTTCAAATCTGCTCTTTCTGAAGGAAGGTTCAACTCTGTGAGTTGAATACACACACCACAAATAAGTTACTGAGAATTCTTCTGTGTAACATTATATGAGGAAATCCCGTTTCCAACGAAGGCCTCAAAGAGGTCCAAATATCCACTTGCAGACTTTACAAAGACAGTGTCTCCAAACTCCTCCATCAAAAGAAAGGTTATACTCTGTGAATTGAACGCACACATCACAAAGTAGTTTGCTGAGAATGATTTCTGTCTAGTTTTATACGAAGATATTTCCTTTTCTACATTTGGCCTAAAAGCGCTTGAAATCTCCACCTGCAAATATCACAAAAAGAGGGTTTCACATCTGCTCTGTCTAAAGGACAGTTCACCTCTGTGAGTTGAATAGAGGCAACACAAAGAACTTACTCAGTATTCTTCTTTCTAGCGTTCTATGAAGAAATCCCGTTTCCAACGAAGGCCCCAAAGAGGTCCAAATATCTGCTTGCAGACTTTACAGACAGAGTGTTTCCAAACTACTCTATGAAAAGAAAGCTTAAACTCCTTGAGTTGAACGCACACATCACAAAGTAGTTTCTGAGAATGATTCTGTCTAGTTTTTATACGAAGATGTTTCCTTTTCTACATTTGGTCTCAAAGCGATTGAAATCTCCAACTGGAAACTGCACAAATAGGGTGTTTCAAATCTGCTCTGTCTAAAGGAAGGTTCAACTCTGTGAGTTGAATACACACACCACAAATAAGTTACTGAGAATTCTTCTGTCGACCATTACTTGAAGAAATCCCGTTTCCAACGAAGGCCTCAAAGAGGTCCAAATATCCACTTGCAGACATTACAAACAGAGTGTTTCCAAACTGCTCCATCAAAAGAAAGGTTAAACTCTGTGAGCTGAACACACACATCGAAAAGAAGTTTCTGTGAATGATTCTGTCTAGATTTTATAAGAAGATGTTTCCTTTTCTACCGTAGACCTCAAAGCGCTTGAAATCTCCAGCTGCAAATTCCACAAAAAGGGTGTTTAACATCTGCTCTTCTAAAGGAAAGTTCAACTCTATGAGTTGAATACACACAGCACAAAGAAGTTACTGAGAGTTCTCCTATCAAACATTATATGAAGAAATCCCGTTTCCAACGAAGGCCTCAAAGAGGTCCAAATATCTGCTTGCAGACTTTACAGACAGAGTTTTTCCAAACTGCTCCATCAAAAGAAAGGTTAAACTCCTTGAGTTGAACACACACATCACAATGTAGTTTCTGTGAATGATTCTGTCTAGTTTTTATACGAAGATGTTTCCTTTTCTACCTTTGGTCTCAAAGCGATTGAAATCTCCACATGGAAACTCCACAAAAAGAGTGTTTCAAATCTGCTCTTTCTGAAGGAAGGTTCAACTCTGTGAGTTGAATACACACACCACAAATAAGTTACTGAGAATTATTCTGTGTAACATTATATGAGGAAATCCCGTTTCCAACGAAGGCCTCAAAGAGGTCCAAATATCCACACGCAGACTTTACAAAGACAGTGTCTCCAAACTCCTCCATCAAAAGAAAGGTTATACTCTGTGAATTGTACGCACACATCACAAAGTAGTTTCTGAGAATGATTCTGTCTAGTTTTTATACGAAGATATTTCCTTTTCTACATTTGGCCTAAAAGCGCTTGAAATCTCCACCTGCAAATATCACAAAAAGAGGGTTTCACATCTGCTCTGTCTAAAGGACAGTTCACCTCTGTGAGTTGAATAGAGGCAACACGAAGAACTTACTCACTATTCTTCTTTCTAGCGTTCTATGAAGAAATCCCGTTTCCAACGAAGGCCTCAAAGAGGTCCAAATATCTGCTTGCAGACTTTACAGACAGAGTGTTTCCAAACTACTCTATGAAAAGAAAGCTTAAACTCCTTGAGTTGAACGCACACATCACAAAGTAGTTTCTGAGAATGATTCTGTCTAGTTTTTATACGAAGATGTTTCCTTTTCTACATTTGGTCTCAAAGCGATTGAAATCTCCAACTGGAAACTGCACAAATAGGGTGTTTCAAATCTGCTCTGTCTAAAGGAAGGTTCAACTCTGTGAGTTGAATACACACACCACAAATAAGTTACTGAGAATTCTTCTGTCGAACATTACTTGAAGAAATCCCGTTTCCAACGAAGGCCTCAAAGAGGTCCAAATATCCACTTGCAGACATTACAAACAGAGTGTTTCCAAACTGCTCCATCAAAAGAAAGGTTAAACTCTGTGAGCTGAACACACACATCAAAAAGAAGTTTCTGTGAATGATTCTGTCTAGATTTTATAAGAAGATGTTTCCTTTTCTACCGTAGGCCTCAAAGCGCTTGAAATCTCCAGCTGCAAATTCCACAAAAAGGGTGTTTAACATCTGCTCTTCTAAAGGAAAGTTCAACTCTATGAGTTGAATACACACAGCACAAAGAAGTTACTGAGACTTCTCCTATCAAACATTATATGAAGAAATCCCGTTTCCAACGAAGGCCTCAAAGAGGTCCAAATATCTGCTTGCAGACTTTACAGACAGAGTGTTTCCAAACTGCTCCATCAAAAGAAAGGTTAAACTCCTTGAGTTGAACACACACATCACAAAGTAGTTTCTGTGAATGATTCTGTCTAGTTGTTATACGAAGATGTTTCCTTTTCTACCTTTGGTCTCAAAGCGATTGAAATCTCCACATGGAAACTCCACAAAAAGAGTGTTTCAAATCTGCTCTTTCTGAAGGAAGGTTCATCTCTGTGAGTTGAATACACACACCACAAATAAGTTACTGAGAATTCTTCTGTGTAACATTATATGAGGAAATCCCGTTTCCAACGAAGGCCTCAAAGAGGTCCAAATATCCACTTGCAGACTTTACAAAGACAGTGTCTCCAAACTCCTCCATCAAAAGAAAGGTTATACTCTGTGAATTGAACGCACACATCACAAAGTAGTTTCTGAGAATGATTCTGTCTAGTTTTTATACGAAGATATTTCCTTTTCTACATTTGGCCTAAAAGCGCTTGAAATCTCCACCTGCAAATATCACAAAAAGAGGGTTTCACATCTGCTCTGTCTAAAGGACAGTTCACCTCTGTGAGTTGAATAGAGGCAACACAAAGAACTTACTCAGTATTCTTCTTTCTAGCGTTCTATGAAGAAATCCCGTTTCCAACGAAGGCCTCAAAGAGGTCAAATATCTGCTTGCAGACTTTACAGACAGAGTGTTTCCAAACTACTCTATGAAAAGAAAGCTTAAACTCCTTGAGTTGAACGCACACATCACAAAGTAGTTTCTGAGAATGATTCTGTCTAGTTTTTATACGAAGATGTTTCCCTTTCTACATTTGGTCTCAAAGCGATTGAAATCTCCAACTGGAAACTGCACACATAGGCTGTTTCAAATCTGCTCTGTCTAAAGGAAGGTTCAACTCTGTGAGTTGAATACACACACCACAAATAAGTTACTGAGAATTCTTCTGTCGAACATTACAGGAAGAAATCCCGTTTCCAACGAAGGCCTCAAAGAGGTCCAAATATCCACTTGCAGACATTACAAACAGTGTGTTTCCCAACTGCTCCATCAAAAGAAAGGTTAAACTCTGTGAGCTGAACACACACATCAAAAAGAAGTTTCTGTGAATGATTCTGTCTAGATTTTATAAGAAGATGTTTCCTTTTCTACCGTAGGCCTCAAAGCGCTTGAAATCTCCAGCTGCAAATTCCACAAAAAGGGTGTTTAACATCTGCTCTTCTAAAGGAAAGTTCAACTCTATGAGTTGAATACACACAGCACAAAGAAGTTACTGAGACTTCTCCTATCAAACATTATATGAAGAAATCCCGTTTCCAACGAAGGGCCTCAAAGAGGTCCAAATATCTGCTTGCAGACTTTACAGACAGAGTGTTTCCAAACTGCTCCATCAAAAGAAAGGTTAAACTCCTTGAGTTGAACACACACATCACAAAGTAGTTTCTGTGAATGATTCTGTCTAGTTTTTATACGAAGATGTTTCCTTTTCTACCTTTGGTCTCAAAGCGATTGAAATCTCCACATGGAAACTCCACAAAAAGAGTGTTTCAAATCTGCTCTTTCTGAAGGAAGGTTCAACTCTGTGAGTTGAATACACACACCACAAATAAGTTACTGAGAATTCTTCTGTGTAATATTATATGAGGAAATCCCGTTTCCAACGAAGGCCTCAAAGAGGTCCAAATATCCACTTGCAGACTTTACAAAGACAGTGTCTCCAAACTCCTCCATCAAAAGAAAGGTTATACTCTGTGAATTGAACACACACATCACAAAGTAGTTTCTGAGAATGATTTCTGTCTAGTTTTTATACGAAGATATTTCCTTTTCTACATTTGGCCTAAAAGCGCTTGAAATCTCCACCTGCAAATATCACAAAAAGAGGGTTTCACATCTGCTCTGCCTAAAGGACAGTTCACCTCTGTGAGTTGAATAGAGGCAACACAAAGAACTTACTCAGTATTCTTCTTTCTAGCGTTCTATGAAGAAATCCCGTTTCCAACGAAGGCCCCAAAGAGGTCCAAATATCTGCTTGCAGACTTTACAGACAGAGTGTTTCCAAACTACTCTATGAAAAGAAAGCTTAAACTCCTTGAGTTGAACGCACACATCACAAAGTAGTTTCTGAGAATGATTCTGTCTAGTTTTTATACGAAGATGTTTCCTTTTCTACATTTGGTCTCAAAGCGATTGAAATCTCCAACTGGAAACTGCACAGATAGGCTGTTTCAAATCTGCTCTGTCTAAAGGAAGGTTCAACTCTGTGAGTTGAATACACACACCACAAATAAGTTACTGAGAATTCTTCTGTCGAACATTACTTGAAGAAATCCCGTTTCCAACGAAGGCCTCAAAGAAGTCCAAATATCCACTTGCAGACATTACAAACAGAGTGTTTCCAAACTGCTCCATCAAAAGAAAGGTTAAACTCTGTGAGCTGAACACACACATCGAAAAGAAGTTTCTGTGAATGATTCTGTCTAGATTTTATAAGAAGATGTTTCCTTTTCTACCGTAGGCCTCAAAGCGCTTGAAATCTCCAGCTGCAAATTCCTCAAAAAGGGTGTTTAACATCTGCTCTTCTAAAGGAAAGTTCAACTCTATGAGTTGAATACACACAGCACAAAGAAGTTACTGAGACTTCTCCTATGAAACATTATATGAAGAAATCCCGTTTCCAACGAAGGCCTCAAAGAGGTCCAAATATCTGCTTGCAGACTTTACAGACAGAGTGTTTCCAAACTGCTCCATCAAAAGAAAGGTTAAACTCCTTGAGTTGAACACACACATCACAAAGTAGTTTCTGTGAATGATTCTGTCTAGTTGTTATACGAAGATGTTTCCTTTTCTACCTTTGGTCTCAAAGCGATTGAAATCTCCACATGGAAACTCCACAAAAAGAGTGTTTCAAATCTGCTCTTTCTGAAGGAAGGTTCATCTCTGTGAGTTGAATACACACACCACAAATAAGTTACTGAGAATTCTTCTGTGTAACATTATATGAGGAAATCCCGTTTCCAACGAAGGCCTCAAAGAGGTCCAAATATCCACTTGCAGACTTTACAAAGACAGTGTCTCCAAACTCCTCCATCAAAAGAAAGGTTATACTCTGTGAATTGAACGCACACATCACAAAGTAGTTTCTGAGAATGATTCTGTCTAGTTTTTATACGAAGATATTTCCTTTTCTACATTTGGCCAAAAAGCGCTTGAAATCTCCACCTGCAAATATCACAAAAAGAGGGTTTCACATCTGCTCTCTCTAAAGGACAGTTCACCTCTGTGAGTTGAATAGAGGCAACACAAAGAACTTACTCAGTATTCTTCTTTCTAGCGTTATATGAAGAAATCCCATTTCCAAAGAAGGCCTCAAAGAGGTCCAAATATCTGCTTGCAGAGTTTACAGACACAGTGTTTCCAAACTACTCTATGAAAAGAAAGCTTAAACTCCGTGAGTTGAACGCACACATCACTAAGTAGTTTTGGGGAATGATTCTGTCTTGTTTTTATATGAAGATATTTCCGTTTCTACGATTGGCCTCAAAGCGATTGAAATCTCCAACTGGAAACGGCAGAAATAGGGTGATTCAAATCTGCTCTGTCTAAAGGAAGGTTCAACTCTGTGAGTTGAATACACACACCACAAATAAGTTACTGAGAATTCTTCTGTCTAACATTATATGAAGAAATCCCGTTTCCAACGAAGGCCTCAAAGAGGTCCAAATATCCACTTGCAGACTTGTCAAACGGAGTGTTTCCAAACTGCACCATCAAAAGAAAGGTTAAGCTCTGTGAGCTGAACACACACATCACAAAGTAGTTTCTGTGAATGATTCTGTCTAGTTTTTATACGAAGAATGTTTCCTTTTCTACCTTTGGTCTCAAAGCGATTGAAATCTCCACATGGAAACTCCACAAAAAGAGTGTTTCAAATCTGCTCTTTCTGAAGGAAGTTTCAACTCTGTGAGTTGAATACACACACCACAAATAAGTTACTGAGAATTCTTCTGGGTAACATTATATGAGGAAATCCCGTTTCCAACGAAGGCCTCAAAGAGGTCCAAATATCCACTTGCAGACTTTACAAAGACAGTGTCTCCAAACTCCTCCATCAAAAGAAAGGTTATACTCTGTGAATTGAACGCACACATCACAAAGTAGTTTCTGAGAATGATTCTGTCTAGTTTTTATACGAAGATATTTCCTTTTCTACATTTGGCCTAAAAGCGCGTGAAATCTCCACCTGCAAATATCACAAAAAGAGGGTTTCACATCTGCTCTGTCTAAAGGACAGTTCACCTCTGTGAGTGGAATAGAGGCAACACAAAGAACTTACTCAGTATTCTTCTTTCTAGCGTTCTATGAAGAAATCCCGTTTCCAACGAAGGCCTCAAAGAGGTCCAAATATCTGCTTGCAGACTTTACAGACAGAGTGTTTCCAAACTACTCTATGAAAAGAAAGCTTAAATCCTTGAGTTGAACGCACACATCACAAAATAGTTTCTGAGAATGATTCTGCCTTGTTTTTATACCAAGATCTTTCCGTTTCTATGATTGGCCTCAAAGCGATTGAAATCTCCAACTGGAAACTGCACAAATAGGGTGTTTCAAATCTGCTCTGTCTAAAGGAAGGTTCAACTCTGTGAGTTGAATACACACACAACAAATAAGTTACTGAGAATTCTTCTGTTGAACATTACATGAAGAAATCCCGTTTCCAACGAAGGCCTCAAAGAGGTCCAAATATCCACTTGCAGACATTACAAACAGAGTGTTTCCAAACTGCTCCATCAAAGGAAAGGTTAAACTCTGTGAGCTGAACACACACATCAAAAAGAAGTTTCTGTGAATGATTCTGTCTAGATTTTATAAGAAGATGTTTCCTTTTCTACCGTAGGCCTCAAAGCGCTTGAAATCTCCAGCTGCAAATTCCACAAAAAGGGTGTTTAACATCTGCTCTTCTAAAGGAAAGTTCAACTCTATGAGTTGAATACACACAGCACAAAGAAGTTACTGAGACTTCTCCCATCAAACATTATATGAAGAAATCCCGTTTCCAACGAAGGCCTCAAAGAGGTCCAAATATCTGCTTGCAGACTTTACAGACAGAGTGTTTCCAAACTGCTCCATCAAAAGAAAGGTTAAACTCCTTGAGTTGAACACACACATCACAAAGTAGTTTCTGTGAATGATTCTGTCTAGTTTTTATACGAAGATGTTTCCTTTTCTACCTTTGGTCTCAAAGCGATTGAAATCTCCACATGGAAACTCCACAAAAAGAGTGTTTCAAATCTGCTCTTTCTGAAGGAAGGTTCAACTCTGTGAGTTGAATACACACACCACAAATAAGTTACTGAGAATTCTTCTGTGTAACATTATATGAGGAAATCCCGTTTCCAACGAAGGCCTCAAAGAGGTCCAAATATCCACTTGCAGACTTTACAAAGACAGTGTCTCCAAACTCCTCCATCAATAGAAAGGTTATACTCTGTGAATTGAACGCACACATCACAAAGTAGTTTCTGAGAATGATTCTGTCTAGTTTTTATACGAAGATATTTCCTTTTCTACATTTGGCCTAAAAGCGCTTGAAATCTCCACCTGCAAATATCACAAAAAGAGGGTTTCACATCTGCTCTGTCTAAAGGACAGTTCACCTCTGTGAGTTGAATAGAGGCAACACAAAGAAGTTACTGAGTATTCTTCTTTCTAGCGTTATATGAAGAAATCCCGTTTCCAACGAAGGCCTCAAAGAGGTCCAAATATCTGCTTGCAGACTTTACAGACAGAGTGTTTCCAAACTACTCTATGAAAAGAAAGCTTAAACTCCTTGAGTTGAACGCACACATCACAAAGTAGTTTCTGAGAATGATTCTGTCTAGTTTTTATACGAAGATGTTTCCTTTTCTACATTTGGTCTCAAAGCGATTGAAATCTCCAACTGGAAACTGCACAAATAGGGTGTTTCAAATCTGCTCTGTCTAAAGGAAGGTTCAACTCTGTGAGTTGAATACACACACCACAAATAAGTTACTGAGAATTCTTCTGTCGAACATTACTTGAAGAAATCCCGTTTCCAACGAAGGCCTCAAAGAGGTCCAAATATCCACTTGCAGACATTACAAACAGAGTGTTTCCAAACTGTTCCATCAAAAGAAAGGTTAAACTCTGTGAGCTGAACACACACATCAAAAAGAAGTTTCTGTGAATGATTCTGTCTAGATTTTATAAGAAGATGTTTCCTTTTCTACCGTAGGCCTCAAAGCGCTTGAAATCTCCACCTGCAAATTCCACAAAAAGGGTGTTTAACTTCTGCTCTTCTAAAGGAAAGTTCAACTCTATGCGTTGAATACACACAGCACAAAGAAGTTACTGAGACTTCTCCTATCAAACATTATATGAAGAAATCCCGTTTCCAACGAAGGCCTCAAAGAGGTCCAAATATCTGCTTGCAGACTTTACAGACAGAGTGTTTCCAAACTGCTCCATCAAAAGAAAGGTTAAACTCCTTGAGTTGAACACACACATCACAAAGTAGTTTCTGTGAATGATTCTGTCTAGTTGTTATACGAAGATGTTTCCTTTTCTACCTTTGGTCTCAAAGCGATTGAAATCTCCACATGGAAACTCCACAAAAAGAGTGTTTCAAATCTGCTCTTTCTGAAGGAAGGTTCATCTCTGTGAGTTGAATACACACACCAAAAATAAGTTACTGAGAATTCTTCTGTGTAACATTATATGAGGAAATCCCGTTTCCAACGAAGGCCTCAAAGAGGTCCAAATATCCACTTGCAGACTTTACAAAGACAGTGTCTCCAAACTCCTCCATCAAAAGAAAGGTTATACTCTGTGAATTGAACGCACACATCACAAAGTAGTTTCTGAGAATGATTCTGTCTAGTTTTTATACGAAGATATTTCCTTTTCTACATTTGGCCTAAAAGCGCTTGAAATCTCCACCTGCAAATATCACAAAAAGAGGGTTTCACATCTGCTCTGTCTAAAGGACAGTTCACCTCTGTGAGTTGAATAGAGGCAACACAAAGAACTTACTCAGTATTCTTCTTTCTAGCGTTCTATGAAGAAATCCCGTTTCCAACGAAGGCCTCAAAGAGGTCAAATATCTGCTTGCAGACTTTACAGACAGAGTGTTTCCAAACTACTCTATGAAAAGAAAGCTTAAACTCCTTGAGTTGAACGCACACATCACAAAGTAGTTTCTGAGAATGATTCTGTCTAGTTTTTATACGAAGATGTTTCCCTTTCTACATTTGGTCTCAAAGCGATTGAAATCTCCAACTGGAAACTGCACAAATAGGCTGTTTCAAATCTGCTCTGTCTAAAAGAAGGTTCAACTCTGTGAGTTGAATACACACACCACAAATAAGTTACTGAGAATTCTTCTGTCGAACATTACAGGAAGAAATCCCGTTTCCAACGAAGACCACAAAGAGGTCCAAATATCCACTTGCAGACATTACAAACAGTGTGTTTCCCAACTGCTCCATCAAAAGAAAGGTTAAACTCTGTGAGCTGAACACACACATCAAAAAGAAGTTTCTGTGAATGATTCTGTCTAGATTTTATAAGAAGATGTTTCCTTTTCTACCGTAGGCCTCAAAGCGCTTGAAATCTCCAGCTGCAAATTCCACAAAAAGGGTGTTTAACATCTGCTCTTCTAAAGGAAAGTTCAACTCTATGAGTTGAATACACACAGCACAAAGAAGTTACTGAGACTTCTCCTATCAAACATTATATGAAGAAATCCCGTTTCCAACGAAGGCCTCAAAGAGGTCCAAATATCTGCTTGCAGACTTTACAGACAGAGTGTTTCCAAACTGCTCCATCAAAAGAAAGGTTAAACTCCTTGAGTTGAACACACACATCACAAAGTAGTTTCTGTGAATGATTCTGTCTAGTTTTTATACGAAGATGTTTCCTTTTCTACCTTTGGTCTCAAAGCGATTGAAATCTCCACATGGAAACTCCACAAAAAGAGTGTTTCAAATCTGCTCTTTCTGAAGGAAGGTTCATCTCTGTGAGTTGAATACACACACCACAAATAAGTTACTGAGAATTCTTCTGTGTAACATTATATGAGGAAATCCCGTTTCCAACGAAGGCCTCAAAGAGGTCCAAATATCCACTTGCAGACTTTACAAAGACAGTGTCTCCAAACTCCTCCATCAAAAGAAAGGTTATACTCTGTGAATTGAACGCACACATCACAAAGTAGTTTCTGAGAATGATTCTGTCTAGTTTTTATACGAAGATATTTCCTTTTCTACATTTGGCCTAAAAGCGCTTGAAATCTCCACCTGCAAATATCACAAAAAGAGGGTTTCACATCTGCTCTGTCTAAAGGACAGTTCACCTCTGTGAGTTGAATAGAGGCAACACAAAGAACTTACTCAGTATTCTTCTTTCTAGCATTCTATGAAGAAATCCCGTTTCCAACGAAGGCCCCAAAGAGGTCCAAATATCTGCTTGCAGACTTTACAGACAGAGTTTTTCCAAACTGCTCCATCAAAAGAAAGGTTAAACTCCTTGAGTTGAACACACACATCACAAAGTAGTTTCTGTGAATGATTCTGTCTAGTTTTTATAAGAAGATGTTTCCTTTTCTACCTTTGGTCTCAAAGCGATTGAAATCTCCACATGGAAACTCCACAAAAAGAGTGTTTCAAATCTGCTCTTTCTGAAGGAAGGTTCAACTCTGTGAGTTGAATACAGACACCACAAATAAGTTACTGAGAATTCTTCTGGGTAACATTATATGAGGAAATCCCGTTTCCAACGAAGGCCTCAAAGAGGTCCAAATATCCACTTGCAGACTTTACAAAGACAGTGTCTCCAAACTCCTCCATCAAAAGAAAGGTTATACTCTGTGAATTGAACGCACACATCACAAAGTAGTTTCTGAGAATGATTCTGTCTAGTTTTTATAAGAAGATATTTCCTTTTCTACATTTGGCCTAAAAGCGCTTGAAATCTCCACCTGCAAATATCACAAAAAGAGGGTTTCACATCTGCTCTGTCTAAAGGACAGTTCACCTCTGTGAGTTGAATAGAGGCAACACAAAGAACTTACTCAGTATTCTTCTTTCTAGCGTTCTATGAAGAAATCCCGTTTCCAATGAAGACCCCAATGAGGTCCAAATATCTGCTTGCAGACTTTACAGACAGAGTGTTTCCAAACTACTCTATGAAAAGAAAGCTTAAACTCCTTGAGTTGAACGCACACATCACCAAGTAGTTTCTGAGAATGATGCTGTCTAGTTTTTGTACGAAGATGTTTCCTTTTCTACATTTGGTCTCAAAGCCATTGAAATCTCCAACTGGAAACTGCACAAATAGGGTGTTTCAAATCTGCTCTGTCTAAAGGAAGGTTCAACTCCTGTGAGTTGAATACACACACCATAAATAAGTTACTGAGAATTCTTCTGTCGAACATTACAGGAAGAAATCCCGTTTCCAACGAAGGCCTCAAAGAGGTCCAAATATCCACTTGCAGACATTACAAACAGAGTGTTTCCAAACTGCTCCATCAAAAGAAAGGTTAAACTCTGTGAGCTGAACACACACATCAAAAAGAAGTTTCTGTGAATGATTCTGTCTAGATTTTATAAGAAGATGTTTCCTTTTCTACCGTAGGCCTCAAAGCGCTTATAATCTCCAGCTGCAAATTCCACAAAAAGGGTGTTTAACATCTGCTCTTCTAAAGGAAAGTTCAACTCTATGAGTTGAATACACACAGCACAAAGAAGTTACTGAGACTTCTCCTATCAAACATTATATGAAGAAATCCCGTTTCCAACGAAGGCCTCAAAGAGGTCCAAATATCCACTTGCAGACATTACAAACAGAGTGTTTCCAAACTGCTCCATCAAAAGAAAGGTTAAACTCTGTGAGCTGAACACACACATCAAAAAGAAGTTTCTGTGAATGATTCTGTCTAGATTTTGTAAGAAGATGTTTCCTTTTCTACCGTAGGCCTCAAAGCGCTTGAAATCTCCAGCTGCAAATTCCACAAAGAGGGTGTTTAACATCTTCTCTTCTAAAGGAAAGTTCAACCCTATGCGTTGAATACACACAGCAGAAAGAAGTTACTGAGACTTCTCCTATCAAACATTATATGAAGAAATGCCGTTTCCAACGAAGGCCTCAAAGAGGTCCAAATATCTGCTTGCAGACTTTACAGACAGAGTGTTTCCAAACTCCTCCATCAAAAGAAAGGTTAAACTCCTTGAGTTGAACACACACATCACAAAGTAGTTTCTGTGAATGATTCTGTCTAGTTTTTATACGAAGATGTTTCCTTTTCTACCTTTGGTCTCAAAGCGATTGAAATCTCCACATGGAAACTCCACAAAAAGAGTGTTTCAAATCTGCTCTTTCTGAAGGAAGGTTCAACTCTGTGAGTTGAATACACACGCCACAAATAAGTTACTGAGAATTCTTCTGTGTAACATTATATGAGGAAATCCCATTTCCAACGAAGGCCTCAAAGAGGTCCCAATATCCACATGCAGACTTTACAAAGACAGTGTCTCCAAACTCCTCCATCAAAAGAAAGGTTATACTCTGTGAATTGAACGCACACATCACAAAGTAGTTTCTGAGAATGATTCTGTCTAGTTTTTATACGAAGATATTTCCTTTTCTACATTTGGCCTAAAAGGGCTTGAAATCTCCACCTGCAAATATCACAAAAAGAGGGTTTCACATCTGCTCTGTCTAAAGGACAGTTCACCTCTGTGAGTTGAATAGAGGCAACACAATGAACTTACTCAGTATTCTTCTTTCTAGCGTTCTATGAAGAAATCCCGTTTCCAACGAAGGCCTCAAAGAGGTCCAAATATCTGCTTGCACACTTTACAGACAGAGTGTTTCCAAACTACTCTATGAAAAGAAAGCTTAAACTCCTTGAGTTGAACGCACACATCACAAAGTAGTTTCTGAGAATGATTCTGTCCAGTTTTTATACGAAGATGTTTCCTTTTCTACATTTGGTCTCAAAGCGATTGAAATCTCCAACTGGAAACTGCACAAATAGGGTGTTTCAAATCTGCTCTTTGTAAAGGAAGGTTCAACTCTGTGAGTTGAATACACACACCACAAATAAGTTACTGAGAATTCTTCTGTCGAACATTACATGAAGAAATCCCGTTTCCAACGAAGGCCTCAAAGAGGTCCAAATATCCACTTGCAGACATTACAAACAGAGTGTTTCCAAACTGCTCCATCAAAAGAAAGGTTAAACTCTGTGAGCTGAACACACACATCAAAAAGAAGTTTCTGTGAATGATTCTGACTAGATTTTATAAGAAGATATTTCCTTTTCTACCGTAGGCCTCAAAGCGCTTGAAATCTCCAGCTGCAAATTCCACAAAAAGGGTGTTTAACATCTGCTCTTCTAAAGGAAAGTTCAACTCTATGAGTTGAATACACACAGCACAAAGAAGTTACTGAGATTTCTCCTATCAAACATTATATGAAGAAATCCCGTTTCCAACGAAGGCCTCAAAGAGGTCCAAATATCTGCTTGCAGACTTTACAGACAGAGTGTTTCCAAACTGCTCCATCAAAAGAAAGGTTAAACTCCTTGAGTTGAACACACACATCACAAAGTAGTTTCTGTGAATGATTCTGTCTAGTTTTTATACGAAGATGTTTCCTTTTCTACCTTTGGTCTCAAAGCGATTGAAATCTCCAAATGGAAACTCCACAAAAAGAGTGTTTCAAATCTGCTCTTTCTGAAGGAAGGTTCATCTCTGTGAGTTGAATACACACACCACAAATAAGTTACTGAGAATTCTTCTGTGTAACATTATATGAGGAAATCCCGTTTCCAACGAAGGCCACAAAGAGATCCAAATATCCACTTGCAGACTTTACAAAGACAGTGTCTCCAAACTCCTCCATCAAAAGAAAGGTTATACTCCGTGAATTGAACGCACACATCACAAAGTAGTTTCTGAGAATGATTCTGTCTAGTTTTTATACGAAGATATTTCCTTTTCTACATTTGGCCTAAAAGCGCTTGAAATCTCCACCTGCAAATATCACAAAAAGAGGGTTTCACATCTGCTCTGTCTGAAGGACAGTTCACCTCTGTGAGTTGAATAGAGGCAACACAAAGAACTTACTCAGTATTCTTCTTTCTAGCGTTCTATGAAGAAATCCCGTTTCCAACGAAGGCCCCAAAGAGGTCCAAATATCTGCTTGCAGACTTTACAGACAGAGTGTTTCCAAACTACTCTATGAAAAGAAAGCTTAAACTCCTTGAGTTGAACGCACACATCACAAAGTAGTTTCTGAGAATGATTCTGTCTAGTTTTTATACGAAGATGTTTCCTTTTCTACATTTGGTCTCAAAGCGATTGAAATCTCCAACTGGAAACTGCACAAATAGGGTGTTTCAAATCTGCTCTGTCTAAAGGAAGGTTCAACTCTGTGAGTTGAATACACACACCACAAATAAGTTACTGAGAATTCTTCTGTCGAACATTACTTGAAGAAATACCGTTTCCAAAGAAGGCCTCAAAGAGGTCAAAATATCCACTTGCAGACATTACAAACAGAGTGTTTCAAAACTGCTCCATCAAAAGAAAGGTTAAACTCTGTGAGCTGAACACACACATGAAAAAGAAGTTTCTGTGAATGATTCTGTCTAGATTTTATAAGAAGATGTTTCCTTTTCTACCGTAGGCCTCAAAGCGCTTGAAATCTCCAGCTGCAAATTCTACAAAAAGGGTGTTTAACATCTGCTCTTCTAAAGGAAAGTTCAACTCTATGCGTTGAATAAACACAGCAGAAAGAAGTTACTGAGACTTCTCCTATCAAACATTATATGAAGAAATCCCGTTTCCAACGAAGGCCCCAAAGAGGTCCAAATATCTGCTTGCAGACTTTACAGACAGAGTTTTTCCAAACAGCTCCATCAAAAGAAAGGTTAAACTCCTTGAGTTGAACACACACATCACAAAGTAGTTTCTGTGAATGATTCTGTCTAGTTTTTATACGAAGATGTTTCCTTTTCTACCTTTGGTCTCAAAGCGATTGAAATCTCCACATGGAAACTCCACAAAAAGATTGTTTCAAATCTGCTCTTTCTGAAGGAAGGTTCAACTCTGTGAGTTGAATACACACACCACAAATAAGTTACTGAGAATTCTTCTGTGTAACATTATATGAGGAAATCCCGTTTCCAACGAAGGCCTCAAAGAGGTCCAAATATCCACTTGCAGACTTTACAAAGACAGTGTCTCCAAACTCCTCCATCAAAAGAAAGGTTATACTCTGTGAATTGAACGCACACATCACAAAGTAGTTTCTGAGAATGATTCTGTCTAGTTTTTATACGAAGATATTTCCTTTTCTACATTTGGCCTAAAAGCGCTTGAAATCTCCACCTGCAAATATCACAAAAAGAGGGTTTCACATCTGCTCTGTCTAAAGGACAGTTCACCTCTGTGAGTTGAATAGAGGCAACACAAAGAACTTACCCAGTATTCTTCTTTCTAGCGTTATATGAAGAAATCCCGTTTCAAACGAAGGCCTCAAAGAGGTCCAAATATCTGCTTGCAGACTTTACAGACAGAGTGTTTCCAAAGTACTCTATGAAAAGAAAGCTTAAACTCCTTGAGTTGAACGCACCCATTGCAAAGTAGTTTCTGAGAATGATTCTGTCTTGTTTTTATACGAAGATATTTCCGTTTCTATGATTGGCCTCAAAGCCATTGAAATCTCCAACTGGAAGCTGCACAAATAGGGTGTTTCCAATCTGCTCTGTCTAAAGGAAGGTACAACTCTGTGAGTTGAACACACACACCACAAATAAGTTACTGAGAATTCTTCTGTCGAACATTACATGAAGAAATCCCGTTTCCAACGAAGGCCTCAAAGAGGTGCAATTATCCACTTGCAGACATTACAAACAGAGTGTTTCCAAACTGCTCCATCAAAAGAATGGTTAAACTCTGTGAGCTGAACACACACATCAAAAAGAAGTTTCTGTGAATGATTCTGTCTAGATTTTATAGGAAGATGTTTCCTTTTCTACCATAGGCCTCAAAGCGCTTGAAATCTCCATCTGCAAATTCCACAAAAAGGGTGTTTAACATCTGCTCTTCTAAAGGAAAGTTCAACTCTATGAGTTGAATACACACAGCACAAAGAAGTTACTGAGACTTCTCCTATCAAACATTATATGAAGAAATCCCGTTTCCAACGAAGGCCTCAAAGAGGTCCAAATATCTGCTTGCAGACTTTACAGACAGAGTGTTTCCAAACTGCTCCATCAAAAGAAAGGTTAAACTCCTTGAGTTGAACACACACATCACAAAGTAGTTTCTGTGAATGATTCTGTCTAGTTGTTATACGAAGATGTTTCCTTTTCTACCTTTGGTCTCAAAGCGATTGAAATCTCCACATGGAAACTCCACAAAAAGAGTGTTTCAAATCTGCTCTTTCTGAAGGAAGGTTCATCTCTGTGAGTTGAATACACACACCACAAATAAGTTACTGAGAATTCTTCTGTGTAACATTATATGAGGAAATCCCGTTTCCAACGAAGGCCTCAAAGAGGTCCAAATATCCACTTGTAGACTTTACAAAGACAGTGTCTCCAAACTCCTCCATCAAAAGAAAGGTTATACTCTGTGAATTGAACGCACACATCACAAAGTAGTTTCTGAGAATGATTCTGTCTAGTTTTTATACGAAGATATTTCCTTTTCTACATTTGGCCTAAAAGCGCTTGAAATCTCCACCTGCAAATATCACAAAAAGAGGGTTTCACATCTGCTCTGTCTAAAGGACAGTTCACCTCTGTGAGTTGAATAGAGGCAACACAAAGAACTTACTCAGTATTCTTCTTTCTAGCGTTCTATGAAGAAATCACGTTTCCAACGAAGGCCCCAATGAGGTCCAAATATCTGCTTGCAGACTTTACAGACAGAGTGTTTCCAAACTACACTATGAAAAGAAAGCTTAAACTTCTTGAGTTGAACGCACACATCACAAAGTAGTTTCTGAGAATGATTCTGTCTAGTTTTTATACGAAGATGTTTCCTTTTCTACATTTGGTCTCAAAGCGATTGAAATCTCCAACTGGAAACTGCACAAATAGGGTGTTTCAAATCTGCTCTGTCTAAAGGAAGGTTCAACTCTTTGAGTTGAATACACACACCACAAATAAGTTACTGAGAATTCTTCTGTCGACCATTACTTGAAGAAATCCCGTTTCCAACGAAGGCCTCAAAGAGGTCCAAATATCCACTTGCAGACATTACAAACAGAGTGTTTCCAAACTGCTCCATCAAAAGAAAGGTTAAACTCTGTGAGCTGAACACACACATCAAAAAGAAGTTTCTGTGAATGATTCTGTCTAGATTTTATAAGAAGATGTTTCCTTTTCTACCGTAGGCCTCAAAGCGCTTGAAATCTCCAGCTGCAAATTCCACAAAAAGGGTGTTTAACATCTGCTCTTCTAAAGGAAAGTTCAACTCTATGAGTTGAATACACACAGCACAAAGAAGTTACTGAGACTTCTCCTATCAAACATTATATGAAGAAATCCCGTTTCCAACGAAGGCCTCAAAGAGGTCCAAATATCTGCTTGCAGACTTTACAGACAGAGTGTTTCCAAACTGCTCCATCAAAAGAAAGGTTAAACTCCTTGAGTTGAACACACACATCACAAAGTAGTTTCTGTGAATGATTCTGTCTAGTTTTTATACGAAGATGTTTCCTTTTCTACCTTTGGTCTCAAAGCGATTGAAATCTCCACATGGAAACTCCACAAAAAGAGTGTTTCAAATCTGCTCTTTCTTAAGGAAGGTTCAACTCTGTGAGTTGAATACACACACCACAAATAAGTTACTGAGAATTCTTCTGTGTAACATTATATGAGGAAATCCCGTTTCCAACGAAGGCCTCAAAGAGGTCCAAATATCCACTTGCAGACTTTACAAAGACAGTGTCTCCAAACTCCTCCATCAAAAGAAAGGTTATACTCTGTGAATTGAACGCACACATCACAAAGTAGTTTCTGAGAATGATTCTGTCTAGTTTTTATACGAAGATATTTCCTTTTCTACATTTGGCCTAAAAGCGCTTGAAATCTCCACCTGCAAATATCACAAAAAGAGGGTTTCACATCTGCTCTGTCTAAAGGACAGTTCACCTCTGTGAGTTGAATAGAGGCAACACAAAGAACTTACTCACTATTCTTCTTTCTAGCGTTCTATGAAGAAATCCCGTTTCCAACGAAGGCCCCAAAGAGGTCCAAATATCTGCTTGCAGACTTTACAGACAGAGTGTTTCCAAAGTACTCTATGAAAAGAAAGCTTAAACTCCTTGAGTTGTACGCACACATCACAAAGTAGTTTCTGAGAATGATTCTGTCTAGTTTTTATACGAAGATGTTTCCTTTTCTACATTTGGTCTCAAAGCGATTGAAATCTCCAACTGGAAACTGCACAAATAGGGTGTTTCAAATCTGCTCTGTCTAAAGGAAGGTTCAACTCTGTGAGTTGAATACACACACCACAAATAAGTTACTGAGAATTCTTCTGTCGAACATTACAGGAAGAAATCCCGTTTCCAACGAAGGCCTCAAAGAGGTCCAAATATCCACTTGCAGACATTACAAACAGAGTGTTTCCAAACTGCTCCATCAAAAGAAAGGTTAAACTCTGTGAGCTGAACACACACATCAAAAAGAAGTTTCTGTGAATGATTCTGTCTAGATTTTATAAGAAGATGTTTCCTTTTCTACCGTAGGCCTCAAAGCGCTTGAAATCTCCAGCTGCAAATTCCACAAAAAGGGTGTTTAACATCTGCTCTTCTAAAGGAAAGTTCAACTCTATGAGTTGAATACACACAGCACAAAGAAGTTACTGAGACTTCTCCTATCAAACATTATATGAAGAAATCCCGTTTCCAAAGAAGGCCCCAAAGCAGTCCAAATATCCACTTGCAGACGTGAAAAACAGAGTGTTTCCAAACTGCCATATCAAAAGAAAGGTTAAACTCTGTGAGCTGAACACACACATCACAAAGTAGTTTCTGTGAATGATTCTGTCTAGTTTTTATAGGAAGATGTTTCCTTTTCTACCTTTGGTCTCAAAGCGATTGAAATCTCCACATGGAAACTCCACAAAAAGAGTGTTTCAAATCTGCTCTTTCTGAAGGAAGGTTCAACTGTGTGAGTTGAATACACACACCACAAATAAGTTACTGAGAATTCTCCCTGTGTAACATTATATGAGGAAATCCCGTTTCCAACAAAGGCCTCAAAGAGGTCCAAATATCCACTTGCAGACTTTACAAAGACAGTGTCTCCAAACTCCTCCATCAAAAGAAAGGTTATACTCTGTGAATTGAACGCACACATCACAAAGTAGTTTCTGAGAATGATTCTGTCTAGTTTTTATACGAAGATATTTCCTTTTCTACATTTGGCCTAAAAGCGCTTGAAATCTCCACCTGCAAATATCACAAAAAGAGGGTTTCACATCTGCTCTGTCTAAAGGACAGTTCACCTCTGTGAGTTGAATAGAGGCAACACAAAGAACTTACTCAGCATTCTTCTTTCCAGCGTTCTATGAAGAATTCCCGTTTCCAACGAAGGCCTCAAAGAGGTCCAAATATCTGCTTGCAGACTTTACAGACAGAGTGTTTCCAAACTACTCTATGAAAAGAAAGCTTAAACTCCGTGAGTTGAATGCACACATCACAAAGTAGTTTCTGAGAATGATTCTGTCTAGTTTTTATACGAAGATGTTTCCTTTTCTACATTTGGTCTCAAAGCGATTGAAATCTCCAACTGGAAACTGCACAAATAGGGTGTTTCAAATCTGCTCTGTCTAAAGGAAGGTTCAACTCTGTGAGTTGAATACACACACCACAAATAAGTTACTGAGAATTCTTCTGTCGAACATTACAGGAAGAAATCCCGTTTCCAACGAAGGCCTCAAAGAGGTCCAAATATCCACTTGCAGACATTACAAACAGAGTGTTTCCAAACTGCTCCATCAAAAGAAAGGTTAAACTCTGTGAGCTGAACACACACATCAAAAAGAAGTTTCTGTGAATGATTCTGTCTAGATTTTATAAGAAGATGTTTCCTTTTCTACCGTAGGCCTCAAAGCGCTTGAAATCTCCAGCTGCAAATTCCACAAAAAGGGTGTTTAACATCTGCTCTTCTAAAGGAAAGTTCAACTCTATGAGTTGAATACACACAGCACAAAGAAGTTACTGAGACTTCTCCTATCAAACATTATATGAAGAAATCCCGTTTCCAACGAAGGCCTCAAAGAGGTCCAAATATCTGCTTGCAGACTTTACAGACAGAGTTTTTCCAAACTGCTCCATCAAAAGAAAGGTTAAACTCCTTGAGTTGAACACACACATCACAAAATAGTTTCTGTGAATGATTCTGTCTAGTTTTTATACGAAGATGTTTCCTTTTCTACCTTTGGTCTCAAAGCGATTGAAATCTCCACATGGAAACTCCACAAAAAGAGTGTTTCAAATCTGCTCTTTCTGAAGGAAGGTTCAACTCTGTGAGTTGAATACACACACCACAAATAAGTTACTGAGAATTCTTCTGTGTAACATTATATGAGGAAATCCCGTTTCCAACGAAGGCCTCAAAGAGGTCCAAATATCCACTTGCAGACTTTACAAAGACAGTGTCTCCAAACTCCTCCATCAAAAGAAAGGTTATACTCTGTGAATTGAACGCACACATCACAAAGTAGTTTCTGAGAATGATTCTGTCTAGTTTTTATACGAAGATATTTCCTTTTCTACATTTGGCCTAAAAGCGCTTGAAATCTCCACCTGCAAATATCACAAAAAGAGGGTTTCACATCTGCTCTGTCTAAAGGACAGTTCACCTCTGTGAGTTGAATAGAGGCAACACAAAGAACTTACTCAGTATTCTTCTTTCTAGCGTTCTATGAAGAAATCCCGTTTCCAACGAAGGCCTCAAAGAGGTCAAAGATCTGCTTGCAGACTTTACAGACAGAGTGTTTCCAAACTACTCTATGAAAAGAAAGCGTAAACTCCTTGAGTTGAACGCACACATCACAAAGTAGTTTCTGAGAATGATTCTGTCTAGTTTTTATACGAAGATGTTTCCTTTTCTACATTTGGTCTCAAAGCTCTTGAAATCTCCAACTGGAAACTGCACAAATAGGCTGTTTCAAATCTGCTCTGTCTAAAGGAAGGTTCAACTCTGTGAGTTGAATACACACACCACAAATAAGTTACTGAGAATTCTTCTGTCGAACATTACTTGAAGAAATCCCGTTTCCAACGAAGGCCTCAAAGAGGTCCAAATATCCACTTGCAGACGTTACAAACAGAGTGTTTCCAAACTGCTCCATCAAAAGAAAGGTTAAACTCTGTGAGCTGAACACACACATCAAAAAGAAGTTTCTGTGAATGATTCTGTCTAGATTTTCTAAGAAGATGTTTCCTTTTCTACCGTAGGCCTCAAAGCGCTTGAAATCTCCAGCTGCAAATTCCACAAAAAGGGTGTTTAACATCTGCTCTTCTAAAGGAAAGTTCAACTCAATGAGTTGAATACACACAGCACAAAGAAGTTACTGAGACTTCTCCTATCAAACATTATATGAAGAAATCCCGTTTCCAACGAAGGCCTCAAAGAGGTCCAAATATCTGCTTGCAGACTTTAAAGACAGAGTTTTTCCAAACTGCTCCATCAAAAGAAAGGTTAAACTCCTTGAGTTGAACACACACATCACAAAGTAGTTTCTGTGAATGATTCTGTCTAGTTTTTATACGAAGATGTTTCCTTTTCTAGCTTTGGTCTCAAAGCGATTGAAATCTCCACATGGAAACTCCACAAAAAGAGTGTTTCAAATCTGCTGTTTCTGAAGGAAGGTTCAACTCTGTGAGTTGAATACACGCACCACAAATAAGTTACTGGGAATTCTTCTGTGTAAAATTATATGAGGAAATCCCGTTTCCAACGAAGGCCTCAAAGAGGTCCAAATATCCACTTGCAGACTTTACAAAGACAGTGTCTCCAAACTCCTCCATCAAAAGAAAGGTTATACTCTGTGAATTGAACGCACACATCACAAAGTAGTTTCTGAGAATGATTCTGTCTAGTTTTTATACGAAGATATTTCCTTTTCTACATTTGGCCTAAAAGCGCTTGAAATCTCCACCTGCAAATATCACAAAAAGAGGGTTTCACATCTGCTCTGTCTAAAGGACAGTTCACCTCTGTGAGTTGAATAGAGGCAACACAAAGAACTTACTGAGTATTCTTCTTTCTAGCGTTCTATGAAGAAATCCCGTTTCCAACGAAGGCCCCAAAGAGGTCCAAATATCTGCTTGCAGACTTTACAGACAGAGTGTTTCCAAACTACTCTATGAAAAGAAAGCTTAAACTCCTTGAGTTGAACGCACACATCACAAAGTAGTTTCTGAGAATGATGCTGTCTAGTTTTTATACGAAGATGTTTCCTTTTCTACATTTGGTCTCAAAGCGATTGAAATCTCCAACTGGAAACTGCACAAATAGGGTGTTTCAAATCTGCTCTTTCTAAAGGAAGGTTCAACTCTGTGAGTTGAATACACACACCACAAATAAGTTACTGAGAATTCTTCTGTCGAACATTACATGAAGAAATCCTGTTTCCAACGAAGGCCCCAAAGAGGTCCAAATATCCACTTGCAGACATTACAAACAGTGTGTTTCCAAACTGCTCCATCAAAAGAAAGGTTAAACTCTGTGAGCTGAACACACACATCAAAAGAAGTTTCTGTGAATGATTCTGTCTAGATTTTATAAGAAGATGTTTCCCTTTCTACCATAGGCCTCAAAGCGCTTGAAATCTCCAGCTGCAAATTCCACAAAAAGGGAGTTTAACATCTGCTCTTCTAAAGGAAAGTTCAACTCTATGAGTTGAATACACACAGCACAAAGAAGTTACTGAGACTTCTCCTATCAAACATTATATGAAGAAATCCCGTTTCCAACGAAGGCCTCAAAGAGGTCCAAATATCTGCTTGCAGACTTTACAGACAGAGTGTTTCCAAACTGCTCCATCAAAAGAAAGGTTAACCTCCTTGAGTTGAACACACACATCACAAAGTAGTTTCTGTGAATGATTCTGTCTAGTTTTTATACGAAGATGTTTCCTTTTCTACCTTTGGTCTCAAAGCGATTGAAATCTCCACATGGAAACTCCACAAAAAGAGTGTTTCAAATCTGCTCTTTCTGAAGGAAGGTTCATCTCTGTGAGTTGAATACACACACCACAAATAAGTTACTGAGAATTCTTCTGTGTAACATTATATGAGGAAATCCCGTTTCCAACGAAGGCCTCAAAGAGGTCGAAATATCCACTTGCAGACTTTACAAAGACAGTGTCTCCAAACTCCTCCATCAAAAGAAAGGTTATACTCTGTGAATTGAACGCACACATCACAAAGTAGTTTCTGAGAATGATTCTGTCTAGTTTTTATACGAAGATATTTCCTTTTCTACATTTGGCCTAAAAGCGCTTGAAATCTCCACCTGCAAATATCACAAAAAGAGGGTTTCACATCTGCTCTGTCTAAAGGACAGTTCACCTCTGTGAGTTGAATAGAGGCAACACAAAGAACTTACTCAGTATTCTTCTTTCAAGCGTTCTATGAAGAAATCCCGTTTCCAACGAAGACCCCAATGAGGTCCAAATATCTGCTTGCAGACTTTACAGACAGAGTGTTTCCAAACTACTCTATGAAAAGAAAGCTTAAACTCCTTGTGTTGAACGCACACATCACAAAGTAGTTTCTGAGAATGATTCTGTCTAGTTTTTATACGAAGATGTTTCCTTTTCTACATTTGGTCTCAAAGCGATTGAAATCTCCAACTGGAAACTGCACAAATAGGGTGTTTCAAATCTGCTCTGTCTAAAGGAAGGTTCAACTCTGTGAGTTGAATACACACACCACAAATAAGTTACTGAGAATTCTTCTGTCGAACATTACTTGAAGAAATCCCGTTTCCAACGAAGGCCTCAAAGAGGTCCAAATATCCACTTGCAGACATTACAAACAGAGTGTTTCCAAACTGCTCCATCAAAAGAAAGGTTAAACTCTGTGAGCTGAACACACACATCAAAAAGAAGTTTCTGTGCATGATTCTGTCTAGATTTTATAAGAAGATGTTTCCTTTTCTACCGTAGGCCTCAAAGCGCTTGAAATCTCCAGCTGCAAATTCCACAAAAAGGGTGTTTAACATCTGCTCTTCTAAAGGAAAGTTCAACTCTATGAGTTGAATACACACAGCACAAAGAAGTTACTGAGACTTCTCCTATCAAACATTATATGAAGAAATCCCGTTTCCAACGAAGGCCTCAAAGAGGTCCAAATATCTGCTTGCAGACTTTACAGACAGAGTGTTTCCAAACTGCTCCATCAAAAGAAAGGTTAAACTCCTTGAGTTGAACACACACATCACAAAGTAGTTTCTGTGAATGATTCTGTCTAGTTGTTATACGAAGATGTTTCCTTTTCTACCTTTGGTCTCAAAGCGATTGAAATCTCCACATGGAAACTCCACAAAAAGAGTGTTTCAAATCTGCTCTTTCTGAAGGAAGGTTCATCTCTGTGAGTTGAATACACACACCACAAATAAGTTACTGAGAATTCTTCTGTGTAACATTATATGAGGAAATCCCGTTTCCAACGAAGGCCTCAAAGAGGTCCAAATATCCACTTGCAGACTTTACAAAGACAGTGTCTCCAAACTCCTCCATCAAAAGAAAGGTTATACTCTGTGAATTGAATGCACACATCACAAAGTAGTTTCTGAGAATGATTCTGTCTAGTTTTTATACGAAGATATTTCCTTTTCTACATTTGGCCTAAAAGCGCTTGAAATCTCCACCTGCAAATATCACAAAAAGAGGGTTTCACATCTGCTCTGTCTAAAGGACAGTTCACCTCTGTGAGTTGAATAGAGGCAACACAAAGAACTTACTCAGTATTCTTCTTTCTAGTGTTCTATGAAGAAATCCCGTTTCCAATGAAGACCCCAATGAGGTCCAAATATCTGCTTGCAGACTTTACAGACAGAGTGTTTCCAAAGTACTCTATGAAAAGAAAGCTTAAACTCCTTGAGTTGAACGCACACATCACAAAGTAGTTTCTGAGAATGATTCTGTCTAGTTTTTATACGAAGATGTTTCCTTTTCTACATTTGGTCTCAAAGCGATTGAAATCTCCAACTGGAAACTGCACAAATAGGGTGTTTCAAATCTGCTCTGTCTAAAGGCAGGTTCAACTCTGTGAGTTGAATACACACACCACAAATAAGTTACTGAGAATTCTTCTGTCGAACATTACTTGAAGAAATCCCGTTTCCAACGAAGGCCTCAAAGAGGTCCAAATATCTGCTTGCAGACTTTACAGACAGAGTGTTTCCAAACTGCTCCATCAAAAGAAAGGTTAAACTCCTTGAGTTGAACACACACATCACAAAGTAGTTTCTGTGAATGATTCTGTCTAATTTTTATACGAAGATGTTTCCTTTTCTACCTTTGGTCTCAATGCGATTGAAATCTCCACATGGAAACCCCACAAAAAGAGTGTTTCAAATCTGCTCTTTCTGTAGGAAGGTTCAACTCTGTGAGTTGAATACACACACCACAAATAAGTTACTGAGAATTCTTCTGTGTAACATTATATGAGGAAATCCCGTTTCCAACGAAGGCCTCAAAGAGGTCCAAATATCCACTTGCAGACTTTACAAAGACAGTGTCTCCAAACTCCTCCATCAAAAGAAAGGTTATACTCTGTGAATTGAACGCACACATCACAAAGTAGTTTCTGAGAATGATTCTGTCTAGTTTTTATACGAAGATATTTCCTTTTCTACATTTGGCCTAAAAGCGCTTGAAATCTCCACCTGCAAATATCACAAAAAGAGGGTTTCACATCTGCTCTGTCTAAAGGACAGTTCACCTCTGTGAGTTGAATAGAGGCAACACAAAGAACTTACTCAGTATTCTTCTTTCTAGCGTTCTATGAAGAAATCCCGTTTCCAACGAAGGCCTCAAAGAGGTCAAATATCTGCTTGCAGACTTTACAGACAGAGTGTTTCCAAACTACTCTATGAAAAGAAAGCTTAAACTCCTTGAGTTGAACGCACACATCACAAAGTAGTTTCTGAGAATGATTCTGTCTAGTTTTTATACGAAGATGTTTCCTTTTCTACATTTGGTCTCAAAGCGATTGAAATCTCCAACTGGAAACTGCACAAGTAGGGTGTTTCAAATCTGCTCTGTCTAAAGGAAGGTTCAACTCTGTGAGTTGAATACACACACCACAAATAAGTTACTGAGAATTCTTCTGTCGAACATTACATGAAGAATTCCCGTTTCCAACGAAGGCCTCAAAGAGGTCCAAATATCCACTTGCAGACATTACAAACAGAGTGTTTCCAAACTGCTCCATTAAAAGAAAGGTTAAACTCTGTGAGCTGAACACACACATCAAAAAGAGGTTTCTGTGAATGATTCTGTCTAGATTTTATAAGAAGATGTTTCCTTTTCTACCGTAGGCCTCAAAGCGCTTGAAATCTCCAGCTGCAAATTCCACAAAAAGGGTGTTTAACATCTGCTCTTCTAAAGGAAAGTTCAACTCTATGAGTTGAATACACACAGCACAAAGAAGTTACTGAGACTTCTCCTATCAAATATTATATGAAGAAATCCCGTTTCCAACGAAGGCCTCAAAGAGGTCCAAATATCTGCTTGCAGACTTTACAGACAGAGTGTTTCCAAACTGCTCCATCAAAAGAAAGGTTAAACTCCTTGAGTTGAACACACACATCACAAAGTAGTTTCTGTGAATGATTCTGTCTAGTTGTTATACGAAGATGTTTCCTTTTCTACCTTTGGTCTCAAAGCGACTGAAATCTCCACATGGAAACTCCACAAAAAGAGTGTTTCAAATCTGCTCTTTCTGAAGGAAGGTTCATCTCTGTGAGTTGAATACACACACCACAAATAAGTTAGTGAGAATTCTTCTGTGTAACATTATATGAGGAAATCCCGTTTCCAACGAAGGCCTCAAAGAGGTCCAAATATCCACTTGCAGACTTTACAAAGACAGTGTCTCCAAACTCCTCCATCAAAAGAAAGGTTATACTCTGTGAATTGAACGCACACATCACAAAGTGGTTTCTGAGAATGATTCTGTCTAGTTTTTATACGAAGATATTTCCTTTTCTACATTTGGCCTAAAAGCGCTTGAAATCTCCACCTGCAAATATCACAAAAAGAGGGTTTCACATCTGCTCTGTCTAAAGGACAGTTCACCTCTGTGAGTTGAATAGAGGCAACACAAAGAACTTACTCAGTATTCTTCTTTCTAGCGTTCTATGAAGAAATCCCGTTTCCAACGAAGGCCCCAAAGAGGTCCAAATATCTGCTTGCAGACTTTACAGACAGAGTGTTTCCAAACTACTCTATGAAAAGAAAGCTTAAACTCCTTGAGTTGAACGCACACATCACAAAGTAGTTTCTGAGAATGATTCTGTCTAGTTTTTATACGAAGATGTTTCCTTTTCTACATTTGGTCTCAAAGCGATTGAAATCTCCAACTGGAAACTGCACAAATAGGGTGTTTCAAATCTGCTCTGTCTAAAGGAAGGTTCAACTCTGTGAGTTGAATACACACACCACAAATAAGTTACTGAGAATTCTTCTGTCGAACATTACATGAAGAAATCCCGTTTCCAACGAAGGCCTCAAAGAGGTCCAAATATCCACTTGCAGACATTACAAACAGAGTGTTTCCAAACTGCTCCATCAAAAGAAAGGTTAAACTCTGTGAGCTGAACACACACATCAAAAAGAAGTTTCTGTGAATGATTCTGTCTAGATTTTATAAGAAGATGTTTCCTTTTCTACCGTAGGCCTCAAAGCGCTTGAAATCTCCAGCTGCAAATTCCACAAAAAGGGTGTTTAACATCTGCTCTTCTAAAGGAAAGTTCAACTCTATGAGTTGAATACACACAGCACAAAGAAGTTACTGAGACTTCTCCTATCAAACATTATATGAAGAAATCCCGTTTTCAACGAAGGCCTCAAAGAGGTCCAAATATCTGCTTGCAGACTTTACAGACAGAGTGTTTCCAAACTGCTCCATCAAAAGAAAGGTTAAACTCCTTGAGTTGAACACACACATCACAAAGTAGTTTCTGTGAATGATTCTGTCTAGTTTTTATACGAAGATGTTTCCTTTTCTACCTTTGGTCTCAAAGCGATTGAAATCTCCACATGGAAACTCCACCAAAAGAGTGTTTCAAATCTGCTCTTTCTGAAGGAAGGTTCAACTCTGTGAGTTGAATACACACACCACAAATAAGTTACTGAGAATTCTTCTGTGTAACATTATATGAGGAAATCCCGTTTCCAACGAAGGCCTCAAAGAGGTCCAAATATCCACTTGCAGACTATACAAAGACAGTGTCTCCAAACTCCTCCATCAAAAGAAAGGTTATACTCTGTGAATTGAACGCACACATCACAAAGTAGTTTCTGAGAATGCTTCTGTCTAGTTTTTATACGAAGATATTTCCTTTTCTACATTTGGCCTAAAAGCGCTTGAAATCTCCACCTGCAAATATCACAAAAAGAGGGTTTCACATCTGCTCTGTCTAAAGGACAGTTCACCTCTGTGAGTTGAATACAGGCAACACAAAGAACTTACTCAGTATTCTTCTTTCTAGCGTTCTATGAAGAAATCCCGTTTCCAACGAAGGCCTCAAAGAGGTCAAATATCTGCTTGCAGACTTTACAGACAGAGTGTTTCCAAACTACTCTATGAAAAGAAAGCTTAAACTCCTTGAGTTGAACGCACACATCACAAAGTAGTTTCTGAGAATGATTCTGTCTAGTTTTTATACGAAGATGTTTCCTTTTCTACATTTGGTCTCAAAGCGATTGAAATCTCCAACTGGAAACTGCACAAATAGGGTGTTTCAAATCTGCTCTGTCTAAAGGAAGGTTCAACTCTGTGAGTTGAATACACACACCACAAATAAGTTACTGAGAATTCTTCTGTCGAACATTACATGAAGAAATCCCGTTTCCAAAGAAGGCCTCAAGGGGTCCAAATATCTACTTGCAGACATTACAAACAGAGTGTTTCCAAACTGCTCCATCAAAAGAAAGGTTAAACTCTGTGAGCTGAACACACACATCAAAGAGAAGTTTCTGTGAATGATTCTGTCTAGATTTTATAAGAAGATGTTTCCTTTTCTACCGTAGGCCTCAAAGCGCTTGAAATCTCCAGCTGCAAATTCCACAAAAAGGGTGTTTAACATCTGCTCTTCTAAAGGAAAGTTCAAGTCTATGAGTTGAATTCACACAGCACAAAGAAGTTACTGAGACTTCTCCTATCAAACATTATATGAAGAAATCCCGTTTCCAACGAAGGCCTCAAAGAGGTCCAAATATCTGCTTGCAGACTTTACAGACAGAGTGTTTCCAAACTACTCTATGAAAAGAAAGCTTAAACTCCTTGAGTTGAACGCACACATCACAAAGTAGTTTCTGAGAATGATTCTGTCTTGTTTTTAAACGAAGATATTTCCGTTTCTATGATTGGCCTCAAAGCCACTGAAATCTCCAACTGGAAACTGCACAACTAGGGTGTTTCAAATCTGCTCTGTCTAAAGGAAGGTTCAACTCTGTGAATTGAATACACACACCACAAATAAGTTACTGAGAATTCTTCTGTCGAACATTACTTGAAGAAATCCCGTTTCCAACGAAGGCCTCAAAGAGGTCCAAATATCCACTTGCCGACATTACAAACAGAGTGTTTCCAATCTGCTCCATCAAAAGAAAGGTTAAACTCTGTGAGCTGAACACACACATCAAAAAGAAGTTTCTGTGAATGATTCTGTCTAGATTTTATAAGAAGATGTTTCCTTTTCTACCGTAGGCCTCAAAGCGCTTGAAATCTCCAGCTGCAAATTCCACAAAAAGGGTGTTTAACATCTGCTCTTCTAAAGGAAAGTTCAACTCTATGCGTTGAATACACACAGCACAAAGAAGTTACTGAGACTTCTCCTATCAAACATTATATGAAGAAATCCCGTTTCCAACGAAGGCCTCAAAGAGGTCCAAATATCTGCTTGCAGACTTTACAGACAGAGTGTTTCCAAACTGCTCCATCAAAAGAAAGGTTAAACTCCTTGAGTTGAACACACACATCACAAAGTAGTTTCTGTGAATGATTCTGTCTAGTTTTTATACGAAGATGTTTCCTTTTCGACCTTTGGTCTCAAAGCGATTGAAATCTCCACATGGAAACACCACAAAAGGAGTGTTTCAAATCTACTCTTTCTGAAGGAAGGTTCAACTCTGTGAGTTGAATACACACACCACAAATAAGTTACTGAGAATTCTTCTGTGAAACATTATATGAGGAAATCCCGTTTCCAACGAAGGCCTCAAAGAGGTCCAAATATCCACTTGCAGACTTTACAAAGACAGTGTCTCCAAACTCCTCCATCAAAAGAAAGGTTATACTCTGTGAATTGAACGCACACATCACAAAGTAGTTTCTGAGAATGATTCTGTCTAGTTTTTATACGAAGATATTTCCTTTTCTACATTTGGCCTAAAAGCGCTTGAAATCTCCACGTGCAAATATCACAAAAAGAGGGTTTCACACCTGCTCTGTCTAATGGACTGTTCACCTCTGTGAGTTGAATAGAGGCAACACAAAGAACTTACTCAGTATTCTTCTTTCTAGCGTTCTATGAAGAAATCCCGTTTCCAACGAAGGCCTCAAAGAGGTCCAAATATCTGCTTGCAGACTTTACAGACAGAGTGTTTCCAAACTACTCTATGAAAAGAAAGCTTAAACTCCTTGAGTTGAACGCACACATCACAAAGTAGTTTCTGAGAATGATTCTGTCTAGTTTTTATACGAAGATGTTTCCTTTTCTACATTTGGTCTCAAAGCGATTGAAATCTCCAACTGGAAACTGCACAAATAGGCTGTTTCAAATCTGCTCTGTCTAAAGGAAGGTTCAGCTCTGTGTGTTGAATACACACACCACAAATAAGTTACTGAGAATTCTTCTGTCGAACATTACTTGAAGAAATCCCGTTTCCAACGAAGGCCTCAAAGAGGTCCAAATATCCACTTGCGGACATTACAAACAGTGTGTTTCCCAACTGCTCCATCAAAAGAAAGGTTAAACTCTGTGAGCTGAACACACACATCAAAAAGAAGTTTCTGTGAATGATTCTGTCTAGATTTTATAAGAAGATGTTTCCTTTTCTACCGTAGGCCTCAAAGCGCTTGAAATCTCCAGCTGCAAATTCCACAAAAAGGGTGTTTAACATCTGCTCTTCTAAAGGAAAGTTCAACTCTATGAGTTGAATACACACAGCACAAAGAAGTTACTGAGACTTCTCCTATCAAACATTATATGAAGAAATCCCGTTTCCAACGAAGGCCTCAAAGAGGTCCAAATATCTACTTGCAGACTTTACAGACAGAGTGTTTCCAAACTGCTCCATCAAAAGAAAGGTTAAACTCCTTGAGTTGAACACACACATCACAAAGTAGTTTCTGTGAATGATTCTGTCTAGTTGTTATACGAAGATGTTTCCTTTTCTACCTTTGGTCTCAAAGCGATTGAAATCTCCACATGGAAACTCCACAAAAAGAGTGTTTCAAATCTGCTCTTTCTGAAGGAAGGTTCATCTCTGTGAGTTGAATACACACACCACAAATAAGTTACTGAGAATTCTTCTGTGTAACATTATATGAGGAAATTCCGTTTCCAACGAAGGCCTCAAATAGATCCAAATATCCACTTGCAGACTTTACAAAGACAGTGTCTCCAAACTCCTCCATCAAAAGAAAGGTTATACTCTGTGAATTGAACGCACACATCACAAAGTAGTTTCTGAGAATGATTCTGTCTAGTTTTCATACGAAGAATTTCCTTTTCTACATTTGGCCTAAAAGCGCTTGAAATCTCCACCTGCAAATATCACAAAAAGAGGGTTTCACATCTGCTCTGTCTAAAGGACAGTTCACCTCTGTGAGTTGAATAGAGGCAACACAAAGAACTTACTCAGTATTCTTCTTTCTAGCGTTCTATGAAGAAATCCCGTTTCCAACGAAGGCCCCAAAGAGGTCCAAATATCTGCTTGCAGACTTTACAGACAGAGTGTTTCCAAACTACTCTATGAAAAGAAAGCTTAAACTCCTTGAGTTGAACGCACACATCACAAAGTAGTTTCTGAGAATGATTCTGTCTAGTTTTTATACGAAGATGTTTCCTTTTCTACATTTGGTCTCAAAGCGATTGAAATCTCCAACTGGAAACTGCACAAATAGGGTGTTTCAAATCTGCTCTGTCTAAAGGAAGGTTCAACTCTGTGAGTTGAATACACACACCACAAATAAGTTACTGAGAATTCTTCTGTCGAACATTACAGGAAGAAATCCCGTTTCCAGCGAAGGCCTCAAAGAGGTCCAAATATCCACTTGCAGACATTACAAACAGAGTGTTTCCAAACTGCTCCATCAAAAGAAAGGTTAAACTCTGTGAGCTGAACACACACATCAAAAAGAAGTTTCTGTGAATGATTCTGTCTAGATTTTATAAGAAGATATTTCCTTTTCTACCGTAGGCCACAAAGCGCTTGAAATCTCCAGCTGCAAATTCCACAAAAAGGGTGTTTAACATCTGCTCTTCTAAAGGAAAGTTCAACTCTATGCGTTGAATACACACAGCACAAAGAAGTTACTGAGACTTCTCCTATCAAACATTATATGAAGAAATCCCGTTTCCAACGAAGGCCTCAAAGAGGTCCAAATATCTGCTTGCAGACTTTAAAGACAGAGTTTTTCCAAACTGCTCCATCAAAAGAAAGGTTAAACTCCTTGAGTTGAAGACACACATCACAAAGTAGTTTCTGTGAATGATTCTGTCTAGTTTTTATACGAAGATGTTTCCTTTTCTACCTTTGGTCTCAAAGCGATTGAAATCTCCACATGGAAACTCCACAAAAAGAGTGTTTCAAATCTGCTCTTTCTGAAGGAAGGTTCAACTCTGTGAGTTGAATACACACACCACAAATAAGTTACTGAGAATTCTTCTGTGTAACATTATATGAGGAAATCCCGTTTCCAACGAAGGCCTCAAAGAGGTCCAAATATCCACTTGCAGACTTTACAAAGACAGTGTCTCCAAACTCCTCCATCAAAAGAAAGGTTATACTCTGTGAATTGAACGCACACATCACAAAGTAGTTTCTGAGAATGATTCTGTCTAGTTTTTATACGAAGATATTTCCTTTTCTACATTTGGCCTAAAAGCGCTTGAAATCTCCACCTGCAAATATCACAAAAAGAGGGTTTCACATCTGCTCTGTCTAAAGGACAGTTCACCTCTGTGAGTTGAATAGAGGCAACACAAAGAACTTACTCAGTATTCTTCTTTCTAGCATTCTATGAAGAAATCCCGTTTCCAACGAAGGCCTCAAAGAGGTCAAATATCTGCTTGCAGACTTTACAGACAGAGTGTTTCCAAACTACTCTATGAAAAGAAAGCTTAAACTCCTTGAGTTGAACGCACACATCACAAAGTAGTTTCTGAGAATGATTCTGTCTAGTTTTTATACGAAGATGTTTCCCTTTCTACATTTGGTCTCAAAGCGATTGAAATCTCCAACTGGAAACTGCACAAATAGGCTGTTTCAAATCTGCTCTGTCTAAAGGAAGGTTCAACTCTGTGAGTTGAATACACACACCACAAATAAGTTACTGAGAATTCTTCTGTCGAACATTAGAGGAAGAAATCCCGTTTCCAACGAAGGCCTCAAAGAGGTCCAAATATCCACTTGCAGACATTACAAACAGTGTGTTTCCCAACTGCTCCATCAAAAGAAAGGTTAAACTCTGTGAGCTGAACACACACATCAAAAAGAAGTTTCTGTGAATGATTCTGTCTAGATTTTATAAGAAGATGTTTCCTTTTCTACCGTAGGCCTCAAAGCGCTTGAAATCTCCAGCTGCAAATTACACAAAAAGGGTGTTTAACATCTGCTCTTCTAAAGGAAAGTTCAAGTCTGTGAGTTGAATACACACAGCACAAAGAAGTTACTGAGAATTCTCCTATCAAACATTATATGAAGAAATCCCGTTTCCAACGAAGGCCTCAAAGAGGTCCAAATATCTGCTTGCAGACTTTACAGACAGTGTGTTTCCAAACTGCTCCATCAAAAGAAAGGTTAAACTCCTTGAGTTGAACACACACATCACAAAGTAGTTTCTGTGAATGATTCTGTCTAGTTTTTATACGAAGACGTTTACTTTTCTACCTTTGGTCTCAAAGCGATTGAAATCTCCACATGGAAACTCCACAAAAAGAGTGTTTCAAATCTGCTCTTTCTGAAGGAAGGTTCAACTCTGTGAGTTGAATACACACACCACAAATAAGTTACTGAGAATTCTTCTGTGTAACATTATATGAGGAAATCCCGTTTCCAACGAAGGCCTTAAAGAGTTCCAAATATCCACTTGCAGACTTTACAAAGACAGTGTCTCCAAACTCCTCCATCAAAAGAAAGGTTATACTCTGTGAATTGAATGCACACATCACAAAGTAGTTTCTGAGAATGATTCTGTCTAGTTTTTATACGAAGATATTTCCTTTTCTACATTTGGCCTAAAAGCGCTTGAAATCTCCACCTGCAAATATCACAAAAAGAGGGTTTCACATCTGCTCTGTCTAAAGGACAGTTCACCTCTGTGAGTTGAATAGAGGCAACACAAAGAACTTACTCAGTATTCTTCTTTCTAGCATTCTATGAAGAAATCCCGTTTCCAACGAAGGCCCCTAAGAGGTCCAAATATCTGCTTGCAGACTTTACAGACAGAGTTTTTCCAAACTGCTCCATCAAAAGAAAGGTTAAACTCCTTGAGTTGAACACACACATCACAAAGTAGTTTCTGTGAATGATTCTGTCTAGTTTTTATAAGAAGATGTTTCCTTTTCTACCTTTGGTCTCAAAGCGATTGAAATCTCCACATGGAAACTCCACAAAAAGAGTGTTTCAAATCTGCTCTTTCTGAAGGAAGGTTCAACTCTGTGAGTTGAATACACACACCACAAATAAGTTACTGAGAATTCTTTCTGTGTAACATTATATGAGGAAATCCCGTTTCCAACGAAGGCCTCAAAGAGGTCCAAATATCCACTTGCAGACTTTACAAACACAGTGTCTCCAAACTCCTCCATCAAAAGAAAGGTTATACTCTGTGAATTGAACGCACACATCACAAAGTAGTTTCTGAGAATGATTCTGTCTAGTTTTTATACGAAGATATTTCCTTTTCTACATTTGGCCTAAAAGCGCTTGAAATCTCCACGTGCAAATATCACAAAAAGAGGGTTTCACATCTGCTCTGTCTAAAGGACAGTTCACCTCTGTGAGTTGAATAGAGGCAACACAAAGAACTTACTCAGTATTCTTCTTTCTAGCGTTGTATGAAGAAATCCCGTTTCCAACGAAGGCCCCAAAGAGGTCCAAATATCTGCTTGCAGACTTTACAGACAGAGTGTTTCCAAACTACTCTATGAAAAGAAAGCTTAAACTCCTTGAGTTGAATGCACACATCACAAAGTAGTTTCTGAGAATGATTCTGTCTAGTTTTTATACGAAGATGTTTCCTTTTCTACATTTGGTCTCAAAGCGATTGAAATCTCCAACTGGAAACTGCACAAATAGGGTGTTTCAAATCTGCTCTGTCTAAAGGAAGGTTCAACTCTGTGAGTTGAATACACACACCACAAATAAGTTACTGAGAATTCTTCTGTCGAACATTACTTGAAGAATCCCGTTTCCAACGAAGGCCTCAAAGAGGTCCAAATATCCACTTGCAGACATTACAAACAGAGTGTTTCCAAACTGCTCCATCAAAAGAAAGGTTAAACTCTGTGAGCTGAACACACACATCAAAAAGAAGTTTCTGTGAATGATTCTGTCTAGATTTTATAAGAAGATGTTTCCTTTTCTACCGTAGGACTCAAAGCGCTTGAAATCTCCAGCTGCAAATTCCACAAAAAGGGTTTTTAACATCTGCTCTTCTAAAGGAAAGTTCAACTCTATGAGTTGAATACACACAGCACAAAGAAGTTACTGAGACTTCTCCTACCAAACATTATATGAAGAAATCCCTTTTCCAACGAAGGCCTCAAAGAGATCCAAATATCTGCTTGCAGACTTTACAGACAGAGTGTTTCCAAACTGCTCCATCAAAAGAAAGGTTAAACTCCTTGAGTTGAACACACACATCACAAAGTAGTTTCTGTGAATGATTCTGTCTAGTTTTTATACGAAGATGTTTCCTTTTCTACCTTTGGTCTCAAAGCGATTGAAATCTCCACATGGAAACTCCACAAAAAGAGTGTTTCAAATCTGCTCTTTCTGAAGGAAGGTTCAACTCTGTGAGTTGAATACACACACCACAAATAAGTTACTGAGAATTCTTCTGTGTAACATTATATGAGGAAATCCCGTTTCCAACGAAGGCCTCAAAGAGGTCCAAATATCCACTTGCAGACTTTACAAAGGCAGTGTCTCCAAACTCCTCCATCAAAAGAAAGGTTATACTCTGTGAATTGAACGCACACATCACAAAGTAGTTTCTGAGAATGATTCTGTCTAGTTTTTATACGAAGATATTTCCTTTTCTACATTTGGCCTAAAAGCGCTTGAAATCTCCACGTGCAAATATCACAAAAAGAGGGTTTCACATCTGCTCTGTCTAAAGGACAGTTCACCTCTGTGAGTTGAATAGAGGCAACACAAAGAACTTACTCAGTATTCTTCTTTCTAGCGTTCTATGAAGAAATCCCGTTTCCAACGAAGGCCTCAAAGAGGTCCAAATATCTGCTTGCAGACTTTACAGACAGAGTGTTTCCAAACTACTCTATGAAAAGAAAGCTTAAACTCCTTGAGTTGAACGCACACATCACAAAGTAGTTTCTGAGAATGATTCTGTCTAGTTTTTATACGAAGATGTTTCCTTTTCTACATTTGGTCTCAAAGCGATTGAAATCTCCAACTGGAAACTGCACAAATAGGGTGTTTCAAATCTGCTCTGTCTAAAGGAAGGTTCAACTCTGTGAGTTGAATACACACACCACAAATAAGTTACTGAGAATTCTTCTGTCGACCATTACTTGAAGAAATCCCGTTTCCAACGAAGGCCTCAAAGAGGTCCAAATATCCACTTGCAGACATTACAAACAGAGTGTTTCCAAACTGCTCCAACAAAAGAAAGGTTAAACTACTGTGAGCTGAACACACACATCGAAAAGAAGTTTCTGTGAATGATTCTGTCTAGATTTTATAAGAAGATGTTTCCTTTTCTACCGTAGGCCTCAAAGCGCTTGAAATCTCCAGCTGCAAATTCCACAAAAAGGGTGTTTAACATCTGCTCTTCTAAAGGAAAGTTCAACTCTAAGAGTTGAATACACACAGCACAAAGAAGTTACTGAGACTTCTCCTATCAAACATTATATGAAGAAATCCCGTTTCCAACGAAGGCCTCAAAGAGGTCCAAATATCTGCTTGCAGACTTTACAGACAGAGTGTTTCCAAACTGCTCCATCAAAAGAAAGGTTAAACTCCTTGAGTTGAACACACACATCACAAAGTAGTTTCTGTGAATGATTCTGTCTAGTTTTTATACGAAGATGTTTCCTTTTCTACCTTTGGTCTCAAAGCGATTGAAATCTCCACATGGAAACTCCACAAAAAGAGTGTTTCAAATCTGCTCTTTCTGAAGGAAGGTTCAACTCTGTGAGTTGAATACACACACCACAAATAAGTTACTGAGAATTCTTCTGTGTAACATTATATGAGGAAATCCCGTTTCCAACGAAGTCCTCAAAGAGGTCCAAATATCCACTTACAGACTTTACAAAGACAGTGTCTCCAAACTCCTCCATCAAAAGAAAGGTTATACTCTGTGAATTGAACGCACACATCACAAAGTAGTTTCTGAGAATGATTCTGTCTAGTTTTTATACGAAGATATTCCCTTTTCTACATTTGGCCTAAAAGCGCTTGAAATCTCCACCTGCAAATATCACAAAAAGAGGGTTTCACATCTGCTCTGTCTAAAGGACAGTTCACCTCTGTGAGTTGAATAGAGGCAACACAAAGAAGTTACTGAGTATTCTTCTTTCTAGCGTTATATGAAGAAATCCCGTTTCCAACGAAGGCCTCAAAGAGGTCCAAATATCCACTTGCAGACATTACAAACAGAGTGTTTCCAAACTGCTCCATCAAAAGAAAGGTTAAACTCTGTGAGTTGAACACACACATCAAAAAGAAGTTTCTGTGAATGATTCTGTCTAGATTTTATAAGAAGATGTTTCCTTTTCTACCGTAGGCCTCAAAGCGCTTGAAATCTCCAGCTGCAAATTCCACAAAAAGGGTGTTTAACATCTGCTCTTCTAAAGGAAAGTTCAACTCTATGAGTTGAATACACACAGCACAAAGAAGTTACTGAGACTTCTCCTATCAAACATTATATGAAGAAATCCCGTTTCCAACGAAGGCCTCAAAGAGGTCTAAATATCTGCTTGCAGACTTTACAGACAGAGTGTTTCCAAACTGCTCCATCAAAAGAAAGGTTAAACTCCTTGAGTTGAACACACACATCACAAAGTAGTTTCTGTGAATGATTCTTTCTAGTTTTTATACGAAGATGTTTCCTTTTCTACCTTTGGTCTCAATGCGATTGAAATCTCCACATGGAAACCCCACAAAAAGAGTGTTTCAAATCTGCTCTTTCTGAAGGAAGGTTCAACTCTGTGAGTTGAATACACACACCACAAATAAGTTACTGAGAATTCTTCTGGGTAACATTATATGAGGAAATCCCGTTTCCAACGAAGGCCTCAAAGAGGTCCAAATATCCACTTGCAGACTTTACAAAGACAGTGTCTCCAAACTCCTCCATCAAAAGAAAGGTTATACTCTGTGAATTGAACGCACACATCACAAAGTAGTTTCTGAGAATGATTCTGTCTAGTTTTTATACGAAGATATTTCCTTTTCTACATTTGGCCTAAAAGCGCTTGAAATCTCCACCTGCAAATATCACAAAAAGAGGGTTTCACATCTGCTCTGTCTAAAGGACAGTTCACCTCTGTGAGTTGAATAGAGGCAACACAAAGAACGTACTCAGTATTCTTCTTTCTAGCGTTCTATGAAGAAATCCCGTTTCCAACGAAGGCCTCAAAGAGGTCAAATATCTGCTTGCAGACTTTACAGACAGAGTGTTTCCAAACTACTCTATGAAAAGAAAGCTTAAACTCCTTGAGTTGAACGCACACATCACAAAGTAGTTTCTGAGAATGATTCTGTCTAGTTTTTATACGAAGATGTTTCCTTTTCTACATTTGGTCTCAAAGCGATTGAAATCTCCAACTGGAAACTGCACAAATAGGCTGTTTCAAATCTGCTCTGTCTAAAGGAAGGTTCAGCTCTGTGAGTTGAATACACACACCACAAATAAGTTACTGAGAATTCTTCTGTCGAACATTACATGAAGAAATCCCGTTTCCAACGAAGGCCTCAAAGAGGTCCAAATATCCACTTGCAGACATTACAAACAGAGTGTTTCCAAACTGCTCCATCAAAAGAAACGTTAAACTCTGTGAGCTGAACACACACATCAAAAAGAAGTTTCTGTGAATGATTCTGTCTAGATTTTATAAGAAGATGTTTCCTTTTCTACCGTAGGCCTCAAAGCGCTTGAAATCTCCAGCTGCAAATTCCACAAAAAGGGTGTTTCACATCTGCTCTTCTAAAGGAAAGTTCAACCCTATGAGTTCAATACACACAGCACAAAGACGTTACTGAGACTTCTCCTATCAAACATTATATGAAGAAATCCCGTTTCCAACGAAGGCCTCAAAGAGGTCCAAATATCTGCTTGCAGACTTTACAGACAGAGTGTTTCCAAACTGCTCCACCAAAAGAAAGGTTAAACTCCTTGAGTTGAACACACACATCACAAAGTAGTTTCTGTGTATGATTCTGTCTAGTTTTTATACGAAGATGTTTCCTTTTCTACCTTTGGTCTCAAAGCGATTGAAATCTCCACATGGAAACTCCACAAAAAGAGTGTTTCAAATCTGCTCTTTCTGAAGGAAGGTTCAACTCTGTGAGTTGAATACACACACCACAAATAAGTTACTGAGAATTCTTCTGTGTAACATTATATGAAGAAATCCCGTTTCCAACGAAGGCCTCAAAGAGATCCAAATATCCACTTGCAGACTTTACAAAGACAGTGTCTCCAAACTCCTCCATCAAAAGAAAGGTTATACTCTGTGAATTGAACGCACACATCACAAAGTAGTTTCTGAGAATGATTCTGTCTAGTTTTTATACGAAGATATTTCCTTTTCTACATTTGGCCTAAAAGCGCTTGAAATCTCCACCTGCAAATATCACAAAAAGAGGGTTTCACATCTGCTCTGTCTAAAGGACAGTTCACCTCTGTGAGTTGAATAGAGGCAACACAAAGAACTTACTCAGTATTCTTCTTTCTAGCGTTCTATGAAGAAATCCCGTTTCCAACGAAGGCCCCAAAGAGGTCCAAATATCTGCTTGCAGACTTTACAGACAGAGTGTTTCCAAACTACTCTATGAAAAGAAAGCTTAAACTCCTTGAGTTGAACGCACACATCACAAAGTAGTTTCTGAGAATGATTCTGTCTAGTTTTTATACGAAGATGTTTCCTTTTCTACATTTGATCTCAAAGCGATTGAAATCTCCAACTGGAAACTGCACAAATAGGGTGTTTCAAATCTGCTCTGTCTAAAGGAAGGTTCAACTCTGTGAGTTGAATACACACACCACAAATAAGTTACTGAGAATTCTTCTGTCGAACACTACTTGAAGAAATCCCGTTTCCAACGAAGGCCTCAAAGAGGTCCAAATATCCACTTGCAGACATTACAAACAGAGTGTTTCCAGACTGCTCCATCAAAAGAAAGGTTAAACTCTGTGAGCTGAACACACACATCAAAAAGAAGTTTCTGTGAATGATTCTGTCTAGATTTTATAAGAAGATGTTTCCTTTTCTACCGTAGGCCTCAAAGCGCTTGAAATCTCCAGCTGCAAATTCCACAAAAAGGGTGTTTAACATCTGCTCTTCTAAAGGAAAGTTCAACTCTATGCGTTGAATACACACAGCACAAAAAAGTTACTGAGACTTCTCCTATCAAACATTATATGAAGAAATCCCGTTTCCAACGAAGGCCTCAAAGAGGTCCAAATATCTGCTTGCAGACTTTACAAAGACAGTGTCTCCAAACTCCTCCATCAAAAGAAAGGTTATACTCTGTGAATTGAACGCACACATCACAAAGTAGTTTCTGAGAATGATTCTGTCTAGTTTTTATACGAAGATATTTCCTTTTCTACATTTGGCCTAAAAGCGCTTGAAATCTCCACCTGCAAATATCACAAAAAGAGGGTTTCACATCTGCTCTGTCTAAAGGACAGTTCACCTCTGTGAGTTGAATAGAGGCAACACAAGGAACTTACTCAGTATTCTTCTTTCTAGCATTCTATGAAGAAATCCCGTTTCCAACGATGGCCCCAAAGAGATCCAAATATCTGCTTGCAGACTTTACAGACAGAGTTTTTCCAAACTGCTCCATCAAAAGAAAGGTTAAACTCCTTGAGTTGAACACACACATCACAAAGTAGTTTCTGTGAATGATTCTGTCTAGTTTTTATAAGAAGATGTTTCCTTTTCTACCTTTGGTCTCAAAGCGATTGAAATCTCCACATGGAAACTCCTCAAAAAGAGTGTTTCAAATCTGCTCTTTCTGAAGGAAGGTTCAACTCTGTGAGTTGAATACACACACCACAAATAAGTTACTGAGAATTCTTCTTTCTAGCGTTCTATGAAGAAATCCCGTTTCCAACGAAGGCCTCAAAGAGATCCAAATATCCACTTGCAGACTTTACAAACACAGTGTCTCCAAACTCCTCCATCAAAAGAAAGGTTATACTCTGTGAATTGAACGCACACATCACAAAGTAGTTTCTGAGAATGATTCTGTCTAGTTTTTATACGAAGATATTTCCTTTTCTACATTTGGCCTAAAAGCGCTTGAAATCTCCACCTGCAAATATCACAAAAAGAGGGTTTCACATCTGCTCTGTCTAAAGGACAGTTCACCTCTGTGAGTTGAATAGAAGCAACACAAAGAACTTACTCAGTATTCTTCTTTCTAGCGTTCTATGAAGAAATCCCGTTTCCAACGAAGTCCCCAAAGAGGTCCAAATATCTGCTTGCAGACTTTACAGACAGAGTGTTTCCAAACTACTCTATGAAAAGAAAGATTAAACTCCTTGAGTTGAACGCACACATCACAGAGTAGTTTCTGAGAATGATTCTGTCTAGTTTTTATACGAAGATGTTTCCTTTTCTACGTTTGGTCTCAAAGCGATTGAAATCTCCAACTGGAAACTGCACAAATAGGGTGTTTCAAATCTGCTCTGTCTAAAGGAAGGTTCAACTCTGTGAGTTGAATACACACACCACAAATAAGTTACTGAGAATTCTTCTGTCGAACATTACATGAAGAAATCCCGTTTCCAACGAAGGCCTCAAAGAGGTCCAAATATCCACTTGCAGACATTACAAACAGAGTGTTTCCAAACTGCTCCATCAAAAGAAAGGTTAAACTCTGTGAGCTGAACACACACATCAAAAAGAAGTTTCTGTGAATGATTCTGTCTAGATTTTATAAGAAGATGTTTCCTTTTCTACCGTAGGCCTCAAAGCGCTTGAAATCTCCAGCTGCAAATTCCACAAAAAGGGTGTTTAACATCTGCTCTTCTAAAGGAAAGTTCAACTCTATGAGTTGAATACACACAGCACAAAGAAGTTACTGAGACTTCTCCTATCAAACATTATATGAAGAAATCCCGTTTCCAACGAAGGCCTCAAAGAGGTCCAAATATCTACAGACAGAGTGTTTCCAAACTGCTCCATCAAAAGAAAGGTTAAACTCCTTGAGTTGAACACACACATCACAAAGTAGTTTCTGTGAATGATTCTGTCTAGTTTTTATACGAAGATATTTCCTTTTCTACTTTTGGTCTCAATGCGATTGAAATCTCCACATGGAAACTCCACAAAAAGAGTGTTTCAAATCTGCTCTTTCTGAAGGAAGGTTCAACTCTGTGAGTTGAATACACACACCACAAATAAGTTACTGAGAATTCTTCTGTGTAACATTATATGAGGAAATCCCGTTTCCAACGAAGGCCTCAAAGAGGTCCAAATATCCACTTGCAGACTTTACAAAGACAGTTTCTCCAAACTCCTCCATCAAAAGAAAGGTTATACTCTGTGAATTGAACGCACACATCACAAGGGAGTTTCTGAGAATGATTCTGTCTAGTTTTTATACGAAGATATTTCCTTTTCTACATTTGGCCTAAAAGCGCTTGAAATCTCCACCTGCAAATATCACAAAAAGAGGGTTTCACATCTGCTCTGTCTAAAGGACAGTTCACCTCTGTGAGTTGAATAGAGGCAACACAAAGAACTTAGTCAGTATTCTTCTTTCTAGCGTTCTATGAAGAAATCCCGTTTCCAACGAAGGCCCCAATGAGGTCCAAATATCTGCTTGCAGACTTTACAGACAGAGTGTTTCCAAACTACTCTATGAAAAGAAAGCTTAAACTCCTTGAGTTGAACGCACACATCACAAAGTAGTTTCTGAGAATGATTCTGTCTAGTTTTTATACGAAGATGTTTCCTTTTCTACATTTGGTCTCAAAGCGATTGAAATCTCCAACTGGAAACTGCACAAATAGGGTGTTTCAAATCTGCTCTGTCTAAAGGAAGGTTCAACTCTGTGAGTTGAATACACACACCACAAATAAGTTACTGAGAATTCTTGTGTCGAACATTACATGAAGAAATCCCGTTTCCAACGAAGGCCTCAAAGAGGTCCAAATATCCACTTGCAGACATTACAAACAGAGTGTTTCCAAACTGCTCAATCAAAAGAAAGTTTAAACTCTGTGAGCTGAACACACACATCAAAAAGAAGTTTCTGTGAATGATTCTGTCTAGATTTTATAAGAAGATGTTTCCTTTTCTACCGTAGGCCTCAAAGCGCTTGAAATCTCCAGCTGCAAATTCCACAAAAAGGGTGTTTAACATCTGCTCATCTAAAGAAAAGTTCAACTCTATGAGTTGAATACACACAGCACAAAGAAGTTACTGAGACTTCTCCTATCAAACATTATATGAAGAAATCCCGTTTCCAACGAAGGCCTCAAAGAGGTCCAAATATCTACTTGCAGACTTTACAGACAGAGTGTTTCCAAACTGCTCCATCAAAAGAAAGGTTAAACTCCTTGAGTTGAACACACACATCACAAAGTAGTTTCTGTGAATGATTCTGTCTAGTTTTTATACGAAGATGTTTCCTTTTCTACCTTTGGTCTCAAAGCGATTGAAATCTCCACATGGAAACTCCACAAAAAGAGTGTTTCAAATCTGCTCTTTCTGAAGGAAGGTTCACCTCTGTGAGTTGAATAAACACACCACAAATAAGTTACTGAGAATTCTTCTGGGTAACATTATATGAGGAAATCCCGTTTCCAACGAAGGCCTCAAAGAGGTCCAAATATCCACTTGCAGACTTTACAAAGACAGTGTCTCCAAACTCCTCCATCAAAAGAAAGGTTATACTCTGTGAATTGAACGCACACATCACAAAGTAGTTTCTGAGAATGATTCTGTCTAGTTTTTATACGAAGATATTTCCTTTTCAACATTTGGCCTAAAAGCGCTTGAAATCTCCACCTGCAAATATCACAAAAAGAGGGTTTCACATCTGCTCTGTCTAAAGGACAGTTCACCTCTGTGAGTTGAATAGAGGCAACACAAAGAACTTACTCAGTATTCTTCTTTCTAGCGTTCTATGAAGAAATCCCGTTTCCAACGAAGGCCCCAATGAGGTCCAAATATCTGCTTGCAGACTTTACAGACAGAGTGTTTCCAAACTACTCTATGAAAAGAAAGCTTAAACTCCTTGAGTTGAACGCACACATCACAAAGTAGTTTCTGAGAATGATTCTGTCTAGTTTTTATACGAAGATGTTTCCTTTTCTACATTTGGTCTCAAAGCGATTGAAATCTCCAACTGGAAACTGCACAAATAGGGTGTTTCAAATCTGCTCTGTCTAAAGGAAGGTTCAACTCTTTGAGTTGAATACACACACCACAAATAAGTTACTGAGAATTCTTCTGTCGAACATTACTTGAAGAAATCCCGTTTCCAACGAAGGCCTCAAAGAGGTCCAAATATCCACTTGCAGACATTACAAACAGAGTGTTTCCAAACTGCTCCATCAAAAGAAAGGTTAAACTCTGTGAGCTGAACACACACATCAAAAAGAAGTTTCTGTGAATGATTCTGTCTAGATTTTATAAGAAGATGTTTCCTTTTCTACCGTAGGACTCAAAGCGCTTGAAATCTCCAGCTGCAAATTCCACAAAAACGGTGTTTAACATCTGCTCTTCTAAAGGAAATTTCAACTCAATGAGTTGAATACACACAGCACAAAGAAGTTACTGAGACTTCTCCTATCAAACATTATATGAAGAAATCCCGTTTCCAACGAAGGCCTCAAAGAGGTCCAAATATCTTCTTGCAGACTTTACAGACAGAGTTTTTCCAAACTGCTCCATCAAAAGAAAGGTTAAACTCCTTGAGTTGAACACACACATCACAAAGTAGTTTCCTGTGAATGATTCTCTGTCTAGTTTTTATACGAAGATGTTTCCTTTTCTACCTTTGGTCTCAAAGCCATTGAAATCTCCACATGGAAACTCCACAAAAAGAATGTTTCAAATCTGCTCTTTCTGAAGGAAGGTTCAACTCTGTGAGTTGAATACACACACCACAAATAAGTTACTGAGAATTCTTCTGTGTAACATTATATGAGGAAATCCCGTTTCCAACGAAGGCCTCAAAGAGGTCCAAATATCTGCTTGCAGACTTTACAAAGACAGTGTCTCCAAACTCCTCCATCAAAAGAAAGGTTATACTCTGTGAATTGAACGCACACATCACAAAGTAGTTTCTGAGAATGATTCTGTCTAGTTTTTATACGAAGATATTTCCTTTTCTACATTTGGCCTAAAAGCGCTTGAAGTCTCCACCTGCAAATATCACAAAAAGAGGGTTTCACATCTGCTCTGTCTAAAGGACAGTTCACCTTTGTGAGTTGAATAGAGGCAACACAAAGAACTTACTCAGTATTCTTCTTTCTAGCGTTCTATGAAGAAATCCCGTTTCCAACGAAGGCCCCAAAGAGGTCCAAATATCTGCTTGCAGACTTTACAGACAGAGTGTTTCCAAACTACTCTATGAAAAGAAAGCTTAAACTCCTTGAGTTGAACGCACACATCACAAAGTAGTTTCTGAGAATGATTCTGTCTAGTTTTTATACGAAGATGTTTCCTTTTCTACATTTGGTCTCAAAGCGATTGAAATCTCCAACTGGAAACTGCACAAATAGGGTGTTTCAAATCTGCTCTGTCTAAAGGAAGGTTCGACTCTGTGAGTTGAATACACACACAACAAATAAGTTACTGAGAATTCTTCTGTCGAACATTACATGAAGAAATCCCGTTTCCAACGAACGCCTCAAAGAGGTCCAAATATCCACTTGCAGACACTACAAACAGTGTGTTTCCAAACTGCTCCCTCAAAACAAAGGTTAAACTCTGTGAGCTGAACACACACATCAAAAAGAAGTTTCTGTGAATGATTCTGTCTAGATTTTATAAGAAGATGTTTCCTTTTCTACCGTAGGCCTCAAAGCGCTTGAAATCTCCAGCTGCAAATTCCACAAAAAGGGTGTTTATCATCTGCTCTTCTAAAGGAAAGTTTAACTCTATGAGTTGAATACACACAGCACAAAGAAGTTACTGAGACTTCTCCTATCAAACATTATATGAAGAAATCCCATTTCCAACGAAGGCCTCAAAGAGGTCCAAATATCTGCTTGCAGACTTTACAGACAGAGTGTTTCCAAACTGCTCCATCAAAAGAAAGGTTAAACTCCTTGAGTTGAACACACACATCACAAAGTAGTTTACATGAATGATTCTGTCTAGTTTTTATACGAAGATGTTTCCTTTTCTACCTTTGGTCTCAAAGCAATTGAAATCTCCACATGGAAACTCCACAAAAAGAGTGTTTCAAATCTGCTCTTTCTGAAGGAAGGTTCAACTCTGTGAGTTGAATACACACACCACAAATAAGTTACTGAGAATTCTTCTGGGTAACATTATATGAGGAAATCCCGTTTCCAACGAAGGCCTCAAAGAGGTCCAAATATCCACTTGCAGACTTTACAAAGACAGTGTCTCCAAACTCCTCCATCAAAAGAAAGGTTATACTCTGTGAATTGAACGCACACATCACAAAGTAGTTTCTGAGAATGATTCTGTCTAGTTTTCATACGAAGATATTTCCTTTTCTACATTTGGCCTAAAAGCGCTTGAAATCTCCACCAGCAAATATCACAAAAAGAGGGTTTCACATCTGCTCTGTCTAAAGGACAGTTCACCTCTGTGAGTTGAATAGAGGCAACACAAAGAACTTACTCAGTATTCTTCTTTCTAGCGTTCTATGAAGAAATCCCGTTTCCAACGAAGGCCTCAAAGAGGTCCAAATATCTGCTTGCACACTTTACAGACAGAGTGTTTCCAAACTACTCTATGAAAAGAAAGCTTAAACTCCTTGAGTTGAACGCACACATCACAAAGTAGTTTCTGAGAATGATTCTGTCTAGTTTTTATACGAAGATGTTTCCTTTTCTACATTTGGTCTCAAAGCGATTGAAATCTCCAACTGGAAACTGCACAAATAGGGTGTTTCAAATCTGCTCTGTCTAAAGGAAGGTTCAACTCTGTGAGTTGAATACACACACCACAAATAAGTTACTGAGAATTCTTCTGTCGAACATTACTTGAAGAAATACCGTTTCCAAAGAAGGCCTCAAAGAGGTCAAAATATCCACTTGCAGACATTACAAACAGAGTGTTTCAAAACTGCTCCATCAAAAGAAAGGTTAAACTCTGTGAGCTGAACACACACATGAAAAAGAAGTTTCTGTGAATGATTCTGTCTAGATTTTATAAGAAGATGTTTCCTTTTCTACCGTAGGCCTCAAAGCGCTTGAAATCTCCAGCTGCAAATTCCACAAAAATGGTGTTTAACATCTGCCCTTCTAAAGGAAAGTTCAACTCTACGAGTTGAATACACACAGCACAAAGAAGTTACTGAGACTTCTCCTATCAAACATTATATGAAGAAATCCCGTTTGCAACGAAGGCCTCAAAGAGGTCCAAATATCTGCTTGCAGACTTTACAGACAGAGTGTTTCCAAACTGCTCCATCAAAAGAAAGGTTAAACTCCTTGAGTTGAACACACACATCACAAAGTAGTTTCTGTGAATGATTCTGTCTAGTTTTTATACGAAGATGTTTCCTTTTCTACCTTTGGTCTCAAAGCGATTGAAATCTCCACATGGAAACTCCACAAAAAGAGTGTTTCAAATCTGCTCTTTCTGAAGGAAGGTTCAACTCTGTGAGTTGAATACACACACCACAAATAAGTTACTGAGAATTCTTCTGTGTAACATTATATGAGGAAATCCCGTTTCCAACGAAGGCCTCAAAGAGGTCCAAATATCCACTTGCAGACTTTACAAAGACAGTGTCTCCAAACTCGTCCATCAAAAGAAAGGTTATACTCTGTGAATTGAACGCACACATCACAAAGTAGTTTCTGAGAATGATTCTGTCTAGTTTTTATACGAAGATATTTCCTTTTCTACATTTGGCATAAAAGCGCTTGAAAACTCCACCTGCAAATATCACAAAAAGAGGGTTTCACATCTGCTCTGTCTAAAGGACAGTTCACCTCTGTGAGTTGAATAGAGGCAACACAAAGAACTTACTCAGTATTCTTCTTTCTACCGTTCTATGAAGAAATCCCGTTTCCAACGAATGCCTCAAAGAGGTCCAAATATCTGCTTGCAGACTTTACAGAGTGTTTCCAAACTACTCTATGAAAAGAAAGCTTAAACTCCTTGAGTTGAACGCACACATCACAAAGTAGTTTCTGAGAATGATTCTGTCTAGTTTTTATACGAAGATGTTTCCTTTTCTACATTTCGTCTCAAAGCGATTGAAATCTCCAACTGGAAACTGCACAAATAGGGTGTTTCAAATCTGCTCTGTCTAAAGGAAGGTTCAACTCTGTGAGTTGAATACACACACCACAAATAAGTTACTGAGAATTCTTCTGTCGAACATTACATGAAGAAATCCCGTTTCCAACGAAGGCCTCAAAGAGGTCCAAATATCCACTTGCAGACATTACAAACAGAGTGTTTCCAAACTGCTCCATCAAAAGAAAGGTTAAACTCTGTGAGCTGAACACACACATCAAAAAGAAGTTTCTGTGAATGATTATGTCTAGATTTTATAAGAAGATGTTTCCTTTTCTACCGTAGGCCTCAAAGCGCTTGAAATCTCCAGCTGCAAATTCCACAAAAAGGGTGTTTAACATCTGCTCTTCTAAAGGAATGTTCAACTCTATGAGTTGAATACACACAGCACAAAGAAGTTACTGAGACTTCTCCTATCAAACATTATATGAAGAAATCCCGCTTCCAACGAAGGCCTCAAAGAAGTCCAAATTTCTGCTCACAAACTTTACAGACAGAGTGTTTCCAAACTGCTCCATCAAAAGAAAGGTTAACCTCCTTGAGTTGAACACACACATCACAAAGTAGTTTCTGTGAGTGATTCTTTCTAGTTTTTATACGAAGATGTTTCCTTTTCTACCTTTGGTCTCAATGCGATTGAAATCTCCACATGGAAACTCCACAAAAAGAGTGTTTCAAATCTGCTCTTTCTGAAGGAAGGTTCAAATCTGTGAGTTGAATACACACACCACAAATAAGTTACTGAGAATTCTTCTGTGTAACATTATATGAGGAAATCCCGTTTCCAACGAAGGCCTCAAAGAGTTCCAAATATCCACTTGCAGACTTTACAAAGACAGTGTCTCCAAACTCCTCCATCAAAAGAAAGGTTATACTCTGTGAATTGAACGCACACATCACAAAGTAGTTTCTGAGAATGATTCTGTCTAGTTTTTATGCGAAGATATTTCCTTTTCTACATTTGGCCTGAAAGCGCTTGAAATCTCCACCTGCAAATATCACAAAAAGAGGGTTTCACATCTGCTCTCTCTAAAGGACAGTTCACCTCTGTGAGTTGAATAGAGGCAACACAAAGAAGTTACTGAGTATTCTTCTTTCTAGCGTTCCATGAAGAAAACCCGTTTCCAACGAAGGCCTCAAAGAGGTCCAAATATCTGCTTGCAGACTTTACAGACAGAGTGTTTCCAAACAACTTTATGAAAAGAAAGCTTAAACTCCTTGAGTTGAACGCACATATCACAAAGTAGTTTCTGAGAATGATTCTGTCTAGTTTTTATACGAAGATGTTTCCTTTTCTACATTTGGTCTCAAAGCGATTGAAATCTCCAACTGGAAACTGCACAAATAGGGTGTTTCAAATCTGCTCTGTCTAAAGGAAGGTTCAACTCTGTGAGTTGAATACACACACCACAAATAAGTTACTGAGAATTCTTCTGTCGAACATTACATGAAGAAATCCCGTTTCCAACGAAGGCCTCAAAGAGGTCCAAATATCCACTTGCAGACATTACAGAGTGTTTCCAAACTGCTCCATCAAAAGAAAGGTTAAAGTCTGTGAGCTGAACACACACATCAAAAAGAAGTTTCTGTGAGTGATTCTGTCTAGATTTTATAAGAAGATGTTTCCTTTTCTACCGTCGGCCTCAAAGCGCTTGAAATCTCCAGCTGCAAATTCCACAAAAAGGGTGTTTAACATCTGCTCTTCTAAAGGAAAGTTCAACTCTATGAGTTGAATACACACAGCACAAAGAAGTTACTGAGACTTCTCCTATCAAACATTATATGAAGAAATCCCGTTTCCAACGAAGGCCTCAAAGAGGTCCAAATATCTGCTTGCAGACTTTAAAGACAGAGTTTTTCCAAACTGCTCCATCAAAAGAAAGGTTAAACTCCTTGAGTTGAACACACACATCACAAAGTAGTTTCTGTGAGTGATTCTGTCTAGTTTTTATACGAAGATGTTTCCTTTTCTACCTTTGGTCTCAAAGCGATTGAAATGTCCACATGGAAACTCCACAAAAAGAGTGTTTCAAATCTGCTCTTTCTGAAGGAAGGTTCAACTCTGTGAGTTGAATACACACACCACAAATAAGTTACTGAGAATTCTTCTGTGTAACATTATACGAGGAAATCCCGTTTCCAACGAAGGCCTCAAAAAGGTCCAAATATCCACTTGCAGACTTTACAAAGACAGTGTCTCCAAACTCCTCCATCAAAAGAAAAGTTATACTCTGTGAATTGAACGCACACATCACAAAGTAGTTTCTGAGAATGATTCTGTCTAGTTTTTATACGAAGATATTTCCTTTTCTACATTTGGCCTAAAAGCGCTTGAAATCTCCACCTGCAAATATCCCAAAAAGAGGGTTTCACATCTGCTCTGTCTAAAGGACAGTTCACCTCTGTGAGTTGAATAGAGGCAACACAAAGAACTTACTCAGTATTCTTCTTTCTAGCGTTCTATGAAGAAATCCCTTTTCCAACGAAGGCCTCAAAGAGGTCCAAATATCTGCTTGCAGACTTTACAGACAGAGTGTTTCCAAACTACTCTATGAAAAGAAAGCTTAAACTCCTTGAGTTGAATGCACACATCACAAAGTAGTTTCTGAGAATGATTCTGTCTAATTTTTATACGAAGATGTTTCCTTTTCTACATTTGGTCTTAAAGCGATTGAAATCTCCAACTGGAAACTGCACAAATAGGGTGTTTGAAATCTGCTCTGTCTAAAGGAAGGTTCAACTCTGTGAGTTGAATACACACACCACAAATAAGGTACTGAGAATTCTTCTGTCGAACATTACATGAAGAAATCCCGTTTCCAACGAAGGCCTCAAAGAGGTCCAAATATCCACTTGGAGACATTACAAACAGTGTGTTTCCAAACTGCTCCATCAAAAGAAAGTTAAACTCTGTGAGCTGAACACACACATCAAAAAGAAGTTTCTGTGAATGATTCTGTCTAGATTTTATAAGAAGATGTTTCCTTTTCTACCGTAGGCCTCAAAGCGCTTGAAATCTCCAGCTGCAAATTCCACAAAAAGGGTGTTTAACATCTGCTCTTCTAAAGGAAAGTTCAACACTATGAGTTGAATACACACAGCACAAAGAAGTTACTGAGACTTCTCCTATCAAACATTATATGAAGAAATCCCGTTTCCAACGAAGGCCTCAAAGAGGTCCAAATATCTGCTTGCAGACTTTACAGACAGAGTTTTTCCAAACTGCTCCATCAAAAGAAAGGTTAAACTCCTTGAGTTGAACACACACATCACAAAGTAGTTTCTGTGAATGATTCTGTCTAGTTGTTATACGAAGATGTTTCCTTTTCTACCTTTGGTCTCAAAGCGATTGAAATCTCCACATGGAAACTCCACAAAAAGAGTGTTTCAAATCTGCTCTTTCTGAAGGAAGGTTCATCTCTGTGAGTTGAATACACACACCACAAATAAGTTACTGAGAATTCTTCTGTGTAAATTATATGAGGAAATCCCGTTTCCAACGAAGGCCTCAAAGAGGTCCAAATATCCACTTGCAGACTTTACAAAGACAGTGTCTCCAAACTCCTCCATCAAAAGAAAGGTTATACTCTGTGAATTGAACGCACACATCACAAAGTAGTTTCTGAGAATGATTCTGTCTAGTTTTTATACGAAGACATTTCCTTTTCTACATTTGGCCTAAAAGCGCTTGAAATCTCCACCTGCAAGTATCACAAAAAGAGGGTTTCACATCTGCTCTGTCTAAAGGACAGTTCACCTCTGTGAGTTGAATAGAGGCAACACAAAGAACTTACTCAGTATTCTTCTTTCTAGCGTTCTATGAAGAAATCCCGTTTCCAACGAAGGCCCCAAAGAGGTCCAAATATCTGCTTGCAGACTTTACAGACAGAGTGTTTCCAAACTACTCTATGAAAAGAAAGCTTAAACTCCTCGAGTTGAACGCACACATCACAAAGTAGTTTCTGAGAATGATTCTGTCTAGTTTTTATACGAAGATGTTTCCTTTTCTACATTTGGTCTCAAAGCGATTGAAATCTCCAACTGGAAACTGCACAAATAGGGTGTTTCAAATCTGCTCTGTCTAAAGGAAGGTTCAACTCTGTGAGTTGAATACACACACCACAAATAAGTTACTGAGAATTCTTCTGTCGACCATTACTTGAAGAAATCCCGTTTCCAACGAAGGCCTCAAAGAGGTCCAAATATCCACTTGCAGACATTACAAACAGAGTGTTTCCAAACTGCTCCATCAAAAGAAAGGTTAAACTCTGTGAGCTGAACACACACATCGAAAAGAAGTTTCTGTGAATGATTCTGTCTAGATTTTATAAGAAGATGTTTCCTTTTCTACCGTAGGCCTCAAAGCGCTTGAAATCTCCAGCTGCAAATTCCACAAAAAGGGTGTTTAACATCTGCTCTTCTAAAGGAAAGTTCAACTCTATGAGTTGAATACACACAGCACAAAGAAGTTACTGAGACTTCTCCTATCAAACATTATATGAAGAAATCCCGTTTCCAACGAAGGCCTCAAAGAGGTCCAAATATCTGCTTGCAGACTTTACAGACAGAGTGTTTCCAAACTGCTCCATCAAAAGAAAGGTTAAACTCCTTGAGTTGAACACACACATCAGAAAATAGTTTGCTGTGAATGATTCTGTCTAGTTTTTATACGAAGATGTTTCCTTTTCTACCTTTGGTCTCAAAGCGATTGAAATCTCCACATAGAAACTCCACAAAAAGAGTGTTTCAAATCTGCTCTTTCTGAAGGAAGGTTCAACTCTGTGAGTTGAATACACACACCACAAATAAGTTACTGAGAATTCTTCTGTGTAACATTATATGAGGAAATCCCGTTTCCAACGAAGGCCTCAAAGAGGTCCAAATATCCACTTGCAGACTTTACAAAGACAGTGTCTCCAAACTCCTCCATCAAAAGAAAGGTTATACTCTGTGAATTGAACGCACACATCACAAAGTAGTTTCTGAGAATGATTCTGTCTAGTTTTTATACGAAGATATTTCCTTTTCTACATTTGGCCTAAAAGCGCTTGAAATCTCCACCTGCAAATATCACAAAAAGAGGGTTTCACATCTGCTCTGTCTAAAGGACAGTTCACCTCTGTGAGTTGAATAGAGGCAACACAAAGAACTTACTCAGTATTCTTCTTTCTAGCGTTCTATGAAGAAATCCCGTTTCCAACGAAGGCCCCAAAGAGGTCCAAATATCTGCTTGCACACTTTACAGACAGAGTGTTTCCAAACTACTCTATGAAAAGAAAGCTTAAACTCCTTGAGTTGAACGCACACATCACAAAGTAGTTTCTGAGAATGATTCTGTCCAGTTTTTATACGAAGATGTTTCCTTTTCTACATTTGGTCTCAAAGCGATTGAAATCTCCAACTGGAAACTGCACAAATAGGGTGTTTCAAATCTGCTCTGTCTAAAGGAAGGTTCAACTCTGTGAGTTGAATACACACACCACAAATAAGTTACTGAGAATTCTTCTGTCGAACATTACAGGAAGAAATCCCGTTTCCAACGAAGGCCTCAAAGAGGTCCAAATATCCACTTGCAGACATTACAAACAGTGTGTTTCCCAACTGCTCCATCAAAAGAAAGGTTAAACTGCTGTGAGCTGGACACACAGATCAAAAAGAAGTTTCTGTGAATGATTCTGTCTAGATTTTATAAGAAGATGTTTCCTTTTCTACCGTAGGCCTCAAAGCGCTTGAAATCTCCAGCTGCAAATTCCACAAAAAGGGTGTTTAACATCTGCTCTTCTAAAGGAAAGTTCAACTCTATGAGTTGAATGCACACAGCACAAAGAAGTTACTGAGACTTCTCCTATCAAACATTATATGAAGAAATCCCGTTTCCAACGAAGGCCTCAAAGAGGTCCAAATATCTGCTTGCAGACTTTACAGACAGAGTGTTTCCAAACTGCTCCATCAAAAGAAAGGTTAAACTCCTTGAGTTGAACACACACATCACAAAGTAGTTTCTGTGAATGATTCTGTCTAGTTTTTATACGAAGATGTTTCCTTTTCTACCTTTGGTCTCAAAGCGATTGAAATCTCCACATGGAAACTCCACAAAAAGAGTGTTTCAAATCTGCTCTTTCTGAAGGAAGGTTCATCTCTGTGAGTTGAATACACACACCACAAATAAGTTACTGAGAATTCTTCTGTGTAACATTATATGAGGAAATCCCGTTTCCAACGAAGGCCTCAAAGAGGTCCAAATATCCACTTGCAGACTTTACAAAGACAGTGTCTCCAAACTCCTCCATCAAAAGAAAGGTTATACTCTGTGAATTGAACGCACACATCACAAAGTAGTTTCTGAGAATGATTCTGTCTAGTTTTTATACGAAGATATTTCCTTTTCTACATTTGGCCTAAAAGCGCTTGAAATCTCCACCTGCAAATATCACAAAAAGAGGGTTTCACATCTGCTCTGTCTAAAGGACAGTTCACCTCTGTGAGTTGAATAGAGGCAACACAAAGAACTTACTCAGTATTCTTCTTTCTAGCATTCTATGAAGAAATCCCGTTTCCAACGAAGGCCCCAAAGAGGTCCAAATATCTGCTTGCAGACTTTACAAAGACAGTGTCTCCAAACTCCTCCGTCAAAAGAAAGGTTATACTCTGTGAATTGAACGCACACATCACAAAGTAGTTTCTGAGAATGATTGTGTCTAGTTTTTATACGAAGATATTTCCTTTTCTACATTTGGCCTCAAAGCGCTTGAAATCTCCACCTGCAAATATCACAAAAAGAGGGTTTCACATCTGCTCTGTCTAAAGGACAGTTCACCTCTGTGAGTTGAATAGAGGCAACACAAAGAACTTACTCAGTATTCTTCTTTCTAGCGTTCTATGAAGAAATCCCGTTTCCAACGAAGGCCCCAAAGAGGTCCAAATATCTGCTTGCAGACTTTACAGACAGAGTGTTTCCAAACTACTCTATGAAAAGAAAGCTTAAACTCCTTGAGTTGAACGCACACATCACAAAGTAGTTTCTGAGAATGATTCTGTCTAGTTTTTATACGAAGATGTTTCCTTTTCTACATTTGGTCTCAAAGCGATTGAAATCTCCAACTGGAAACTGCAAAAATAGGGTGTTTCAAATCTGCTCTGTCTAAAGGAAGGTTCAACTCTGTGAGTTGAATACACACACCCCAAATAAGTTACTGAGAATTCTTCTGTCGAACATTACAGGAAGAAATCCCGTTTCCAGCGAAGGCCTCAAAGAGGTCCAAATATCCACTTGCAGACATTACAAACAGAGTGTTTCCAAACTGCTCCATCAAAAGAAAGGTTAAACTCTGTGAGCTGAACACACACATCAAAAAGAAGTTTCTGTGAATGATTCTGTCTAGATTTTCTAAGAAGATGTTTCCTTTTCTACCGTAGGCCTCAAAGCGCTTGAAATCTCCAGCTGCAAATTCCACAAAAAGGGTGTTTAACATCTGCTCTTCTAAAGGAAAGTTCAACTCTATGAGTTGAATACACACAGCACAAAGAAGCTACTGAGACTTCTCCTATCAAACATTATATGAAGAAATCCCGTTTCCAACGAAGGCCTCAAAGAGGTCCAAATATCTGCTTGCAGACTTTACAGACAGAGTTTTTCCAAACTGCTCCATCAAAAGAAAGGTTAAACTCCTTGAGTTGAACACACACATCACAAAGTAGTTTCTGTGAATGATTCTGTCTAGTTTTTATACGAAGATGTTTCCTTTTCTACCTTTGGTCTCAAAGCGATTGAAATCTCCACATGGAAACTCCACAAAAAGAGTGTTTCAAATCTGCTCTTTCTGAAGGAAGGTTCAACTCTGTGAGTTGAATACACACACCACAAATAAGTTACTGAGAATTCTTCTGTGTAACATTATATGAGGAAATCCCGTTTCCAACGAAGTCCTCAAAGAGGTCCAAATATCCACTTACAGACTTTACAAAGACAGTGTCTCCAAACTCCTCCATCAAAAGAAAGGTTATACTCTGTGAATTGAACGCACACATCACAAAGTAGTTTCTGAGAATGATTCTGTCTAGTTTTTATACGAAGATGTTTCCTTTTCTACATTTGGTCTCAAAGCGATTGAAATCTCCAACTGTAAACTGCACAAATAGGGTGTTTCAAATCTGCTCTGTCTAAAGGAAGGTTCAACTCTGTGAGTTGAATACACACACCACAAATAAGTTACTGAGAATTCTTCTGTCGAACATTACAGGAAGAAATCCCATTTCCAACGAAGGCCTCAAAGAGGTCCAAATATCCACTTGCAGACATTACAAACAGAGTGTTTCCAAACTGCTCCATCAAAAGAAAGGTTAAACTCTGTGAGCTGAACACACACATCAAAAAGAAGTTTCTGTGAATGATTCTGTCTAGATTTTATAAGAAGATGTTTCCTTTTCTACCGTAGGCCTCAAAGCGCTTGAAATCTCCAGCTGCAAATTCCACAAAAAGGGTGTTTAACATCTGCTCTTCTAAAGGAAAGTTCAACTCTATGAGTTGAATACACACAGCACAAAGAAGTTACTGAGACTTCTCCTATCAAACATTATATGAAGAAATACCGTTTCCAACGAAGGCCTCAAAGAGGTCCAAATATCTGCTTGCAGACTTTACAGACAGAGTGTTTCCAAACTGCTCCATCAAAAGAAAGGTTAAACTCCTTGAGTTGAACACACACATCACAAAGTAGTTTCTGTGAATGATTCTGTCTAGTTGTTATACGAAGATGTTTCCTTTTCTACCTTTGGTCTCAAAGCGATTGAAATCTCCACATGGAAACTCCACAAAAAGAGTGTTTCAAATCTGCTCTTTCTGAAGGAAGGTTCATCTCTGTGAGTTGAATACACACACCACAAATAAGTTACTGAGAATTCTTCTGTGTAACATTATATGAGGAAATCCCGTTTCCAACGAAGGCCTCAAAGAGGTCCAAATATCCACTTGCAGACTTTACAAAGACAGTGTCTCCAAACTCCTCCATCAAAAGAAAGGTTATACTCTGTGAATTGAACGCACTCATCACAAAGTAGTTTCTGAGAATGATTCTGTCTAGTTTTTATACGAAGATATTTCCTTTTCTACATTTGGCCTAAAAGCGCTTGAAATCTCCACCTGCAAATATCACAAAAAGAGGGTTTCACATCTGCTCTGTCTAAAGGACAGTTCACCTCTGTGAGTTGAATAGAGGCAACACAAAGAACTTACTCAGTATTCTTCTTTCTAGCGTTCTATGAAGAAATCCCGTTTCCAACGAAGGCCCCAAAGAGGTCCAAATATCTGCTTGCAGACTTTACAGACAGAGTGTTTCCAAACTACTCTATGAAAAGAAAGCTTAAACTCCTTGAGTTGAACGCACACATCACAAAGTAGTTTCGGAGAATGATTCTGTCTAGTTTTTATACGAAGATGTTTCCTTTTCTACATTTGGTCTCAAAGCGATTGAAATCTCCAACTGGAAACTGCACAAATAGGGTGTTTCAAATCTGCTCTGTCTAAAGGAAGGTTCAACTCTGTGAGTTGAATACACACACCACAAATAAGTTACTGAGAATTCTTCTGTCGAACATTACAGGAAGAAATCCCGTTTTCAACGAAGGCCTCAAAGAGGTCCAAATATCCACTTGCAGACATTACAAACAGTGTGTTTCCAAACTGCTCCATCAAAAGAAAGGTTAAACTCTGTGAGCTGAACACACACATCAAAAAGAAGTTTCTGTGAATGATTCTGTCTAGATTTTATAAGAAGATGTTTCCTTTTCTACCGTAGGCCTCAAAGCGCTTGAAATCTCCAGCTGCAAATTCCACAAAAAGGGTGTTTAACATCTGCTCTTCTAAAGGAAAGTTCAACTCTATGAGTTGAATACACACAGCACAAAGAAGTTACTGAGACTTCTCCTATCAAACATTGTATGAAGAAATCCCGTTTCCAACGAAGGCCTCAAAGAGGTCCAAATATCTGCTTGCAGACTTTACAGACAGAGTGTTTCCAAACTGCTCCATCAAAAGAAAGGTTAAACTCCTTGAGTTGAACACACACATCACAAAGTAGTTTCTGTGAATGATTCTGTCTAGTTTTTATACGAAGATGTTTCCTTTTCTACCTTTGGTCTCAAAGCGATTGAAATCTCCACATGGAAACTCCACAAAAAGAGTGTTTCAAATCTGCTCTTTCTGAAGGAAGGTTCAACTCTGTGAGTTGAATACACACACCACAAATAAGTTACTGAGAATTCTTCTGTGTAACATTATATGAGGAAATCCCGTTTCCAACGAAGGCCTCAAAGAGGTCCAAATATCCACTTGCAGACTTTACAAAGACAGTGTCTCCAAACTCCTCCATCAAAAGAAAGGTTATACTCTGTGAATTGAACGCACACATCACAAAGTAGTTTCTGAGAATGATTCTGTCTAGTTTTTATACGAAGATATTTCCTTTTCTACATTTGGCCTAAAAGCGCTTGAAATCTCCACCTGCAAATATCACAAAAAGAGGGTTTCACATCTGCTCTGTCTAAAGGACAGTTCACCTCTGTGAGTTGAATAGAGGCAACACAAAGAACTTACTCAGTATTCTTCTTTCTAGCGTTCTATGAAGAAATCCCGTTTCCAACGAAGGCCCCAAAGAGGTCCAAATATCTGCTTGCAGACTTTACAGACAGAGTGTTTCCAAACTACTCTATGAAAAGAAAGCTTAAACTCCTTGAGTTGAACGCACACATCACAAAGTAGTTTCTGAGAATGATTCTGTCTAGTTTTTATACGAAGATGTTTCCTTTTCTACATTTGGTCTCAAAGCGATTGAAATCTCCAACTGGAAACTGCACAAATAGGGTGTTTCAAATCTGCTCTGTCTAAATGAAGGTTCAACTCTGTGAGTTGAATACACACACCACAAATAAGTTACTGAGAATTCTTCTGTCGAACATTACTTGAAGAAATCCCGTTTCCAATGAAGGCTTCAAAGAGGTCCAAATATCCACTTGCAGACATTACAAACAGAGTGTTTCCAAACTGCTCCATCAAAAGAAAGGTTAAACTCTGTGAGCTGAACACACACATCAAAAAGAAGTTTCTGTGAATGATTCTGTCTAGATTTTATAAGAAGATGTTTCCTTTTCTACCGTAGGCCTCAAAGCGCTTGAAATCTCCAGCTGCAAATTCCACAAAAAGGGTGTTTAACATCTGCTCTTCTAAAGGAAAGTTCAACTCTATGAGTTGAATACACACAGCACAAAGAAGTTACTGAGACTTCTCCTATCAAACATTATATGAAGAAATCCCGTTTCCAACGAAGGCCTCAAAGAGGTCCAAATATCTGCTTGCAGACTTTACAGACAGAGTATTTCCAAACTGCTCCATCAAAAGAAAGGTTAAACTCCTTGAGTTGAACACACACATCACAAAGTAGTTTCTGTGAATGATTCTGTCTAGTTTTTATACAAAGATGTTTCCTTTTCTACCTTTCGTCTCAAAGCGATTGAAATCTCCACATGGAAACTCCACAAAAAGAGTGTTTCAAATCTGCTCTTTCTGAAGGAAGGTTCAACTCTGTGAGTTGAATACACACACCACAAATAAGTTACTGAGAATTCTTCTGTGTAACATTATATGGGGAAATCCCGTTTCCAACGAAGGCCTCAAAGAGGTCCAAATATGCAATTGCAGACTTTACAAAGACAGTGTCTCCAAACTCCTCCATCAAAAGAAAGGTTATACTCTGTGAATTGAACGCACACATCACAAAGTAGTTTCTGAGAATGATTCTGTCTAGTTTTTATACGAAGATATTTCCTTTTCTACATTTGGCCTAAAAGCGCTTGAAATCTCCACCTGCAAATATCACAAAAAGAGGGTTTCACATCTGCTCTGTCTAAAGGACAGTTCACCTCTGTGAGTTGAATAGAGGCAACACAAAGAACTTACTCAGTATTCTTCTTTCTAGCGTTCTATGAAGAAATCCTGTTTCCAATGAAGACCCCAATGAGGTCCAAATATCTGCTTGCAGACTTTACAGACAGAGTGTTTCCAAACTACTCTATGAAAAGAAAGCTTAAACTCCTTGAGTTGAACGCACACATCACCAAGTAGTTTCTGAGAATGATTCTGTCTAGTTTTTATACGAAGATGTTTCCTTTTCTACATTTGGTCTCAAAGCGATTGAAATCTCCAACTGAAAACTGCACAAATAGGGTGTTTCAAATCTTCTCTGTCTAAAGGAAGGTTCAACTCTGTGAGTTGAATACACACACCACAAATAAGTTACTGAGAATTCTTCTGTCAAACATTCCTTGAAGAAATTCCGTTTCCAACGAAGGCCTCAAAGAGGTCCAAATATCCACTTGCAGACATTACAAATAGTGTGTTTCCAAACTGCTCCATCAAAAGAAAGGTTAAACTCTGTGAGCTGAACACACACATCAAAAAGAAGTTTCTGTGAATGATTCTGTCTAGTTTTTATACGAAGATATTTCCTTTTCTACTTTTGGTCTCAATGCGATTGAAATCTCCACATGGAAGCTCCACAAAAAGAGTGTTTCAAATCTGCTCTTTCTGAAGGAAGGTTCAACTCTGTGAGTTGAATACACACACCACAAATAAGTTACTGAGAATTCTTCTGTTTAACATTATATGAGGAAAACCCGTTTCCAACGAAGGCCTCAAAGAGGTCCAAATATCCACTTGCAGAGTTTACAAAGACAGTGTCTCCAAACTCCTCCATCCAAACAAAGGTTATACTCTGTGAATTGAACGCACACATCACAAAGTAGTTTCTGAGAATGATTCTGTCTAGTTTTTATACGAAGATGTTTCCTTTTCTACCTTTGGTCTCAAAGCGATTGAAATCTCCACATGGAAACTCCACAAAAAGAGTGTTTCAAATCTGCTCTTTCTGAAGGAAGGTTCAACTCTGTGAGTTGAATACACACACCACAAATAAGTTACTGAGAATTCTTCTGTGTAACATTATATGAGGAAATCCCGTTTCCAACGAAGGCGTCAAAGAGGTCCAAATATCCACTTGCAGACTTTACAAAGACAGTGTCTCCAAACTCCTCCATCAAAAGAAAGGTTATACTCTGTGAATTGAACGCACACATCACAAAGTAGTTTCTGAGAATGATTCTGTCTAGTTTTTATACGAAGATATTTCCTTTTCTACATTTGGCCTAAAAGCGCTTGAAATCTCCACCTGCAAATATCACAAAAAGAGGGTTTCACATCTGCTCTGTCTAAAGGACAGTTCACCTCTGTGAGTTGAATAGAGGCAACACAAAGAACTTACTCAGTATTCTTCTTTCTAGCGTTCTATGAAGAAATCCCGTTTCCAACGAAGGCCCCAAAGAGGTCCAAATATCTGCTTGCAGACTTTACAGACAGAGTTTTTCCAAACTGCTCCATCAAAAGAAAGGTTAAACTCCTTGAGTTGAACACACACATCACAAAGTAGTTTCTGTGAATGATTCTGTCTAGTTTTTATAAGAAGATGTTTCCTTTTCTACCTTTGGTCTCAAAGCGATTGAAATCTCCACATGGAAACTCCACAAAAAGAGTGTTTCAAATCTGCTCTTTCTGAAGGAAGGTTCAACTCTGTGAGTTGAATACACACACCACAAATAAGTTACTGAGAATTCTTCTGTGTAACATTATATGAGGAAATCCCGTTTCCAACGAAGGCCTCAAAGAGGTCCAAATATCCACTTGCAGACTTTACAAAGACAGTGTCTCCAAACTCCTCCATCAAAAGAAAGGTTATACTCTGTGAATTGAACGCACACATCACAAAGTAGTTTCTGAGAATGATTCTGTCTAGTTTTTATACGAAGATATTTCCTTTTCTACATTTGGCCTAAAAGCGCTTGAAATCTCCACCTGCAAATATCACAAAAAGAGGGTTTCACATCTGCTCTGTCTAAAGGACAGTTCACCTCTGTGAGTTGAATAGAGGCAACACAAAGAACTTACTCAGTATTCTTCTTTCTAGCGTTCTATGAAGAAATCCCGTTTCCAACGAAGGCCTCAAAGAGCTCAAATATCTGCTTGCAGACTTTACAGACAGAGTGTTTCCAAACTACTCTATGAAAAGAAAGCTTAAACTCCTTGAGTTGAACGCACACATCACAAAGTAGTTTCTGAGAATGATTCTGTCCAGATATTTTAAGAAGATGTTTCCTTTTCTACATTTGGTCTCAAAGCGATTGAAATCTCCAACTGGAAACTGCACAAATAGGGTGCTTAAAATCTGCTCTGTCTAAAGGAAGGTTCAACTCTGTGAGCTGAACACACAGATCAAAAAGAAGTTTCTGTGAATGATTCTGTCTAGATTTTATAAGAAGATGTTTCCTTTTCTACCGTAGGCCTCAAAGCGCTTGAAATCTCCAGCTGCAAATTCCACAAAAAGGGTGTTTAACATCTGCTCTTCTAAAGGAAAGTTCACCTCTATGAGATGAATACACACAGCACAAAGAAGTTACTGAGACTTCTCCTATCAAACATTATATGAAGAAATCCCGTTTCCAACGAAGGCCTCAAAGAGGTCCAAATATCTGCTTGCAGACTTTACAGACAGAGTGTTTCCAAACTGCTCCATCAAAAGAAAGGTTAAACTCCTTGAGTTGAACACACACATCACAAAGTAGTTTCTGTGAATGATTCTGTCTAGTTTTTATACGAAGATGTTTCCTTTTCTACCTTTGGTCTCAAAGCGATTGAAATCTCCACATGGAAACTCCACAAAAAGTGTGTTTCAAATCTGCTCTTTCTGAAGGAAGGTTCAACTCTGTGAGTTGAATACACACACCACAAATAAGTTACTGAGAATTCTTCTGTGTAAAATTATATGAGGAAATCCCTTTTCCAAGGAAGGCCTCAAAGAGGTCCAAATATCCACTTGCAGACTTTACAAAGACAGTGTATCCAAACTCCTCCATCAAAAGAAAGGTTATACTCTGTGAATTGATCGCACACATCACAAAGTAGTTTCTGAGAATGATTCTGTCTAGTTTTTATACGAAGATATTTCCTTTTCTACATTTGGCCTAAAAGCGCTCGAAATCTCCACCTGCAAATATCACAAAAAGAGGGTTTCACATCTGCTCTGTCTAAAGGACAGTTCACCTCTGTGAGTTGAATAGAGGCAACACAAAGAACTTACTCAGTATTCTTCTTTCTACCGTTCTATGAAGAAATCCCGTTTCCAACGAAGGCCTCAAAGAGGTCCAAATATCTGCTTGCAGACTTTACAGACAGAGTGTTTCCAAACTACTCTATGAAAAGAAAGCTTAAACTCCTTGAGTTGAACGCACACATCACAAAGTAGTTTCTGAGAATGATTCTGTCTAGTTTTTATACGAAGATGTTTCCTTTTCTACATTTGGTCTCAAAGCGATTGAAATCTCCAACTGGAAACTGCACAAATAGGGTGTTTCAAATCTGCTCTGTCTAAAGGAAGGTTCAACTCTGTGAGTTGAATACACACACCACAAATAAGTTACTGAGAATTCTTCTGTCGAACATTACATGAAGAAATGCCGTTTCCAACGAAGGCCTCAAAGAGGTCCAAATATCCACTTGCAGACATTACAAACAGAGTGTTTCCAAACTGCTCCATCAAAAGAAAGGTTAAACTCTGTGAGCTGAACACACACATCAAAAAGAAGTTTCTGTGAATGATTCTGTCTAGATTTTCTAAGAAGATGTTTCCTTTTCTACCGTAGGCCTCAAAGCGCTTGAAATCTCCAGCTGCAAATTCCACAAAAAGGGTGTTTAACATCTGCTCTTCTAAAGGAAAGTTCAACCCTATGCGTTGAATACACACAGCAGAAAGAAGTTACTGAGACTTCTCCTATCAAACATTATATGAAGAAATCCCGTTTCCAACGAAGGCCTCAAAGAGGTCCAAATATCTGCTTGCAGACTTTACAGACAGAGTTTTTCCCAACAGCTCCATCAAAAGAAAGGTTAAACTCCTTGAGTTGAACACACACATCACAAAGTAGTTTCTGTGAATGATTCTGTCTAGTTTTTATACGAAGATGTTTCCTTTTCTACCTTTGGTCTCAAAGCGATTGAAATCTCCACATGGAAACTCCACAAAAAGAGTGTTTCAAATCTGCTCTTTCTGAAGGAAGGTTCAACTCTGTGAGTTGAATACACACACCACAAATAAGTTACTGAGAATTCTTCTGTGTAACATTATATGAGGAAATCCCGTTTCCAACGAAGGCCTCAAAGAGGTCCAAATATCCACTTGCAGACTTTACAAAGACAGTGTCTCCAAACTCCTCCATCAAAAGAAAGGTTATACTCTGTGAATTGAACGCACACATCACAAAGTAGTTTCTGAGAATGATTCTGTCTGGTTTTTATACGAACATATTTCCTTTTCTACATTTGGCCTAAAAGCGCTTGAAATCTCCACCTGCAAATATCACAAAAAGAGGGTTTCACATCTCCTCTGTCTAAAGGACAGTTCACCTCTGTGAGTTGAATAGAGGCAACACAAAGAACTTACTCAGTATTCTTCTTTCTAGCATTCTATGAAGAAATCCCGTTTCCAACGAAGGCCCCAAAGAGGTCCAAATATCTGCTTGCAGACTTTACAGACAGAGTTTTTCCAAACTGCTCCATCAAAAGAAAGGTTAAACTCCTTGAGTTGAACACACACATCACAAAGTAGTTTCTGAGAATGATTCTGTCTAGTTTTTATACGAAGATGTTTCCTTTTCTACCTTTGGTCTCAAAGCGATTGAAATCTCCACATGGAAACTCCACAAAAAGAGTGTTTCAAATCTGCTCTTTCTGAAGGAAGGTTCAACTCTGTGAGTTGAATACACACACCACAAATAAGTTACTGAGAATTCTTCTGTGTAACATTATATGAGGAAATCCCGTTTCCAACGAAGGCCTCAAAGAGGTCCAAATATCCACTTGCAGACATTACAAAGACAGTGTCTCCAAACTCCTCCATCAAAAGAAAGGTTATACTCTGTGAATTGAACGCACACATCACAAAGTAGTTTCTGAGAATGATTCTGTCTAGTTTTTATACGAAGATATTTCCTTTTCTACATTTGGCCTAAAAGCGCTTGAAATCTCCACCTGCAAATATCACAAAAAGAGGGTTTCACATCTGCTCTGTCTAAAGGACAGTTCACCTCTGTGAGTTGAATAGAGGCAACACAAAGAACTTACTCAGTATTCTTCTTTCCAGCGTTCTATGAAGAAATCCCGTTTCCAACGAAGGCCTCAAAGAGGTCAAATATCTGCTTGCAGACTTTACAGACAGAGTGTTTCCAAACTACTCTATGAAAAGAAAGCTTAAACTCCTTGAGTTGAACGCACACATCACAAAGTAGTTTCTGAGAATGATTCCGTCTAGTTTTTATACGAAGATGTTTCCCTTTCTACATTTGGTCTCAAAGCGATTGAAATCTCCAACTGGAAACTGCACAAATAGGCTGTTTCAAATCTGCTCTGTCTAAAGGAAGGTTCAACTCTGTGAGTTGAATACACACACCACAAATAAGTTACTGAGAATTCTTCTGTCGAACATTAGAGGAAGAAATCCCGTTTCCAACGAAGGCCTCAAAGAGGTCCAAATATCCACTTGCAGACATTACAAACAGTGTGTTTCCCAACTGCTCCATCAAAAGAAAGGTTAAACTCTGTGAGCTGAACACACACATCAAAAAGAAGTTTCTGTGAATGATTCTGTCTAGATTTTATAAGAAGATGTTTCCTTTTCTACTGTAGGCCTCAAAGCGCTTGAAATCTCCAGCTGCAAATTCCACAAAAAGGGTGTTTAACATCTGCTCTTCTAAAGGAAAGTTCAACTCTGTGAGTTGAATACACACAGCACAAAGAAGTTACTGAGACTTCTCCTATCAAACATTATATGAAGAAATCCCGTTTCCAACGAAGGCCTCAAAGAGGTCCAAATATCTGCTTGCAGACTTTACAGACAGTGTGTTTCCAAACTGCTCCATCAAAAGAAAGGTTAAACTCCTTGAGTTGAACACACACATCACAAAGTAGTTTCTGTGAATGATTCTGTCTAGTTTTTATACGAAGACGTTTACTTTTCTACCTTTGGTCTCAAAGCGATTGAAATCTCCACATGGAAACTCCACAAAAAGAGTGTTTCAAATCTGCTCTTTCTGAAGGAAGGTTCAACTCTGTGAGTTGAATACACACACCACAAATAAGTTACTGAGAATTCTTCTGTGTAACATTATATGAGGAAATCCCGTTTCCAACGAAGGCCTTAAAGAGGTCCAAATATCCACTTGCAGACTTTACAAAGACAGTGTCTCCAAACTCCTCCATCAAAAGAAAGGTTATACTCTGTGAATTGAACGCACACATCACAAAGTAGTTTCTGAGAATGATTCTGTCTAGTTTTTATACGAAGATATTTCCTTTTCTACAATTGGCCTAAAAGCGCTTGAAATCTCCACCTGCAAATATCACAAAAAGAGGGTTTCACATCTGCTCTGTCTAAAGGACAGTTCACCTCTGTGAGTTGAATAGAGGCAACACAAAGAAATTACTCAGTATTCTTCTTTCTAGCGTTCTATGAAGAAATCCCGTTTCCAACGAAGGCCTCAAAGAGGTCAAATATCTGCTTGCAGACTTTACAGACAGAGTGTTTCCAAACTACTCTATGAAAAGAAAGCTTAAACTCCTTGAGTTGAACGCACACATCACAAAGTAGTTTCTGAGAATGATTCTGTCTAGTTTTTATACGAAGATGTTTCCTTTTCTACATTTGGTCTCAAAGCGATTGAAATCTCCAACTGGAAACTGCACAAATAGGCTGTTTCAAATCTGCTCTGTCTAAAGGAAGGTTCAGCTCTGTGTGTTGAATACACACACCACAAATAAGTTACTGAGAATTCTTCTGTCGAACATTACTTGAAGAAATCCCGTTTCCAACGAAGGCCTCAAAGAGGTCCAAATATCCACTTGCGGACATTACAAACAGTGTGTTTCCCAACTGCTCCATCAAAAGAAAGGTTAAACTCTGTGAGCTGAACACACACATCAAAAAGAAGTTTCTGTGAATGATTCTGTCTAGATTTTATAAGAAGATGTTTCCTTTTCTACCGTAGGCCTCAAAGCGCTTGAAATCTCCAGCTGCAAATTCCACAAAAAGGGTGTTTAACATCTGCTCTTCTAAAGGAAAGTTCAACTCTATGAGTTGAATACACACAGCACAAAGAAGTTACTGAGACTTCTCCTATCAAACATTATATGAAGAAATCCCGTTTCCAACGAAGGCCTCAAAGAGGTCCAAATGTCTGCTTGCAGACTTTACAGACAGAGTGTTTCCAAACTGCTCCATCAAAAGAAAGGTTAAACTCCTTGAGTTGAACACACACATCACAAAGTAGTTTCTGTGAATGATTCTGTCTAGTTTTTATACGAAGATGTTTCCTTTTCTACCTTTGGTCTCAAAGCGATTGAAATCTCCACATGGAAACTCCACAAAAAGAGTGTTTCAAATCTGCTCTTTCTGAAGGAAGGTTCAACTCTGTGAGTTGAATACACACACCACAAATGAGTTACTGAGAATTCTCCTATCAAACATTATATGAAGAAATCCCGTTTCCAACGATGGCCTCAAAGAGGTCCAAATATCTGCTTGCAGACTTTACAAAGACAGTGTCTCCAAACTCCTCCATCAAAAGAAAGGTTATACTCTGTGAGTTGAACACACACATCACAAAGTAGTTTCTGAGAATGATTCTGTCTAGTTTTTATACGAAGATATTTCCTTTTCTACATTTGGCCTAAAAGCGCTTGAAATCTCCACCTGCAAATATCACAAAAAGAGGGTTTCCCATCTGCTCTGTCTAAAGGACAGTTCACCTCTGTGAGTTGAATAGAGGCAACACAAAGAACTTACTCAGTATTCTTCTTTCTAGCGTTCTATGAAGAATTCCCGTTTCCAACGAAGGCCTCAATGAGGTCCAAATATCTGCTTGCAGACATTACAGACACAGTGTTTCCAAACTACTCTACGAAAACAAAGCTTAAACTCCTTGAGTTGAACGCACACATCACAAAGTAGTTTCTCAGAATGATTCTGTCTAGTTTTTATACGAAGGATGTTTCCTTTTCTACATTTGGTCTCAAAGCTCTTGAAATCTCCAACTGGAAACTGCACAAATAGGCTGTTTCAAATCTGCTCTGTCTAAAGGAAGGTTCAACTCTGTGAGTTGAATACACACACCACAAATAAGTTACTGAGAATTCTTCTGTCGAACATTACATGAAGAATTCCCGTTTCCAACGAAGGCCTCAAAGAGGTCCAAATATCCACTTGCAGGCATTACAAACAGAGTGTTTCCAAACTGCTCCATCAAAAGAAAGGTTAAACTCTGTGAGCTGAACACACACATCAAAAAGAAGTTTCTGTGAATGATTCTGTCTAGATTTTATAAGAAGATGTTTCCTTTTCTACCGTAGGCCTCAAAGCGCTTGAAATCTCCAGCTGCAAATTCCACAAAAAGGGTGTTTAACATCTGCTCTTCTAAAGGAAAGTTCAACTCTATGAGTTGAATACACACAGCACAAAGAAGTTACTGAGACTTCTCCTATCAAACATTATATGAAGAAATCCCGTTTCCAACGAAGGCCTCAAAGAGGTCCAAATATCTGCTTGCAGACTTTACAGACAGAGTGTTTCCAAACTGCTCCATCAAAAGAAAGGTTAAACTCCTTGAGTTGAACACACACATCACAAAGTAGTTTCTGTGAATGATTCTGTCTAGTTTTTATATGAAGATGTTTCCTTTTCTACCTTTCGTCTCAAAGCGATTGAAATCTCCACATGGAAACTCCACAAAAAGAGTGTTTCAAATCTGCTCTTTCTGAAGGAAGGTTCAACTCTGTGAGTTGAATACACGCAACACAAATAAGTTACTGAGAATTCTTCTGTGTAACATTATATGAGGAAATCCCGTTTCCAACGAAGGCCTCAAAGAGGTCCAAATATCCACTTGCAGACTTTACAAAGGCAGTGTCTCCAAACTCCTCCATCAAAAGAAAGGTTATACTCTGTGAATTGAACGCACACATCACAAAGTAGTTTCTGAGAATGATTCTGTCTAGTTTTTATACGAAGATATTTCCTTTTCTACATTTGGCCTAAAAGCGCTTGAAATCTCCACCTGCAAATATCACAAAAAGAGGGTTTCACATCTGCTCTGTCTAAAGGACAGTTCACCTCTGTGAGTTGAATAGAGGCAACACAAAGAACGTACTCAGTATTCTTCTTTCTAGCGTTCTATGAAGAAATCCCGTTTCCAACGAAGGCCCCAAAGAGGTCCAAATATCTGCTTGCAGACTTTACAGACAGAGTGTTTCCAAACTACTCTATGAAAAGAAAGCTTAAACTCCTTGAGTTGAACGCACACATCACAAAGTAGTTTCTGAGAATGATTCTGTCTAGTTTTTATACGAAGATGTTTCCTTTTCTACATTTGGTCTCAAAGCGATTGAAATCTCCAACTGGAAACTGCACAAATAGGGTGTTTCAAATCTGCTCTGTCTAAAGGAAGGTTCAACTCTGTGAGTTGAATACACACACCACAAATAAGTTACTGAGAATTCTTCTGTCGAACATTACTTGAAGAAATCCCGTTTCCAACGAAGGCCTCAAAGAGGTCCAAATATCCACTTGCAGACATTACAAACAGAGTGTTTCCAAACTGCTCCATCAAAAGAAAGGTTAAACTCTGTGAGCTGAACACACACATCGAAAAGAAGTTTCTGTGAATGATTCTGTCTAGATTTTATAAGAAGATGTTTCCTTTTCTACCGTAGGCCTCAAAGCGCTTGAAATCTCCAGCTGCAAATTCCACAAAAAGGGTGTTTAACATCTGCTCTTCTAAAGGAAAGTTGAACTCTATGAGTTGAATACACACAGCACAAAGAAGTTACTGAGACTTCTCCTATCAAACATTATATGAAGAAATCCCGTTTCCAACGAAGGCCTCAAAGAGGTCCAAATATCTGCTTGCAGACTTTACAGACAGAGTGTTTCCAAACTGCTCCATCAAAAGAAAGGTTAAACTCCTTGAGTTGAACACACACATCACAAAGTAGTTTCTGTGAATGATTCTGTCTAGTTGTTATACGAAGATGTTTCCTTTTCTACCTTTGGTCTCAAAGCGATTGAAATCTCCACATGGAAACTCCACAAAAAGAGTGTTTCAAATCTGCTCTTTCTGAAGGAAGGTTCATCTCTGTGACTTGAATACACACACCACAAATAAGTTACTGAGAATTCTTCTGTGTAACATTATATGAGGAAATCCCGTTTCCAACGGAGGCCTCAAAGAGGTCCAAATATCCACTTGCAGACTTTACAAAGACAGTGTCTCCAAACTCCTCCACCAAAAGAAAGGTTATACTCTGTGAATTGAACGCACACATCACAAAGTAGTTTCTGAGAATGATTCTGTCTAGTTTTTATACGAAGATATTTCCTTTTCTACATTTGGCCTAAAAGCGCTTGAAATCTCCACCTGCAAATATCACAAAAAGAGGGTTTCACATCTGCTCTGTCTAAAGGACAGTTCACCTCTGTGAGTTGAATAGAGGCAACACAAAGAACTTACTCAGTATTCTTCTTTCTAGCGTTCTATGAAGAAATCCCGTTTCCAACGAAGACCCCAATGAGGTCCAAATATCTGCTTGCAGACTTTACAAACAGAGTGTTTCCAAACTACTCTATGAAAAGAAAGCTTAAACTCCTTGAGTTGAACGCACACATCACAAAGTAGTTTCTGAGAATAATTCTGTCTAGTTTTTATACGAAGATGTTTCCTTTTCTACATTTGGTCTCAAAGCGATTGAAATCTCCAACTGGAAACTGCACAAATAGGGTGTTTCAAATCTGCTCTGTCTAAAGGAAGGTTCAACTCTGTGAGTTGAATACACACACCACAAATAAGTTACTGAGAATTCTTCTGTCGACCATTACTTGATGAAATCCCGTTTCCAACGAAGGCCTCAAAGAGGTCCAAATATCCACTTGCAGACATTACAAACAGAGTGTTTCCAAACTGCTCCATCAAAAGAAAGGTTAAACTCTGTGAGCTGAACACACACATCGAAAAGAAGTTTCTGTGAATGATTCTGTCTAGATTTTATAAGAAGATGTTTCCTTTTCTACCGTAGGCCTCAAAGCGCTTGAAATCTCCAGCTGCAAATTCCACAAAAAGGGTGTTTAACATCTGCTCTTCTAAAGGAAAGTTCAACTCTATGAGTTGAATACACACAGCACAAAGAAGTTACTGAGACTTCTCCTATCAAACATTATATGAAGAAATCCCGTTTCCAACGAAGGCCTCAAAGAGGTCCAAATATCTGCTTGCAGACTTTAAAGACAGAGTTTTTCCAAACTGCTCCATCAAAAGAAAGGTTAAACTCCTTGAGTTGAACACACACATCACAAAGTAGTTTCTGTGAATGATTCTGTCTAGTTTTTATAGGAAGATGTTTCCTTTTCTACCTTTGGTCTCAAAGCGATTGAAATCTCCACATGGAAACTCCACAAAAAGAGTGTTTCAAATCTGCTCTTTCTGAAGGAAGGTTCAACTCTGTGAGTTGAATACACACACCACAAATAAGTTACTGAGAATTCTTCTGTGTAACATTATATGAGGAAATCCCGTTTCCAACGAAGGCCTCAAAGAGGTCCAAATATCCACTTGCAGACTTTACAAAGACAGTGTCTCCAAACTCCTCCATCAAAAGAAAGGTTATACTCTGTGAATTGAACGCACACATCACAAAATAGTTTCTGAGAATGATTCTGTCTAGTTTTTATACGAAGATATTTCCTTTTCTACATTTGGCCTAAAAGCGCTTGAAATCTCCACCTGCAAATATCACAAAAAGAGGGTTTCACATCTGCTCTGTCTAAAGGACAGTTCACCTCTGTGAGTTGAATAGAGGCAACACAAAGAACTTACTCAGTATTCTTTTTTCTAGCGTTCTATTAAGAAATCCCGTTTCCAACGAAGGCCCCAAAGAGGTCCAAATATCTGCTTGCAGACTTTACAGACAGAGTGTTTCCAAACTACTCTATGAAAAGAAAGCTTAAACTCCTTGAGTTGAACGCACACATCACAAAGTAGTTTCTGAGAATGATTCTGTCTTGTTTTTATACAAAGGTATTTCCGTTTCTATGGCTTCAAAGCGATTGAAATCTCCAACTGGAAACTGCACAAATAGGGTGTTTGAAATCTGCTCTGTCTAAAGGAAGGTTCAACTCTGTGAGTTGAATACACACACCACAAATAAGTTACTGAGAATTCTTCTGTCGAACATTACATGAAGAAATCCCGTTTCCAACGAAGGCCTCAAAGAGGTCCAAATATCCACTTGCAGACATTGCAAAAAGAGTGTTTCCAAACTACTCCATCAAAAGAAATGTTAAACTCTGTGAGCTGAACACACACATCAAAAAGAAGTTTCTGTGAATGATTCTGTCTAGATTTTATAAGAAGATGTTTCCTTTTCTACCGTAGGCCTCAAAGCGCTTGAAATCTCCAGCTGCAAATTCCACAAAAAGGGTGTTTAACATCTGCTCTTCTAAAGGAAAGTTCAACCCTATGAGTTGAATACACACAGCACAAAGAAGTTACTGAGACTTCTCCTATCAAACATTATATGAAGAAATCCCGTTTCCAACGAAGGCCTCAAAGAGGTCCAAATATCTGCTTGCAGACTTTACAGACAGAGTTTTTCCAAACTGCTCCATCAAAAGAAAGGTTAAACTCCTTGAGTTGAACACACACATCACAAAGTAGTTTCTGTGAATGATTCTGTCTAGTTGTTATACGAAGATGTTTCCTTTTCTACCTTTGGTCTCAAAGCGATTGAAATCTCCACATGGAAACTCCACAAAAAGAGTGTTTCAAATCTGCTCTTTCTGAAGGAAGGTTCATCTCTGTGAGTTGAATACACACACCACAAATAAGTTACTGAGAATTCTTCTGTGTAAATTATATGAGGAAATCCCGTTTCCAACGAAGGCCTCAAAGAGGTCCAAATATCCACTTGCAGACTTTACAAAGACAGTGTCTCCAAACTCCTCCATCAAAAGAAAGGTTATACTCTGTGAATTGAACGCACACATCACAAAGTAGTTTCTGAGAATGATTCTGTCTAGTTTTTATACGAAGATATTTCCTTTTCTACATTTGGCCTAAAAGCGCTTGTAATCTCCACCTGCAAATATCACAAAAAGAGGGTTTCACATCTGCTCTGTCTAAAGGACAGTTCACCTCTGTGAGTTGAATAGAGGCAACACAAAGAACTTACTCAGTATTCTTCTTTCTAGCGTTCTATGAAGAAATCCCGTTTCCAACGAAGGCCCCAAAGAGGTCCAAATATCTGCTTGCAGACTTTACAGACAGAGTGTTTCCAAACTACTCTATGAAAAGAAAGCTTAAACTCCTTGAGTTGAACGCACACATCACAAAGTAGTTTCTGAGAATGATTCTGTCTAGTTTTTATACGAAGATGTTTCCTTTTCTACATTTGGTCTCAAAGCGATTGAAATCTCCAACTGGAAACTGCACAAATAGGGTGTTTCAAATCTGCTCTGTCTAAAGGAAGGTTCAACTCTTTGAGTTGAATACACACACCACAAATAAGTTACTGAGAATTCTTCTGTCGAACATTACTTGAAGAAATCCCGTTTCCAACGAAGGCCTCAAAGAGGTCCAAATATCCACTTGCAGACATTACAAACAGAGTGTTTCCAAACTGCTCCATCAAAAGAAAGGTTAAACTCTGTGAGCTGAACACACACATCGAAAAGAAGTTTCTGTGAATGATTCTGTCTAGATTTTATAAGAAGATGTTTCCTTTTCTACCGTAGGCCTCAAAGCGCTTGAAATCTCCAGCTGCAAATTCCACAAAAAGGGTGTTTAACATCTGCTCTTCTAAAGGAAAGTTCAACTCTATGAGTTGAATACACACAGCACAAAGAAGTTGCTGAGACTTCTCCTATCAAACATTATATGAAGAAATCCCGTTTCCAACGAAGGCCTCAAAGAGGTCCAAATATCTGCTTGCAGACTTTACAGACAGAGTGTCTCCAAACTGCTCCATCAAAAGAAAGGTTAAACTCCTTGAGTTGAACACACACATCACAAAGTAGTTTCTGTGAATGATTCTGTCTAGTTGCTATACGAAGATGTTTCCTTTTCTACCTTTGGTCTCAAAGCGATTGAAATCTCCACATGGAAACTCCACAAAAAGAGTGTTTCAAATCTGCTCTTTCTGAAGGAAGGTTCATCTCTGTGAGTTGAATACACACACCACAAATAAGTTACTGAGAATTCTTCTGTGTAACATTATATGAGGAAATCCCGTTTCCAACGAAGGCCTCAAAGAGGTCCAAATATCCACTTGCAGACTTTACAAAGACAGTGTCTCCAAACTCCTCCATCAAAAGAAAGGTTATACTCTGTGAATTGAACGCACACATCACAAAGTAGTTTCTGAGAATGATTCTGTCTAGTTTTTATACGAAGATATTTCCTTTTCTACATTTGGCCTAAAAGCGCTTGAAATCTCCACCTGCAAATATCACAAAAAGAGGGTTTCACATCTGCTCTGTCTAAAGGACAGTTCACCTCTGTGAGTTGAATAGAGGCAACACAAAGAACTTACTCAGTATTCTTCTTTCTAGCGTTCTATGAAGAAATCCCGTTTCCAACGAAGGCCCCAAAGAGGTCCAAATATCTGCTTGCAGACTTTACAGACAGAGTGTTTCCAAACTACTCTATGAAAAGAAAGCTTAAACTCCTTGAGTTGAATGCACACATCACAAAGTAGTTTCTGAGAATGATTCTGTCTAGTTTTTATACGAAGATGTTTCCTTTTCTACATTTGGTCTCAAAGCGATTGAAATCTCCAACTGGAAACTGCACAAATAGGGTGTTTCAAATCTGCTCTGTCTAAAGGAAGGTTCAACTCTGTGAGTTGAATACACACACCACAAATAAGTTACTGAGAATTCTTCTGTCGAACATTACTTGAAGAAATCCCGTTTCCAACGAAGGCCTCAAAGAGGTCCAAATATCCACTTGCAGACATTACAAACAGAGTGTTTCCAAACTGCTCCATCAAAAGAAAGGTTAAACTCTGTGAGCTGAACACACACATCGAAAAGAAGTTTCTGTGAATGATTCTGTCTAGATTTTATAAGAAGATGTTTCCTTTTCTACCGTAGGCCTCAAAGCGCTTGAAATCTCCAGCTGCAAATTCCACAAAAAGGGTGTTTAACATCTGCTCTTCTAAAGGAAAGTTCAACTCTATGAGTTGAATACACACAGCACAAAGAAGTTACTGAGACTTCTCCTATCAAACATTATATGAAGAAATCCCGTTTCCAACGAAGGCCTCAAAGAGGTCCAAATGTCTGCTTGCAGACTTTACAGACAGAGTGTTTCCAAACTGCTCCATCAAAACAAAGGTTAAACTCCTTGAGTTGAACACACACATCACAAAGTAGTTTCTGTGAATGATTCTGTCTAGTTTTTATACGAAGATGTTTCCTTTTCTACCTTTGGTCTCAAAGCGATTGAAATCTCCACATGGAAACTCCACAAAAAGAGTGTTTCAAATCTGCTCTTTCTGAAGGAAGGTTCAACTCTGTGAGTTGAATACACACACCACAAATAAGTTACTGAGAATTCTTCTGTGTAACATTATATGAGGAAATCCCGTTTCCAACGAAGGCCTCAAAGAGGTCCAAATATCCACTTGCAGACTTTACAAAGACAGTGTCTCCAAACTCCTCCATCAAAAGAAAGGTTATACTCTGTGAATTGAACGCACACATCACAAAGTAGTTTCTGAGAATGATTCTGTCTAGTTTTTATACGAAGATATTTCCTTTTCTACATTTGGCCTAAAAGCGCTTGAAATCTCCACCTGCAAATATCACAAAAAGAGGGTTTCACATCTGCTCCGTCTAAAGGACAGTTCACCTCTGTGAGTTGAATAGAGGCAACACAAAGAACTTACTCAGTATTCTTCTTTCTAGCGTTCTATGAAGAAATCCCGTTTCCAACGAAGGCCCCAAAGAGGTCCAAATATCTGCTTGCAGACTTTACAGACAGAGTGTTTCCAAACTACTCTATGAAAAGAAAGCTTAAACTCCTTGAGTTGAACGCACACATCACAAAGTAGTTTCTGAGAATGATTCTGTCTAGTTTTTATACGAAGATGTTTCCTTTTCTACATTTGGTCTCAAAGCGATTGAAATCTCCAACTGGAAACTGCACAAATAGGGTGTTTCAAATCTGCTCTGTCTAAAGGAAGGTTCAACTCTGTGAGTTGAATACACACACCACAAATAAGTTACTGAGAATTCTTCTGTCGAACATTACTTGAAGAAATCCCGTTTCCAACGAAGGCCTCAAAGAGGTCCAAATATCCACTTGCAGACATTACAAACAGAGTGTTTCCAACCTGCTCCATCAAAAGAAAGGTTAAACTCTGTGAGCTGAACACACACATCAAAAAGAAGTTTCCTGTGAATGATTCTGTCTAGATTTTATAAGAACATATTTCCTTTTCTACCGTAGGCCACAAAGCGCTTGAAATCTCCAGCTGCAAATTCCACAAAAAGGGTGTTTAACATCTGCTCTTCTAAAGGAAAGTTCAACTCTATGAGTTGAATACACACAGCACAAAGAAGTTACTGAGACTTCTCCTATCAAACATTATATGAAGAAATCCCGTTTCCAACGAAGGCCTCAAAGAGGTCCAAATATCTGCTTGCAGACTTTACAGACAGAGTGTTTCCAAACTGCTCCATCAAAAGAAAGGTTAAACTCCTTGAGTTGAACACACACATCACAAAGTAGTTTCTGTGAATGATTCTGTCTAGTTTTTATACGAAGATGTTTCCTTTTCTACCTTTGGTCTCAATGCGATTGAAATCTCCACATGGAAACTCCACAAAAAGAGTGTTTCAAATCTGCTCTTTCTGAAGGAAGGTTCAACTCTGTGAGTTGAATACACACACCACAAATAAGTTACTGAGAATTCTTCTGTGTAACATTATATGAGGAAATCCCGTTTCCAACGAAGGCCTCAAAGAGATCCAAATATCCACTTGCAGACTTTACAAAGACAGTGTCTCCAAACTCCTCCATCAAAAGAAAGGTTATACTCTGTGAATTGAACGCACACATCACAAAGTAGTTTCTGAGAATGATTCTGTCTAGTTTTTATACGAAGATATTTCCTTTTCTACATTTGGCCTAAAAGCGCTTGAAATCTCCACCTGCAAATATCACAAAAAGAGGGTTTCACATCTGCTCTGTCTAAAGGACAGTTCACCTCTGTGAGTTGAATAGAGGCAACACAAAGAACTTACTCAGTATTCTTCTTTCTAGCGTTCTATGAAGAAATCCCGTTTCCAACGAAGGCCTCAAAGAGGTCAAATATCTGCTTCCAGACTTTACAGACAGAGTGTTTCCAAACTACTCTATGAAAAGAAAGCTTAAACTCCTTGAGTTGAAAGCACACATCACAAAGTAGTTTCTGAGAATGATTCTGTCTAGTTTTTATACGAAGATGTTTCCTTTTCTACATTTGGTCTCAAAGCGATTGAAATCTCCAACTGGAAACTGCACAAATAGGGTGTTTCAAATCTGCTCTGTCTAAAGGAAGGTTCAACTCTGTGAGTTGAATACACACACCACAAATAAGTTACTGAGAATTCTTCTGTCGAACATTACATGAAGAAATCCCGTTTCCAACGAAGGCCTCAAAGAGGTCCAAATATCCACTTGCAGACATTACAAACAGAGTGTTTCCAAACTGCTCCATCAAAAGAAAGGTTAAACTCTGTGAGCTGAACACACACATCAAAAAGAAGTTTCTGTGAATGATTCTGTCTAGATTTTATAAGAAGATGTTTCCTTTTCTACCGTAGGCCTCAAAGCGCTTGAAATCTCCAGCTGCAAATTCCACAAAAAGGGTGTTTAACATCTGCTCTTCTAAAGGAAAGTTCAACTCTATGAGTTGAATACACACAGCACAAAGAAGTTACTGAGACTTCTCCTATCAAACATTATATGAAGAAATCCCGTTTCCAACGAAGGCCTCAAAGAGGTCCAAATATCTGCTTGCAGACTTTACAGACAGAGTATTTCCAAACTGCTCCATCAAAAGAAAGGTTAAACTCCTTGAGTTGAACACACACATCACAAAGTAGTTTCTGTGAATGATTCTGTCTAGTTTTTATACGAAGATGTTTCCTTTTCTACCTTTGGTCTCAAAGCGATTGAAATCTCCACATGGAAACTCCACAAAAAGAGTGTTTCAAATCTGCTCTTTCTGAAGGAAGGTTCATCTCTGTGAGTTGAATACACACACCACAAATAAGTTACTGAGAATTCTTCTGTGTAACATTATATGAGGAAATCCCGTTTCCAACGAAGGCCTCAAAGAGGTCCAAATATCCACTTGCAGACTTTACAAAGACAGTGTCTCCAAACTCCTCCATCAAAAGAAAGGTTATACTCTGTGAATTGAACGCACACATCACAAAGTAGTTTCTGAGAATGATTCTGTCTAGTTTTTATACGAAGATATTTCCTTTTCTACATTTGGCCTAAAAGCGCTGGAAATCTCCACCTGCAAATATCACAAAAAGAGGGTTTCACATCTGCTCTGTCTAAAGGACAGTTCACCTCTGTGAGTTGAATAGAGGCAACACAAAGAACTTACTCAGTATTCTTCTTTCTAGTGTTCTATGAAGAAATCCCGTTTCCAACGAAGGCCTCAAAGAGGTCAAATATCTGCTTGCAGACTTTACAGACAGAGTGTTTCCAAACTACTCTATGAAAAGAAAGCTTAAACTCCTTGAGTTGAACGCACACATCACAAAGTAGTTTCTGAGAATCATTCTGTCTAGTTTTTATACGAAGATGTTTCCCTTTCTACAATTGGTCTCAAAGCGATTGAAATCTCCAACTGGAAACTGCACAAATAGGCTGTTTCAAATCTGCTCTGTCTAAAAGAGGGTTCAACTCTGTGAGTTGAATACACACACCACAAATAAGTTACTGAGAATTCTTCTGTCGAACATTACAGGAAGAAATCCCGTTTCCAACGAAGGCCTCAAAGAGGTCCAAATATCCACTTGCAGACATTACAAACAGTGTGTTTCCCAACTGCTCCATCAAAAGAAAGGTTAAACTCTGTGAGCTGAACACACACATCAAAAAGAAGTTTCTGTGAATGATTCTGTCTAGATTTTATAAGAAGATGTTTCCTTTTCTACCGTAGGCCTCAAAGCGCTTGAAATCTCCAGCTGCAAATTCCACAAAAAGGGTGTTTAACATCTGCTCTTCTAAAGGAAAGTTCAACTCTATGAGTTGAATACACACAGCACAAAGAAGTTACTGAGACTTCTCCTATCAAACATTATATGAAGAAATCCCGTTTCCAACGAAGGCCTCAAAGAGGTCCAAATATCTGCTTGCAGACTTTACAGACAGAGTGTTTCCAAACTGCTCCATCAAAAGAAAGGTTAAACTCCTTGAGTTGAACACACACATCACAAAGTAGTTTCTGTGAATGATTCTGTCTAGTTTTTATACGAAGATGTTTCCTTTTCTACCTTTGGTCTCAAAGCGATTGAAATCTCCACATGGAAACTCCACCAAAAGAGTGTTTCAAATCTGCTCTTTCTGAAGGAAGGTTCAACTCTGTGAGTTGAATACAGACACCACGAATAAGTTACTGAGAATTCTTCTGTGTAACATTATATGAGGAAATCCCGTTTCCAACGAAGGCCTCAAAGAGGTCCAAATATCCACTTGCAGACTTTACAAAGACAGTGTCTCCAAACTCCTCCATCAAAAGAAAGGTTATACTCTGTGAATTGAACGCACACATCACAAAGTAGTTTCTGAGAATGATTCTGTCTAGTTTTTATACGAAGATATTTCCTTTTCTACATTTGGCCTAAAAGCGCTTGAAATCTCCACCTGCAAATATCACAAAAAGAGGGTTTCACATCTGCTCTGTCTAAAGGACAGTTCACCTCTGTGAGTTGAATAGAGGCAACACAAAGAACTTACTCAGTATTTCTTTCTAGCGTTCTATGAAGAAATCCCGTTTCCAACGAAGGCCTCAAAGAGGTCCAAATATCTGCTTGCAGACTTTACAGACAGAGTGTTTCCAAACTACTCTATGAAAAGAAAGCTTAAACTCCTTGAGTTGAACGCACACATCAGAAAGTAGTTTCTGAGAATGATTCTGTCTAGTTTTTATACGAAGATGTTTCCTTTTCTACATTTGGTCTCAAAGCGATTGAAATCTCCAAATGGAAACTGCACAAATAGGGTGTTTCAAATCTGCTCTGTCTAAAGGAAGGTTCAACTCTGTGAGTTGAATACACACACCACAAATAAGTTGCTGAGAATTCTTCTGTCGAACATTAGTTGAAGAAATCCCGTTTCCAACGAAGGCCTCAAAGAGGTCCAAATATCCACTTGCAGATATTACAAACAGAGTGTTTCCAAACTGCTCCATCAAAAGAAAGGTTAAACTCTGTGAGCTGAACACACATCAAAAAGAAGTTTCTGTGAATGATTCTGTCTAGATTTTATAAGAAGATGTTTCCTTTTCTACCGTAGGCCTCAAAGCGCTTGAAATCTCCAGCTGCAAATTCCACAAAAAGGGTGTTAAACATCTGCTCTTCTAAAGGAAAGTTCAACTCTATGAGTTGAATAGACACAGCACAAAGAAGTTACTGAGACTTCTCCTATCAAACATTATATGAAGAAATCCCGTTTCCAACGAAGGCCTCAAAGAGGTCCAAATATCTGCTTGCAGACTTTACAGACAGAGTGTTTCCAAACTGCTCCATCAAAAGAAAGTTTTAACCCCTTGAGTTGAACACACACATCACAAAGTAGTTTCTGTGAATGATTCTGTCTAGTTGTTATACGAAGTATGTTTCCTTTTCTACCTTTGGTCTCAAAGCGATTGAAATCTCCACATGGAAACTCCACAAAAAGAGTGTTTCAAATCTGCTCTTTCTGAAGGAAGGTTCATCTCTCTGAGTTGAATACACACACCACAAATAAGTTACTGAGAATTCTTCTGGGTAACATTATATGAGGAAATCCCGTTTCCAACGAAGGCCTCAAAGAGGTCCAAATATCCACTTGCAGACTTTACAAAGACAGTGTCTCCAAACTCCTCCATCAAAAGAAAGGTTATACTCTGTGAATTGAACGCACACATCACAAAGTAGTTTCTGAGAATGATTCTGTCTAGTTTTTATACGAAGATATTTCCTTTTCTACATTTGGCCTAAAAGCGCTTGAAATCTCCACCTGCAAATATCACAAAAAGAGGGTTTCACATCTGCTCTGTCTAAAGGACAGTTCACCTCTGTGAGTTGAATAGAGGCAACACAAAGAACTTACTCAGTATTCTTCTTTCTAGCATTCTATGAAGAAATCCCGTTTCCAACGAAGGCCCCAAAGAGGTCCAAATATCTGCTTGCAGACTTTACAGACAGAGTTTTTCCAAACTGCTCCATCAAAAGAAAGGTTAAACTCCTTGAGTTGAACACACACATCACAAAGTAGTTTCTGTGAATGATTCTGTCTAGTTTTTATACGAAGATGTTTCCTTTTCTACCTTTGGTCTCAAAGCGATTGAAATCTCCACATGGAAACTCCACAAAAAGAGTGTTTCAAATCTGCTCTTTCTGAAGGAAGGTTCAACTCTGTGAGTTGAATACACACACCACAAATAAGTTACTGAGAATTCTTCTGTGTAACATTATATGAGGAAATCCCGTTTCCAACGAAGGCCTCAAAGAGGTCCAAATATCCACTTGCAGACTTTACAAAGACAGTGTCTCCAAACTCCTCCATCAAAAGAAAGGTTATACTCTGTGAATTGAACGCACACATCACAAAGTAGTTTCTGAGAATGATTCTGTCTAGTTTTTATACGAAGATATTTCCTTTTCTACATTTGGCCTAAAAGCGCTTGAAATCTCCACCTGCAAATATCACAAAAAGAGGGTTTCACATCTGCTCTGTCTAAAGGACAGTTCACCTCTGTGAGTTGAGTAGAGGCAACACAAAGAACTTACTCAGTATTCTTCTTTCTAGCGTTCTATGAAGAAATCACGTTTCCAACGAAGGCCCCAATGAGGTCCAAATATCTGCTTGCAGACTTTACAGACAGAGTGTTTCCAAACTACTCTATGAAAAGAAAGCTTAAACTTCTTGAGTTGAACGCACACATAACAAAGTAGTTTCTGAGAATGATTCTGTCTAGTTTTTATACGAAGATGTTTCCTTTTCTACATTTGGTCTCAAAGCGATTGAAATCTCCAACTGGAAACTGCACAAATAGGGTGTTTCAAATCTGCTCTGTCTAAAGGAAGGTTCAACTCTTTGAGTTGAATACACACACCACAAATAAGTTACTGAGAATTCTTCTGTCGAACATTACTTGAAGAAATCCCGTTTCCAACGAAGGCCTCAAAGAGGTCCAAATATCGACTTGCAGACATTACAAACAGAGTGTTTCCAAACTGCTCCATCAAAAGAAAGGTTAAACTCTGTGAGCTGAACACACACATCAAAAAGAAGTTTCTGTGAATGATTCTGTCTAGATTTTATAAGAAGATGTTTCCTTTTCTACCGTAGGCCTCAAAGTGCTTGAAATCTCCAGCTGCAAATTCCACAAAAAGGGTGTTTAACATCTGCTCTTCTAAAGGAAAGTTCAACTCAATGAGTTGAATACACACAGCCCAAAGAAGTTACTGAGACTTCTCCTATCAAACATTATATGAAGAAATCCCGTTTCCAACGAAGGCCTCAAAGAGGTCCAAATATCTGCTTGCAGACTTTACAAAGACAGTGTCTCCAAACTCCTCCATCAAAAGAAAGGTTATACTCTGTGAATTGAACGCACACATCACAAAGTAGTTTCTGAGAATGATTCTGTCTATTTTTTATACGAAGATATTTTCTTTTCTACATTTGGCCTAAAAGCGCTTGAAATCTCCACCTGCAAATATCACAAAAAGAGGGTTTCACATCTGCTCTGTCTAAAGGACAGTTCACTTTTGTGAGTTGAATAGAGGCAACACAAAGAACTTACTCAGTATTCTTCTTTCTAGCGTTCTATGAAGAAATCCCGTTTCCAACGAAGGCCACAAAGAGGTCCAAATATCTGCTTGCAGACATTACAGACAGAGTGTTTCCAAACTACTCTATGAAAAGAAAGCTTAAACTCCTTGAGTTGAACGCACACATCACAAAGTAGTTTCTGAGAATGATTCTGTCTAGTTTTTATACGAAGATGTTTCCTTTTCTACATTTGGTCTCAAAGCGATTGAAATCTCCAACTGGAAACTGCACAAATAGGGTGTTTCAAATCTGCTCTGTCTAAAGGAAGGTTCAACTCTGTGAGTTGAATACACACACCACAAATAAGTTACTGAGAATTCTTCTGTCGAACATTACTTGAAGAAATCCCGTTTCCAACGAAGGCCTCAAAGAGGTCCAAATATCCACTTGCAGACATTACAAACAGAGTGTTTCCAAACTGCTCCATCAAAAGAAAGGTTAAACTCTGTGAGCTGAACACACACATCAAAAAGAAGTTTCCTGTGAATGATTCTGTCTAGTATTTTATAAGAAGATGTTTCCTTTTCTACCGTAGGCCTCAAAGCGCTTGAAATCTCCAGCTGCAAATTCCACAAAAAGGGTGTTTAACATCTGCTCTTCTAAAGGAAAGTTCAACTCTATGAGTTGAATACACACAGCACAAAGAAGTTGCTGAGACTTCTCCTATCAAACATTATATGAAGAAATCCCGTTTCCAACGAAGGCCTCAAAGAGGTCCAAATATCTGCTTGCAGACTTTAAAGACAGAGTTTTTCCAAACTGCTCCATCAAAAGAAAGGTTAAACTCCTTGAGTTGAACACACACATCACAAAGTAGTTTCTGTGAATGATTCTGTCTAGTTTTTATACGAAGATGTTTCCTTTTCTACCTTTGGTCTCAAAGCGATTGAAATCTCCACATGGAAACTCCACAAAAAGAGTGTTTCAAATCTGCTCTTTCTGAAGGAAGGTTCAACTCTGTGAGTTGAATACACACACCACAAATAAGTTACTGAGAATTCTTCTGTGTAACATTATATGAGGAAATCCCGTTTCCAACGAAGGCCTCAAAGAGGTCCAAATATCCACTTGCAGACTTTACAAAGACAGTGTCTCCAAACTCCTCCATCAAAAGAAAGGTTATACTCTGTGAATTGAACGCACACATCACAAAGTAGTTTCTGAGAATGATTCTGTCTAGTTTTTATACGAAGATATTTCCTTTTCTACATTTGGCCTAAAAGCGCTTGAAATCTCCACCTGCAAATATCACAAAAAGAGGGTTTCACATCTGCTCTGTCTAAAGGACAGTTCACCTCTGTGAGTTGAATAGAGGCAACACAAAGAACTTACTCAGTATTCTTCTTTCTAGCGTTCTATGAAGAAATCCCGTTTCCAACGAAGGCCTCAAAGAGGTCAAATATCTGCTTGCAGACTTTACAGACAGAGTGTTTCCAAACTACTCTATGAAAAGAAAGCTTAAACTCCTTGAGTTGAACGCACACATCACAAAGTAGTTTCTGAGAATGATTCTGTCTAGTTTTTATACGAAGATGTTTCCTTTTCTACATTTGGTCTCAAAGCGATTGAAATCTCCAACTGGAAACTGCACAAATAGGGTGTTTCAAATCTGCTCTGTCTAAAGGAAGGTTCAACTCTTTGAGTTGAATACACACACCACAAATAAGTTACTGAGAATTCTTCTGTCGAACATTACATGAAGAAATCCCGTTTCCAACGAAGACCTCAAAGAGGTCCAAATATCCACTTGCAGACATTACAAACAGAGTGTTTCCAAACTGCTCCATCAAAAGAAAGGTTAAACCCTGTGAGCTGAACACACACATCAAAAAGATGTTTCTGTGAATGATTCTGTCTAGATTTTAGAAGAAGATGTTTCCTTTTCTACCGTAGGCCTCAAAGCGCTTGAAATCTCCAGCTGCAAATTCCACAGAAAGGGTGTTTAACATCTGCTCTTCTAAAGGAAAATTTAACTCTATGAGTTGAATACACACAGCACAAAGAAGTTACTGAGACTTCTCCTATCAAACATTATATGAAGAAATCCCGTTTCCAAAGAAGGCCCCAAAGCAGTCCAAATATCCACTTGCAGACGTGAAAAACAGAGTGTTTCCAAACTGCCATATCAAAAGAAAGGTTAAACTCTGTGAGCTGAACACACACATCACAAAGTAGTTTCTGTGAATGATTCTGTCTAGTTTTTATACGAAGATGTTTCCTTTTCTACCTTTGGTCTCAAAGCGATGGATATCTCCACATGGAAACTCCACAAAATGAGTGTTTCAAATCTGCTCTTTCTGAAGGAAGGTTCAACTCTGTGAGTTGAATACACACACCACAAATAAGTTGCTGAGAATTCTTCTGTCGAACATTACATGAAGAAATCCCGTTTCCAACCAAGGCCTCAAAGAGGTCCATATATCCACTTGCAGATATTACAAACTGAGTGTTTCCAAACTGCTCCATCAAAGGAAATGTTAAACTCCTGTGAGCTGAACACACACATCAAAAAGAAGTTTCTGTGAATGATTCTGTCTAGATTTTATAAGAAGATGTTTCCTTTTCTACAGTAGGCCTCAAAGCGCTTGAAACCTCCAGCTGCAAATTCCCCAAAAAGGGTGTTTAACATCTGCTCTTCTAAAGGAAAGTTCAACTCTATGAGTTGAATACACACAGCACAAAGAAGTTACTGAGACTTCTCCTATCAAACATTATATGAAGAAATCCCGTTTCCAACGAAGGCCCCAAAGAGGTCCAAATATCCACTTGCAGACTTTACAGACAGAGTGTTTCCAAACTCCTCCATCAAAAGAAAGGTTAAACTCCTTGAGTTGAACACACACATCACAAAGTAGTTTCTGTGAATGATTCTGTCTAGTTTTTATACGAAGATGTTTCCTTTTCTACCTTTGGTCTCAAAGCAATTGAAGTCTCCACATGGAAACTCCACAAAAAGAGTGTTTCAAATCTGCTCTGTCTGAAGGAAGGTTCAACTCTGTGAGTTGAATACACACACCACAAATAAGTTACTGAGAATTCTTCTGTGTAACATTATATGAGGAAATCCCGTTTCCAACGAAGGCCTCAAAGAGGTCCAAATATCCACTTGCAGACTTTACAAAGACAGTGTCTCCAAACTCCTCCATCAAAAGAAAGGTTATACTCTGTGAATTGAACGCACACATCACAAAGTAGTTTCTGAGAATGATTCTGTCTAGTTTTCATACGAAGATATTTCCTTTTCTACATTTGGCCTAAAAGCGCTTGAAATCTCCACCTGCAAATATCACAAAAAGAGGGTTTCACATCTGCTCTGTCTAAAGGACAGTTCACCTCTGTGAGTTGAATAGAGGCAACACAAAGAACGTACTCAGTATTCTTCTTTCTAGCGTTATATGAAGAAATCCCGTTTCCAAAGAAGGCCTCAAAGAGGTCCAAATATCTGCTTGCAGACTTTACAGACAGAGTGTTTCCAAACTACTCTATGAAAAGAAAGCTTAAACTCCTTGAGTTGAACGCACACATCACAAAGTAGTTTCTGAGAATGATTCTGTCTTGTTTTTATACGAAGATATTTCCGTTTCTATGATTGGCCTCAAAGCGATTGAAATCTCCAACTGGAAAATGCACAAATAGGGTGTTTCAAATCTGCTCTGTCTAAAGGAAGGTTCAACTCTGTGAGTTGAATACACACACCACAAATAAGTTACTGAGAATTCTTCTGTCGAACATTACATGAAGAAATCCCGTTTCCAACGAAGGCCTCAAAGAGGTCCAAATAACCCCTTGCAGACATTACAAACAGAGTGTTTCCAAACTGCTCCATCAAAAGAAAGGTCAAACTCTGTGAGCTGAACACACACATCAAAAAGAAGTTTCTGTGAATGATTCTGTCTAGATTTTATAAGAAGATGTTTCCTTTTCTACCGTAGGCCTCAAAGCGCTTGAAATCTCCAGCTGCAAATTCCACAAAAAGGGTGTTTACCATCTGCTCTTCTAAAGGAAAGTTCAACTGTATGAGTTGAATACACACAGCACAAAGAAGTTACTGAGACTTCTCCTATCAAACATTATATGAAGAAATCCCGTTTCCAAAGAAGGCCTCAAAGAGGTCCAAATATCTGCTTGCAGACTTTACAGACAGAGTGTTTCCAAACTGCTCCATCAAAAGAAAGGTTAAACTCCTTGAGTTGAACACACACATCACAAAGTAGTTTCTGTGAATGATTCTGTCCAGTTTTTATACGAAGATATTTCCTTTTCTACCTTTGGTCTCAAAGCGATTGAAATCTCCACATGGAAACTCCACAAAAAGAGTGTTTCAAATCTGCTCTTTCTGAAGGAAGGTTCAACTCTGTGAGTTGAATACACACACCACAAATAAGTTACTGAGAATTCTTCTGTGTAACATTATATGAGGAAATCCCGTTTCCAACGAAGGCCTCAAAGAGGTCCAAATATCCACTTGCAGACTTTACAAAGACAGTGTCTCCAAACTCCTCCATCAAAAGAAAGGTTATACTCTGTGAATTGAACGCACACATCACAAAGTAGTTTCTGAGAATGATTCTGTCTAGTTTTAATACGAAGATATTTCCTTTTCTACATTTGGCCTAAAAGCGCTTGAAATCTCCACCTGCAAATATCACAAAAAGAGGGTTTCACATCTGCTCTGTCTAAAGGACAGTTCACCTCTGTGAGTTGAATAGAGGCAACACAAAGAACTTACTCAGTATTCTTCTTTCCAGCGTTCTATGAAGATATCCCGTTTCCAACGAAGGCCTCAAAGAGGTCCAAATATCTGCTTGCAGACTTTACAGACAGAGTGTTTCCAAACTACTCTATGAAAAGAAAGCTTAAACTCCGTGAGTTGAATGCACACATCACAAAGTAGTTTCTGAGAATGATTCTGTCTAGTTTTTATACGAAGATGTTTCCTTTTCTACATTTGGTCTCAAAGCGATTGAAATCTCCAACTGGAAACTGCACAAATAGGGTGTTTCAAATCTGCTCTGTCTAAAGGAAGGTTCAACTCTGTGAGTTGAATACACACACCACAAATAAGTTACTGAGAATTCTTCTGTCGAACATTACATGAAGAAATCCCGTTTCCAACAAAGGCCTCAAAGAGGTCCAAATATCCACTTGCAGACATTACAAACAGTGTGTTTCCAAACTGCTCCATCAAAAGAAAGGTTAAACTCTGTGAGCTGAACACACACATCAAAAAGAAGTTTCTGTGAATGATTCTGTCTGGATTTTATAAGAAGATGTTTCCTTTTTTACCGTAGGCCTCAAAGCGCTTGAAATCTCCAGCTGCAAATTCCACAAAAAGGGTGTTTAACATCTGCTCTTCTAAAGGAAAGTTCAACTCTATGCGTTGAATACACACAGCACAAAGAAGTTACTGAGACTTCTTCTGTCGAACATTACTTGAAGAAATCCCGTTTCCAACGAAGGCCTCAAAGAGGTCCAAATATCTGTTTGCAGACTTTACAGATAGAGTGTTTCCAAACTGCTCCATGAAAAGAAAGGTTAAACTCCTTGAGTTGATCACACACATCACAAAGTAGTTTCTGTGAATGATTCTGTCTAGTTTCTATACGAAGATGTTTCCTTTTCTACCTTTGGTCTCAAAGCGATTGAAATCTCCACATGGAAACTCCACAAAAAGAGTGTTTCAAATCTGCTCTTTCTGAAGGAAGGTTCAACTCTGTGAGTTGAATACACACACCACAAATAAGTTACTGAGAATTCTTCTGTGTAACATTATATGAGGAAATCCCGTTTCCAACGAAGGCCTCAAAGAGGTCCAAATATCCACTTGCAGACTTTACAAAGACAGTGTCTCCAAACTCCTCCATCAAAAGAAAGGTTATACTCTGTGAATTGAACGCACACATCACAAAGTAGTTTCTGAGAATGATTCTGTCTAGTTTTTATACGAAGATATTTCCTTTTCTACATTTGGCCTAAAAGCGCTTGAAATCTCCACCTGCAAATATCACAAAAAGAGGGTTTCACATCTGCTCTGTCTAAAGGACAGTTCACCTCTGTGAGTTGAGTAGAGGCAACACAAAGAACTTACTCAGTATTCTTCTTTCTAGCGATCTATGAAGAAATCCCGTTTCCAACGAAGGCCTCAAAGAGGTCCAAATATCTGCTTGTAGACTTTACAAAGACAGTGTCTCCAAACTCCTCCATCAAAAGAAAGGTTATACTCTGTGAATTGAACGCACACATCACAAAGTAGTTTCTGAGAATGATTCTGTCTAGTTTTTATACGAAGATGTTTCCTTTTCTACATTTGGTCTCAAAGTGATTGAAATCTCCAACTGGAAACTCCACAAAAAGAGTGTTTCAAATCTGCTCTGTCTAAAGGAAGGCTCAACTCTGTGAGTTGAATACACACACCACAAATAAGTTACTGAGAATTCTTCTGTCGAACATTACTTGAAGAAATCCCGTTTCCAAAGAAGGCCTCAAAGAGGTCCAAATATCCACTTGCAGACATTACAAACAGAGTGTTTCCAAACTGCTCCATCAAAAGAAAGGTTAAACTCTGTGAGCTGAACACACACATCAAAAAGAAGTTTCTGTGAATGATTCTGTCTAGATTTTATAAGAAGATGTTTCCTTTTCTACCGTAGGCCTCAAAGCGCTTGAAATCTCCAGCTGCAAATTCCACAAAAAGGGTGTTTAACATCTGCTCTTCTAAAGGAAAGTTCAACTCTATGAGTTGAATACACACAGCACAAAGAAGTTACTGAGACTTCTTCTTTCTAGCGTTATAAGAAGAAATCCCTTTTCCAACGAAGGCCTCAAAGAGGTCCAAATATCCACTTGCAGACGTGACAAACAGAGTGTTTCCAAACTGCTGCATCAAAAGAAAGTTTAAACTCCGTGAGTTGAACACACACATCACAAAGTAGTTTCTGTGAATGATTCTGTCTAGTTTTTATACGAAGATGTTTCCTTTTCTACCTTTGGTCTCAAAGCGATTGAAATCTCCACATGGAAACTCCACAAAAAGAGTGTTTCAAATCTGCTCTTTCTGAAGGAAGGTTCAACTCTGTGAGTTGAATACACACACCACAAATAAGTTACTGAGAATTCTTCTGGGTAACATTATATGAGGAAATCCCGTTTCCAACGAAGGCCTCAAAGAGGTCCAAATATCCACTTGCAGACTTTACAAAGACAGTGTCTCCAAACTCCTCCATCAAAAGAAAGGTTATACTCTGTGAATTGAACGCACACATCACAAAGTAGTTTCTGAGAATGATTCTGTCTAGTTTTTATACGAAGATATTTCCTTTTCTACATTTGGCCTAAAAGCGCTTGAAATCTCCACCTGCAAATATCACAAAAAGAGGGTTTCACATCTGCTCTGTCTGAAGGACAGTTCACCTCTGTGAGTTGAATAGAGGCAACACAAAGAACTTACTCAGTATTCTTCTTTCTAGCGTTCTATGAAGAAATCCCGTTTCCAACGAAGGCCCCAAAGAGGTCCAAATATCTGCTTGCAGACTTTACAGACAGAGTGTTTCCAAACTACTCTATGAAAAGAAAGCTTAAACTCCTTGAGTTGAACGCACACATCACAAAGTAGTTTCTGAGAATGATTCTGTCTAGTTTTTATACGAAGATGTTTCCTTTTCTACATTTGGTCTCAAAGCGATTGAAATCTCCAACTGGAAACTGCACAAATAGGGTGTTTCAAATCTGCTCTGTCTAAAGGAAGGTTCAACTCTTTGAGTTGAATACACACACCACAAATAAGTTACTGAGAATTCTTCTGTCGAACATTACATGAAGAAATCCCGTTTCCAACGAAGGCCTCAAAGAGGTTCAAATATCCACTTGCAGACATTACACACAGTGTGTTTCCAAACTGCTCCATCAAAAGAAAGGTTAAACTCTGTGAGCTGAACACACACATCAAAAAGAAGTTTCTGTGAATGATTCTGTCTAGATTTTATAAGAAGATGTTTCCTTTTCTACCGTAGGCCTCAAAGCGCTTGAAATCTCCAGCTGCAAATTCCACAAAAAGGGTGTTTAACATCTGCTCTTCTAAAGGAAAGTTCAACTCTATGAGTTGAATACACACAGCACAAAGAAGTTACTGAGACTTCTCCTATCAAACATTATATGAAGAAATCCCGTTTCCAACGAAGGCCTCAAAGAGGTCCAAATATCTGCTTGCAGACTTTACAGACAGAGTGTTTCCAAACTGCTCCATCAAAAGAAAGGTTAAACTCCTTGAGTTGAACACACACATCACAAAGTAGTTTCTGTGAATGATTCTGTCTAGTTTTTATACGAAGATGTTTCCTTTTCTACCTTTGGTCTCAAAGCGATTGAAATCTCCACATGGAAACTCCACAAAAAGAGTGTTTCAAATCTGCTCTTTCTGAAGGAAGGTTCAACTCTGTGAGTTGAATACACACACCACAAATAAGTTACTGAGAATTCTTCTGTGTAAAATTATATGAGGAAATCCCGTTTCCAACGAAGGCCTCAAAGAGGTCCAAATATCCACTTGCAGACTTTACAAAGACAGTGTCTCCAAACTCCTCCATCAAAAGAAAGGTTATACTCTGTGAATTGAACGCACACATCACAAAGTAGTTTCTGAGAATGATTCTGTCTAGTTTTTATACGAAGATATTTCCTTTTCTACATTTGGCCTAAAAGCGCTTGAAATCTCCACCTGCAAATATCACAAAAAGAGGGTTTCACATCTGCTCTATCTAAAGGAGAGTTTACCTCTGTGAGTTGAATAGAGGCAACACAAAGAACTTACTCAGTATTCTTCTTTCTAGCGTTCTATGAAGAAATCCCGTTTCCAACGAAGGCCTCAAAGAGGTCAAATATCTGCTTGCAGACGTTACAGACAGTGTGTTTCCAAACTACTCTATGAAAAGAAAGCTTAAACTCCTTGAGTTGAACGCACACATCACAAAGTAGTTTCTGAGAATGATTCTGTCTAGTTTTTATACGAAGATGTTTCCTTTTCTACATTTGGTCTCAAAGCGATTGAAATCTCCAACTGGAAACTGCACAAATAGGGTGTTTCAAATCTGCTCTGTCTAAAGGAAGGTTCAACTCTGTGAGTTGAATACACACACCACAAATAAGTTACTGAGAATTCTTCTGTCGAACATTACATGAAGAAATCCCGTTTCCAACGAAGGCCTCAAAGAGGTCCAAATATCCACTTGCAGACATTACAAACAGAGTGTTTCCAAACTGCTCCATCAAAAGAAAGGTTAAACTCTGTGAGCTGAACACACACATCAAAAAGAAGTTTCTGTGAATGATTCTGTCTAGATTTTATAAGAAGATGTTTCCTTTTCTACCGTAGGCCTCAAAGTGCTTGAAATCTCCAGCTGCAAATTCCACAAAAAGGGTGTTTAACATCTGCTCTTCTAAAGGAAAGTTCAACTCAATGAGTTGAATACACACAGCCCAAAGAAGTTACTGAGACTTCTCCTATCAAACATTATATGAAGAAATCCCGTTTCCAACGAAGGCCTCAAAGAGGTCCAAATATCTGCTTGTAGACTTTACAAAGACAGTGTCTCCAAACTCCTCCATCAAAAGAAAGGTTATACTCTGTGAATTGAACGCACACATCACAAAGTAGTTTCTGAGAATGATTCTGTCTAGTTTTTATACGAAGATATTTCCTTTTCTACATTTGGCCTAAAAGCGCTTGAAGTCTCCACCTGCAAATATCACAAAAAGAGGGTTTCACATCTGCTCTGTCTAAAGGACAGTTCACCTTTGTGAGTTGAATAGAGGCAACACAAAGAACTTACTCAGTATTCTTCTTTCTTGCGTTCTATGAAGAAATCCCGTTTCCAACGAAGGCCCCAAAGAGGTCCAAATATCTGCTTGCACACTTTACAGACAGAGTGTTTCCAAACTACTCTATGAAAAGAAAGCTTAAACTCCTTGAGTTGAACGCACACATCACAAAGTAGTTTCTGAGAATGATTCTGTCCAGTTTTTATACGAAGATGTTTCCTTTTCTACATTTGGTCTCAAAGCGATTGAAATCTCCAACTGGAAACTGCACAAATAGGGTGTTTCAAATCTGCTCTGTCTAAAGGAAGGTTCAACTCTGTGAGTTGAATACACACACCACAAATAAGTTACTGAGAATTCTTCTGTCAAACATTACTTGAAGAAATCCCGTTTCCAACGAAGGCCTCAAAGAGGTCCAAATATCCACTTGCAGACATTACAAACAGAGTGTTTCCAAACTGCTCCATCAAAAGAAAGGTTAAACTCTGTGAGCTGAACACACACATCAAAAAGAAGTTTCTGTGAATGATTCTGTCTAGATTTTATAAGAAGATGTTTCCTTTTCTACCGTAGGCCTCAAAGCGCTTGAAATCTCCAGCTGCAAATTCCACAAAAAGGGTGTTTAACATCTGCTCTTCTAAAGGAAAGTTCAACTCTATGCGTTGAATACACACAGCACAAAGAAGTTACTGAGACTTCTCCTATCAAACATTATATGAAGAAATCCCGTTTCCAACGAAGGCCTCAAAGAGGTCCAAATATCCACTTGCAGACGTGACAAACAGAGTGTTTCCAAACTGCTCCATCAAAAGAAAGGTTAAACTCTGTGAGTTGAACACACACATCACAAAGTAGTTTCTGTGAATGATTCTGTCTAGTTTGTATACGAAGATGTTTCCTTTTCTACCTTTGGTCTCAAAGCGATTGAAATCTCCACATGGAAACTCCACAAAAAGAGTGTTTCAAATCTGCTCTTTCTGAAGGAAGGTTCAACTCTGTGAGTTGAATACACACACCACAAATATGTTACTGAGAATTCTTCTGTGTAACATTATATGAGGAAATCCCGTTTCCAACGAAGGCCTCAAAGAGGTCCAAATATCCACTTGCAGACTTTACAAAGACAGTGTCTCCAAACTCCTCCATCAAAAGAAAGGTTATACTCTGTGAATTGAACGCACACATCACAAAGTAGTTTCTGAGAATGATTCTATCTAGTTTTTATACGAAGATATTTCCTTTTCTACATTTGGCCTAAAAGCGCTTGAAATCTCCTCCTGCAAATATCACAAAAAGAAGGTTTCACATCTGCTCTCTCTAAAGGACAGTTCACCTCTGTGAGTTGAATAGAGGCAACACAAAGAATTTACTCAGTATTCTTCTTTCTAGCGTTCTATGAAGAAATCCCGTTTCCAACGAAGGCCTCAAAGAGGTCCAAATATCTGCTTGCAGACTTTACAGACAGAGTGTTTCCAAACTACTCTATGAAAAGAAAGCTTAAACTCCTTGAGTTGAACGCACACATCACAAAGTAGTTTCTGAGAATGATTCTGTCTAGTTTTTATACGAAGATGTTTCCTTTTCTACATTTGGTCTCAAAGCGATTGAAATCTCCAACTGGAAACTGCACAAATAGGGTGTTTCAAATCTGCTCTGTCTAAAGGAAGGTTCAACTCTGTGAGTTGAATACACACACCACAAATAAGTTACTGAGAATTCTTCTGTCGAACATTACTTGAAGAAATCCCTTTTCCAACGAAGACCTCAAAGAGGTCCAAATATCCACTTGCAGACATTACAAACAGAGTGTTTCCAAACTGCTCCATCAAAAGAAAGGTTAAACTCTGTGAGCTGAACACACACATCAAAAAGAAGTTTCTGTGAATGATTCTGTCTAGATTTTATAAGAAGATGTTTCCTTTTCTACCGTAGGCCTCAAAGCGCTTGAAATCTCCAGCTGCAAATTCCACAAAAAGGGTGTTTAACATCTGCTCTTCTAAAGGAAAGTTGAACTCTATGAGTTGAATACACACAGCACAAAGAAGTTACTGAGACTTCTGCTATCAAACATTATATGAAGAAATCCCGTTTCCAACGAAGGCCTCAAAGAGGTCCAAATATCTGCTTGCAGACTTTACAGACAGAGTGTTTCCAAACTGCTCCATCAAAAGAAAGGTTAAACTCCTTGAGTTGAACACACACATCACAAAGTAGTTTGCTGTGAATGATTCTGTCTAGTTTTTATACGAAGATGTTTCCTTTTCTACCTTTGGTCTCAAAGCGATTGAAATCTCCACATGGAAACTCCACAAAAAGAGTGTTTCAAATCTGCTCTTTCTGAAGGAAGGTTCAACTCTGTGAGTTGAATACAAACACCACAAATAAGTTACTGAGAATTCTTCTGTGTAACATTATATGAGGAAATCCCGTTTCCAACGAAGGTCTCAAAGAGGTCCAAATATCCACTTGCAGACTTTACAAAGACAGTGTCTCCAAACTCCTCCATCAAAAGAAAGGTTATACTCTGTGAATTGAACGCACACATCACAAAGTAGTTTCTGAGAATGATTCTGTCTAGTTTTTATACGAAGATATTTCCTTTTCTACATTTGGCCTAAAAGCGCTTGAAATCTCCACGTGCAAATATCACAAAAAGAGGGTTTCACATCTGCTCTGTCTAAAGGACAGTTCACCTCTGTGAGTTGAATAGAGGCAACACAAAGAACTTACTCAGTATTCTTCTTTCTAGCATTCTATGAAGAAATCCCGTTTCCAACGAAGGCCTCAAAGAGGTCAAATATCTGCTTGCAGACTTTACAGACAGAGTGTTTCCAAACTACTCGATGAAAAGAAAGCTTAAACTCCTTGAGTTGAACGCACACATCACAAAGTAGTTTCTGAGAATGATTCTGTCTAGTTTTTATACGAAGATGTTTCCTTTTCTACATTTGGTCTGAAAGCGATTGAAATCTCCAACTGGAAACTGCACAAATAGGCTGTTTCAAATCTGCTCTGTCTAAAGGAAGGTTCAGCTCTGTGAGTTGAATACACACACCACAAATAAGTTACTGAGAATTCTTCTGTCGAACATTACAGGAAGAAATCCCGTTTCCAATGAAGGCCTCAAAGAGGTCCAAATATCCACTTGCGGACATTACAAACAGTGTGTTTCCCAACTGCTCCATCAAAAGAAAGGTTAAACTCTGTGAGCTGAACACACACATCAAAAAGAAGTTTCTGTGAATGATTCTGTCTAGATTTTATAAGAAGATGTTTCCTTTTCTACCGTAGGCCTCAAAGCGCTTGAAATCTCCAGCTGCAAATTCCACAAAAAGGGTGTTTAACATCTGCTCTTCTAAAGGAAAGTTCAACTCTATGAGTTGAATACACACAGCACAAAGAAGTTACTGAGACTTCTCCTATCAAACATTATATGAAGAAATCCCGTTTCCAACGAAGGCCTCAAAGAGGTCCAAATATCTGCTTGCAGACTTTACAGACAGAGTTTTTCCAAACTGCTCCATCAAAAGAAAGGTTAAACTCCTTGAGTTGAACACACACATCACAAAGTAGTTTCTGTGAATGATTCTGTCTAGTTATTATACGAAGATGTTTCCTTTTCTACCTTTGGTCTCAATGCGATTGAAATCTCCACATGGAAACTCCACAAAAAGAGTGTTTCAAATCTGCTCTTTTCTGAAGGAAGGTTCAACTCTGTGAGTTGAATACACACACCACAAATAAGTTACTGAGAATTCTTCTGTGTAACATTATATGAGGAAATCCCGTTTCCAACGAAGGCCTCAAAGAGGTCCAAATATCCACTTGCAGACTTTACAAAGACAGTGTCTCCAAACTCCTCCATCAAAAGAAAGGTTATACTCTGTGAATTGAACGCACACATCACAAAGTAGTTTCTGAGAATGATTCTGTCTAGTTTTTATACGAAGATATTTCCTTTTCTACATTTGGCCTAAAAGCACTTGAAATCTCCACCTGCAAATATCCCAAAAAGAGGGTTTCACATCTGCTCTGTCTAAAGGACAGTTCTCCTCTGTGAGTAGAATAGAGGCAACACAAAGAACTTAGTATTCTTCTTTCTAGCGTTCTATGAAGAAATCCCGTTTCCAACGAAGGCCTCAAAGAGGTTCAAATATCTGCTTGCAGACTTTACAGACAGAGTGTTTCCAAACTACTCTATGAAAAGAAAGCTTAAACTCCTTGAGTTGAACGCACACATCACAAAGTAGTTTCTGAGAATGATTCTGTCTAGTTTTTATACGAAGATGTTTCCTTTTCTACATTTGGTCTCAAAGCGATTGAAATCTCCAACTGGAAACTGCACAAATAGGGTGTTTCAAATCTGCTCTGTCTAAAGGAAGGTTCAACTCTGTGAGTTGAATACACACACCACAAATAAGTTACTGAGAATTCTTCTGTCGAAAATTACTTGAAGAAATCCCGTTTCCAACTAAGGCCTCAAAGAGGTCCAAATATCCTCTTGCAGACATTACAAACAGAGTGTTTCCAAACTGCTCCATCAAAAGAAAGGTTAAACTCTGTGAGCTGAACACACACATCAAAAAGAAGTTTCTGTGAATGATTCTGTCTAGATTTTATAAGAAGATGTTTCCTTTTCTACCGTAGGCCTCAAAGCGCTTGAAATCTCCAGCTGCAAATTCCACAAAAATGGTGTTTAACATCTGCCCTTCTAAAGGAAAGTTCAACTCTACGAGTTGAATACACACAGCACAAAGAAGTTACTGAGACTTCTCCTATCAAACATTATATGAAGAAATCCCGTTTCCAACGAAGGCCTCAAAGAGGTCCAAATATCTGCTTGCAGACTTTACAGACAGAGTGTTTCCAAACTGCTCCATCAAAAGAAAGGTTAAACTCCTTGAGTTGAACACACACATCACAAAGTAGTTTCTGTGAATGATTCTGTCTAGTTTTTATACGAAGATGTTTCCTTTTCTACCTTTGGTCTCAAAGCGATTGAAATCTCCACATGGAAGCTCCACAAAAAGAGTGTTTCAAATCTGCTCTTTCTGAAGGAAGGTTCATCTCTGTGAGTTGAATACACACACCACAAATAAGTTACTGAGAATTCTTCTGTGTAACATTATATGAGGAAATCCCGTTTCCAATGAAGGCCTCAAAGAGGTCCAAATATCCACTTGCAGACATTACAAACAGAGTGTTTCCAAACTGCTCCATCAAAAGAAAGGTTAAACTCCTTGAGTTGAACACACACATCACAAAGTAGTTTCTGTGAATGATTCTGTCTAGTTTTTATACGAAGATATTTCCTTTTCTACATTTGGCCTAAAAGCGCTTGAAATCTCCACCTGCAAATATCACAAAAAGAGGGTTTCACATCTGCTCTGCCTAAAGGACAGTTCACCTCTGTGAGTTGAATAGAGGCAACACAAAGAACTTACTCAGTATTCTTCTTTCTAGCGTTCTATGAAGAAATCCCGTTTCCAACGAAGGCCCCAAAGAGGTCCAAATATCTGCTTGCAGACTTTACAGACAGAGTGTTTCCAAACTACTCTATGAAAAGAAAGCTTAAACTCCTTGAGTTGAACGCACACATCACAAAGTAGTTTCGGAGAATGATTCTGTCTAGTTTTTATACGAAGATGTTTCCTTTTCTACATTTGGTCTCAAAGCGATTGAAATCTCCAACTGGAAACTGCACAAATAGGGTGTTTCAAATCTGCTCTGTCTAAAGGAAGGTTCAACTCTGTGAGTTGAATACACACACCACAAATAAGTTACTGAGAATTCTTCTGTCGAACATTACTTGAAGAAATCCCGTTTCCAAAGAAGGCCTCAAAGAGGTCCAAATATCCACTTGCAGACATTACAAACAGAGTGTTTCCAAACTGCTCCATCAAAAGAAAGGTTAAACTCTGTGAGCTGAACACACACATCAAAAAGAAGTTTCTGTGAATGATTCTGTCTAGATTTTATAAGAAGATGTTTCCTTTTCTACCGTAGGCCTCAAAGCGCTTGAAATCTCCAGCTGCAAATTCCACAAAAAGGGTGTTTAACATCTGCTCTTCTAAAGGAAAGTTCAACTCTATGAGTTGAATACACACAGCACAAAGAAGTTACTGAGACTTCTCCTATCAAACATTATATGAAGAAATCCCGTTTCTAACGAAGGCCTCAAAGAGGTCCAAATATCCACTTGCAGACGTGACAAACAGAGTGTTTCCAAACTGCTGCATCAAAAGAAAGGTTAAACTCTGTGAGTTGAACACACACATCACAAAGTAGTTTCTGTGAATGATTCTGTCTAGTTTTTATACGAAGATGTTTCCTTTTCTACCTTTGGTCTCAAAGCGATTGAAATCTCCACATGGAAACTCCACAAAAAGAGTGTTTCAAATCTGCTCTTTCTGAAGGAAGGTTCAACTCTGTGAGTTGAATACACACACCACAAATAAGTTACTGAGAATTCTTCTGTGTAACATTATATGAGGAAATCCCGTTTCCAACGAAGGCCTGCAAGAGGTCCAAATATCCACTTGCAGACTTTACAAAGACAGTGTCTCCAAACTCCTCCATCAAAAGAAAGGTTATACTCTGTGAATTGAACGCACACATCACAAAGTAGTTTCTGAGAATGATTCTGTCTAGTTTTTATACGAAGATATTTCCTTTTCTACATTTGGCCTAAAAGCGCTTGAAATCTCCACCTGCAAATATCAGAAAAAGAGGGTTTCACATCTGCTCTGTCTAAAGGACAGTTCACCTCTGTGAGTTGAATAGAGGCAACACAAAGTACTTACTCAGTATTCTTCTTTCTAGCGTTATATGAAGAAATCCCGTTTCCAACGAAGGCCTCAAAGAGGTCCAAATATCTGCTTGCAGACTTTACAGACAGAGTGTTTCCAAACTACTCTATGAAAAGAAAGCTTAAACTCCTTGAGTTGAACGCACACATCACAAAGTAGTTTCTGAGAATGATTCTGTCTAGTTTTTATACGAAGATGTTTCCTTTTCTACATTTGGTCTCAAAGCGATTGAAATCTCCAACTGGAAACTGCACAAATAGGGTGTTTCAAATCTGCTCTGTCTAAAGGAAGGTTCAACTCTGTGAGTTGAATACACACACCACAAATAAGTTACTGAGAATTCTTCTGTCGAACATTACTTGAAGAAATCCCGTTTCCAACGAAGGCCTCAAAGAGGTCCAAATATCCACTTGCAGACTTTACAAACAGAGTGTTTCCAAACTGCTCCATCAAAAGAAAGGTTAAACTCTGTGAGCTGAACACACACATCACAAAGAAGTTTCTGTGAATGATTCTGTCTAGATTTTATAAGAAGATGTTTCCTTTTCTACCGTAGGCCTCAAAGCGCTTGAAATCTCCAGCTGCAAATTCCATAAAAAGGGTGTTTAACATCTGCTCTTCTAAAGGAAAGTTCAACTCTATGAGTTGAATACACACAGCATAAAGAAGTTACTGAGACTTCTCCTATCAAACATTATATGAAGAAATCCCGTTTCCAACGAAGGCCTCAAAGAGGTCCAAATATCTGCTTGCAGACTTTACAGACAGAGTGTTTCCAAACTGCTCCATCAAAAGAAAGGTTAAACTCCTTGAGTTGAACACACACATCACAAAGTAGTTTCTGTGAATGATTCTGTCCAGTTTTTATACGAAGATGTTTCCTTTTCTACCTTTGGTCTCAATGCGATTGAAATCTCCACATGGAAACTCCACAAAAAGAGTGTTTCAAATCTGCTCTTTCTGAAGGAAGGTTCAACTCTGTGAGTTGAATACACACACCACAAATAAGTTACTGAGAATTCTTCTGTGTAACATTATATGAGGAAATCCCGTTTCCAACGAAGGCCTCAAAGAGGTCCAAATATCCACTTGCAGACTTTACAAAGACAGTGTCTCCAAACTCCTCCATCAAAAGAAAGGTTATACTCTGTGAATTGAACGCACACATCACAAAGTAGTTTCTGAGAATGATTCTATCTAGTTTTTATACGAAGATATTTCCTTTTCTACATTTGGCCTAAAAGCGCTTGAAATCTCCACCTGCAAATATCATAAAAAGAGGGTTTCACATCTGCTCTGTCTAAAGGACAGTTCACCTCTGTGAGTTGAATAGAGGCAACACAAAGAACTTACTCAGTATTCTTCTTTCTAGCGTTCTATGAAGAAATCCCGTTTCCAACGAAGGCCCCAAAGAGGTCCAAATATCTGCTTGCAGACTTTACAGACAGAGTGTTTCCAAACTACTCTATGAAAAGAAAGCTTAAACTCCTTGAGTTGAACGCACACATCACAAAGTAGTTTCTGAGAATGATTCTGTCTAGTTTTTATACGAAGATGTTTCCTTTTCTACATTTGGTCTCAAAGCGATTGAAATCTCCAACTGGAAACTGCACAAATAGGGTGTTTCAAATCTGCTCTGTCTAAAGGAAGGTTCAACTCTTTGAGTTGAATACACACACCACAAATAAGTTACTGAGAATTCTTCTGTCGAACATTACATGAAGAAATCCCGTTTCCAACGAAGGCCTCAAAGAGGTCCAAATATCCACTTGCAGACATTACAAACAGAGTGTTTCCAAACTGCTCCATCAAAAGAAAGGTTAAACTCTGTGAGCTGAACACACACATCAAAAAGAAGTTTCTGTGAATGATTCTGTCTAGATTTTATAAGAAGATGTTTCCTTTTCTACAGTAGGCCTCAAAGCGCTTGAAACCTCCAGCTGCAAATTCCCCAAAAAGGGTGTTTAACATCTGCTCTTCTAAAGGAAAGTTCAACTACTATGAGTTGAATACACACAGCACAAAGAAGTTACTGAGACTTCTCCTATCAAACATTATATGAAGAAATCCTGTTTCCAACGAAGGCCTCAAAGAGGTCCAAATATCTGCTTGCAGACTTTACAGACAGAGTTTTTCCAAACTGCTCCATCAAAAGAAAGGTTAAACTCCTTGAGTTGAACACACACATCACAAAGTAGTTTCTGTGAATGATTTCTGTCTAGTTTTTATACGAAGATGTTTCCTTTTCTACCTTTGGTCTCAAAGCGATTGAAATCTCCACATGGAAACTCCACAAAAAGAGTGTTTCAAATCTGCTCTTTCTGAAGGAAGGTTCAACTCTGTGAGTTGAATACACACACCACAAATAAGTTACTGAGAATTCTTCTGTGTAACATTATATGAGGAAATCCCGTTTCCAACGAAGGCCTCAAAGAGGTCCAAATATCCACTTGCAGACTTTACAAAGACAGTGTCTCCAAACTCCTCCATCAAAAGAAAGGTTATACTCTGTGAATTGAACGCACACATCACAAAGTAGTTTCTGAGAATGATTCTGTCTAGTTTTTATACGAAGATATTTCCTTTTCTACATTTGGCCTAAAAGCGCTTGAAATCTCCACCTGCAAATATCACAAAAAGAGGGTTTCACATCTGCTCTGTCTAAAGGACAGTTCACCTCTGTGAGTTGAATAGAGGCAACACAAAGAACTTACTCAGTATTCTTCTTTCTAGCGTTCTATGAAGAAATCCCGTTTCCAACGAAGGCCTCAAAGAGGTCAAATATCTGCTTGCAGACTTTACAGACAGAGTGTTTCCAAACTACTCTATGAAAAGAAAGCTTAAACTCCTTGAGTTGAACGCACACATCACAAAGTAGTTTCTGAGAATGATTCTGTCTAGTTTTTATACGAAGATGTTTCCTTTTCTACATTTGGTCTCAAAGCTCTTGAAATCTCCAACTGGAAACTGCACAAATAGGCTGTTTCAAATCTGCTCTGTCTAAAGGAAGGTTCAACTCTGTGAGTTGAATACACACACCACAAATAAGTTACTGAGAATTCTTCTGTCGAACATTACTTGAAGAAATCCCGTTTCCAACGAAGGCCTCAAACAGGTCCAAATATCCACTTGCAGACGTTACAAACAGAGTGTTTCCAAACTGCTCCATCAAAAGAAAGGTTAAACTCTGTGAGCTGAACACACACATCAAAAAGAAGTTTGCTGTGAATGATTCTGTCTAGATTTTATAAGAAGATGTTTCCTTTTCTACCGTAGGCCTCAAAGCGCTTGAAATCTCCAGCTGCAAATTCCACAAAAAGGGTGTTTAACATCTGCTCTTCTAAAGGAAAGTTCAACTCTATGAGTTGAATACACACAGCACAAAGAAGTTACTGAGACTTCTCCTATCAAACATTATATGAAGAAATCCCGTTTCCAACGAAGGCCTCAAAGAGGTCCAAATATCTGCTTGCAGACTTTACAGACAGAATGTTTCTAAACTGCTCCATCAAAAGAAAGGTTAAACTCCTTGAGTTGAACACACACATCACAAAGTAGTTTCTGTGAATGATTCTGTCTAGTTTTTATACGAAGATGTTTCCTTTTCTACCTTTGGTCTCAAAGCGATTGAAATCTCCACATGGAAACTCCACAAAAAGAGTGTTTCAAATCTGCTCTTTCTGAAGGAAGGTTCAACTCTGTGAGTTGAATACACACACCACAAATAAGTTACTGAGAATTCTTCTGTGTAACATTATATGAGGAAATGCCGTTTCCAACGAAGGCCTCAAAGAGGTCCAAATATCCACTAGCAGACTTTAAAAAGACAGTGTCTCCAAACTGCTCCATCAAAAGAAAGGTTATACTCTGTGAATTGAACGCACACATCACAAAGTAGTTTCTGAGAATGATTCTGTCTAGTTTTTATACGAAGATATTTCCTTTTCTACATTTGGCCGAAAAGCGCTTGAAATCTCCACCTGCAAATATCACAAAAAGAGGGTTTCACATCTGCTCTGTCTAAAGGACAGTTCACCTCTGTGAGTTGAATAGAGGCAACACAAAGAACTTACTCAGTATTCTTCTTTCTAGCGTTCTATGAAGAAATCCCGTTTCCAACGAAGGCCTCAAAGAGGTCAAATATCTGCTTGCAGACTTTACAGACAGAGTGTTTCCAAACTACTCTATGAAAAGAAAGCTTAAACTCCTTGAGTTGAACGCACACATCACAAAGTAGTTTCTGAGAATGATTCTGTCTAGTTTTTATACGAAGATATTTCCTTTTCTACATTTGGCCTAAAAGTGCTTGAAATCTCCACCTGCAAATATCACAAAAAGAGGGTTTCACATCTGCTCTGTCTAAAGGACAGTTCACCTCTGTGAGTTGAATAGAGGCAACACAAAGAACTTACTCAGTATTCTTCTTTCTAGCGTTCTATGAAGAAATCCCGTTTCCAACGAAGGCCCCAAAGAGGTCCACATATCTGCTTGCACACTTTACAGACAGAGTGTTTCCAAACTACTCTATGAAAAGAAAGCTTAAACTCCTTGAGTTGAACGCACACATCACAAAGTAGTTTCTGAGAATGATTCTGTCTAGTTTTTATACGAAGATGTTTCCTATTCTACATTTGGTCTCAAAGCGATTGAAATCTCCAACTGGAAACTGCAGAAATAGGCTGTTTCAAATCTGCTCTGTCTAAAGGAAGGTTCAGCTCTGTGAGTTGAATACACACACCACAAATAAGTTACTGAGAATTCTTCTGTCGAACATTACAGGAAGAAATCCCGTTTCCAACGAAGGCCTCAAAGAGGTCCAAATATCCACTTGCAGACATTACAAACAGTGTGTTTCCAATCTGCTCCATCAAAAGAAAGGTTAAACTCTGTGAGCTGAACACACACATCAAAAAGAAGTTTCTGTGAATGATTCTGTCTAGATTTTGTAAGCAAGATGTTTCCTTTTCTACCGTAGGCCTCAAAGCGCTTGAAATCTCCAGCTGCAAATTCCACAAAAAGGGTGTTTAACATCTGCTCTTCTAAAGGAAAGTTCAACTCTATGAGTTGAATACACACAGCACAAAGAAGTTACTGAGACTTCTCCTATCAAACATTATATGAAGAAATCCCGTTTCTAACGATGGCCTGAAAGAGGTCCAAATATCTGCTTGCAGACTTTACAAAGACAGTGTCTCCAAACTCCTCCATCAAAAGAAAGGTTATACTCTGTGAATTGAACGCACACATCACAAAGTAGTTTCTGTGAATGATTCTGTCTAGTTTTTATACGAAGATATTTCCTTTTCTACATTTGGCCTAAAAGTGCTTGAAATCTCCACCTGCAAATATCACAAAAAGAGGGTTTCACATCTGCTCTGTCTAAAGGACAGTTCACCTCTGTGAGTTGAATAGAGGCAACACAAAGAACTTACTCAGTATTCTTCTTTCTAGCGTTCTATGAAGAAATCCCGTTTCCAACGAAGGCCCCAATGAGGTCCAAATATCTGCTTGCAGACTTTACAGACAGAGTGTTTCCAAACTACTCTAGTAAAAGAAAGCTTAAACTCCTTGAGTTGAACGCACACATCACAAAGTAGTTTCTGAGAATGATTCTGTCTAGTTTTTATACGAAGATGTTTCCTTTTCTACATTTGGTCTCAAAGCGATTGAAATCTCCAACTGGAAACTGCACAAATAGGGTGTTTCAAATCTGCTCTGTCTAAAGGAAGGTTCAACTCTGTGAGTTGAATACACACACCACAAATAAGTTACTGAGAATTCTTCTGTCGAACATTACAGGAAGAAATCCCGTTTCCAACGAAGGCCTCAAAGAGGTCCAAATATCCACTTGCAGACATTACAAACAGTGTGTTTCCCAACTGCTCCATCAAAAGAAAGGTTAAACTCTGTGAGCTGAACACACACATCAAAAAGAAGTTTCTGTGAATGATTCTGTCTAGATTTTATAAGAAGATGTTTCCTTTTCTACCGTAGGCCTCAAACCGCTTGAAATCTCCAGCTGCAAATTCCACAAAAAGAGTGTTTAACATCTGCTCTTCTAAAGGAAAGTTCAACTCTATGAGTTGAATACACACAGCACAAAGAAGTTACTGAGACTTCTCCTATCAAACATTATATGAAGAAATCCCGTTTCCAACGAAGGCCTCAAAGAGGTCCAAATATCTGCTTGCAGACTTTACAGACAGAGTGTTTCCAAACTGCTCCATCAAAAGGAAGGTTAACCTCCTTGAGTTGAACACACACATCACAAAGTAGTTTCTGTGAATGATTCTGTCTAGTTTTTATACGAAGATGTTTCCTTTTCTACCTTTGGTCTCAAAGCGATTGAAATCTCCACATGGAAACTCCACAAAAAGAGTGTTTCAAATCTGCTCTTTCTGAAGGAAGGTTCATCTCTGTGAGTTGAATACACACACCACAAATAAGTTACTGAGAATTCTTCTGTGTAACATTATATGAGGAAATCCCGTTTCCAACGAAGGCCTCAAAGAGGTCCAAATATCCACTTGCAGACTTTACAAAGACAGTGTCTCCAAACTCCTCCATCAAAAGAAAGGTTATACTCTGTGAATTGAACGCACACATCCCAAAGTAGTTTCTGAGAATGATTCTGTCTAGTTTTTATACGAAGATATTTCCTTTTCTACATTTGGCCTAAAAGCGCTTGAAATCTCCACCTGCAAATATCACAAAAAGAGGGTTTCACATCTGCTCTGTCTAAAGGACAGTTCACCTCTGTGAGTTGAATAGAGGCAACACAAAGAACTTACTCAGTATTCTTCTTTCTAGCGTTCTATGAAGAAATCCCGTTTCCAATGAAGGCCTCAAAGAGGTCCAAATATCTGCTTCCAGACTTTACAGACAGAGTGTTTCCAAACTACTCTATGAAAAGAAACCTTAAACTCCTTGAGTTGAACGCACACATCACAAAGTAGTTTCTGAGAATGATTCTGTCTAGTTTTTATACGAAGATGTTTCCTTTTCTACATTTGGTCTCAAAGCGATTGAAATCTCCAACTGGAAACTGCACAAATAGGGAGTTTCAAATCTGATCTGTCTAAAGGAAGGTTCAACTCTGTGAGTTGAATACACACACCACAAATAAGTTACTGAGAATTCTTCTGTCGAACATTACCTGAAGAAATCCCGTTTCCAACGAAGGCCTCAAAGAGGTCCAAATATCCACTTGCAGACATTACAAACAGAGTGTTTCCAAACTGCTCCATCAAAAGAAAGGTTAAACTCTGTGAGCTGAACACACACATCGAAAAGAAGTTTCTGTGAATGATTCTGTCTAGATTTTATAAGAAGATGTTTCCTTTTCTACCGTAGGCCTCAAAGCGCTTGAAATCTCCAGCTGCAAATTCCACAAAAAGGGTGTTTAACATCTGCTCTTCTAAAGGAAAGTTCAACTCTATGAGTTGAATACACACAGCACAAAGAAGTTACTGAGACTTCTCCTATCAAACATTATATGAAGAAATCCCGTTTCCAACGAAGGCCTCAAAGAGGTCCAAATATCTGCTTGCAGACTTTACAGACAGAGTGTTTCCAAACTGCTCCATCAAAAGAAAGGTTAAACTCCTTGAGTTGAACACACACATCACAAAGTAGTTTCTGTGAATGATTCTGTCTAGTTTTTATACGAAGATGTTTCCTTTTCTACCTTTGTTCTCAATGCGATTGAAATCTCCACATGGAAACTCCACAAAAAGAGTGTTTCAAATCTGCTCTTTCTGAAGGAAGGTTCAACTCTGTGAGTTGAATACACACACCACAAATAAGTTACTGAGAATTCTTTCTGTGTAACATTATGTGAGGAAATCCCGTTTCCAACGAAGGCCTCAAAGAGGTCCAAATATCCACTTGCAGACGTTACAAAGACAGTTTCTACAAACTCCTCCATCAAAAGAAAGGTTATACTCTGTGAATTGAACGCACACATCACAAAGTAGTTTCTGAGAATGATTCTGTCTAGTTTTTATACGAAGATATTTCCTTTTCTACATTTGGCCTAAAAGCGCTTGAAATCTCCACCTGCAAATATCACAAAAAGAGGGTTTCACATCTGCTCTGTCTAAAGGACAGTTCACCTCTGTGAGTTGAATAGAGGCAACACAAAGAACTTACTCAGTATTCTTCTTTCTAGCGTTCTATGAAGAAATCCCGTTTCTAACGAAGGCCCCAAAGAGGTCCAAATATCTGCTTGCAGACTTTACAGACAGAGTGTTTCCAAACTACTCTATGAAAAGAAAGCTTAAACTCCTTGAGTTGAACGCACACATCACAAAGTAGTTTCTGAGAATGATTCTGTCTAGTTTTTATACGAAGATGTTTCCTTTTCTACGTTTGGTCTCAAAGCGATTGAAATCTCCAACTGGAAACTGCACAAATAGGCTGTTTCAAATCTGCTCTGTCTAAAGGAAGGTTCAACTCTGTGAGTTGAATACACACACCACAAATAAGTTACTGAGAATTCTTCTGTCGAACATTACTTGATGAAATCCCGTTTCCAACGAAGGCCTCAAAGAGGTCCAAATATCCACTTGCAGACATTACAAACAGATTGTTTCCAACCTGCTCCATCAAAAGAAAGGTTAAACTCTGTGAGCTGAACACACACATCAAAAAGAAGTTTCTGTGAATGATTCTTTCTAGATTTTATAAGAAGATATTTCCTTTTCTACCGTAGGCCTCAAAGCGCTTGAAATCTCCAGCTGCAAATTCCACAAAAAGGGTGTTTAACATCTGCTCTTCTAAAGGAAAGTTCAACTCTATGAGTTGAATACACACAGCACAAAGAAGTTACTGAGACTTCTCCTATCAAACATTATATGAAGAAATCCCGTTTCCAACGAAGGCCTCAAAGAGGTCCAAATATCTGCTTGCAGACTTTACAGACAGAGTGTTTCTAAACTGCTCCATCAAAAGAAAGGTTAAACTCCTTGAGTTGAACACACACATCACAAAGTAGTTTCCATGAATGATTCTGTCCAGTTTTTATACGAAGATGTTTCCTTTTCTACCTTTGGTCTCAAAGCTATTGAAATCTCCACATGGAAACTCCACAAAAAGAGTGTTTCAAATCTGCTCTTTCTGAAGGAAGGTTCATCTCTGTGAGTTGAATACACACACCACAAATAAGTTACTGAGAATTCTTCTGTGTAACATTATATGAGGAAATCCCGTTTCCAACGAAGGCCTCAAAGAGATCCAAATATCCACTTGCAGACTTTACAAAGACAGTGTCTCCAAACTCCTCCATCAAAAGAAAGGTTATACTCCGTGAATTGAACGCACACATCACAAAGTAGTTTCTGAGAATGATTCTGTCTAGTTTTTATACGAAGATATTTCCTTTTCTACATTTGGCCTAAAAGCGCTTGAAATCTCCACCTGCAAATATCACAAAAAGAGGGTTTCACATCTGCTCTGTCTGAAGGACAGTTCACCTCTGTGAGTTGAATAGAGGCAACACAAAGAACTTACTCAGTATTCTTCTTTCTAGCGTTCTATGAAGAAATCCCGTTTCCAACGAAGGCCCCAAAGAGGTCCAAATATCTGCTTGCAGACTTTACAGACAGAGTGTTTCCAAACTACTCTATGAAAAGAAAGCTTAAACTCCTTGAGTTGAACGCACACATCACAAAGTAGTTTCTGAGAATGATTCTGTCTAGTTTTTATACGAAGATGTTTCCTTTTCTACATTTGGTCTCAAAGCGATTGAAATCTCCAACTGGAAACTCCACAAAAAGAGTGTTTCAAATCTGCTCTGTCTAAAGGAAGGTTCAACTCTGTGAGTTGAATACACACACCACAAATAAGTTACTGAGAATTCTTCTGTCGAACATTACTTGAAGAAATCCCGTTTCCAACGAAGGCCTCAAAGAGGTCCAAATATCCACTTGCAGACATTACAAACAGAGTGTTTCCCAACTGCTCCATCAAAAGAAAGGTTAAACTCTGTGAGCTGAACACACACATCAAAAAGAAGTTTCTGTGAATGATTCTGTCTAGATTTTATAAGAAGATGTTTCCTTTTCTACCGTAGGCCTCAAAGCGCTTGAAATCTCCAGCTGCAAATTCCACAAAAAGGGTGTTTAACATCTGCTCTTCTAAAGGAAAGTTCAACTCTATGAGTTGAATACACACAGCAGAAAGAAGTTACTGAGACTTCTCCTATCAAACATTATATGAAGAAATCCCGTTTCCAACGAAGGCCTCAAAGAGGTCCAAATATCTGCTTGCAGACTTTACAGACAGAGTGTTTCCAAACTGCTCCATCAAAAGAAAGGTTAAACTCCTTGAGTTGAACACACACATCACAAAATAGTTTCTGTGAATGATTCTGTCTAGTTTTTATACGAAGATGTTTCCTTTTCTACCTTTGGTCTCAAAGCGATTGAAATCTCCACATGGAAACTCCACAAAAAGAGTGTTTCAAATCTGCTCTTTCTGAAGGAAGGTTCAACTCTGTGAGTTGAATACACACACCACAAATAAGTTACTGAGAATTCTTCTGTGTAACATTATATGAGGAAATCCCGTTTCCAACGAAGGCCTCAAAGAGGTCCAAATATCCACTTGCAGACTTTACAAAGACAGTGTCTCCAAACTCCTCCATCAAAAGAAAGGTTATACTCTGTGAATTGAACGCACACATCACAAAGTAGTTTCTGAGAATGATTCTGTCTAGTTTTTATACGAAGATATTTCCTTTTCTACATTTGGCCTCAAAGCGCTTGAAATCTCCACCTGCAAATATCACAAAAAGAGGGTTTCACATCTGCTCTGTCTAAAGGACAGTTCACCTCTGTGAGTTGAATAGAGGCAACACAAAGAACTTACTCAGTATTCTTCTTTCTAGCGTTCTATGAAGAAATCCCGTTTCCAACGAAGGCCCCAAAGAGGTCCAAATATCTGCTTGCAGACTTTACAGACAGAGTGTTTCCAAACTACTCTATGAAAAGAAAGCTTAAACTCCTTGAGTTGAACGCACACATCACAAAGTAGTTTCGGAGAATGATTCTGTCTAGTTTTTATACGAAGATGTTTCCTTTTCTACCTTTGGTCTCAAAGCGATTGAAATCTCCAACTGCAAAGTGCACAAATAGGGTGTTTCAAATCTGCTCTGTCTAAAGGAAGGTTCAACTCTGTGAGTTGAATACACACAACACAAATAAGTTACTGAGAAATCTTCTGTCAAACATTCCTTGAAGAAATTCCGTTTCCAACGAAGGCCTCAAAGAGGTCCAAATATCCACTTGCAGACATTACAAATAGTGTGTTTCCAAACTGCTCCATCAAAAGAAAGGTTAAACTCTGTGAGCTGAACACACACATCAAAAAGAAGTTTCTGTGAATGATTCTGTCTAGATTTTCTAAGAAGATGTTTCCTTTTCTACCGTAGGCCTCAAAGCGCTTGAAATCTCCAGCTGCAAATTCCACAAAAAGGGTGTTTAACATCTGCTCTTCTAAAGGAAAGTTCAACTCTATGAGTTGAATACACACAGCACAAAGAAGTTACTGAGACTTCTCCTATCAAACATTATATGAAGAAATCCCGTTTCCAACGAAGGCCTCAAAGAGGTCCAAATATCTGCTTGCAGACTTTACAGACAGAGTGTTTCCAAACTGCTCCATCAAAAGAAAGGTTAAATTCCTTGAGTTGAACACACACATCACAAAGTAGTTTCTGTGAATGATTCTGTCTAGTTTTTATACGAAGATGTTTCCTTTTCTACCTTTGGTCTCAATGCGATTGAAATCTCCACATGGAAACTCCACAAAAAGAGTGTTTCAAATCTGCTCTTTCTGAAGGAAGGTTCAACTCTGTGAGTTGAATACACACACCACTAATAAGTTACTGAGAATTCTTCTGTGTAACATTATATGAGGAAATCCCGTTTCCAACGAAGGCCTCAAAGAGGTCCAAATATCCACTTGCAGACTTTACAAAGACAGTGTCTCCAAACTCCTCCATCAAAAGAAAGGTTATACTCTGTGAATTGAACGCACACATCACAAAGTAGTTTCTGAGAATGATTCTGTCTAGTTTTTATACGAAGATATTTCCTTTTCTACATTTGGCCTAAAAGCGCTTGAAATCTCCACCTGCAAATATCACAAAAAGAGGGTTTCACATCTGCTCTGTCTAAAGGACAGGTTCACCTCTGTGAGTTGAATAGAGGCAACACAAAGAACTTACTCAGTATTCTCCTATCAAACATTATATGAAGAAATCCCGTTTCCAACGAAGGCCTCAAAGAGGTCCAAATATCTGCTTGCAGACTTTACAGACAGAGTATTTCCAAACTGCTCCATCAAAAGAAAGGTTAAACTCCTTGAGTTGAACACACACATCACAAAGTAGTTTCTGTGAATGATTCTGTCTAGTTTTTATACGAAGATGTTTCCTTTTCTACCTTTGGTCTCAAAGCGATTGAAATCTCCACATGGAAACTCCACAAAAAGAGTGTTTCAAATCTGCTCTTTCTGAAGGAAGGTTCAACTCTGTGAGTTGAATACACACACCACAAATAAGTTACTGAGAATTCTTCTGTGTAACATTATATGAGGAAATCCCGTTTCCAACGAAGGCCTCAAAGAGATCCAAATATCCACTTGCAGACTTTACAAAGACAGTGTCTCCAAACTCCTCCATCAAAAGAAAGGTTATACTCTGTGAATTGAACGCACACATCACAAAGTAGTTTCTGAGAATGATTGTGTCTAGTTTTTATACGAAGATATTTCCTTTTCTACATTTGGCCTCAAAGCGCTTGAAATCTCCACCTGCAAATATCACAAAAAGAGGGTTTCACATCTGCTCTGTCTAAAGGACAGTTCACCTACTGTGAGTTGAATAGAGGCAACACAAAGAACTTACTCAGTATTCTTCTTTCTAGCATTCTATGAAGAAATCCCGTTTCCAACGAAGGCCCCAAAGAGGTCCAAATATCTGCTTGCAGACTTTACAGACAGAGTGTTTCCAAACTACTCTATGAAAAGAAAGCTTAAACTCCTTGAGTTGAACGCACACATCACAAAGTAGTTTCTGAGAATGATTCTGTCTAGTTTTTATACGAAGATGTTTCCTTTTCTACATTTGGTCTCAAAGCTCTTGAAATCTCCAACTGGAAACTGCACAAATAGGCTGTTTCAAATCTGCTCTGTCTAAAGGAAGGTTCAACTCTGTGAGTTGAATACACACACCACAAATAAGTTACTGAGAATTCTTCTGTCGAACATTACTTGAAGAAATCCCGTTTCCAACGAAGGCCTCAAAGAGGTCCAAATATCCACTTGCAGACGTTACAAACAGAGTGTTTCCAAACTGCTCCATCAAAAGAAAGGTTAAACTCTGTGAGCTGAACACACACATCAAAAAGAAGTTTCTGTGAATGATTCTGTCTAGATTTTATAAGAAGATGTTTCCTTTTCTACCGTAGGCCTCAAAGCGCTTGAAATCTCCAGCTGCAAATTCCACAAAAAGGGTGTTTAACATCTGCTCTTCTAAAGGAAAGTTCAACTCTATGAGTTGAATATACACAGCACAAAGAAGTTACTGAGACTTCTCCTATCAAACATTATATGAAGAAATCCCGTTTCCAACGAAGGCCTCAAAGAGGTCCAAATATCTGCTTGCAGACTTTACAGACAGAGTGTTTCCAAACTGCTCCATCAAAAGAAAGGTTAAACTCCTTGAGTTGAACACACACATCACAAAGTAGTTTCTGTGAATGATTCTGTCTAGTTTTTATACGAAGATGTTTCCTTTTCTACCTTTGGTCTCAAAGCGATTGAAATCTCCACATGGAAACTCCACAAAAAGAGTGTTTCAAATCTGCTCTTTCTGAAGGAAGGTTCATCTCTGTGAGTTGAATACACACACCACAAATAAGTTACTGAGAATTCTTCTGTGTAACATTATATGAGGAAATCCCGTTTCCAACGAAGGCCTCAAAGAGGTCCAAATATCCACTTGCAGACTTTACAAAGACAGTGTCTCCAAACTCCTCCATCAAAAGAAAGGTTATACTCTGTGAATTGAACGCACACATCACAAAGTAGTTTCTGAGAATGATTCTGTCTAGTTTTTATACGAAGATATTTCCTTTTCTACATTTGGCCTAAAAGCACTTGAAATCTCCACCTGCAAATATCCCAAAAAGAGGGTTTCACATCTGCTCTGTCTAAAGGACAGTTCTCCTCTGTGAGTAGAATAGAGGCAACACAAAGAACTTAGTATTCTTCTTTCTAGCGTTCTATGAAGAAATCCCGTTTCCAACGAAGGCCTCAAAGAGGTTCAAATATCTGCTTGCAGACTTTACAGACAGAGTGTTTCCAAACTACTCTATGAAAAGAAAGCTTAAACTCCTTGAGTTGAACGCACACATCACAAAGTAGTTTCTGAGAATGATTCTGTCTAGTTTTTATACGAAGATGTTTCCTTTTCTACATTTGGTCTCAAAGCGATTGAAATCTCCAACTGGAAACTGCACAAATAGGGTGTTTCAAATCTGCTCTGTCTAAAGGAAGGTTCAACTCTGTGAGTTGAATACACACACCACAAATAAGTTACTGAGAATTCTTCTGTCGAACATTACATGAAGAAATCCCGTTTCCAACGAAGGCCTCAAAGAGGTCAAAATATCCACTTGCAGACATTACAAACAGAGTGTTTCCAAACTGCTCCATGAAAAGAAAGGTTAAACTCTGTGAGCTGAACACACACATCAAAAAGAAGTTTCTGTGAATGATTCTGTCTAGATTTTATAAGAAGATGTTTCCTTTTCTACCGTAGGCCTCAAAGCGCTAGAAATCTCCAGCTGCAAATTCCACAAAAAGGGGGTTTAACATCTGCTCTTATAAAGGAAAGTTCAACTCTATGAGTTGAATACACACAGCACAAAGAAGTTACTGAGACTTCTCCTATCAAACATTATATGAAGAAATCCCGTTTCCAACGAAGGCCTCAAAGAGGTCCAAATATCTGCTTGCAGACTTTACAGACAGAGTGTTTCCAAACTGCTCCATCAAAAGAAAGGTTAAACTCCTTGAGTTGAACACACACATCACAAAGTAGTTTCTGTGAATGATTCTGTCTAGTTTTTATACGAAGATGTTTCCTTTTCTACCTTTGGTCTCAATGCGATTGAAATCTCCACATGGAAACTCCACAAAAAGAGTGTTTCAAATCTGCTCTTTCTGAAGGAAGGTTCATCTCTGTGAGTTGAATACACACACCACAAATAAGTTACTGAGAATTCTTCTGTGTAACATTATATGAGGAAATCCCGTTTCCAACGAAGGCCTCAAAGAGGTCCAAATATCCACTTGCAGACTTTACAAAGACAGTGTCTCCAAACTCCTCCATCAAAAGAAAGGTTATACTCTGTGAATTGAACGCACACATCACAAAGTAGTTTCTGAGAATGATTCTGTCTAGTTTTTATACGAAGATACTTCCTTTTCTACATTTGGCCTAAAAGCGCTTGAAATCTCCACCAGCAAATATCACAAAAAGAGGGTTTCACATCTGCTCTGTCTAAAGGACAGTTCACCTCTGTGAGTTGAATAGAGGCAACACAAAGAAGTTACTCAGTATTCTTCTTTCTAGCGTTCTATGAAGAAATCCCGTTTCCAACGAAGGCCCCAAAGAGGTCCAAATATCTGCTTGCAGACTTTACAGACAGAGTGTTTCCAAACTACTCTATGAAAAGAAAGCTTAAACTCCTTGAGTTGAACGCACACATCACAAAGTAGTTTCTGAGAATGATTCTGTCTAGTTTTTATACGAAGATGTTTCCTTTTCTACATTTGGTCTCAAAGCGATTGAAATCTCCAACTGGAAACTGCACAAATAGGGTGTTTCAAATCTGCTCTCTCTAAAGGAAGGTTCAACTCTGTGAGTTGAATACACACACCACACATAAGTTACTGAGAATTCTTCTGTCGAACATTACAGGAAGAAATCCCGTTACCAACGAAGGCCTCAAAGAGGTCCAAATATCCACTTGCAGACATTACAAACAGTGTGTTTGCAAACTGCTCCATCAAAAGAAAGGTTAAACTCTGTGAGCTGAACACACACATCAAAAAGAAGTTTCTGTGAATGATTCTGTCTAGATTTTATAAGAAGATGTTTCCTTTTCTACCGTAGGCCTCAAAGCGCTTGAAATCTCCAGCTGCAAATTCCACAAAAAGGGTGTTTAACATCTGCTCTTCTAAAGGAAAGTTCAACTCTATGAGTTGAATACACACAGCACAAAGAAGTTTCTGAGACTTCTCCTATCAAACATTATATGAAGAAATCCCGTTTCCAACGAAGGCCTCAAAGAGGTCCAAATATCTGCTTGCAGACTTTACAGACAGAGTGTTTCCAAACTGCTCCATCAAAAGAAAGGTTAAACTCCTTGCGTTGAACACACACATCACAAAGTAGTTTCTGTGAATGATTCTGTCTAGTTTTTATACGAAGATGTTTCCTTTTCTACCTTTGGTCTCAAAGCGATTGAAATCTCCACATGGAAACTCCACAAAAAGAGTGTTTCAAATCTGCTCTTTCGGAAGGAAGGTTCAACTCTGTGAGTTGAATACACACACCACAAATAAGTTACTGAGAATTCTTCTGTGTAACATTATATGAGGAAATCCCGTTTCCAACGAAGGCCTCAAAGAGGTCCAAATATCCACTTGCAGACTTTACAAAGACAGTGTCTCCAAACTCCTCCATCGAAAGAATGGTTATACTCTGTGAATTGAACGCACACATCACAAAGTAGTTTCTGAGAATGATTCTGTCTAGTTTTTATACGAAGATATTTCCTTTTCTACATTTGGCCTAAAAGCGCTTGAAATCTCCACCTGCAAATATCACAAAAAGAGGGTTTCACATCTGCTCTGTCTAAAGGACAGTTCACCTCTGTGAGTTGAATAGAGGCAACACAAAGAACTTACTCAGTATTCTTCTTTCTAGCGTTCTATGAAGAAATCCCGTTTCCAACGAAGGCACCAAAGAGGTCCAAATATCTGCTTGCAGACTTTACAGACAGAGTGTTTCCAAACTACTCTATGAAAAGAAAGCTTAAACTCCTTGAGTTGAACGCACACATCACAAAGTAGTTTCTGAGAATGATTCTGTCTAGTTTTTATACGAAGATGTTTCCTTTTCTACATTTGGTCTCAAAGCGATTGAAATCTCCAACTGGAAACTGCACAAATAGGGTGTTTCAAATCTGCTCTGTCTAAAGGAAGGTTCAACTCTGTGAGTTGAATACACACACCACAAATAAGTTACTGAGAATTCTTCTGTCGAACATTACTTGAAGAAATCCCGTTTCCAATGAAGGCCTCAAAGAGGTCCAAATATCCACTTGCAGACATTACAAACAGAGTGTTTCCAAACTGCTCCATCAAAAGAAAGGTTAAACTCTGTGAGCTGAACACACACATCAAAAAGAAGTTTCTGTGAATGATTCTGTCTAGATTTTATAAGAAGATGTTTCCTTTTCTACCGTAGGCCTCAAAGCGCTTGAAATCTCCAGCTGCAAATTCCACAAAAAGGGTGTTTAACATCTGCTCTTCTAAAGGAAAGTTCAACTCTATGAGTTGAATACACACAGCACAAAGAAGTTACTGAGACTTCTCCTATCAAACATTATATGAAGAAATCCCGTTTCCAACGAAGGCCTCAAAGAGGTCCAAATATCTGCTTGCAGACTTTACAGACAGAGTGTTTCCAAACTGCTCCATCAAAAGAAAGGTTAACCTCCTTGAGTTGAACACACACATCACAAAGTAGTTTCTGTGAATGATTCTGTCTAGTTTTTATACGAAGATGTTTCCTTTTCTACCTTTGGTCTCAAAGCGATTGAAGTCTCCACATGGAAACTCCACAAAAAGAGTGTTTCAAATCTGCTCTTTCTGAAGCAAGGTTCAACTCTGTGAGTTGAATACACACACCACAAATAAGTTACTGAGAATTCTTCTGTGTAACATTATATGAGGAAATCCCGTTTCCAACGAAGGCCTCAAAGAGGTCCAAATATCCACTTGCAGACTTTACAAAGACAGTGTCTCCAAACTCCTCCATAAAAAGAAAGGTTATACTCTGTGAATTGAACGCACACATCACAAAGTAGTTTCTGAGAATGATTCTGTCTAGTTTTTATACGAGGATATTTCCTTTTCTACATTTGGCCTAAAAGCGCTTGAAATCTCCACCTGCAAATATCACAAAAAGAGGGTTTCACATCTGCTCTGTCTAAAGGACAGTTCACCTCTGTGAGTTGAATAGAGGCAACACAAAGAACTTACTCAGTATTCTTCTTTCTAGCGTTATATGAAGAAATCCCGTTTCCAACGAAGGCTTCAAAGAGGTCCAAATATCTGCTTGCACACTTTACAGACAGAGTGTTTCCAAACTACTCTATGAAAAGAAAGCTTAAACTCCTTGAGTTGAACGCACACATCACAAAGTAGTTTCTGAGAATGATTTCTGTCTTGTTTTTATACGAAGATATTTCCGTTTCTATGATTGGCCTCAAAGCGATTGAAATCTCCAACTGGAAACTGCACTAATAGGGTGTTTCAAATCTGCTCTGTCTAAAGGAAGGTTCAACTCTGTGAGTTGAATACACACACCACAAATAAGTTACTGAGAATTCTTCTGTCGAACATTACATGAAGAAATCCCGTTTCCAACGAAGGCCTCAAAGAGGTCCAAATATCCACTTGCAGACATTACAAACAGAGTGTTTCCAAACTGCTCCATCAAAAGAAAGGTTAAACTCTGTGAGCTGAACACACACATCAAAAAGAAGTTTCTGTGAATGATTCTGTCTAGATTTTATAAGAAGATGTTTCCTTTTCTACCGTAGGCCTCAAAGCGCTTGAAATCTCCAGCTGCAAATTCCACAAAAAGGGTGTTTAACATCTGCTCTTCTAAAGGAAAGTTCAACTCTATGAGTTGAATACACACAGCACAAAGAAGTTACTGAGACTTCTCCTATCAAACATTATATGAAGAAATCCCGTTTCTAACGAAGGCCTCAAAGAGGTCCAAATATCTGCTTGCAGACTTTACAGACAGAGTGTTTCCAAACTGCTCCATCAAAAGAAAGGTTAAACTCCTTGAGTTGAACACACACATCACAAAGTAGTTTCTGTGAATGATTCTGTCTAGTTTTTATACGAAGATGTTTCCTTTTCTACCTTTGGTCTCAAAGTGATTGAAATCTCCACATGGAAACTCCACAAAAAGAGTGTTTCAAATCTGCTCTTTCTGAAGGAAGGTTCAAATCTGTGAGTTGAATACACACACCACAAATAAGTTACTGAGAATTCTTCTGGGTAACATTATATGAGGAAATCCCGTTTCCAACGAAGGCCTCAAAGAGGTCCAAATATCCACTTGCAGACTTTACAAAGACAGTGTCTCCAAACTCCTCCATCAAAAGAAAGGTTATACTCTGTGAATTGAACGCACACATCACAAAGTAGTTTCTGAGAATGATTCTGTCTAGTTTTTATACGAAGATATTTCCTTTTCTACATTTGGCCTAAAATCGCTTGAAATCTCCACCTGCAAATATCACAAAAAGAGGGTTTCACATCTGCTCTGTCTAAAGGACAGTTCACCTCTGTGAGTTGAATAGAGGCAACACAAAGAACTTACTCAGTATTCTTCTTTCTAGCGTTCTATGAAGAAATCCCGTTTCCAACGAAGGCCTCAAAGAGGTCCAAATATCTGATTGCAGACTTTACAGACAGAGTGTTTCCAAACTACTCTATGAAAAGAAAGCTTAAACTCCTTGAGTTGAACGCACACATCACAAAGTAGTTTCTGAGAATGATTCTGTCTAGTTTTTATACGAAGATGTTTCCTTTTCTACATTTGGTCTCAAAGCGATTGAAATCTCCAACTGGAAACTGCACAAATAGGGTGTTTCAAATCTGCTCTGTCTAAAGGAAGGTTCAACTCTGTGAGTTGAATACACACACCACAAATAAGTTACTGAGAATTCTTCTGTCGAACATTACTTGAAGAAATCCCGTTTCCAACGAAGGCCTCAAAGAGGTCCAAATATCCACTTGCAGACATTACAAACAGAGTGTTTCCAAACTGCTCCATCAAAAGAAAGGTTAAACTCTGTGAGCTGAACACACACATCAAAAAGAAGTTTCTGTGAATGATTCTGTCTAGATTTTATAAGAAGATGTTTCCTTTTCTACCGTAGGCCTCAAAGCGCTTGAAATCTCCAGCTGCAAATTCCACAAAAAGGGTGTTTAACATCTGCTCTTCTAAAGGAAAGTTCAACTCTATGAGTTGAATACACACAGCACAAAGAAGTTACTGAGACTTCTCCTATCAAACATTATATGAAGAAATCCCGTTTCCAACGAAGGCCTCAAAGAGGTCCAAATATCTGCTTGCAGACTTTACAGACAGAGTGTTTCCAAACTGCTCCATCAAAAGAAAGGTTAACCTCCTTGAGTTGAACACACACATCACAAAGTAGTTTCTGTGAATGATTCTGTCTAGTTTTTATACGAAGATGTTTCCTTTTCTACCTTTGGTCTCAAAGCGATTGAAATCTCCACATGGAAACTCCACAAAAAGAGTGTTTCAAATCTGCTCTTTCTGAAGGAAGGTTCAACTCTGTGAGTTGAATACACACACCACAAATAAGTTACTGAGAATTCTTCTGTGTAACATTATATGAGGAAATCCCGTTTCCAACGAAGGCCTCAAAGAGGTCCAAATATCCACTTGCAGACTTTACAAAGACAGTGTCTCCAAACTCCTCCATCAAAAGAAAGGTTATACTCTGTGAATTGAACGCACACATCACAAAGTAGTTTCTGAGAATGATTCTGTCTAGTTTTTATACGAAGATATTTCCTTTTCTACATTTGGCCTAAAAGCGCTTGAAATCTCCACCTGCAAATATCACAAAAAGAGGGTTTCACATCTGCTCTGTCTAAAGGACAGTTCACCTCTGTGAGTTGAATAGAGGCAACACAAAGAACTTACTCAGTATTCTTCTTTCTAGCGTTCTATGAAGAAATCCCGTTTCCAACGAAGACCCCAATGAGGTCCAAATATCTGCTTGCAGACTTTACAGACAGAGTGTTTCCAAACTACTCTATGAAAAGAAAGCTTAAACTCCTTGAGTTGAACGCACACATCACAAAGTAGTTACTGAGAATGATTCTGTCTAGTTTTTATACGAAGATGTTTCCTTTTCTACATTTGGTCTCAAAGCGATTGAAATCTCCAACTGGAAACTGCACAAATAGGGTGTTTCAAATCTGCTCTGTCTAAAGGAAGGTTCAACTCTGTGAGTTGAATACACACACCACAAATAAGTTACTGAGAATTCTTCTGTCGAACATTACTTGAAGAAATCCCGTTTCCAACGAAGGCCTCAAAGAGGTCCAAATATCCACTTGCAGACATTACAAACAGAGTGTTTCCAAACTGCTCCATCAAAAGAAAGGTTAAACTCTGTGAGCTGAACACACACATCGAAAAGAAGTTTCTGTGAATGACTCTGTCTAGATTTTATAAGAAGATGTTTCCTTTTCTACCGTAGGCCTCAAAGCGCTTGAAATCTCCAGCTGCAAATTCCACAAAAAGGGTGTTTAACATCTGCTCTTCTAAAGGAAAGTTCAACTCTATGAGTTGAATACACACAGCACAAAGAAGTTACTGAGACTTCTCCTATCAAACATTATATGAAGAAATCCCGTTTCCAACGAAGGCCTCAAAGAGGTCCAAATATCTGCTTGCAGACTTTACAGACAGAGTGTTTCCAAACTGCTCCATCAAAAGAAAGGTTAAACTCCTTGAGTTGAACACACACATCACAAAGTAGTTTCTGTGAATGATTCTGTCTAGTTGTTATACGAAGATGTTTCCTTTTCTACCTTTGGTCTCAAAGCGATTGAAATCTCCACATGGAAACTCCACAAAAAGAGTGTTTCAAATCTGCTCTTTCTGAAGGAAGGTTCATCTCTGTGAGTTGAATACACACACCACAAATAAGTTAGTGAGAATTCTTCTGTGTAACATTATATGAGGAAATCCCGTTTCCAACGAAGGCCTCAAAGAGGTCCAAATATCCACTTGCAGACTTTACAAAGACAGTGTCTCCAAACTCCTCCATCAAAAGAAAGGTTATACTCTGTGAATTGAACGCACACATCACAAAGTGGTTTCTGAGAATGATTCTGTCTAGTTTTTATACGAAGATATTTCCTTTTCTACATTTGGCCTAAAAGCGCTTGAAATCTCCACCTGCAAATATCACAAAAAGAGGGTTTCACATCTGCTCTGTCTAAAGGACAGTTCACCTCTGTGAGTTGAATAGAGGCAACACAAAGAACTTACTCAGTATTCTTCTTTCTAGCGTTCTATGAAGAAATCCCGTTTCCAACCGAAGGCCCTAAAGAGGTCCAAATATCTGCTTGCAGACTTTACAGACAGAGTGTTTCCAAACTACTCTATGAAAAGAAAGCTTAAACTCCTTGAGTTGAACGCACACATCACAAAGTAGTTTCTGAGAATGATGCTGTCTAGTTTTTGTACGAAGATGTTTCCTTTTCTACATTTGGTCTCAAAGCGATTGAAATCTCCAACTGGAAACTGCACAAATAGGGTGTTTCAAATCTGCTCTGTCTAAAGGAAGGTTCAACTCTGTGAGTTGAATACACACACCACAAATAAGTTACTGAGAATTCTTCTGTCGAACATTACAGGAAGAAATCCCGTTTCCAGCGAAGGCCTCAAAGAGGTCCAAATATCCACTTGCAGACATTACAAACAGAGTGTTTCCAAACTGCTCCATCAAAAGAAAGGTTAAACTCTGTGAGCTGAACACACACATCAAAAAGAAGTTTCTGTGAATGATTCTGTCTAGATTTTATAAGAAGATGTTTCCTTTTCTACCGTAGGCCTCAAAGCGCTTGAAATCTCCAGCTGCAAATTCCACAAAACGGGTGTTTAACATCTGCTCTTCTAAAGGAAAGTTCAACTCTATGAGTTGAATACACACAGCACAAAGAAGTTACTGAGACTTCTCCTATCAAACATTATATGAAGAAATCCCGTTTCCAACGAAGGCCTCAAAGAGGTCCAAATATCTGCTTGCAGACTTTACAGACAGAGTGTTTCCAAACTGCTCCATCAAAAGAAAGGTTAAACTCCTTGAGTTGAACACACACATCACAAAGTAGTTTCTGTGAATGATTCTGTCTAGTTGTTATACGAAGATGTTTCCTTTTCTACCTTTGGTCTCAAAGCGATTGAAATCTCCACATGGAAACTCCACAAAAAGAGTGTTTCAAATCTGCTCTTTCTGAAGGAAGGTTCATCTCTCTGAGTTGAATACACACACCACAAATAAGTTAGTGAGAATTCTTCTGTGTAACATTATATGAGGAAATCCCGTTTCCAACGAAGTCCTCAAAGAGGTCCAAATATCCACTTGCAGACTTTACAAAGACAGTGTCTCCAAACTCCTCCATCAAAAGAAAGCTTATACTCTGTGAATTGAACGCACACATCACAAAGTAGTTTCTGAGAATGATTCTCTCTAGTTTTTATACGAAGATATTTCCTTTTCTACATTTGGCCTAAAAGCGCTTGAAATCTCCACCTGCAAATATCACAAAAAGAGGGTTTCACATCTGCTCTGTCTAAAGGACAGTTCACCTCTGTGAGTTGAATAGAGGCAGCACAAAGGAGTTACTGAGTATTCTTCTTTCTACCGTTCTATGAAGAAATCCCGTTTCCAACGAAGGCCTCAAAGAGGTCCAAATATCTGCTTGCAGACTTTACAGACAGAGTGTTTCCAAACTACTCTATGAAAAGAAAGCTTAAACTCCTTGAGTTGAACGCACACATCACAAAGTAGTTTCTGAGAATGATTCTGTCTAGTTTTTATACGAAGATGATTCCTTTTCTACATTTGGTCTCAAAGCGATTGAAATCTCCAACTGGAAACTGCACAAATAGGGTGTTTCAAATCTGCTCTGTCTAAAGGAAGGTTCAACTCTGTGAGTTGAATACACACACCACAAATAAGTTACTGAGAATTCTTCTGTCGAACATTACATGAAGAAATCCCGTTTCCAACGAAGGCCTCAAAGAGGTCCAAATGTCCACTTGCAGACATTACAAACAGTGTGTTTCCAAACTGCTCCATCAAAAGAAAGGTTAAACTCTGTGAGCTGAACACACACATCAAAAAGAAGTTTCTGTGAATGATTCTGTCTAGATTTTATAAGAAGATGTTTCCTTTTCTACCGTAGGCCTCAAAGCGCTTGAAATCTCTGGTTGCAAATTCCACAAAAAGGGTGTTTAACATGTGCTCTTCTAAAGGAAAGTTCAACTCTATGAGTTGAATACACACAGCACAAAGAAGTTACTGAGACTTCTCCTATCAAACATTATATGAAGAAATCCCGTTTCCAACGAAGGCCTCAAAGAGGTCCAAATATCTACTTGCAGACTTTACAGACAGAGTGTTTCCAAACTGCTCCATCAAAAGAAAGGTTAAACTCCTTGAGTTGAACACACACATCACAAAGTAGTTTCTGTGAATGATTCTGTCTAGTTTTTATACGAAGATGTTTCCTTTTCTACCTTTGGTCTCAAAGCGATTGAAATCTCCACATGGAAACTCCACAAAAAGAGTGTTTCAAATCTGCTCTTTCTGAAGGAAGGTTCAACTCTGTGAGTTGAATACACACACCACAAATAAGTTACTGAGAATTCTTCTGTGTAACATTATAGGAGGAAATCCCGTTTCCATCGAAGGCCTCAAAGAGGTCCAAATATCCACTTGCAGACTTTACAAAGACAGTGTCTCCAAACTCCTCCATCAAAAGAAAGGTTATACTCTGTGAATTGAACGCACACATCACAAACTAGTTTCTGAGAATGATTCTGTCTGGTTTTTATACGAAGATATTTCCTTTTCTACAATTGGCCTGAAAGTGCTTGAAATCTCCACCTGCAAATATCACAAAAAGAGGGTTTCACATCTGCTCTGTCTAAAGGACAGTTCACCTCTGTGAGTTGAATAGAGGCAACACAAAGAACTTACTCAGTATTCTTCTTTCTAGCGTTCTATGAAGAAATCCCGTTTCCAACGAAGACCCCAATGCGGTCCAAATATCTGCTTGCAGACTTTACAGACAGAGTGTTTCCAAAGTACTCTATGAAAAGAAAGCTTAAACTCCTTGAGTTGAACGCACACATCACAAAGTAGTTTCTGAGAATGATTTTGTCTAGTTTTTATACGAAGATGTTTCCTTTTCTACATTTGGTCTCAAAGCGATTGAAATCTCCAACTGGAAACTGCACAAATAGGGTGTTTCAAATCTGCTCTGCCTAAAGGAAGGTTCAACTCCTGTGAGTTGAATACACACACCACAAATAAGTTACTGAGAATTCTTCTTTCGAACACTACTTGAAGAAATCCCGTTTCCAACGAAGGCCTCAAAGAGGTCCAAAAATCCACTTGCAGACATTACAAACAGAGTGTTTCCAAACTGCTCCATCAAAAGAAAGGTTAAACTCTGTGAGCTGAACACACACATCAAAAAGAAGTTTCTGTGAATGATTCTGTCTAGATTTTATAAGAAGATGTTTCCTTTTCTACCGTAGGCCTCAAAGCGCTTGAAATCTCCAGCTGCAAATTCCACAAAAAGGGTGTTTAACATCTGCTCTTCTAAAGGAAAGTTCAACTCTATGAGTTGAATACACACAGCACAAAGAAGTTACTGAGACTTCTCCTATCAAACATTATATGAAGAAATCCCGTTTCCAACGAAGGCCTCAAAGAGGTCCAAATATCTGCTTGCAGACTTTACAGACAGAGTGTTTCCAAACTGCTCCATCAAAAGAAAGGTTAAACTCCTTGAGTTGAACACACACATCACAAAGTAGTTTCTGTGAATGTTTCTGTCTAGTTTTTATACGAAGATGTTTCCTTTTCTACCTTTGGTCTCAAAGCGATTGAAATCTCCACATGGAAACTCCACCAAAAGAGTGTTTCAAATCTGCTCTTTCTGAAGGAAGGTTCAACTCTGTGAGTTGAATACACACACCACAAATAAGTTACTGAGAATTCTTCTGTGTAACATTATATGAGGAAATCCCGTTTCCAACGAAGGCCTCAAAGAGGTCCAAATATCCACTTGCAGACTTTACAAAGACAGTGTCTCCAAACTCCTCCATCAAAAGAAAGGTTATACTCTGTGAATTGAACGCACACGTCACAAAGTAGTTTCTGAGAATGATTCTGTCTAGTTTTTATACGAAGATATTTCCTTTTCTACATTTGGCCTAAAAGCGCTTGAAATCTACACCTGCAAATATCACAAAAAGAGGGTTTCACATCTGCTCTGCCTAAAGGACAGTTCACCTCTGTGAGTTGAATAGAGGCAACACAAAGAACTTACTCAGTATTCTTCTTTCTAGCGTTCTATGAAGAAATCCCGTTTCCAACGAAGGCCCCAAAGAGGTCCAAATATCTGCTTGCAGACTTTACAGACAGAGTGTTTCCAAACTACTCTATGAAAAGAAAGCTTAAACTCCTTGAGTTGAACGCACACATCACAAAGTAGTTTCGGAGAATGATTCTGTCTAGTTTTTATACGAAGATGTTTCCTTTTCTACATTTGGTCTCAAAGCAATTGAAATCTCCAACTGGGAACTGCACAAATAGGGTGTTTCAAATCTGCTCTGTCTAAAGGAAGGTTCAACTCTGTGAGTTGAATACACACACCACAAATAAGTTACTGAGAATTCTTCTGTCGAACATTACAGGAAGAAATCCCGTTTCCAACGAAGGCCTCAAAGAGGTCCAAATATCCACTTGCAGACATTACAAACAGTGTGTTTCCAAACTGCTCCATCAAAAGAAAGGTTAAACTCTGTGAGCTGAACACACACATCAAAAAGAAGTTTCTGTGAATGATTCTGTCTAGATTTTATAAGAAGATGTTTCCTTTTCTACCGTAGGCCTCAAAGCGCTTGAAATCTCCAGCTGCAAATTCCACAAAAAGGGTGTTTAACATCTGCTCTTCTAAAGGAAAGTTCAACTCTATGAGTTGAATACACACAGCACAAAGAAGTTTCTGAGACTTCTCCTATCAAACATTATATGAAGAAATCCCGTTTCCAACGAAGGCCTCAAAGAGGTCCAAATATCTGCTTGCAGACTTTACAGACAGAGTGCTTCCAAACTGCTCCATCAAAAGAAAGGTTAAACTCCTTGCGTTGAACACACACATCACAAAGTAGTTTCTGTGAATGATTCTGTCTAGTTTTTATACGAAGATGTTTCCATTTCTACCTTTGGTCTCAAAGCGATTGAAATCTCCACATGGAAACTCCACAAAAAGAGTGTTTCAAATCTGCTCTTTCTGAAGGAAGGTTCAACTCTGTGAGTTTAATACACACACCACAAATAAGTTACTGAGAATTCTTCTGTGTAACATTATATGAGGAAATCCCGTTTCCAACGAAGGCCTCAAAGAGGTCCAAATATCCACTTGCAGACTTTACAAAGACAGTGTCTCCAAACTCCTCCATCAAAAGAAAGGTTATACTCTGTGAATTGAACGCACACATCACAAAGTAGTTTCTGAGAATGATTCTGTCTAGTTTTTATACGAAGATATTTCCTTTTCTACATTTGGCCTAAAAGCGCTTGAAATCTCCACCTGCAAATATCACAAAAAGAGGGTTTCACATCTGCTCTGTCTAAAGGACAGTTCACCTCTGTGAGTTGAATAGAGGCAACACAAAGAACTTACTCAGTATTCTTCTTTCTAGCGTTCTATGAAGAAATCCCGTTTCCAACGAAGGCCCCAAAGAGGTCCAAATATCTGCTTGCAGACTTTACAGACAGAGTGTTTCCAAACTACTCTATGAAAAGAAAGCTTAAACTCCTTGAGTTAAACGCACTCATCACAAAGTAGTTTCTGAGAATGATTCTGTCTAGTTTTTATACGAAGATGTTTCCTTTTCTACATTTGGTCTCAAAGCGATTGAAATCTCCAACTGGAAACTGCACAAATAGGCTGTTTCAAATCTGCTCTGTCTAAAGGAAGGTTCAACTCTGTGAGTTGAATACACACACCACAAATAAGTTACTGAGAATTCTTCCGTCGAACATTACTTGAAGAAATCCCGTTTCCAACGAAGGCCTCAAAGAGGTCCAAATATCCACTTGCAGACATTACAAACAGAGTGTTTCCAAAACTGCTCCATCAAAAGAAAGGTTAAACTCTGTGAGCTGAACACACACATCAAAAAGAAGTTTCTGTGAATGATTCTGTCTAGATTTTATAAGAAGATGTTTCCTTTTCTACCGTAGGCCTCAAAGCGCTTGAAATCTCCAGCTGCAAATTCCACAAAAAGGGTGTTTAACATCTGCTCTTCTAAAGGAAAGTTCAACTCTATGAGTTGAATACATACAGCACAAAGAAGTTACTGAGACTTCTCCTATCAAACATTATATGAAGAAATCCCGTTTCCAACGAAGGCCTCAAAGAGGTCCAAATATCTGCTTGCAGACTTTACAGACAGAGTGTTTCCAAACTGCTCCATCAAAAGAAAGGTTAAACTCCTTGAGTTGAACACACACATCACAAAGTAGTTTCTGTGAATGATTCTGTCTAGTTTTTATACGAAGATGTTTCCTTTTCTACCTTTGGTCTCAAAGCGATTGAAATCTCCACATGGAAACTCCACAAAAAGAGTGTTTCAAATCTGCTCTTTCTGAAGGAAGGTTCAACTCTGTGAGTTGAATACACACACCACAAATAAGTTACTGAGAATTCTTCTGTGTAACATTATATGAGGAAATCCCGTTTCCAACGAAGGCCTCAAAGAGGTCCAAATATCCACTTGCAGACTTTACAAAGACAGTGTCTCCAAACTCCTCCATCAAAAGAAAGGTTATACTCTGTGAATTGAACGCACACATCACAAAGTAGTTTCTGAGAATGATTCTGTCTAGTTTTTATACGAAGATATTTCCTTTTCTACATTTGGCCTAAAAGCGCTTGAAATCTCCACCTGCAAATATCACAAAAAGAGGGTTTCACATCTGCTCTGTCTAAAGGACAGTTCACCTCTGTGAGTTGAATAGAGGCAACACAAAGAACTTACCCAGTATTCTTCTTTCTAGCGTTCTCTGAAGAAATCCCGTTTCCAACGAAGGCCTCAAAGAGTTCCAAATATCTGCTTGCAGACTTTACAGACAGAGTGTTTCCAAACTACTCTATGAAAAGAAAGCTTAAACTCCTTGAGTTGAACGCACACATCACAAAGTAGTTTCTGAGAATGATTCTGTCTAGTTTTTATACGAAGATGTTTCCTTTTCTACATTTGGTCTCAAAGCGATTGAAATCTCCAACTGGAAACTGCACAAATAGGCTGTTTCAAATCTGCTCTGTCTAAAGGAAGGTTCAACTCTGTGAGTTGAATACACACACCACAAATAAGTTACTGAGAATTCTTCTGTCGAACATTACAGGAAGAAATCCCGTTTCCAACGAAGGCCTCAAAGAGGTCCAAATATCCACTTGCAGACATTACAAACAGTGTGTTTCCCACCTGCTCCATCAAAAGAAAGGTTAAACTCTGTGAGCTGAACACACACATCAAAAAGAAGTTTCTGTGAATGATTCTGTCTAGATTTTATAAGAAGATGTTTCCTTTTCTACCGTAGGCCTCAAAGCGCTTGAAATCTCCAGCTGCAAATTCCACAAAAAGGGTGTTTAACATCTGCTCTTCTAAAGGAAAGTTCAACTCTATGAGTTGAATACACACAGCACAAAGAAGTTACTGAGACTTCTCCTATCAAACATTATATGAAGAAATCCCGTTTCCAACGAAGGCCTCAAAGAGGTCCAAATATCTGCTTGCAGACTTTACAGACAGAGTGTTTCCAAACTGCTCCATCAAAAGAAAGGTTAAACTCCTTGAGTTGAACACACACATCACAAAGTAGTTTCTGTGAATGATTCTGTCTAGTTTTTATACGAAGATGTTTCCTTTTCTACCTTTGGTCTCAATGCGATTGAAATCTCCACATGGAAACTCCACAAAAAGAGTGTTTCAAATCTGCTCTTTCTGAAGGAAGGTTCAACTCTGTGAGTTGAATACACACACCACAAATAAGTTACTGAGAATTCTTCTGTGTAACATTATATGAGGAAATCCCGTTTCCAACGAAGGCCTCAAAGAGATCCAAATATCCACTTGCAGACTTTACAAAGACAGTGTCTCCAAACTCCTCCATCAAAAGAAAGGTTATACTCTGTGAATTGAACGCACACATCACAAAGTAGTTTCTGAGAATGATTCTGTCTAATTTTCATACGAAGATATTTCCTTTTCTACATTTGGCCTAAAAGCGCTTGAAATCTCCACCTGCAAATATCACAAAAAGAGGGTTTCACATCTGCTCTGTCTAAAGGACAGTTCACCTCTGTGAGTTGAATAGAGGCAACACAAAGAACTTACTCAGTATTCTTCTTTCTAGCGTTCTATGAAGAAATCCCGTTTCCAACGAAGGCCTCAAAGAGGTCCAAATATCTGCTTGCACACTTTACAGACAGAGTGTTTCCAAACTACTCTATGAAAAGAAAGCTTAAACTCCTTGAGTTGAACGCACACATCACAAAGTAGTTTCTGAGAATGATTCTGTCTAGTTTTTATACGAAGATGTTTCCTTTTCTACATTTGGTCTCAAAGCGATTGAAATCTCCAACTGGAAACTGCACAAATAGGGTGTTTCAAATCTGCTCTGTCTAAAGGAAGGTTCAACTCTGTGAGTTGAATACACACACCACAAATAAGTTACTGAGAATTCTTCTGTCGAACATTACAGGAAGAAATCCCGTTTCCAACGAAGGCCTCAAAGAGGTCCAAATATCCACTTGCAGACATTACAAACAGAGTGTTTCCAAACTGCTCCATCAAAAGAAAGGTTAAACTCTGTGAGCTGAACACACACATCAAAAAGAAGTTTCTGTGAATGATTCTGTCTAGATTTTATAAGAAGATGTTTCCTTTTCTACCGTAGGCCTCAAAGCGCTTGAAATCTCCAGCTGCAAATTCCACAAAAAGGGTGTTTAACATCTGCTCTTCTAAAGGAAAGTTCAACTCTATGAGTTGAATACACACAGCACAAAGAAGTTACTGAGACTTCTCCTATCAAACATTATATGAAGAAATCCCGTTTCCAACGAAGGCCTCAAAGAGGTCCAAATATCTGCTTGCAGACTTTACAGACAGAGTGTTTCCAAACTGCTCCATCAAAAGAAAGGTTAACCTCCTTGAGTTGAACACACACATCACAAAGTAGTTTCTGTGAATGATTCTGTCTAGTTTTTATACGAAGATGTTTCCTTTTCTACCTTTGGTCTCAAAGCGATTGAAATCTCCACATGGAAACTCCACAAAAAGAGTGTTTCAAATCTGCTCTTTCTGAAGGAAGGTTCATCTCTGTGAGTTGAATACACACACCACAAATAAGTTACTGAGAATTCTTCTGTGTAACATTATATGAGGAAATCCCGTTTCCAACGAAGGCCTCAAAGAGGTCCAAATATCCACTTGCAGACTTTACAAAGACAGTGTCTCCAAACTCCTCCATCAAAAGAAAGGTTATACTCTGTGAATTGAACGCACACATCACAAAGTAGTTTCTGAGAATGATTCTGTCTAGTTTTTATACGAAGATATTTCCTTTTCTACATTTGGCCTAAAAGCGCTTGAAATCTCCACCTGCAAATATCACAAAAAGAGGGTTTCACATCTGCTCTGTCTAAAGGACAGTTCACCTCTGTGAGTTGAATAGAGGCAACACAAAGAACTTATTCAGTATTCTTCTTTCTAGCGTTCTATGAAGAAATCCCGTTTCCAACGAAGGACCCCAATGAGGTCCAAATATCTGCTTGCTGACTTTACAGACAGAGTGTTTCCAAACTACTCTATGAAAAGAAAGCTTAAACTCCTTGAATTGAACGCACATAACACAAAGTAGTTTCTGAGAATGATTCTGTCTAGTTTTTATACGAAGATGTTTCCTTTTCTACATTTGGTCTCAAAGCGATTGAAATCTCCAACTGGAAACTGCACAAATAGGGTGTTTCAAATCTGCTCTGTCTAAAGGAAGGTTCAACTCTGTGAGTTGAATACACACACCACAAATAAGTTACTGAGAATTCTTCTGTCGAACATTACTTGAAGAAATCCCGTTTCCAACGAAGGCCTCAAAGAGGTCCAAATATCCACTTGCAGACATTACAAACAGAGTGTTTCCAAACTGCTCCATCAAAAGAAAGGTTAAACTCTGTGAGCTGAACACACACATCAAAAAGAAGTTTCTGTGAATGATTCTGTCTAGATTTTATAAGAAGATGTTTCCTTTTCTACCGTAGGCCTCAAAGCGCTTGAAATCTCCAGCTGCAAATTCCACAAAAAGGGTGTTTAACATCTGCTCTTCTAAAGGAAAGTTCAACTCTATGAGTTGAATACACACAGCACAAAGAAGTTACTGAGACTTCTCCTATCAAACATTATATGAAGAAATCCCGTTTTCAACGAAGGCCTCAAAGAGGTCCAAATATCTGCTTGCAGACTTTACAGACAGAGTGTTTCCAAACTGCTCCATCAAAAGAAAGGTTAAACTCCTTGAGTTGAACACACACATCACAAAGTAGTTTCTGTGAATGATTCTGTCTAGTTTTTATACGAAGATGTTTCCTTTTCTACCTTTGGTCTCAAAGCGATTGAAATCTCCACATGGAAACTCCACAAAAAGAGTGTTTCAAATCTGCTCTTTCTGAAGGAAGGTTCAAATCTGTGAGTTGAATACACACAGCACAAGTAAGTTACTGAGAATGCTTCTGTGTAACATTATATGAGGAAATCCCGTTTCCAACGAAGACCTCAAAGAGGTCCAAATATCCACTTGCAGACTTTACAAAGACAGTGTCTCCAAACTCCTCCATCAAAAGAAAGGTTATACTCTGTGAATTGAACGCACACATCACAAAGTAGTTTCTGAGAATGATTCTGTCTAGTTTTTATACGAAGATATTTCCTTTTCTACATTTGGCCTAAAAGCGCTTGAAATGTCCACCTGCAAATATCACAAAAAGAGGGTTTCACATCTGCTGTGTCTAAAGGACAGTTCACCTCTGTGAGTTGAATAGAGGCAACACAAAGCAGTTACTGAGTATTCTTCTTTGTAGCGTTATATGAAGAAATCCCGTTTCCAACGAAGGCCTCAAAGAGGTCCAAATATCTGCTTGCAGACTTTACAGACAGAGTTTTTCCAAACTACTCTAGGAAAAGAAAGCTTAAACTCCTTGAGTTGAACGCAAACATCACAAAGTAGTTTCTGAGAATGATTCTGTCTTGTTTTTATACGAAGATATTTCCGTTTCTATGATTGGCCTAAAAGCGCTTGAAATCTCCAACTGCAAATATCACAAAAAGAGGGTTTCACATCTGCTCAGTCTAAAGGACAGTTCCCCTCTGTGAGTTGAATAGAGGCAACACAAAGAACTTACTCAGTATTCTTCTTTCTAGCGTTATATGAAGAAATCCCGTTTCAAACGAAGGCCTCAAAGAGGTCCAAATATCTGCTTGCAGACTTTACAGACAGAGTGTTTCCAAAGTACTCTATGAAAAGAAAGCTTAAACTCCTTGAGTTGAACGCACCCATTGCAAAGTAGTTTCTGAGAATGATTCTGTCTTGTTTTTATACGAAGATATTTCCGTTTCTATGATTGGCCTCAAAGCCATTGAAATCTCCAACTGGAAGCTGCACAAATAGGGTGTTTCCAATCTGCTCTGTCTAAAGGAAGGTACAACTCTGTGAGTTGAACACACACACCACAAATAAGTTACTGAGAATTCTTCTGTCGAACATTACATGAAGAAATCCCGTTTCCAACGAAGGCCTCAAAGAGGTGCAATTATCCACTTGCAGACATTACAAACAGAGTGTTTCCAAACTGCTCCATCAAAAGAATGGTTAAACTCTGTGAGCTGAACACACACATCAAAAAGAAGTTTCTGTGAATGATTCTGTCTAGATTTTATAGGAAGATGTTTCCTTTTCTACCATAGGCCTCAAAGCGCTTGAAATCTCCAGCTGCAAATTCCACAAAAAGGGTGTTTAACATCTGCTCTTCTAAAGGAAAGTTCAACTCTATGAGTTGAATACACACAGCACAAAGAAGTTACTGAGACTTCTCCTATCAAACATTATATGAAGAAATCCCGTTTCCAACGAAGGCCTCAAAGAGGTCCAAATATCCACTTGCAGACTTTACAAAGACAGTGTCTCCAAACTCCTCCATCAAAAGAAAGGTTATACTCTGTGAATTGAACGCACACATCACAAAGTAGTTTCTGAGAATGATTCTGTCTAGTTTTTATACGAAGATATTTCCTTTTCTACATTTGGCCTAAAAGCGCTTGAAATCTCCACCTGCAAATATCACAAAAAGAGGGTTTCACATCTGCTCTGTCTAAAGGACAGTTCACCTCTGTGAGTTGAATAGAAGCAACACAAAGAACTTACTCAGTATTCTTCTTTCTAGCGTTCTATGAAGAAATCCCGTTTCCAACGAAGGCCCCAAAGAGGTCCAAATATCTGCTTGCAGACTTTACAGACAGAGTGTTTCCAAACTACTCTATGAAAAGAAAGCTTAAACTCCTTGAGTTGAACGCACACATCACAAAGTAGTTTCTGAGAATGATTCTGTCTAGTTTTTATACGAAGATGTTTCTTTTTCTACATTTGGTCTCAAAGCGATTGAAATCTCCAACTGGAAACTGCACAAATAGGCTTTTTCAAATCTGCTCTGTCTAAAGGAAGGTTCAACTCTGTGAGTTGAATACACACACCACAAATAAGTTACTGAGAATTCTTCTGTCGAACATTACTTGAAGAAATCCCGTTTCCAACGAAGGCCTCAAAGAGGTCCAAATATCCACTTGCAGACATTACAAACAGAGTGTTTCCAAACTGCTCCATCAAAAGAAAGGTTAAACTCTGTGAGCTGAACACACACATCAAAAAGAAGTTTCTGTGAATGATTCTGTCTAGATTTTATAAGAAGATGTTTCCTTTTCTACCGTAGGCCTCAAAGCGCTTGAAATCTCCAGCTGCAAATTCCACAAAAAGGGTGTTTAACATCTGCTCTTCTAAAGGAAAGTTCAACTCTATGAGTTGAATACACACCGCACAAAGAGGTTACTGAGACTTCTCCTATCAAACATTATATGAAGAAATCCCGTTTCCAACGAAGGCCTCAAAGAGGTCCAAATATCTGCTTGCAGACTTTACAGACAGAGTGTTTCCAAACTGCTCCATCAAAAGAAAGGTTAAACTCCTTGAGTTGAACACACACATCACAAAGTAGTTTCTGTGAATGATTCTGTCTAGTTGTTATACGAAGATGTTTCCTTTTCTACCTTTGGTCTCAAAGCGATTGAAATCTCCACATGGAAACTCCACAAAAAGAGTGTTTCAAATCTGCTCTTTCTGAAGGAAGGTTCATCTCTGTGAGTTGAATACACACACCACAAATAAGTTACTGAGAATTCTTCTGTGTAACATTATATGAGGAAATCCCGTTTCCAACGGAGGCCTCAAAGAGGTCCAAATATCCACTTGCAGACTTTACAAAGACAGTGTCTCCAAACTCCTCCACCAAAAGAAAGGTTATACTCTGTGAATTGAACGCACACATCACAAAGTAGTTTCTGAGAATGATTCTGTCTAGTTTTTATACGAAGATATTTCCTTTTCTACATTTGGCCTAAAAGCGCTTGAAATCTCCACCTGCAAATATCACAAAAAGAGGGTTTCACATCTGCTCTGTCTAAAGGACAGTTCACCTCTGTGAGTTGAATAGAGGCAACACAAAGAACTTACTCAGTATTCTTCTTTCTAGCGTTCTATGAAGAAATCCCGTTTCCAACGAAGGCCTCAAAGAGGTCCAAATATCTGCTTGCAGACTTTACAGAGTGTTTCCAAACTACTCTATGAAAAGAAAGCTTAAACTCCTTGAGTTGAACGCACACATCACAAAGTAGTTTCTGAGAATGATTCTGTCTAGTTTTTATACGAAGATGTTTCCTTTTCTACATTTCGTCTCAAAGCGATTGAAATCTCCAACTGGAAACTGCACAAATAGGGTGTTTCAAATCTGCTCTGTCTAAAGGAAGGTTCAACTCTGTGAGTTGAATACACACACCACAAATAAGTTACTGAGAATTCTTCTGTCGAACATTACATGAAGAAATCCCGTTTCCAACGAAGGCCTCAAAGAGGTCCAAATATCCACTTGCAGACATTACAAACAGAGTGTTTCCAAACTGCTCCATCAAAAGAAAGGTTAAACTCTGTGAGCTGAACACACACATCAAAAAGAAGTTTCTGTGAATGATTCTGTCTAGATTTTCTAAGAAGATGTTTCCTTTTCTACCGTAGGCCTCAAAGCGCTTGAAATCTCCAGCTGCAAATTCCACAAAAAGGGTGTTTAACATCTGCTCTTCTAAAGGAAAGTTCAACTCTATGCGTTGAATACACACAGCAGAAAGAAGTTACTGAGACTTCTCCTATCAAACATTATATGAAGAAATCCCGTTTCCAACGAAGGCCTCAAAGAGGTCCAAATATCTGCTTGCAGACTTTACAGACAGAGTGTTTTTAAACTACTCCATCAAAAGAAAGGTTAAACTCCTTGAGTTGAACACACACATCACAAAGTAGTTTCTGTGAATGATTCTGTCTAGTTTTTATACGAAGATGTTTCCTTTTCTACCTTTGGTCTCAAAGCGATTGAAATCTCCACATGGAAACTCCACAAAAAGAGTGTTTCAAATCTGCTCTTTCTGAAGGAAGGTTCAACTCTTGTGAGTTGAATACACACACCACAAATAAGTTACTGAGAATTCTTCTGTGTAACATTATATGAGGAAATCCCGTTTCCAACGAAGGCCTCAAAGAGGTCCAAATATCCACTTGCAGACTTTACAAAGACAGTGTCTCCAAGCTCCTCCATCAAAAGAAAGGTTATACTGTGTGAATTGAACGCACACATCACAAAGTAGTTTCTGAGAATGATTCTGTCTAGTTTTTATACGAAGAATATTTCCTTTTCTACATTTGGCCTGAAAACGCTTGAAATCTCCACCTGCAAATATAACAAAAAGAGGGTTTCACATCTGCTCTGTCTAAAGGACAGTTCACCTCTGTGAGTTGAATAGAGGCAACACAAAGAACTTACTCAGTATTCTTCTTTCTAGCGATCTATGAAGAAATCCCGTTTCCAACGAAGGCCTCAAAGAGGTCAAATATCTGCTTGCAGACTTTACAGACAGAGTGTTTCCAAACTACTCTATGAAAAGAAAGCTTAAACTCCTTGAGTTGAACGCACACATCACAAAGTAGTTTCTGAGAATGATTCTGTCTAGTTTTTATACGAAGATATTTCCTTTTCTACATTTGGCCTAAAAGTGCTTGAAATCTCCACCTGCAAATATCACAAAAAGAGGGTTTCACATCTGCTCTGTCTAAAGGACAGTTCACCTCTGTGAGTTGAATAGAGGCAACACAAAGAACTTACTCAGTATTCTTCTTTCTAGCGTTCTATGAAGAAATCCCGTTTCCAACGAAGGCCCCAAAGAGGTCCAAATATCTGCTTGCAGACTTTACAGACAGAGTGTTTCCAAACTACTCTATGAAAAGAAAGCTTAAACTCCTTGAGTTGAACGCACACATCACAAAGTAGTTTCTGAGAATGATTCTGTCTAGTTTTTATACGAAGATGTTTCCTTTTCTACATTTGGTCTCAAAGCGATTGAAATCTCCAACTGGAAACTGCACAAATAGGCTGTTTCAAATCTGCTCTGTCTAAAGGAAGGTTCAACTCTGTGAGTTGAATACACACACCACAAATAAGTTACTGAGAATTCTTCTGTCGAACATTACTTGAAGAAATCCCGTTTCCAAAGAAGGCCTCAAAGAGGTCCAAATATCCACTTGCAGACATTACAAACAGAGTGTTTCCAAACTGCTCCATCAAAAGAAAGGTTAAACTCTGTGAGCTGAACACACACATCAAAAAGAAGTTTCTGTGAATGATTCTGTCTAGATTTTATAAGAAGATGTTTCCTTTTCTACCGTAGGCCTCAAAGCGCTTGAAATCTCCAGCTGCAAATTCCACAAAAAGGGTGTTTAACATCTGCTCTTCTAAAGGAAAGTTCAACTCTATGAGTTGAATACACACAGCACAAAGGAGTTACTGAGACTTCTCCTATCAAACATTATATGAAGAAATCCCGTTTCCAACGAAGGCCTCAAAGAGGTCCAAATATCTGCTTGCAGACTTTACAGACAGAGTGTTTCCAAACTGCTCCATCAAAAGAAAGGTTAAACTCCTTGAGTTGAACACACACATCACAAAGTAGTTTCTGTGAATGATTCTGTCTAGTTTTTGTACGAAGATGTTTCCTTTTCTACCTTTGGTCTCAATGCGATTGAAATCTCCACATGGAAACTCCACAAAAAGAGTGTTTCAAATCTGCTCTTACTGAAGGAAGGTTCAACTCTGTGAGTTGAATACACACACCACAAATAAGTTACTGAGAATTCTTCTGTGTAACATTATATGAGGAAATCCCGTTTCCAACGAAGGCCTCAAAGAGGTCCCAAATATCCACTTGCAGACTTTACAAAGACAGTGTCTCCAAACTCCTCCATCAAAAGAAAGGTTATACTCTGTGAATTGAACGCACACATCACAAAGTAGTTTCTGAGAATGATTCTGTCTAGTTTTTATACGAAGATATTTCCTTTTCTACATTTGGCCTAAAAGTGCTTGAAATCTCCACCTGCAAATATCACAAAAAGAGGGTTTCACATCTGCTCTGTCTAAAGGACAGTTCACCTCTGTGAGTTGAATAGAGGCAACACAAAGAACTTACTCAGTATTCTTCTTTCTAGCGTTCTATGAAGAAATCCCGTTTCCAACGAAGGCCTCAAAGAGGTCCAAATATCTGCTTGCAGACTTTACAGACAGAGTGTTTCCAAACTACTCTATGAAAAGAAAGCTTAAACTCCTTGAGTTGAACGCACACATCACAAAGTAGTTTCTGAGAATGATTCTTTCTAGTTTTTATACGAAGATGTTTCCTTTTCTACATTTGGTCTCAAAGCGATTGAAATCTCCAACAGGAAACTGCACAAATAGGGTGTTTCAAATCTGCTCTGTCTAAAGGAAGGTTCAACTCTGTGAGTTGAATACACACACCACAAATAAGTTACTGAGAATTCTTCTGTCGAACATTACTTGAAGAAATCCCGTTTCCAACGAAGGCCTCAAAGAGGTCCAAATATCCACTTGCAGACATTACAAACAGAGTGTTTCCAAACTGCTCCATCAAAAGAAAGGTTAAACTCTGTGAGCTGAACACACACATCAAAAAGAAGTTTCTGTGAATGATTCTGTCTAGATTTTATAAGAAGATGTTTCCTTTTCTACCGTAGGCCTCAAAGCGCTTGAAATCTCCAGCTGCAAATTCCACAAAAAGGGTGTTTAACATCTGCTCTTCTAAAGGAAAGTTCAACTCTATGAGTTGAATACACACAGCACAAAGAAGTTACTGAGACTTCTCCTATCAAACATTATATGAAGAAATCCCGTTTCCAACGAAGGCCTCAAAGAGGTCAAATATCTGCTTGCAGACTTTACAGACAGAGTGTTTCCAAACTACTCTATGAAAAGAAAGCTTAAACTCCTTGAGTTGAACGCACACATCACAAAGTAGTTTCTGAGAATGATTCTGTCTAGTTTTTATACGAAGATGTTTCCTTTTCTACATTTGGTCTCAAAGCGATTGAAATCTCCAACTGGAAACTGCACAAATAGGGTGTTTCAAATCTGCTCTGTCTAAAGGAAGGTTCAACTCTGTGAGTTGAATACACACACCACAAATAAGTTACTGAGAATTCTTCTGTCGAACATTACATGAAGAAATCCCGTTTCCAACGAAGGCCTCAAAGAGGTCCAAATATCCACTTGCAGACATTACAAACAGAGTGTTTCCAAACTGCTCCATCAAAAGAAAGGTTAAACTCTGTGAGCTGAACACACACATCAAAAAGAAGTTTCTGTGAATGATTCTGTCTGGATTTTATAAGAAGATGTTTCCTTTTCTACCGTAGGCCTCAAAGCGCTTGAAATCTCCAGCTGCAAATTCCACAAAAAGGGTGTTTAACATCTGCTCTTCTAAAGGAAAGTTCAACTCTATGCGTTGAATACACACAGCACAAAGAAGTTACTGAGACTTCTCCTATCAAACATTATATGAAGAAATCCCGTTTCCAACGAAGGCCTCAAAGAGGTCCAAATATCTGCTTGCAGACTTTACAGACAGAGTGTTTCCAAACTGCTCCATCAAAAGGAAGTTTAAACTCCTTGAGTTGAACACACACATCACAAAGTAGTTTCTGTGAATGATTCTGTCTAGTTGTTATACGAAGATGTTTCCTTTTCTACCTTTGGTCTCAAAGCGATTGAAATCTCCACATGGAAACTCCACAAAAAGAGTGTTTCAAATCTGCTCTTTCTGAAGGAAGGTTCATCTCTGTGAGTTGAATACACACACCACAAATAAGTTACTGAGAATTCTTCTGTGTAACATTATATGAGGAAATCCCGTTTCCAACGAAGGCTTCAAAGAGGTCCAAATATCCACTTGCAGACTTTACAAAGACAGTGTCTCCAAACTCCTCCATCAAAAGAAAGGTTATACTCTGTGAATTGAACGCACACATCACAAAGTAGTTTCTGAGAATGATTCTGTCTAGTTTTTATACGAAGATATTTCCTTTTCTACATTTGGCCTAAAAGCGCTTGAAATCTCCACCTGCAAATATCACAAAAAGAGGGTTTCACTTCTGCTCTGTCTAAAGGACAGTTCACCTCTGTGAGTTGAATAGAGGCAACACAAAGAACTTACTCAGTATTCTTCTTTCTAGCGTTCTATGAAGAAATCCCGTTTCCAACGAAGGCCCCAAAGAGGTCCAAATATCTGCTTGCAGACTTTACAGACAGAGTGTTTCCAAACTACTCTATGAAAAGAAAGCTTAAACTCCTTGAGTTGAACGCACACATCACAAAGTAGTTTCTGAGAATGATTCTGTCTAGTTTTTATACGAAGATGTTTCCTTTTCTACATTTGGTCTCAAAGCGATTGAAATCTCCAACTGGAAACTGCACAAATAGGGTGTTTCAAATCTGCTCTGTCTAAAGGAAGGTTCAACTCTGTGAGTTGAATACACACACCACAAATAAGTTACTGAGAATTCTTCTGTCGAACATTACTTGAAGAAATCCCGTTTCCAAAGAAGGCCTCAAAGAGGTCCAAATATCCACTTGCAGACATTACAAACAGAGTGTTTCCAAACTGCTCCATCAAAAGAAAGGTTAAACTCTGTGAGCTGAACACACACATCAAAAAGAAGTTTCTGTGAATGATTCTGTCTAGATTTTATAAGAAGATGTTTCCTTTTCTACCGTAGGCCTCAAAGCGCTTGAAATCTCCAGCTGCAAATTCCACAAAAAGTGTGTTTAACATCTGCTCTTCTAAAGGAAAGTTCAACTCTATGAGTTGAATACACACAGCACAAAGATGTTACTGAGACTTCTCCTATCAAACATTATATGAAGAAATCCCGTTTCCAACGAAGGCCTCAAAGAGGTCCAAATATCTGCTTGCAGATTTTACAGACAGAGTGTTTCCAAACTGCTCCATCAAAAGAAAGTTTAACCTCCTTGAGTTGAACACACACATCACAAAGTAGTTTCTGTGAATGATTCTGTCTAGTTTTTATACGAAGATGTTTCCTTTTCTACCTTTGGTCTCAAAGCGATTGAAATCTCCACATGGAAACTCCACAAAAAGAGTGTTTCAAATCTGCTCTTTCTGAAGGAAGGTTCAACTCTGTGAGTTGAATACACACACCACAAATAAGTTACTGAGAATTCTTCTGTGTAACATTATATGAGGAAATCCCGTTTCCAACGAAGGCCTCAAAGAGGTCCAAATATCCACTTGCAGACTTTACAAAGACAGTGTCTCCAAACTCCTCCACCAAAAGAAAGGTTATACTCTGTGAATTGAACGCACACATCACAAAATAGTTTCTGAGAATGATTCTGTCTAGTTTTTATACGAAGATATTTCCTTTTCTACATTTGGCCTAAAAGCGCTTGAAATCTCCACCTGCAAATATCACAAAAAGAGGGTTTCACATCTGCTCTGTCTAAAGGACAGTTCACCTCTGTGAGTTGAATAGAGGCAACACAAAGAACTTACTCAGTATTCTTCTTTCTAGCGTTCTATGAAGAAATCCCGTTTCCAACGAAGGCCTCAAAGAGGTCCAAATATCTGCTTGCAGACTTACAGACAGAGTGTTTCCAAACTACTCTATGAAAAGAAAGCTTAAACTCCTTGAGTTGAACGCACACATCACAAAGTAGTTTCTGAGAATGATTCTGTCTTGTTTTTATACAAAGGTATTTCCGTTTCTATGGCTTCAAAGCGATTGAAATCTCCAACTGGAAACTGCACAAATAGGGTGTTTCAAATCTGCTCTGTCTAAAGGAAGGTTCAACTCTGTGAGTTGAATACACACACCACAAATAAGTTACTGAGAATTCTTCTGTCGAACATTACATGAAGAAATCCCGTTTCCAACGAAGGCCTCAAAGAGGTCCAAATATCCACTTGCAGACATTGCAAAAAGAGTGTTTCCAAACAACTCCATCAAAAGTAATGTTAAACTCTGTGAGCTGAACACACACATCAAAAAGAAGTTTCTGTGAATGATTCTGTCTAGATTTTATAAGAAGATGTTTCCTTTTCTACCGTAGGCCTCAAAGCGCTTGAAATCTCCAGCTGCAAATTCCACAAAAAGGGTATTTAACATCTGCTCTTCTAAAGGAGATTTCAACTCTATGAGTTGAATTCACACAGCACTAAGAAGTTACTGAGACTTCTTCTGTCTAACATTATATGAAGAAATCCCGTTTCCAACGAAGGCCTCAAAGAGGTCCAAATATCCACTTGCAGACTTGTCAAACAGAGTGTTTCCAAACTGCACCATCAAAAGAAAGGTTAAACTCTGTGAGCTGAACACACACATCACAAAGTAGTTTCTGTGAATGATTCTGTCTAGATTTTATAAGAAGATGTTTCCTTTTCTACTGTAGGCCTCAAAGCGCTTGAAATCTCCAGCTGCAAATTCCACAAAAAGGGTGTTTAACATCTGCTCTTCTAAAGGAAAGTTCAACTCTATGCGTTGAATACACACAGCACAAAGAAGTTACTGAGACTTCTCCTATCAAACATTATATGAAGAAATCCCGTTTCCAACGAAGGCCTCACAGAGGTCCAAATATCTGCTTGCAGACTTTACAGACAGAGTGTTTCCAAACTGCTCCATCAAAAGAAAGGTTAAACTCCTTGAGTTGAACACACACATCACAAAGTAGTTTCTGTGAATGATTCTGTCTAGTTTTTATACGAAGATGTTTCCTTTTCTACATTTGGTCTCAAAGCGATTGAAATCTCCAACTGGAAAGTGCACAAATAGGGTGTTTCAAATCTGCTCTGTCTAAAGGAAGGTTCAACTCTGTGAGTTGAATACACACAACACAAATAAGTTACTGAGAAATCTTCTGTCAAACATTCCTTGAAGAAATTCCGTTTCCAACGAAGGCCTCAAAGAGGTCCAAATATCCACTTGCAGACATTACAAATAGTGTGTTTCCAAACTGCTCCATCAAAAGAAAGGTTAAACTCTGTGAGCTGAACACACACATCAAAAAGAAGTTTCTGTGAATGATTCTGTCTAGATTTTCTAAGAAGATGTTTCCTTTTCTACCGTAGGCCTCAAAGCGCTTGAAATCTCCAGCTGCAAATTCCACAAAAAGGGTGTTTAACATCTGCTCTTCTAAAGGAAAGTTCAACTCTATGAGTTGAATACACACAACACAAAGAAGTTACTGAGACTTCTCCTATCAAACATTATATGAAGAAATCCCGTTTCCAACGAAGGCCTCAAAGAGGTCCAAATATCTGCTTGCAGACTTTACAGACAGAGTGTTTCCAAACTGCTCCATCAAAAGAAAGGTTAAACTCCTTGAGTTGAACACACACATCACAAAGTAGTTTCTGTGAATGATTCTGTCTAGTTTTTATACGAAGATGTTTCCTTTTCTACCTTTGGTCTCAAAGCGATTGAAATCTCCACATGGAAACTCCACAAAAAGAGTGTTTCAAATCTGCTCTTTCTGAAGGAAGGTTCAACTCTGTGAGTTGAATACACACACCACAAATAAGTTACTGAGAATTCTTCTGTGTAACATTATATGAGGAAATCCCGTTTCCAACGAAGGCCTCAAAGAGGTCCAAATATCCACTTGCAGACTTTACAAAGACAGTGTCTCCAAACTCCTCCATCAAAAGAAAGGTTATACTCTGTGAATTGAACGCACACATCACAAAGTAGTTTCTGAGAATGATTCTGTCTAGTTTTTATACGAAGATATTTCCTTTTCTACATTTGGCCTAAAAGCGCTTGAAATCTCCACCTGCAAATATCACAAAAAGAGGGTTTCACATCTGCTCTGTCTAAAGGACAGTTCACCTCTGTGAGTTGAATAGAGGCAACACAAAGAACTTAGTATTCTTCTTTCTAGCGTTCTATGAAGAAATCCCGTTTCCCAACGAAGGCCTCAAAGAGGTTCAAATATCTGCTTGCAGACTTTACAGACAGAGTGTTTCCAAACTACTCTATGAAAAGAAAGCTTAAACTCCTTGAGTTGAACGCAGACATCACAAAGTAGTTTCTGAGAATGATTCTGTCTAGTTTTTATACGAAGATGTTTCCTTTTCTACATTTGGTCTCAAAGAGATTGAAATCTCCAACTGGAAACTGCACAAATAGGGTGTTTCAAATCTGCTCTGTCTAAAGGAAGGTTCAACTCTGTGAGTTGAATACACACACCACAAATAAGTTACTGAGAATTCTTCTGTCGAACATTACTTGAAGAAATCCCGTTTCCAACGAAGGCCTCAAAGAGGTCCAAATATCCACTTGCAGACATTACAAACAGAGTGTTTCCAAACTGCTCCATCAAAAGAAAGGTTAAACTCTGTGAGCTGAACACACACATCGAAAAGAAGTTTCTGTGAATGATTCTGTCTAGATTTTATAAGAAGATGTTTCCTTTTCTACCGTAGGCCTCAAAGCGCTTGAAATCTCCAGCTGCAAATTCCACAAAAAGGGTGTTTAACATCTGCTCTTCTAAAGGAAAGTTCAACTCTATGAGTTGAATACACACAGCACAAAGAAGTTGCTGAGACTTCTCCTATCAAACATTATATGAAGAAATCCCGTTTCCAACGAAGGCCTCAAAGAGGTCCAAATATCTGCTTGCAGACTTTACAGACAGAGTGTTTCCAAACTGCTCCATCAAAAGAAAGGTTAAACTCCTTGAGTTGAACACACACATCACAAAGTAGTTTCTGTGAATGATTCTGTCTAGTTTTTATACGAAGATGTTTCCTTTTCTACCTTTGGTCTCAATGCGATTGAAATCTCCACATGGAAACTCCACAAAAAGAGTGTTTCAAATCTGCTCTTTCTGAAGGAAGGTTCAACTCTGTGAGTTGAATACACACACCACAAATAAGTTACTGAGAATTCTTCTGTGTAACATTATATGAGGAAATCCCGTTTCCAACGAAGGCCTCAAAGAGATCCAAATATCCACTTGCAGACTTTACAAAGACAGTGTCTCCAAACTCCTCCATCAAAAGAAAGGTTATACTCTGTGAATTGAACGCACACATCACAAAGTAGTTTCTGAGAATGATTCTGTCTAGTTTTTATACGAAGATATTTCCTTTTCTACATTTGGCCTAAAAGCGCTTGAAATCTCCACCTGCAAATATCACAAAAAGAGGGTTTCACATCTGCTCTCTCTAAAGGACAGTTCACCTCTGTGAGTTGAATAGAGGCAACACAAAGAACTTACTCAGTATTCTTCTTTCTAGCGTTCTATGAAGAAATCCTGTTTCCAACGAAGGCCCCAAAGAGGTCCAAATATCTGCTTGCAGACTTTACAGACAGAGTGTTTCCAAACTACTCTATGAAAAGAAATCTTAAACTCCTTGAGTTGAACGCACACATCACAAAGTAGTTTCTGAGAATGATTCTGTCTAGTTTTTATACGAAGATGTTTCCTTTTCTACATTTGGTCTCAAAGCGATTGAAATCTCCAACTGGAAACTGCACAAATAGGGTGTTTCAAATCTGCTCTGTCTAAAGGAAGGTTCAACTCTTTGAGTTGAATACACACACCACAAATAAGTTCCTGAGAATTCTTCTGTCGAACATTACTTGAAGAAATCCCGTTTCCAACGAAGGCCTCAAAGAGGTCCAAATATCCACTTGCAGACATTACAAACAGAGTGTTTCCAAACTGCTCCATCAAAAGAAAGGTTAAACTCTGTGAGCTGAACACACACATCAAAAAGAAGTTTCTGTGAATGATTCTGTCTAGATTTTATAAGAAGATGTTTCCTTTTCTACCGTAGGCCTCAAAGTGCTTGAAATCTCCAGCTGCAAATTCCACAAAAAGGGTGTTTAACATCTGCTCTTCTAAAGGAAAGTTCAACTCAATGAGTTGAATACACACAGCCCAAAGAAGTTACTGAGACTTCTCCTATCAAACATTATATGAAGAAATCCCGTTTCCAACGAAGGCCTCAAAGAGGTCCAAATATCTGCTTGCAGACTTTACAAAGACAGTGTCTCCAAACTCCTCCATCAAAAGAAAGGTTATACTCTGTGAATTGAACGCACACATCACAAAGTAGTTTCTGAGAATGATTCTGTCTAGTTTTTATACGAAGATATTTCCTTTTCTACATTTGGCCTCAAAGCGCTTGAAATCTCCACCTGCAAATATCACAAAAAGAGGGTTTCACATCTGCTCTGTCTAAAGGACAGTTCACCTCTGTGAGTTGAATAGAGGCAACACAAAGAACTTACTCAGTATTCTTCTTTCTACCGTTCTATGAAGAAATCCCGTTTCCAACGAAGGCCTCAAAGAGGTCCAAATATCTGCTTGCAGACTTTACAGACAGAGTGTTTCCAAACTACTCTATGAAAAGAAAGCTTAAACTCCTTGAGTTGAACGCACACATCACAAAGTAGTTTCTGAGAATGATTCTGTCTAGTTTTTATACGAAGATGTTTCCTTTTCTACATTTCGTCTCAAAGCGATTGAAATCTCCAACTGGAAACTGCACAAATAGGGTGTTTCAAATCTGCTCTGTCTAAAGGAAGGTTCAACTCTGTGAGTTGAATACACACAACACAAATAAGTTACTGAGAATTCTTCTGTCGAACATTACTTGAAGAAATCCCGTTTCCAACGAAGGCCTCAAAGAGGTCCAAATATCCACTTGCAGACATTACAAACAGAGTGTTTCCAAACTGCTCCATGAAAAGAAAGGTTAAACTCTGTGAGCTGAACACACACATCAAAAAGAAGTTTCTGTGAATGATTCTGTCTAGATTTTATAAGAAGATGTTTCCTTTTCTACCGTAGGCCTCAAAGCGCTTGAAATCTCCAGCTGCAAATTCCACAAAAAGGGTGTTTAACATCTGCTCTTCTAAAGGAAAGTTCAACTCTATGAGTTGAATACACACAGCACAAAGAAGTTACTGAGACTTCTCCTATCAAACATTATATGAAGAAATCCCGTTTCCAACGAAGGCCTCAAAGAGGTCCAAATATCTGCTTGCAGACTTTACAGACAGAGTGTTTCCAAACTGCTCCATCAAAAGAAAGGTTAAACTCCTTGAGTTGAACACACACATCACAAAGTAGTTTCTGTGAATGATTCTGTCTAGTTTTTATACGAAGATGTTTCCTTTTCTACCTTTGGTCTCAAAGCGATTGAAATCTCCACATGGAAACTCCACAAAAAGAGTGTTTCAAATCTGCTCTTTCTGAAGGAAGGTTCAACTCTGTGAGTTGAATACACACACCACAAATAAGTTACTGAGAATTCTTCTGTGTAACATTATATGAGGAAATCCCGTTTCCAACGAAGGCCTCAAAGAGGTCCAAATATCCACTTGCAGACTTTACAAAGACAGTGTCTCCAAACTCCTCCATCAAAAGAAAGGTTATACTCTGTGAATTGAACGCACACATCACAAAGTAGTTTCTGAGAATGATTCTGTCTAGTTTTTATACGAAGATATTTCCTTTTCTACATTTGGCCTAAAAGCGCTTGAAATCTCCACCTGCAAATATCACAAAAAGAGGGTTTCACATCTGCTCTGTCTAAAGGACAGTTCACCTCTGTGAGTTGAATAGAGGCAACACAAAGAACTTACTCAGTATTCTTCTTTCTAGCGTTCTATGAAGAAATCCCGTTTCCAACGAAGGCCCCAAAGAGGTCCAAATATCTGCTTGCAGACTTTACAGACAGAGTGTTTCCAAACTACTCTATGAAAAGAAAGCTTAAACTCCTTGAGTTGAACGCACACATCACAAAGTAGTTTCTGAGAATGATTCTGTCTAGTTTTTATACGAAGATGTTTCCTTTTCTACAATTGGTCTCAAAGCGATTGAAATCTCCAACTGAAAACTGCACAAATAGGGTGTTTCAAATCTGCTCTGTCTAAAGGAAGGTTCAACTCTGTGAGTTGAATACACACACCACAAATAAGTTACTGAGAATTCTTCTGTCGAACATTCCTTGAAGAAATCCCGTTTCCAACGAAGGCCTCAAAGAGGTCCAAATATCCACTTGCAGACATTACAAACAGAGTGTTTCCAAACTGCTCCATCAAAAGAAAGGTTAAACTCTGTGAGCTGAACACACACATCAAAAAGAAGTTTCTGTGAATGATTCTGTCTAGATTTTATAAGAAGATGTTTCCTTTTCTACCGTAGGCCTCAAAGCGCTTGAAATCTCCAGCTGCAAATTCCACAAAAAGGGTGTTTAACATCTGCTCTTCTAAAGGAAAGTTCAACTCTATGAGTTGAATACACACAGCACAAAGAAGTTACTGAGACTTCTCCTATCAAACATTATATGAAGAAATCCCGTTTCCAACGAAGGCCTCAAAGAGGTCCAGATATCTGCTTGCAGACTTTACAGACAGAGTGTTTCCAAACTGCTCCATCAAAAGAAAGGTTAAACTCCTTGAGTTGAACACACACATCACAAAGTAGTTTCTGTGAATGATTCTGTCTAGTTTTTATACGAAGATGTTTCCTTTTCTACCTTTGGTCTCAAAGCGATTGAAATCTCCACATGGAAACTCCACAAAAAGAGTGTTTCAAATCTGCTCTTTCTGAAGGAAGGTTCAACTCTGTGAGTTGAATACAGACACCACAAATAAGTTACTGAGAATTCTTCTGTGTAACATTATATGAGGAAATCCCGTTTCCAACGAAGGCCTCAAAGAGGTCCAAATATCCACTTGCAGACTTTACAAAGACAGTGTCTCCAAACTCCTCCATCAAAAGAAAGGTTATACTCTGTGAATTGAACGCACACATCACAAAGTAGTTTCTGAGAATGATTCTGTCTAGTTTTTATACGAAGATATTTCCTTTTCTACATTTGGCCTAAAAGCGCTTGAAATCTCCACCTGCAAATATCACAAAAAGAGGGTTTCACATCTGCTCTGTCTAAAGGACAGTTCACCTCTGTGAGTTGAATAGAGGCAACACAAAGAACTTACTCAGTATTCTTCTTTCTAGCGTTCTATGAAGAAATCCCGTTTCCAACGAAGGCCCCAAAGAGGTCCAAATATCTGCTTGCAGACTTTACAGACAGAGTGTTTCCAAACTACTCTATGAAAAGAAAGCTTAAACTCCTTGAGTTGAACGCACACATCACAAAGTAGTTTCTGAGAATGATTCTGTCTAGTTTTTATACGAAGATGTTTCCTTTTCTACATTTGGTCTCAAAGCGATTGAAATCTCCAACTGGAAACTGCACAAATAGGGTGTTTCAAATCTGCTCTGTCTAAAGGAAGGTTCAACTCTTTGAGTTGAATACACACACCACAAATAAGTTACTGAGAATTCTTCTGTCGAACATTACATGAAGAAATCCCGTTTCCAACGAAGACCTCAAAGAGGTCCAAATATCCACTTGCAGACATTACAAACAGAGTGTTTCCAAACTGCTCCATCAAAAGAAAGGTTAAACCCTGTGAGCTGAACACACACATCAAAAAGATGTTTCTGTGAATGATTCTGTCTAGATTTTATAAGAAGATGTTTCCTTTTCTTCTGTAGGCCTCAAAGCGCTTGAATTCTCCAACTGCAAATTCCAGAAGAAGGGTGTTTAACATCTGCTCTTCTAAAGGAGAGTTCAACTCTATGAGTTGAATACACACAGCACAAAGAAGTTACTGAGACTTCTCCTATCAAACATTATATGAAGAAATCCCGTTTCCAACGAAGGCCTCAAAGAGGTCCAAATATCTGCTTGCAGACTTTAAAGACAGAGTTTTTCCAAACTCCTCCATCAAAAGAAAGGTTAAACTCCTTGAGTTGAACACACACATCACAAAGTAGTTTCTGTGAATGATTTCTGTCTAGTTTTTATACGAAGATGTTTCCTTTTCTACCTTTGGTCTCAAAGCGATTGAAATCTCCACAGGGAAACTCCATAAAAAGAGTGTTTCAAATCTGCTCTTTCTGAAGGAAGGTTCAACTCTGTGAGTTGAATACACACACCACAAATAAGTTACTGAGAATTCTTCTGTGTAACATTATATGAGGAAATCCCATTTCCAACGAAGGCCTCAAAGAGGTCCAAATATCCACTTGCAGACTTTACAAAGACAGTGTCTCCAAACTCCTCCATCAAAAGAAAGGTTATACTCTGTGAATTGAACGCACACATCACAAAGTAGTTTCTGAGAATGATTCTGTCTAGTTTTTATACGAAGATATTTCCTTTTCTACATTTGGCCTAAAAGCGCTTGAAATCTCCACCTGCAAATATCACCAAAAGAGGGTTTCACATCTGCTCTGTCTAAAGGACAGTTCACCTCTGTGAGTTGAATAGAGGCAACACAAAGAACTTACTCAGTATTCTTCTTTCTAGCATTCTATGAAGAAATCCCGTTTCCAACGAAGGCCCCAAAGAGGTCCAAATATGTGCTTGCAGACTTTACAGACAGAGTTTTTCCAAACTGCTCCATCAAAAGAAAGGTTAAACTCCTTGAGTTGAACACACACATCACAAAGTAGTTTCTGTGAATGATTCTGTCTAGTTTTTATACGAAGATGTTTCCTTTTCTACCTTTGGTCTCAAAGCGATTGAAATCTCCACATGGAAACTCCACAAAAAGAGTGTTTCAAATCTGCTCTTTCTGAAGGAAGGTTCAACTCTGTGAGTTGAATACACACACCACAAATAAGTTACTGAGAATTCTTCTGTGTAACATTATATGAGGAAATCACGTTTCCAACGAAGGCCTCAAAGAGGTCCAAATATCCACTTGCAGACTTTACAAAGACAGTGTCTCCAAACTCCTCCATCAAAAGAAAGGTTATACTCTGTGAATTGAACGCACACATCACAAAGTAGTTTCTGAGAATGATTCTGTCTAGTTTTTATACGAAGATATTTCCTTTTCTACATTTGGCCTAAAAGCGCTTGAAATCTCCACCTGCAAATATCACAAAAAGAGGGTTTCACATCTGCTCTGTCTAAAGGACAGTTCACCTCTGTGAGTTGAATAGAGGCAACACAAAGAACTTACTCAGTATTCTTCTTTCTAGCGTTCTATGAAGAAATCCCGTTTCCAACGAAGACCCCAATGAGGTCCAAATATCTGCTTGCAGACTTTACAGACAGAGTGTTTCCAAACTACTCTATGAAAAGAAAGCTTAAACTCCTTGAGTTGAACGCACACATCACAAAGTAGTTTCTGAGAATGATTCTGTCTAGTTTTTATACGAAGATATTTCCTTTTCTACATTTGGTCTCAAAGCGATTGAAATCTCCAACTGGAGACTGCACAAATAGGGTGTTTCAAATCTGCTCTGTCTAAAGGAAGGTTCAACTCTGTGAGTTGAATACACACACCACAAATAAGTTACTGAGAATTCTTCTGTCGAACATTACATGAAGAAATCCCGTTTCCAACGAAGGCCTCAAAGAGGTCCAAATATCCACTTGCAGACATTACAAACAGAGTGTTTCCAAACTGCTCCATCAAAAGAAAGGTTAAACTCTGTGAGCTGAACACACACATCAAAAAGAAGTTTCTGTGAATGATTCTGTCTAGATTTTATAAGAAGATGTTTCCTTTTCTACCGTAGGCCTCAAAGCGCTTGAAATCTCCAGCTGCAAATTCCACAAAAAGGGTGTTTAACATCTGCTCTTCTAAAGGAAAGTTCAACTCTATGAGTTGAATACACACAGCACAAAGAAGTTACTGAGACTTCTCCTATCAAACATTATATGAAGAAATCCCGTTTCCAACGAAGGCCTCAAAGAGGTCCAAATATCTGCTTGCAGACTTTACAGACAGAGTGTTTCCAAACTGCTCCATCAAAAGAAAGGTTAAACTCCTTGAGTTGAACACACACATCACAAAGTAGTTTCTGTGAATGATTCTGTCTAGTTTTTATACGAAGATGTTTCCTTTTCTACCTTTGGTCTCAAAGCGATTGAAATCTCCACATGGAAACTCCACAAAAAGAGTGTTTCAAATCTGTTCTTTCTGAAGGAAGGTTCAACTCTGTGAGTTGAATACACACACCACAAATAAGTTACTGAGAATTCTTCTGTGTAACATTATATGAGGAAATCCCGTTTCCAACGAAGGCCTCAAAGAGGTCCAAATATCCACTTGCAGACTTTTAAAAGACAGTGTCTCGAAACTCCTCCATCAAAAGAAAGGTTATACTCTGTGAATTGAACGCACACATCACAAAGTAGCTTCTGAGAATGATTCTGTCTAGTTTTTATACGAAGATATTTCCTTTTCTACATTTGGCTTCAAAGCGCTTGAAATCTCCACCTGCAAATATCACAAAAAGAGGGTTTCACATCTGCTCTGTCTAAAGGATAGTTCACTTTTGTGAGTTGAATAGAGGCAACACAAAGAACTTACTCAGTATTCTTCTTTCTAGCGTTCCATGAAGAAATCCCGTTTCCAACGAAGGCCCCAAAGAGGTCCAAATATCTGCTTGCAGACTTTACAGACAGAGTGTTTCCAAACTACTCTATGAAAAGAAAGCTTAAACTCCTTGAGTTGAACGCACACATCACAAAGTAGTTTCTGAGAATGATTCTGTCTAGTTTTTATACGAAGATGTTTCCTTTTCTACATTTGGTCTCAAAGCGATTGAAATCTCCAACTGGAAACTGCACAAATAGGGTGTTTCAAATCTGCTCTGTCTAAAGGAAGGTTCAACTCTGTGAGTTGAATACACACACCACAAATAAGTTACTGAGAATTCTTCTGTCGACCATTACTTGAAGAAATCCCGTTTCCAACGAAGGCCTCAAAGAGGTCCAAATATCCACTTGCAGACATTACAAACAGAGTGTTTCCAAACTGCTCCATCAAAAGAAAGGTTAAACTCTGTGAGCTGAACACACACATCAAAAAGAAGTTTCTGTGAATGATTCTGTCTAGATTTTATAAGAAGATGTTTCCTTTTCTACCGTAGGCCTCAAAGCGCTTGAAATCTCCAGCTGCAAATTCCACAAAAAGGGTGTTTAACATCTGCTCTTCTAAAGGAAAGTTCAACTCTATGAGTTGAATACACACAGCACAAAGAAGTTACTGAGACTTCTCCTATCAAACATTATATGAAGAAATCCCGTTTCCAACGAAGGCCTCAAAGAGGTCCAAATATCTGCTTGCAGACTTTACAGACAGAGTGTTTCCAAACTGCTCCATCAAAAGAAAGGTTAAACTCCTTGAGTTGAACACACACATCACAAAGTAGTTTCTGTGAATGATTCTGTCTAGTTTTTGTACGAAGATGTTTCCTTTTCTACCTTTGGTCTCAATGCGATTGAAATCTCCACATGGAAACTCCACAAAAAGAGTGTTTCAAATCTGCTCTTACTGAAGGAAGGTTCAACTCTGTGAGTTGAATACACACACCACAAATAAGTTACTGAGAATTCTTCTGTGTAACATTATATGAGGAAATCCCGTTTCCAACGAAGGCCTCAAAGAGGTCCCAAATATCCACTTGCAGACTTTACAAAGACAGTGTCTCCAAACTCCTCCATCAAAAGAAAGGTTATACTCTGTGAATTGAACGCACACATCACAAAGTAGTTTCTGAGAATGATTCTGTCTAGTTTTTATACGAAGATATTTCCTTTTCTACATTTGGCCTAAAAGCGCTTGAAATCTCCACCTGCAAATATCACAAAAAGAGGGTTTCACATCTGCTCTGTCTAAAGGACAGTTCACCTCTGTGAGTTGAATAGAGGCAACACAAAGAACTTACTCAGTATTCTTCTTTCTAGCGTTCTATGAAGAAATCCCGTTTCCAACGAAGGCCCCAAAGAGGTCCAAATATCTGCTTGCAGACTTTACAGACAGAGTGTTTCCAAACTACTCTATGAAAAGAAAGCTTAAACTCCTTGAGTTGAACGCACACATCACAAAGTAGTTTCTGAGAATGATTCTGTCTAGTTTTTATACGAAGATGTTTCCTTTTCTACATTTAGTCTCAAAGCGATTGAAATCTCCAACTGGAAACTGCACAAATAGGGTGTTTCAAATCTGCTCTGTCTAAAGGAAGGTTCAACTCTGTGAGTTGAATACACACACCACAAATAAGTTACTGAGAATTCTTCTGTCGAACATTACATGAAGAAATCCCGTTTCCAACGAAGGCCTCAAAGAGGTCCAAATATCCACTTGCAGACATTACAAACAGTGTGTTTCCAAACTGCTCCATCAAAAGAAAGGTTAAACTCTGTGAGCTGAACACACACATCAAAAAGAAGTTTCTGTGAGTGATTCTGTCTAGATTTTATAAGAAGATGTTTCCTTTTCTACCGTAGGCCTCAAAGCGCTTGAAATCTCCAGCTGCAAATTCCACAAAAAGGGTGTTTAACATCTGCTCTTCTAAAGGAAAGTTCAACTCTATGAGTTGAATACACACAGCACAAAGAAGTTACTGAGACTTCTCCTATCAAACATTATATGAAGAAATCCCGTTTCCAACGAAGGCCTCAAAGAGGTCCAAATATCTGCTTGCAGACATTACAGACAGAGTGTTTCCAAACTGCTCCATCAAAAGAAAGGTTAAACTCCTTGAGTTGAACACACACATCACAAAGTAGTTTCTGTGAATGATTCTGTCTAGTTTTTATACGAAGATGTTTCCTTTTCTACCTTTGGTCTCAAAGCGATTGAAATCTCCACATGGAAACTCCACAAAAAGAGTGTTTCAAATCTGCTCTTTCTGAAGGAAGGTTCATCTCTGTGAGTTGAATACACACACCACAAATAAGTTACTGAGAATTCTTCTGGGTAACATTATATGAGGAAATCCCGTTTCCAACGAAGGCCTCAAAGAGGTCCAAATATCCACTTGCAGACTTTACAAAGACAGTGTCTCCAAACTCCTCCATCAAAAGAAAGGTTATACTCTGTGAATTGAACGCACACATCACAAAGTAGTTTCTGAGAATGATTCTGTCTACTTTTTATACGAAGATATTTCCTTTTCTACATTAGGCCTAAAAGCCCTTGAAATCTCCACCTGCAAATATCACAAAAAGAGGGTTTCACATCTGCTCTGTCTGAAGGACTGTTCACCTCTGTGAGTTGAATAGAGGCAACACAAAGAACTTACTCAGTATTCGTCTTTCTAGCGTTCTATGAAGAAATCCCGTTTCCAACGAAGGCCCCAAAGAGGTCCAAATATCTGCTTGCAGACTTTACAGACAGAGTGTTTCCAAACTACTCTATGAAAAGAAAGCTTAAACTCCTTGAGTTGAACGCACACATCACAAAGTAGTTTCTGAGAATGATTCTGTCTTGTTTTTATACCAAGATCTTTCCGTTTCTATGATTGGCCTCAAAGCGATTGAAATCTCCAACTGGAAACTGCACAAATAGGGTGTTTCAAATCTGCTCTGTCTAAAGGAAGGTTCAACTCTGTGAGTTGAATACACACACAACAAATAAGTTACTGAGAATTCTTCTGTTGAACATTACATGAAGAAATCCCGTTTCCAACGAAGGCCTCAAAGAGGTCCAAATATCCACTTGCAGACATTACAGACAGAGTGTTTCCAAACTGCTCCATCAAAGGAAAGGTTAAACTCTGTGAGCTGAACACACACATCAAAAAGAAGTTTCTGTGAATGATTCTGTCTAGATTTTATAAGAAGATGTTTCCTTTTCTACCGTAGGCCTCAAAGCGCTTGAAATCTCCAGCTGCAAATTCCACAAAAAGGGTGTTTAACATCTGCTCTTCTAAAGGAAAGTTCAACTCTATGAGTTGAATACACACAGCACAAAGAAGTTTCTGAGACTTCTCCTATCAAACATTATATGAAGAAATCCCGTTTCCAACGAAGGCCTCAAAGAGGTCCAAATATCTGCTTGCAGACTTTACAGACAGAGTGTTTCCAAACTGCTCCATCAAAAGAAAGGTTAAACTCCTTGAGTTGAACACACACATCACAAAGTAGTTTCTGTGAATGATTCTGTCTAGTTTTTATACGAAGATGTTTCCTTTTCTACCTTTGGTCTCAAAGCGATTGAAATCTCCACATGGAAACTCCACAAAAAGAGTGTTTCAAATCTGCTCTTTCGGAAGGAAGGTTCAACTCTGTGAGTTGAATACACACACCACAAATAAGTTACTGAGAATTCTTCTGTGTAACATTATATGAGGAAATCCCGTTTCCAACGAAGGCCTCAAAGAGGTCCAAATATCCACTTGCAGACTTTACAAAGACAGTGTCTCCAAACTCCTCCATCAAAAGAAAGGTTATACTCTGTGAATTGAACGCACACATCACAAAGTAGTTTCTGAGAATGATTCTGTCTAGTTTTTATACGAAGATATTTCCTTTTCTACATTTGGCCTAAAAGCGCTTGAAATCTCCACCTGCAAATATCACTAAAAGAGGGTTTCACATCTGCTCTGTCTAAAGGACAGTTCACCTCTGTGAGTTGAATAGAGGCAACACAAAGAACTTACTCAGTATTCTTCTTTCTAGCGTTCTATGAAGAAATCCCGTTTCCAACGAAGGCCCCAAAGAGGTCCAAATATCTGCTTGCAGACTTTACAGACAGAGTGTTTCCAAACTACTCTATGAAAAGAAAGCTTAAACTCCTTGAGTTGAACGCACACATCACAAAGTAGTTTCTGAGAATGATTCTGTCTAGTTTTTATACGAAGATGTTTCCTTTTCTACATTTGGTCTCAAAGCGATTGAAATCTCCAACTGGAAACTGCACAAATAGGGTGTTTCAAATCTGCTCTGTCTAAAGGAAGGTTCAACTCTGTGAGTTGAATACACACACCACAAATAAGTTACTGAGAATTCTTCTGTCGAACATTACTTGAAGAAATCCCGTTTCCAATGAAGGCCTCAAAGAGGTCCAAATATCCACTTGCAGACATTACAAACAGAGTGTTTCCAAACTGCTCCATCAAAAGAAAGGTTAAACTCTGTGAGCTGAACACACACATCAAAAAGAAGTTTCTGTGAATGATTCTGTCTAGATTTTATAAGAAGATGTTTCCTTTTCTACCGTAGGCCTCAAAGCGCTTGAAATCTCCAGCTGCAAATTCCACAAAAAGGGTGTTTAACATCTGCTCTTCTAAAGGAAAGTTCAACTCTATGAGTTGAATACACACAGCACAAAGAAGTTACTGAGACTTCTCCTATCAAACATTATATGAAGAAATCCCGTTTCCAACGAAGGCCTCAAAGAGGTCCAAATATCTGCTTGCAGACTTTACAAAGACAGTGTCTCCAAACTCCTCCATCAAAAGAAAGGTTATACTCTGTGAATTGAACGCACACATCACAAAGTAGTTTCTGAGAATGATTCTGTCTAGTTTTTATACGAAGATATTTCCTTTTCTACATTTGGCCTAAAAGCGCTTGAAATCTCCACCTGCAAATATCTCAAAAAGAGGGTTTCACATCTGCTCTGTCTAAAGGACAGTTCACCTCTGTGAGTTGAATAGAGGCAACACAAAGAACTTACTCAGTATTCTTCTTTCTAGCGTTCTATGAAGAAATCCCGTTTCCAACGAAGGCCCCAAAGAGGTCCAAATATCTGCTTGCAGACTTTACAGACAGAGTGTTTCCAAACTACTCTATGAAAAGAAAGCTTAAACTCCTTGAGTTGAATGCACACATCAAAAAGTAGTTTCTGAGAATGATTCTGTCTAGTTTTTATACGAAGATGTTTCCTTTTCTACATTTGGTCTCAAAGCGATTGAAATCTCCAACTGGAAACTGCACAAATAGGGTGTTTCAAATCTGCTCTGTCTAAAGGAAGGTTCAACTCTGTGAGTTGAATACACACACCACAAATAAGTTACTGAGAATTCTTCTGTCGAACATTACTTGAAGAAATCCCGTTTCCAACGAAGGCCTCAAAGAGGTCCAAATATCCACTTGCAGACATTACAAACAGAGTGTTTCCAAACTGCTCCATCAAAAGAAAGGTTAAACTCTGTGAGCTGAACACACACACCAAAAAGAAGTTTCTGTGAATGATTCTATCTAGATTTTATAAGAAGATGTTTCCTTTTCTACCGTAGGCCTCAAAGCGCTTGAAATCTCCAGCTGCAAATTCCACAAAAAGGGTGTTTAACATCTGCTCTTCTAAAGGAAAGTTCAACTCTATGAGTTGAATACACACAGCACAAAGAAGTTACTGAGACTTCTCCTATCAAACATTATATGAAGAAATCCCGTTTCCAACGAAGGCCTCAAAGAGGTCCAAATATCTGCTTGCAGACTTTACAGACAGAGTGTTTCCAAACTGCTCCATCAAAAGAAAGGTTAAACTCCTTGAGTTGAACACACACATCACAAAGTAGTTTCTGTGAATGATTCTGTCTAGTTGTTATACGAAGATGTTTCCTTTTCTACCTTTGGTCTCAAAGCGATTGAAATCTCCACATGGAAACTCCACAAAAAGAGTGTTTCAAATCTGCTCTTTCTGAAGGAAGGTTCATCTCTGTGAGTTGAATATACACACCACAAATAAGTTACTGAGAATTCTTCTGGGTAACATTATATGAGGAAATCCCGTTTCCAACGAAGGCCTCAAAGAGGTCCAAATATCCACTTGCAGACTTTACAAAGACAGTGTCTCCAAACTCCTCCATCAAAAGAAAGGTTATACTCTGTGAATTGAACGCACACATCACAAAGTAGTTTCTGAGAATGATTCTGTCTAGTTTTTATACGAAGATATTTCCTTTTCTACATTTGGCCTAAAAGCGCTTGAAATCTCCACCTGCAAATATCACAAAAAGAGGGTTTCACATCTGCTCTGTCTAAAGGACAGTTCACCTCTGTGAGTTGAATAGAGGCAACACAAAGAACTTACTCAGTATTCTTCTTTCTAGCGTTCTATGAAGAAATCCCGTTTCCAACAAAGGCCCCAAAGAGGTCCAAATATCTGCTTGCAGACTTTACAGACAGAGTGTTTCCAAACTACTCTATGAAAAGAAAGCTTAAACTCCTTGAGTTGAACGCACACATCACAAAGTAGTTTCTGAGAATGATTCTGTCTAGTTTTTATACGAAGATGTTTCCTTTTCTACATTTGGTCTCAAAGCGATTGAAATCTCCAACTGGAAACTGCACAAATAGGGTGTTTCAAATCTGCTCTGTCTAAAGGAAGGTTCAACTCTGTGAGTTGAATACACACACCACAAATAAGTTACTGAGAATTCTTCTGTCGACCATTACTTGAAGAAATCCCGTTTCCAACGAAGGCCTCAAAGAGGTCCAAATATCCACTTGCAGACATTACAAACAGAGTGTTTCCAAACTGCTCCATCAAAAGAAAGGTTAAACTACTGTGAGCTGAACACACACATCGAAAAGAAGTTTCTGTGAATGATTTCTGTCTAGATTTTATAAGAACATATTTCCTTTTCTACCGTAGGCCACAAAGCGCTTGAAATCTCCAGCTGCAAATTCCACAAAAAGGGTGTTTAACATCTGCTCTTCTAAAGGAAAGTTCAACTCTATGAGTTGAATACACACAGCACAAAGAAGTTACTGAGACTTCTCCTATCTAACATTATATGAAGAAATCCCGTTTCCAACGAAGGCCTCAAAGAGGTCCAAATATCTGCTTGCAGACTTTACAGACAGAGTGTTTCCAAACTGCTCCATCAAAAGAAAGGTTAAACTCCTTGAGTTGAACACACACATCACAAAGTAGTTTCTGTGAATGATTCTGTCTAGTTGTTATACGAAGATGTTTCCTTTTCTACCTTTGGTCTCAAAGCGATTGAAATCTCCACATGGAAACTCCACAAAAAGAGTGTTTCAAATCTGCTCTTTCTGAAGGAACGTTCATCTCTGTGAGTTGAATACACACACCACAAATAAGTTACTGAGAATTCTTCTGGGTAACATTATATGAGGAAATCCCGTTTCCAACGAAGGCCTCAAAGAGGTCCAAATATCCACTTGCAGACTTTACAAAGACAGTGTCTCCAAACTCCTCCATCAAAAGAAAGGTTATACTCTGTGAATTGAACGCACACATCACAAAGTAGTTTCTGAGAATGATTCTGTCTAGTTTTTATACGAAGATATTTCCTTTTCTACATTTGGCCTAAAAGCGCTTGAAATCTCCACCTGCAAATATCACAAAAAGAGGGTTTCACATCTGCTCTGTCTAAAGGACAGTTCACCTCTGTGAGTTGAATAGAGGCAACACAAAGAACGTACTCAGTATTCTTCTTTCTAGCGTTCTATGAAGAAATCCCGTTTCCAACGAAGGCCTCAAAGAGGTCCAAATATCTGCTTGCAGACTTTACAGACAGAGTGTTTCCAAACTACTCTATGAAAAGAAAGCTTAAACTCCTTGAGTTAAACGCACACATCACAAAGTAGTTTCTGAGAATGATTGTGTCTAGTTTTTATACGAAGATGTTTCCTTTTCTACATTTGGTCTCAAAGCGATTGAAATCTCCAAGTGCAAGCTGCACAAATAGGTTGTTTCAAATCTGCTCTGTCTAAAGGAAGGTTCAACTCTGTGAGTTGAATACACACACCACAAATAAGTTACTGAGAATTCTTCTGTCGAACATTACATGAAGAAATCCAGTTTCCAACGAAGGCATCAAAGAGGTCCAAATATCCACTTGCAGACATTACAGAGTGTTTCCAAACTGCTCCATCAAAAGAAAGGTTAAACTCTGTGAGCTGAACACACACATCGAAAAGAAGTTTCTGTGAATGATTCTGTCTAGATTTTATAAGAAGATGTTTCCTTTTCTACCGTAGGCCTCAAAGCGCTTGAAATCTCCAGCTGCAAATTCCACAAAAAGGGTGTTTAACATCTGCTCTTCTAAAGGAAAGTTCAACTCTATGAGTTGAATACACACAGCACAAAGAAGTTACTGAGACTTCTCCTGTGAAACATTATATGAAGAAATCCCGTTTCCAACGAAGGCCTCAAAGAGGTCCAAATATCTGCTTGCAGACTTTACAGACAGAGTGTTTCCAAACTGCTCCATCAAAAGAAAGGTTAAACTCCTTGAGTTGAACACACACATCACAAAGTAGTTTCTGTGAATGATTCTGTCTAGTTGTTATACGAAGATGTTTCCTTTTCTACCTTTGGTCTCAAAGCGATTGAAATCTCCACATGGAAACTCCACAAAAAGAGTGTTTCAAATCTGCTCTTTCTGAAGGAAGGTTCATCTCTGTGAGTTGAATACACACACCACAAATAAGTTACTGAGAATTCTTCTGTGTAACATTATATGAGGAAATCCCGTTTCCAACGAAGGCCTCAAAGAGGTCCAAATATCCACTTGCAGACTTTACAAAGACAGTGTCTCCAAACTCCTCCATCAAAAGAAAGGTTATACTCTGTGAATTGAACGCACACATCACAAAGTAGTTTCTGAGAATGATTCTGTCTAGTTTTTATACGAAGATATTTCCTTTTCTACATTTGGCCTAAAAGCGCTTGAAATCTCCACCTGCAAATATCACAAAAAGAGGGTTTCACATCTGCTCTGTTTAAAGGACAGTTCACCTCTGTGAGTTGAATAGAGGCAACACAAAGAACTTACTCAGTATTCTTCTTTCTAGCGTTCTATGAAGAAATCCCGTTTCCAACAAAGGCCCCAAAGAGGTCCAAATATCTGCTTGCAGACTTTACAGACAGAGTGTTTCCAAACTACTCTATGAAAAGAAAGCTTAAACTCCTTGAGTTGAATGCACACATCACAAAGTAGTTTCTGAGAATGATTCTGTCTAGTTTTTATACGAAGATGTTTCCTTTTCTACATTTGGTCTCAAAGCGATTGAAATCTCCAACTGGAAACTGCACAAATAGGGTGTTTCAAATCTGCTCTGTCTAAAGGAAGGTTCAACTCTTTGAGTTGAATACACACACCACAAATAAGTTACTGAGAATTCTTCTGTCGAACATTACAGGAAGAAATCCCGTTTCCAACGAAGGCCTCAAAGAGGTCCAAATATCCACTTGCAGACATTACAAACAGAGTGTTTCCAAACTGCTCCATCAAAAGAAAGGTTAAACTCTGTGAGCTGAACACACACATCAAAAAGAAGTTTCTGTGAATGATTCTGTCTAGATTTTATAAGAAGATGTTTCCTTTTCTACCGTAGGCCTCAAAGCGCTTGAAATCTCCAGCTGCAAATTCCACAAAAATGGTGTTTAACATCTGCTCTTCTAAAGGAAAGTTCAACTCAATGAGTTGAATACACACAGCAGAAAGAAGTTACTGAGACTTCTCCTATCAAACATTATATGAAGAAATCCCGTTTCCAACGAAGGCCTCAAAGAGGTCCAAATATCTGCTTGCAGACTTTACAAAGACAGTGTCTCCAAACTCCTCCATCAAAAGAAAGGTTAAACTCCTTGAGTTGAACACACACATCACAAAGTAGTTTCTGTGAATGATTCTGTCTAGTTTTTATACGAAGATGTTTCCTTTTCTACCTTTGGTCTCAAAGCGATTGAAATCTCCACATGGAAACTCCACAAAAAGAGTGTTTCAAATCTGCTCTTTCTGAAGGAAGGTTCAACTCTGTGAGTTGAATACACACACCACAAATAAGTTACTGAGAATTCTTCTGGGTAACATTATATGAGGAAATCCCGTTTCCAACGAAGGCCTCAAAGAGGTCCAAATATCCACTTGCAGACTTTACAAAGACAGTGTCTCCAAACTCCTCCATCAAAAGAAAGGTTATACTCTGTGAATTGAACGCACACATCACAAAGTAGTTTCTGAGAATGATTCTGTCTAGTTTTTATACGAAGATATTTCCTTTTCTACATTTGGCCTAAAAGCGCTTGAAATCTCCACCTGCAAATATCACAAAAAGAGGGTTTCACATCTGCTCTGTCTAAAGGACAGTTCACCTCTGTGAGTTGAATAGAGGCAACACAAAGAACTTACTCAGTATTCTTCTTTCTAGCGTTCTATGAAGAAATCCCGTTTCCAACGAAGGCCCCAAAGAGGTCCAAATATCTGCTTGCAGACTTTACAGACAGAGTGTTTCCAAACTACTCTATGAAAAGAAAGCTTAAACTCCTTGAGTTGAACGCACACATCACAAAGTAGTTTCTGAGAATGATTCTGTCTAGTTTTTATACGAAGATGTTTCCTTTTCTACATTTGGTCTCAAAGCGATTGAAATCTCCAACTGGAAACTGCACAAATAGGGTGTTTCAAATCTGCTCTGTCTAAAGGAAGGTTCAACTCTGTGAGTTGAATACACACACCACAAATAAGTTACTGAGAATTCTTCTGTCGAACATTACAGGAAGAAATCCCGTTTCCAACGAAGGCCTCAAAGAGGTCCAAATATCCACTTGCAGACATTACAAACAGTGTGTTTCCCAACTGCTCCATCAAAAGAAAGGTTAAACTCTGTGAGCTGAACACACACATCAAAAAGAAGTTTCTGTGAATGATTCTGTCTAGATTTTATAAGAAGATGTTTCCTTTTCTACCGTAGGCCTCAAAGCGCTTGAAATCTCCAGCTGCAAATTCCACAAAAAGGGTGTTTAACATCTGCTCTTCTAAAGGAAAGTTCAACTCTATGAGTTGAATACACACAGCACAAAGAAGTTACTGAGACTTCTCCTATCAAACATTATATGAAGAAATCCCGTTTCCAACGAAGGCCTCAAAGAGGTCCAAATATCTGCTTGCAGACTTTACAGACAGAGTGTTTCCAAACTGCTCCATCAAAAGAAAGGTTAAACTCCTTGAGTTGAACACACACATCACAAAGTAGTTTCTGTGAATGATTCTGTCTAGTTGTTATACGAAGATGTTTCCTTTTCTACCTTTGGTCTCAAAGCGATTGAAATCTCCACATGGAAACTCCACAAAAAGAGTGTTTCAAATCTGCTCTTTCTGAAGGAAGGTTCATCTCTGTGAGTTGAATACACACACCACAAATAAGTTAGTGAGAATTCTTCTGTGTAACATTATATGAGGAAATCCCGTTTCCAACGAAGGCCTCAAAGAGGTCCAAATATCCACTTGCAGACTTTACAAAGACAGTGTCTCCAAACTCCTCCATCAAAAGAAAGGTTATACTCTGTGAATTGAACGCACACATCACAAAGTAGTTTCTGAGAATGATTCTGTCTAGTTTTTATACGAAGATATTTCCTTTTCTACATTTGGCCTAAAAGCGCTTGAAATCTCCACCTGCAAATATCACAAAAAGAGGGTTTCACATCTGCTCTGTCTAAAGGACAGTTCACCTCTGTGAGTTGAATAGAGGCAACACAAAGAACTTACTCAGTATTCTTCTTTCTAGCGTTCTATAAAGAAATCCCGTTTCCAACGAAGGCCTCAAAGAGGTCCAAATATCTGCTTGCAGACTTTACAGACAGAGTGTTTTTAAACTGCTCCATCAAAAGAAAGGTTAAACTCCTTGAGTTGAACACACACATCAGAAAGTAGTTTCTGTGAATGATTCTGTCTAATTTTTATACGAAGATATTTCCTTTTCTACCTTTGGTCTCAAAGCGATTGAAATCTCCACATGGAAACTCCACAAAAAGAGTGTTTCAAATCTGCTCTCTCTGAAGGAAGGTTCAACTCTGTGAGTTGAAAACACACACCACAAATAAGTTACTGAGAATTCTTCTGTCGAACATTACTTGAAGAAATCCCGTTTCCAACGAAGGCCTCAAAGAGGTCCAAATATCCACTTGCAGACATTACAAACAGAGTGTTTCCAAACTGCTCCATCAAAAGAAAGGTTAAACTCTGTGAGCTGAACACACACATCAAAAAGAAGTTTCTGTGAATGATTCTGTCTAGATTTTATAAGAAGATGTTTCCTTTTCTACCGTAGGCCTCAAAGCGCTTGAAATCTCCAGCTGCAAATTCCACAAAAAGGGTGTTTAACATCTGCTCTTCTAAAGGAAAGTTCAACTCTATGAGTTGAATACACACAGCACAAAGAAGTTACTGAGACTTCTCCTATCAAACATTATATGAAGAAATCCCGTTTCCAACGAAGGCCCCAAGAGGTCCAAATATCTGCTTGCAGACTTTACAGACAGAGCGCTTCCAAACTGCTCCATCAAAAGAAAGGTTAAACTCCTTGAGTTGAACACACACATCACAAAGTAGTTTCTGTGAATGATTCTGTCTAGTTTTTATACGAAGATGTTTCCTTTTCTACCTTTGGTCTCAATGCGATTGAAATCTCCACATGGAAACTCCACAAAAAGAGTGTTTCAAATCTGCTCTTTCTGAAGGAAGGTTCAACTCTGTGAGTTGAATACACACACCACAAATAAGTTACTGAGAATTCTTCTGTGTAACATTATATGAGGAAATCCCGTTTCCAACGAAGGCCTCAAAGAGGTCCAAATATCCACTTGCAGACTTTACAAAGACAGTGTCTCCAAACTCCTCCATCAAAAGAAAGGTTATACTCTGTGAATTGAACGCACACATCACAAAGTAGTTTCTGAGAATGATTCTGTCTAGTTTTTATACGAAGATATTTCCTTTTCTACATTTGGCCTAAAAGCGCTTGAAATCTCCACCTGCAAATATCACAAAAAGAGGGTTTCACATCTGCTCTGTCTAAAGGACAGTTCACCTCTGTGAGTTGAATAGAGGCAACACAAAGAACTTACTCAGTATTCTTCTTTCTAGCGTTCTATGAAGAAATCCCGTTTCCAACGAAGGCCTCAAAGAGGTCCAAATATCTGCTTGCAGACTTTACAGACAGAGTGTTTCCAAACTACTCTATGAAAAGAAAGCTTAAACTCCTTGAGTTGAACGCACACATCACAAAGTAGTTTCTGAGAATGATTCTGTCTAGTTTTTATACGAAGATATTTCCTTTTCTACATTTGGTCTCAAAGCGATTGAAATCTCCAACTGGAAACTGCACAAATAGGGTGTTTCAAATCTGCTCTGTCTAAAGGAAGGTTCAACTCTGTGAGTTGAATACACACACCACAAATAAGTTACTGAGAATTCTTCTGTCGACCATTACTTGAAGAAATCCCGTTTCCAACGAAGGCCTCAAAGAGGTCCAAATATCCACTTGCAGATATTACAAACAGAGTGTTTCCAAACTGCTCCATCAAAAGAAAGGTTAAACTCTGTGAGCTGAACACACACATCAAAAAGAAGTTTCTGTGAATGATTCTGTCTAGATTTTATAAGAAGATGTTTCCTTTTCTACCGTCGGCCTCAAAGCGCTTGAAATCTCCAGCTGCAAATTCCACAAAAAGGGTGTTTAACATCTGGTCTTCTAAAGGAAAGTTCAACTCTATGAGTTGAATATACACAGCACAAAGAAGTTACTGAGACTTCTCCTATCAAACATTATATGAAGAAATCCCGTTTCCAACGAAGGCCTCAAAGAGGTCCAAATATCTGCTTGCAGACTTTACAGACAGAGTTTTTCCAAACTGCTCCATCAAAAGAAAGGTTAAACTCCTTGAGTTGAACACACACATCACAAAGTAGTTTCTGTGAATGATTCTGTCTAGTTTTTATACGAAGATGTTTCCTTTTCTACCTTTGGTCTCAAAGCGATTGAAATCTCCACATGGAAACTCCACAAAAAGAGTGTTTCAAATCTGCTCTTTCTGAAGGAAGGTTCAACTCTGTGAGTTGAATACACACACCACAAATAAGTTACTGAGAATTCTTCTGTGTAACATTATATGAGGAAATCCCGTTTCCAACGAAGGCCTCAAAGAGGTCCAAATATCCACTTGCAGACTTTACAAAGACAGTGTCTCCAAGCTCCTCCATAAAATGAAAGGTTATACTCTGTGAATTGAACGCACACATCACAAAGTAGTTTCTGAGAATGATTCTGTCTAGTTTTTATACGAAGATATTTCCTTTTCTACATTTGGCCTAAAAGGGCTTGAAATCTCCACCTGCAAATATCACAAAAAGAGGGTTTCACATCTGCTCTGTCTAAAGGACAGTTCACCTCTGTGAGTTGAATAGAGGCAACACAAAGAACTTACTCAGTATTCTTCTTTCTAGCGTTCTATGAAGAAATCCCGTTTCCAACGAAGGCCCCAAAGAGGTCCAAATATCTGCTTGCAGACTTTACAGACAGAGTGTTTCCAAACTACTCTATGAAAAGAAAGCTTAAACTCCTTGAGTTGAACGCACACATCACAAAGTAGTTTCTGAGAATGATTCTGTCTAGTTTTTATACGAAGATGTTTCCTTTTCTACATTTGGTCTCAAAGCGATTGAAATCTCCACCTGGAAACTGCACAAATAGGGTGTATCAAATCTGCTCTGTCTAAAGAAGGTTCAACTCTGTGAGTTGAATACACACACCACAAATAAGTTACTGAGAATTCTTCTGTCGAACATTACTTGAAGAAATCCCGTTTCCAACGAAGGCCTCAAAGAGGTCCAAATATCTGCTTGCAGACTTTACAGACAGAGTGTTTCCAAACTACTCTATGAAAAGAAAGCTTAAACTCCTTGAGTTGAACGCACACATCACAAAGTAGTTTCTGAGAATGATTCTGTCTAGTTTTTATACGAAGATGTTTCCTTTTCTACATTTGGTCTCAAAGCGATTGAAGTCTCCAACTGGAAAATTCACAAATAGGGTGTTTCAAATCTGCTCTGTCTAAAGGAAGGTTCAACTCTGTGAGTTGAATGCACACACCACAAATAAGTTACTGAGAATTCTTCTGTCGAACATTACATGAAGAAATCCCGTTTCCAACGAAGGCCTCAAAGAGGTCCAAATATCCACTTGCAGACATTACAAACAGTGTGTTTCCAAACTGCTCCATCAAAAGAAAGGTTAAACTCTGTGAGCTGAACACACACATCAAAAAGAAGTTTCTGTGAATGATTCTGTCTAGGATTTTATAAGAAGATGTTTCCTTTTCTACTGTAGGCCTCAAAGCGCTTGAAATCTCCAGCTGCAAATTCCACAAAAACGGTGTTTAACATCTGCTCTTCTAAAGGGAAGTTCAACTCTATGAGTTGAATACACACAGCACAAAGAAGTTACTGAGACTTCTCCTATCAAACATTATATGAAGATATCCCGTTTCCAACGAAGGCCTCAAAGAGGTCCAAATATCTGCTTGCAGACTTTACAGACAGAGTTTTTCCAAACTGCTCCATCAAAAGAAAGGTTAAACTCCTTGAGTTGAACACACACATCACAAAGTAGTTTCTGTGAATGATTCTGTCTAGTTTTTATACGAAGATGTTTCCTTTTCTACCTTTGGTCTCAAAGCGATTGAAATCTCCACATGGAAACTCCACAAAAAGAGTGTTTCAAATCTGCTCTTTCTGAAGGAAGGTTCATCTCTGTGAGTTGAATACACACACCACAAATAAGTTACTGAGAATTCTTCTGTGTAACATTATATGAGGAAATCCCGTTTCCAACGAAGGCCTCAAAGAGGTCCAAATATCCACTTGCAGACTTACAAAGACAGTGTCTCCAAACTCCTCCATCAAAAGAAAGGTTATACTCTGTGAATTGAACGCACACATCACAAAGTAGTTTCTGAGAATGATTCTGTCTAGTTTTTATACGAAGATATTTCCTTTTCTACATTTGGCCTAAAAGCGCTTGAAATCTCCACCTGCAAATATCACAAAAAGAGGGTTTCACATCTGCTCTGTCTAAAGGACAGTTCACCTCTGTGAGTTGAATAGAAGCAACACAAAGAACTTACTCAGTATTCTTCTTTCTAGCGCTCTATGAAGAAATCCCGTTTCCAACGAATGCCTCAAAGAGGTCCAAATATCTGCTTGCAGACTTCAGAGACAGAGTGTTTCCAAAGTACTCTATGAAAAGAAAGCTTAAACTCCTTGAGTTGAACGCACACATCACAAAGTAGTTTCTGAGAATGATTCTGTCTTGTTTTTATACGAAGATATTTCCGTTTCTATGATTGGCCTCCAAGCGATTGAAATCTCCAACTGGAAACTGCACAAATAGGGTGTTTCAAATCTGCTCTGTGTAAAGGAAGGTTCAACTCTGTGAGTTGAATACACACACCACAAATAAGTTACTGAGAATTCTTCTGTCGAACATTACATGAAGAGATCCCGTTTCCAACGAAGGCCTCAAAGAGGTCCAAATATCCACTTGCAGACATTACAAACAGAGTGTTTCCAAACTGCTCCATCAAAAGAAAGGTTAAACTCTGTGAGCTGAACACACACATCAAAAAGAAGTTTCTGTGAATGATTCTGTCTAGACTTTAGAAGAAGATGTTTCCTTTTCTACCGTAGGCCTCACAGCGCTTGAAATCTCCAGCTGCAAATTCCACAAAAAGGGTGTTTAACATCTGCTCTTCTAAAGGAAAGTTCAACTCCATGAGTTGAATACACACAGCACAAAGAAGTTACTGAGACTTCTTCTGTCGAACATTACTTGAAGAAATCCCGTTTCCAACGAAGGCCTCAAAGCAGGTCCAAATATCTGTTTGCAGACTTTACAGATAGAGTGTTTCCAAACTGCTCCATGAAAAGAAAGGTTAAACTCCTTGAGTTGATCACACACATCACAAAGTAGTTTCTGTGAATGATTCTGTCTAGTTTTTATACGAAGATGTTTCCTTTTCTACCTTTGGTCTCAAAGCGATTGAAATCTCCACATGGAAACTCCACAAAAAGAGTGTTTCAAATCTGCTCTTTCTGAAGGAAGGTTCAACTCTGTGAGTTGAATACACACACCACAAATAAGTTACTGACAATTCTTCTGTGTAACATTATATGAGGAAATCCCGTTTCCAACGAAGGCCTCAAAGAGGTCCAAATATCCACTTGCAGTCTTTACAAAGACAGTGTCTCCAAACTCCTTCATCAAAAGAAAGGTTATACTCTGTGAATTGAACGCACACATCACAAAGTAGTTTATGAGAATGATTCTGTCTAGTTTTTATACGAAGATATTTCCTTTTTTATATTTGGCCTAAAAGCGCTTGAAATCTCCACCTGCAAATATCACAAAAAGAGGGTTTCACATCTGCTCTGTCTAAAGGACAGTTCACCTCTGTGAGTTGGATAGAGGCAACACAAAGAACTTACTCAGTATTCTTCTTTCTAGCGTTCTATGAAGAAATCCCGTTTCCAACGAAGGCCTCAAAGAGGTCCAAATATCTGCTTGCAGACTTTACAGAGTGTTTCCAAACTACTCTATGAAAAGAAAGCTTAAACTCCTTGAGTTGAACGCACACATCACAAAGTAGTTTCTGAGAATGATTCTGTCTAGTTTTTATACGAAGCATGTTTCCTTTTCTACATTTGGTCTCAAAGCGATTGAAATCTCCAACTGGAAACTGCACAAATAGGGTGTTTCAAATCTGCTCTGTCTAAAGGAAGGTTCAACTCTGTGAGTTGAATACACACACCACAAATAAGTTACTGAGAATTCTTCTGTCGAACATTACATGAAGAAATCCCGTTTCCAACGAAGGCCTCAAAGACGTCCAAATATCCACTTGCAGACATTACAAACAGAGTGTTTCCAAACTGCTCCATCAAAAGAAAGGTTAAACTCTGTGAGCTGAACACACACATCAAAAAGAAGTTTCTGTGAATGATTCTGTCTAGATTTTATAAGAAGATGTTTCCTTTTCTACCGTAGGCCTCAAAGCGCTTGAAATCTCCAGCTGCAAATTCCACAAAAAGGGTGTTTAACATCTGCTCTTCTAAAGGAAAGTTCAACTCTATGAGTTGAATACACACAGCACAAAGAAGTTACTGAGACTTCTTCTGTCTAACATTATATGAAGAAATCCCGTTTCCAACGAAGGCCTCAAAGAGGTCCAAATATCTGCTTGCAGACTTTACAGACAGAGTGTTTCCAAACTGCTCCATCAAAAGAAAGGTTAAACTCCTTGAGTTGAACACACACATCACAAAGTAGTTTCTGTGAATGATTCTGTCTAGTTTTTATACGAAGATGTTTCCTTTTCTACCTTTGGTCTCAAAGCGATTGAAATCTCCACATGGAAACTCCACAAAAAGAGTGTTTCAAATCTGCTCTTTCTGAAGGAAGGTTCATCTCTGTGAGTTAAATACACACACCACAAATAAGTTACTGAGAATTCTTCTGTGTAACATTATATGAGGAAATCCCGTTTCCAACGAAGGCCTCAAAGAGGTCCAAATATCCACTTGCAGACTTTACAAAGACAGTGTCTCCAAACTCCTCCATCAAAAGAAAGGTTATACTCTGTGAATTGAACGCACACATCACAAAGTAGTTTCTGAGAATGATTCTGTCTAGTTTTTATACGAAGATGTTTCCTTTTCTACATTTGGTCTCAAAACGATTGAAATCTCCAACTGGAAACTGCACAAATAGGTTGTTTCAAATCTGCTCTGTCTAAAGGAAGGTTCAACTCTGTGAGTTGAATACACACACCACAAATAAGTTACTGAGAATTCTTCTGTCGAACATTACTTGAAAGAAATCCCGTTTCCAACGAAGGCCTCAAAGAGGTCCAAATATCCACTTGCAGACATTACAAACAGAGTGTTTCCAAACTGCTCCATCAAAAGAAAGGTTAAACTCTGTGAGCTGAACACACACATCAAAAAGAAGTTTCTGTGAATGATTCTGTCTAGATTTTATAAGAAGATGTTTCCTTTTCTACCGTAGGCCACAAAGCGCTTGAAATCTCCAGCTGCAAATTCCACAAAAAGGGTGTTTAACATCTGCTCTTCTAAAGGAAAGTTCAACTCTATGCGTTGAATACACACAGCACAAAGAAGTTACTGAGACTTCTCCTATCAAACATTATATGAAGAAATCCCGTTTCCAACGAAGGCCTCAAAGAGGTCCAAATATCTGCTTGCAGACTTTACAGACAGAGTATTTCCAAACTGCTCCATCAAAAGAAAGGTTAAACTCCTTGAGTTGAACACACACATCACAAAGTAGTTTCTGTGAATGATTCTGTCTAGTTTTTATACGAAGATGTTTCCTTTTCTACCTTTGGTCTCAAAGCGATTGAAATCTCCACATGGAAACTCCACAAAAAGAGTGTTTCAAATCTGCTCTTTCTGAAGGAAGGTTCAACTCTGTGAGTTGAATACACACACCACAAATAAGTTACTGAGAATTCTTCTGTGTAACATTATATGAGGAAATCCCGTTTCCAACGAAGGCCTCAAAGAGGTCCAAATATCCACTTGCGGACATTACAAACAGTGTGTTTCCCAACTGCTCCATCAAAAGAAAGGTTAAACTCTGTGAGCTGAACACACACATCAAAAAGAAGTTTCTGTGAATGATTCTGTCTAGATTTTATAAGAAGATGTTTCCTTTTCTACCGTAGGCCTCAAAGCGCTTGAAATCTCCAGCTGCAAATTCCACAAAAAGGGTGTTTAACATCTGCTCTTCTAAAGGAAAGTTCAACTCTATGAGTTGAATACACACAGCACAAAGAAGTTACTGAGACTTCTCCTATCAAACATTATATGAAGAAATCCCGTTTCCAACGAAGGCCTCAAAGAGGTCCAAATGTCTGCTTGCAGACTTTACAGACAGAGTGTTTCCAAACTGCTCCATCAAAAGAAAGGTTAAACTCCTTGAGTTGAACACACACATCACAAAGTAGTTTCTGTGAATGATTCTGTCTAGTTTTTATACGAAGATGTTTCCTTTTCTACCTTTGGTCTCAAAGCGATTGAAATCTCCACATGGAAACTCCACAAAAAGAGTGTTTCAAATCTGCTCTTTCTGAAGGAAGGTTCAACTCTGTGAGTTGAATACACACACCACAAATAAGTTACTGAGAATTCTTCTGGGTAACATTATATGAGGAAATCCCGTTTCCAACGAAGGCCTCAAAGAGGTCCAAATATCCACTTGCAGACTTTACAAAGACAGTGTCTCCAAACTCCTCCATCAAAAGAAAGGTTATACTCTGTGAATTGAACGCACACATCACAAAGTAGTTTCTGAGAATGATTCTGTCTAGTTTTTATACGAAGATATTTCCTTTTCTACATTTGGCCTAAAAGCGCTTGAAATCTCCACCTGCAAATATCACAAAAAGAGGGTTTCACATCTGCTCTGTCTAAAGGACAGTTCACCTCTGTGAGTTGAATAGAGGCAACACAAAGAACGTACTCAGTATTCTTCTTTCCAGCGTTCTATGAAGAAATCCCTTTTCCAACGAAGGCCTGAAATAGGTCCAAATATCTGCTTGCAGACTTTACAGACAGAGTGTTTCCAAACTACTCTATGAAAAGAAAGCTTAAACTCCTTGAGTTGAACGCACACATCACAAAGTAGTTTCTGAGAATGATTCTGTCTAGTTTTTATACGAAGATGTTTCCTTTTCTACATTTGGTCTCAAAGCGATTGAAATCTCCAACTGGAAACTGCACAAATAGGGTGTTTCAAATCTGCTCTGTCTAAAGGAAGGTTCAACTCTGTGAGTTGAATACACACACCACAAATAAGTTACTGAGAATTCTTCTGTCGAACATTACATGAAGAAATCCCGTTTCCAACGAAGGCCTCAAAGAGGTCCAAATATCCACTTGCAGACATTACAAACAGTGTGTTTCCAAACTGCTCCATCAAAAGAAAGGTTAAACTCTGTGAGCTGAACACACACATCAAAAAGAAGTTTCTGTGAATGATTCTGTCTAGATTTTATAAGAAGATGTTTCCTTTTCTACCGTAGGCCTCAAAGCGCTTGAAATCTCCAGCTGCAAATTCCACAAAAAGGGTGTTTAACATCTGCTCTTCTAAAGGAAAGTTCAACTCTATGAGTTGAATACACACAGCATAAAGAAGTTACTGAGACTTCTCCTATCAAACATTATATGAAAAAATCCCATTTCCAACGAAGGCCTCAAAGAGGTCCAAATATCTGCTTGCAGACTTTACAGACAGAGTGTTTCCAAACTGCTCCATCAAAAGAAAGGTTAACCTCCTGAGTTGAACACACACATCACAAAGTAGTTTCTGTGAATGATTCTGTCTAGTTGTTATACGAAGATGTTTCCTTTTCTACCTTTGGTCTCAAAGCGATTGAAATCTCCACATGGAAACTCCACAAAAAGAGTGTTTCAAATCTGCTCTTTCTGAAGGAACGTTCATCTCTGTGAGTTGAATACACACACCACAAATAAGTTACTGAGAATTCTTCTGTGTAACATTATATGAGGAAATCCCGTTTCCAACGAAGGCCTCAAAGAGGTCCAAATATCCACTTGCAGACTTTACAAAGACAGTGTCTCCAAACTCCTCCATCAAAAGAAAGGTTATACTCTGTGAATTGAACGCACACATCACAAAGTAGTTTCTGAGAATGATTCTGTCTAGTTTTTATACGAAGATATTTCCTTTTCTACATTTGGCCTAAAAGCGCTTGAAATCTCCACCTGCAAATATCACAAAAAGAGGGTTTCACATCTGCTCTGTCTAAAGGACAGTTCACCTCTGTGAGTTGAATAGAGGCAACACAAAGAACTTACTCAGTATTCTTCTTTCTAGCGTTCTATGAAGAAATCCCGTTTCCAACGAAGGCCCCAAAGAGGTCCAAATATCTGCTTGCAGACTTTACAGACAGAGTGTTTCCAAACTACTCTATGAAAAGAAAGCTTAAACTCCTTGAGTTGAACGCACACATCACAAAGTAGTTTCTGAGAATGATTCTGTCTAGTTTTTATACGAAGATGTTTCCTTTTCTACATTTGGTCTCAAAGCGATTGAAATCTCCAACTGGAAACTGCACAAATAGGGTGTTTCAAATCTGCTCTGTCTAAAGGAAGGTTCAACTCTGTGAGTTGAATACACAAACCACAAATAAGTTACTGAGAATTCTTCTGTCGAACATTACTTGAAGAAATCCCGTTTCCAACGAAGGCCTCAAAGAGGTCCAAATATCCACTTGCAGACATTACAAACAGAGTGTTTCCAAACTGCTCCATCAAAAGAAAGGTTAAACTCTGTGAGCTAAACACACACATCGAAAAGAAGTTTCTGTGAATGATTCTGTCTAGATTTTATAAGAAGATGTTTCCTTTTCTACCGTAGGCCTCAAAGCGCTTGAAATCTCCAGCTGCAAATTCCACAAAAAGGGTGTTTAACATCTGCTCTTCTAAAGGAAAGTTCAACTCTATGAGTTGAATACACACAGCACAAAGAAGTTACTGAGACTTCTCCTATCAAACATTATATGAAGAAATCCCGTTTCCAACGAAGGCCTCAAAGAGGTCCAAATATCTGCTTGCAGACTTTACAGACAGAGTGTTTCCAAACTGCTCCATCAAAAGAAAGGTTAAACTCCTTGAGTTGAACACACACATCACAAAGTAGTTTCTGTGAATGATTCTGTCTAGTTTTTATACGAAGATGTTTCCTTTTCTACATTTGGTCTCAAAGCGATTGAAATCTCCAACTGGAAACTGCACAAATAGGGTGTTTCAAATCTGCTCTGTCTAAAGGAAGGTTCAACTCTTTGAGTTGAATACACACACCACAAATAAGTTACTGAGAATTCTTCTGTCGAACATTTCTTGAAGAAATCCCGTTTCCAACGAAGGCCTCAAAGAGGTCCAAATATCCACTTGCAGACATTACAAACAGAGTGTTTCCAAACTGCTCCATCAAAACAAAGGTTAAACTCTGTGAGCTGAACACACACATCAAAAAGAAGTTTCTGTGAATGATTCTGTCTAGATTTTATAAGAAGATGTTTCCTTTTCTACCGTAGGCCTCAAAGTGCTTGAAATCTCCAGCTGCAAATTCCACAAAAAGGGTGTTTAACATCTGCTCTTCTAAAGGAAAGTTCAACTCAACGAGTTGAATACACACAGCCCAAAGAAGTTACTGAGACTTCTCCTATCAAACATTATATGAAGAAATCCCGTTTCCAACGAAGGCCTCAAAGAGGTCCAAATATCTGCTTGCAGACTTTACAAAGACAGTGTCTCCAAACTCCTCCATCAAAAGAAAGGTTATACTCTGTGAATTGAACGCACACATCACAAAGTAGTTTCTGAGAATGATTCTGTCTAGTTTTTATACGAAGATATTTCCTTTTCTACATTTGGCCTAAAAGCGCTTGAAGTCTCCACCTGCAAATATCACAAAAAGAGGGTTTCACATCTGCTCTGTCTAAAGGACAGATCACCTTTGTGAGTTGAATAGAGGCAACACAAAGAACTTACTCAGTATTCTTCTTTCTAGCGTTCTATGAAGAAATCCCGTTTCCAACGAAGGCCTCAAAGAGGTCCAAATATCTGCTTGCAGACTTTACAGACAGAGTGTTTCCAAACTACTCTATGAAAAGAAAGCTTAAACTCCTTGAATTGAACGCACATATCACAAAGTAGTTTCTGAGAATGATTCAGTCTAGTTTTTATACGAAGATGTTTCCTTTTCTACATTTGGTCTCAAAGCGATTGAAATCTCCAACTGGAAACTGCACAAATAGGGTGTTTCAAATCTCCTCTGTCTAAAGGAAGGTTCAACTCTGTGAGTTGAATACACACACCACAAATAAGTTACTGAGAATTCTTCTGTCGAACATAACTTGAAGAAATCCCGTTTCCAACGAAGGCCTCAAAGAGGTCCAAATATCCACTTGCAGATATTACAAACAGAGTGTTTCCAAACTGCTCCATCAAAAGAAAGGTTAAACCCTGTGAGCAGAACACACACATCGAAAAGAAGTTTCTGTGAATGATTCTGTCTAGATTTTATAAGAAGATGTTTCCTTTTCTACCGTAGGCCTGAAAGCGCTTGAAATCTCCAGCTGCAAATTCCACAAAAAGGGTGTTTAACATCTGCTCTTCTAAAGGAAAGTTCAACTCTATGAGTTGAATACACACAGCACAAAGAAGTTACTGAGACTTCTCCTATCAAACATCATATGAAGAAATCCCGTTTCCAACGAAGGCCTCAAAGAGGTCCAAATATCTGCTTGCAGACTTTACAGACAGAGTGTTTCCAAACTGCTCCATCAAAAGAAAGGTTAAACTCCTTGAGTTGAACACACACATCACAAAGTAGTTTCTGTGAATGATTCTGTCTAGTTTTTATACGAAGATGTTTCCTTTTCTACCTTTGGTCTCAAAACGATTGAAATCTCCACATGGAAACTCCACAAAAAGAGTGTTTCAAATCTGCTCTTTCTGAAGGAAGGTTGAACTCTGTGAGTTGAATACACACACCACAAATAAGTTACTGAGAATTCTTCTGTGTAACATTATATGAGGAAATCCCGTTTCCAACGAAGGCCTCAAAGAGGTCCAAATATCCACTTGCAGACTTTACAAAGACAGTGTCTCCAAACTCCTCCATCAAAAGAAAGGTTATACTCTGTGAATTGAACGCACACATCACAAAGTAGTTTCTGAGAATGATTCTGTCTAGTTTTTATACGAAGATATTTCCTTTTCTACATTTGGCCTAAAAGCGCTTGAAACCTCCACCTGCAAATATCACAAAAAGAGGGTTTCACATCTGCTCTGTCTAAAGGAGAGTTCACCTCTGTGAGTTGAATAGAGGCAACACAAAGAACTTACTCAGTATTCTTCTTTCTAGCGTTCTATGAAGAAATCCCCTTTCCAACGAAGACCCCAAAGACGTCCAAATATCTGCTTGCAGACTTTACAGACAGAGTTTTTCCAAACTGCTCCATCAAAAGAAAGGTTAAACTCCTTGAGTTGAACACACACGTCACAAAGTAGTTTCTGTGAATGATTCTGTCTAGTTTTTATACGAAGATGTTTCCTTTTCTACCTTTGGTCTCAAAGCGATTGAAATCTCCACATGGAAACTCCACAAAAAGAGTGTTTCAAATCTGCTCTTTCTGAAGGAAGGTTCAACTCTGTGAGTTGAATACACACACCACAAATAAGTTACTGAGAATTCTTCTGTGTAACATTATATGAGGAAATCCCGTTTCCAACGAAGGCCTCAAAGAGGTCCAAATATCCACTTGCAGACTTTACAAAGACAGTGTCTCCAAACTCCTCCATCAAAAGAAAGGTTATACTCTGTGAATTGAACGCACACATCACAAAGTAGTTTCTGAGAATGATTCTGTCTAGTTTTTATACGAAGATATTTCCTTTTCTACATTTGGCCTAAAAGCGCTTGAAATCTCCACCTGCAAATATCACAAAAAGAGGGTTTCACATCTGCTCTGTCTAAAGGACAGTTCACCTCTGTGAGTTGAATAGAGGCAACACAAAGAACTTACTCAGTATTCTTCTTTCTAGCGTTCTATGAAGAAATCCCGTTTCCAACGAAGGCCTCAAAGAGGTCAAATATCTGCTTGCAGACTTTACAGACAGAGTGTTTCCAAACTACTCTATGAAAAGAAAGCTTAAACTCCTTGAGTTGAACGCACACATCACAAAGTAGTTTCTGAGAATGATTCTGTCTAGTTTTTATACGAAGATGTTTCCTATTCTACATTTGGTCTCAAAGCGATTGAAATCTCCAACTGGAAACTGCAGAAATAGGCTGTTTCAAATCTGCTCTGTCTAAAGGAAGGTTCAGCTCTGTGAGTTGAATACACACACCACAAATAAGTTACTGAGAATTCTTCTGTCGAACATTACAGGAAGAAATCCCGTTTCCAACGAAGGCCTCAAAGAGGTCCAAATATCCACTTGCAGACATTACAAACAGTGTGTTTCCCAACTGCTCCATCAAAAGAAAGGTTAAACTCTGTGAGCTGAACACACACATCAAAAAGAAGTTTCTGTGAATGATTCTGTCTAGATTGTTTAAGAAGATGTTTCCTTTTCTACCGTAGGCCTCAAAGCGCTTGAAATCTATAGCTGCAAATTCCACAAAAAGGGTGTTTAACATCTGCTCTTCTAAAGGAAAGTTCAACTCTATGAGTTGAATACACACAGCACAAAGAAGTTACTGAGACTTCTCCTATCAAACATTATATGAAGAAATCCCGTTTCCAACGAAGGCCTCAAAGAGGTCCAAATATCTGCTTGCAGACTTTACAGACAGAGTGTTTCCAAACTGCTCCATCAAAAGAAAGGTTAAACTCCTTGAGTTGAACACACACATCACAAAGTAGTTTCTGTGAATGATTCTGTCTAGTTTTTATACGAAGATGTTTCCTTTTCTACCTTTGGTCTCAATGCGATTGAAATCTCCACATGGAAACTCCACAAAAAGAGTGTTTCAAATCTGCTCTTTCTGAAGGAAGGTTCAACTCTGTGAGTTGAATACACACACCACAAATAAGTTACTGAGAATTCTTCTGTGTAACATTATATGAGGAAATCCCGTTTCCAACGAAGGCCTCAAAGAGATCCAAATATCCACTTGCAGACTTTACAAAGACAGTGTCTCCAAACTCCTCCATCAAAAGAAAGGTTATACTCTGTGAATTGAACGCACACATCACAAAGTAGTTTCTGAGAATGATTCTGTCTAGTTTTTATACGAAGATATTTCCTTTTCTACATTTGGCCTAAAAGCGCTTGAAATCTCCACCTGCAAATATCACAAAAAGAGGGTTTCACATCTGCTCTGTCTAAAGGACAGTTCACCTCTGTGAGTTGAATAGAGGCAACACAAAGAACTTACTCAGTATTCTTCTTTCTAGCATTCTATGAAGAAATCCCGTTTCCAACGAAGGCCCCAAAGAGGTCCAAATATCTGCTTGCAGACTTTACAGACAGAGTGTTTCCAAACTACTCTATGAAAAGAAAGCTTAAACTCCTTGAGTTGAACGCACACATCACAAAGTAGTTTCTGAGAATGATTCTGTCTAGTTTTTATACGAAGATGTTTCCTTTTCTACATTTGGTCTCAAAGCTCTTGAAATCTCCAACTGGAAACTGCACAAATAGGCTGTTTCAAATCTGCTCTGTCTAAAGGAAGGTTCAACTCTGTGAGTTGAATACACACACCACAAATAAGTTACTGAGAATTCTTCTGTCGAATATTACATGAAGAAATCCCGTTTCCAACGAAGGCCTCAAAGAGGTCCCAATATCCACTTGCAGACATTACAAACAGAGTGTTTCCAAACTGCTCCATCAAAAGAAAGGTTAAACTCTGTGAGCTGAACACACACATCAAAAAGAAGTTTCCTGTGAATGATTCTGTCTAGATTTTATAAGAAGATGTTTCCTTTTCTACCGTAGGCCTCAAAGCACTTGAAATCTCCAGCTGCAAATTCCACAAAAAGGGTGTTTAACATCTGCTCTTCTAAAGGATAGTTCAACTCTATGAGTTGAATACACACAGCACAAAGAAGTTACTGAGACTTCTCCTATCAAACATTATATGAAGAAATCCCGTTTCCAACGAAGGCCTCAAAGAGGTCCAAATATCTGCTTGCAGACTTTACAGACAGAGTGTTTCCAAACTGCTCCATCAAAAGAAAGGTTAAACTCCTTGAGTTGAACACACACATCACAAAGTAGTTTCTGTGAATGATTCTGTCTAGTTGTTATACGAAGATGTTTCCTTTTCTACCTTTGGTCTCAAAGCGATTGAAATCTCCACATGGAAACTCCACAAAAAGAGTGTTTCAAATCTGCTCTTTCTGAAGGAAGGTTCATCTCTGTGAGTTGAATACACACACCACAAATAAGTTACTGAGAATTCTTCTGTGTAACATTATATGAGGAAATCCCGTTTCCAACGAAGGCCTCAAAGAGGTCCAAATATCCACTTGCAGACTTTACAAAGACAGTGTCTCCAAACTCCTCCATCAAAAGAAAGGTTATACTCTGTGAATTGAACGCACACATCACAAAGTAGTTTCTGAGAATGATTCTGTCTAGTTTTTATACGAAGATATTTCCTTTTCTACATTTGGCCTAAAAGCGCTTGAAATCTCCACCTGCAAATATCACAAAAAGAGGGTTTCACATCTGCTCTGTCTAAAGGACAGTTCACCTCTGTGAGTTGAATAGAGGCAACACAAAGAACTTACTCAGTATTCTTCTTTCTAGCGTTCTATGAAGAAATCCCGTTTCCAACGAAGGCCCCAAAGAGGTCCAAATATCTGCTTGCAGACTTTACAGACAGAGTGTTTCCAAACTACTCTATGAAAAGAAAGCTTAAACTCCTTGAGTTGAACGCACACATCACAAAGTAGTTTCTGAGAATGATTCTGTCTAGTTTTTATACGAAGATGTTTCCTTTTCTACATTTGGTCTCAAAGCGATTGAAATCTCCAACTGGAAACTGCACAAATAGGGTGTTTCAAATCTGCTCTGTCTAAAGGAAGGTTCAACTCTGTGAGTTGAATACACACACCACAAATAAGTTACTGAGAATTCTTCTGTCGAACATTACTTGAAGAAATCCCGTTTCCAAAGAAGGCCTCAAAGAGGTCCAAATATCCACTTGCAGACATTACAAACAGAGTGTTTCCAAACTGCTCCATCAAAAGAAAGGTTAAACTCTGTGAGCTGAACACACACATCAAAAAGAAGTTTCTGTGAATGATTCTGTCTAGATTTTATAAGAAGATGTTTCCTTTTCTACCGTAGGCCTCAAAGCGCTTGAAATCTCCAGCTGCAAATTCCACAAAAAGGGTGTTTAACATCTGCTCTTCTAAAGGAAAGTTCAGCTCAATGAGTTGAATACACACAGCACAAAGAAGTTACTGAGACTTCTCCTATCAAACATTATATGAAGAAATCCCGTTTCCAACGAAGGCCCCAAAGAGGTCCAAATATCTGCTTGCAGACTTTACAAAGACAGTGTCTCCAAACTCCTCCATCAAAAGAAAGGTTATACTCTGTGAATTGAACGCACACATCACAAAGTAGTTTCTGAGAATGATTCTGTCTAGTTTTTATATGAAGATATTTCCTTTTCTACATTTGGCCTAAAAGCGCTTGAAATCTCCACCTGCAAATATCACAAAAAGAGGGTTTCACATCTGCTCTTTCTAAAGGACAGTTCACCTCTGTGAGTTGAATAGAGGCAACACAAAGAACTTACTCAGTATTCTTCTTTCTAGCGTTCTATGAAGAAATCCCGTTTCCAACGAAGGCCCCAAAGAGGTCCAAATATCTGCTTGCACACTTTACAGACAGTGTTTCCAAACTACTTTATGAAAAGAAAGCTTAAACTCCTTGAGTTGAACGCTCACATCACAAAGTAGTTTCTGAGAATGATTCTGTCTAGTTTTTATACGAAGATGTTTCCTTTTCTACATTTGGTCTCAAAGCGATTGAAATCTCCAACTGGAAACTGCACAAATAGGGTGTTTCAAATCTGCTCTGTCTAAAGGAAGGTTCAACTCTGTGAGTTGAATACACACACCACAAATAAGTTACTGAGAATTCTTCTGTCGAAAATTACTTGAAGAAATCCCATTTCCAAAGAAGGCCTCAAAGAGGTCCAAATATCCACTTGCACACATTACAATGAGAGTGTTTCCAAACTGCTCCATCAAAAGAAAGGTTAAACTCTGTGAGCTGAACACACACATCAAAAAGAAGTTTCTGTGAATGATTCTGTCTAGATTTTATAAGAAGATGTTTCCTTTTCTACCGTAGGCCTCAAAGCGCTTGAAATCTCCAGCTGCAAATTCCACAAAAAGGGTGTTTAACATCTGCTCTTCTAAAGGAAAGTTCAACTCTATGAGTTGAATACACACAGCACAAAGAAGTTACTGAGACTTCTCCTATCAAACATTATATGAAGAAATCCCGTTTCCAACGAAGGCCTCAAAGAGGTCCAAATATCTGCTTGCCGACTTTACAGACAGAGTGTTTCCAAACTGCTCTATCAAAAGAAAGGTTAACCTCCTTGAGTTGAACACACACATCACAAAGTAGTTTCTGTGAATGATTCTGTCTAGTTTTTATACGAAGATGTTTCCTTTTCTACCTTTGGTCTCAATGCGATTGAAATCTCCACATGGAAACTCCACAAAAAGAGTGTTTCAAATCTGCTCTTTCTGAAGGAAGGTTCAACTCTGTGAGTTGAATACACACACCACAAATAAGTTACTGAGAATTCTTCTGTGTAACATTATATGAGGAAATCCCGTTTCCAACGAAGGCCTCAAAGAGGTCCAAATATCCACTTGCAGACTTTACAAAGACAGTGTCTCCAAACTCCTCCATCAAAAGAAAGGTTATACTCTGTGAATTGAACGCACACATCACAAAGTAGTTTCTGAGAATGATTCTGTCTAGTTTTTATACGAAGATATTTCCTTTTCTACATTTGGCCTAAAAGCGCTTGAAATCTCCACCTGCAAATATCACAAAAAGAGGGTTTCACATCTGCTCTATCTAAAGGAGAGTTCACCTCTGTGAGTTGAATAGAGGCAACACAAAGAACTTACTCAGTATTCTTCTTTCTAGCGTTCTATGAAGAAATCCCGTTTCCAACGAAGGCCTCAAAGAGGTCCAAATATCTGCTTGCAGACTTTACAAAGACAGTGTCTCCAAACTCCTCCGTCAAAAGAAAGGTTATACTCTGTGAATTGAACGCACACATCACAAAGTAGTTTCTGAGAATGATTCTGTCTAGTTTTTATACGAAGATATTTCCTTTTCTACATTTGGCCTCAAAGCGCTTGAAATCTCCACCTGCAAATATCACAAAAAGAGGGTTTCACATCTGCTCTGTCTAAAGGACAGTTCACCTCTGTGAGTTGAATAGAGGCAACACAAAGAACTTACTCAGTATTCTTCTTTCTAGCGTTATATGTTGAAATCCCGTTTCCAACGAAGGCCTCAAAGAGGTGCAAATATCTGCTTGCAGACTTTACAGACAGAGTGTTTCCAAACTACTCTATGAAAAGAAAGCTTAAACTCCTTGAGTTGAACGCACACATCACAAAGTAGTTTCTGAGAATGATTCTGTCTAGTTTTTATACGAAGATGTTTCCTTTTCTACATTTGGTCTCAAAGCGATTGAAATCTCCAACTGGAAACTGCACAAATAGGGTGTTTCAAATCTGCTCTGTCTAAAGGAAGGTTCAACTCTGTGAGTTGAATACACACACCACAAATAAGTCACTGAGAATTCTTCTGTCGAACATTACAGGAAGAAATCCCGTTTCCAGCGAAGGCCTCAAAGAGGTCCAAATATCCACTTGCAGACATTACAAACAGAGTGTTTCCAAACTGCTCCATCAAAAGAAAGGTTAAACTCTGTGAGCTGAACACACACATCAAAAAGAAGTTTCTGTGAATGATTCTGTCTAGATTTTCTAAGAAGATGTTTCCTTTTCTACCGTAGGCCTCAAAGCGCTTGAAATCTCCAGCTGCAAATTCCACAAAAAGGGTGTTTAACATCTGCTCTTCTAAAGGAAAGTTCAACTCTATGAGTTGAATACACACAGCACAAAGAAGTTACTGAGACTTCTCCTATCAAACATTATATGAAGAAATCCCGTTTCCAACGAAGGCCTCAAAGAGGTCCAAATATCTGCTTGCAGACTTTACAGACAGAGTTTTTCCAAACTGCTCCATCAAAAGAAAGGTTAAACTCCTTGAGTTGAACACACACATCACAAAGTAGTTTCTGTGAATGATTCTGTCTAGTTTTTATACGAAGATGTTTCCTTTTCTACCTTTGGTCTCAAAGCGATTGAAATCTCCACATGGAAACTCCACAAAAAGAGTGTTTCAAATCTGCTCTTTCTGAAGGAAGGTTCATCTCTGTGAGTTGAATACACACACCACAAATAAGTTACTGAGAATTCTTCTGTGTAACATTATATGAGGAAATCCCGTTTCCAACGAAGGCCTCAAAGAGGTCCAAATATCCACTTGCAGACTTTACAAAGACAGTGTCTCCAAACTCCTCCATCAAAAGAAAGGTTATACTCTGTGAATTGAACACACACGTCACAAAGTAGTTTCTGAGAATGATTCTGTCTAGTTTTTATACGAAGATATTTCCTTTTCTACATTTGGCCTAAAAGCGCTTGAAATCTCCACCTGCAAATATCACAAAAAGAGGGTTTCACATCTGCTCTGCCTAAAGGACATTTCACCTCTGTGAGTTGAATAGAGGCAACACAAAGAACTTACTCAGTATTCTTCTTTCTAGCGTTCTATGAAGAAATCCCGTTTCCAACGAAGGCCCCAAAGAGGTCCAAATATCTGCTTGCAGACTTTACAGACAGAGTGTTTCCAAACTACTCTATGAAAAGAAAGCTTAAACTCCTTGAGTTGAACGCACACATCACAAAGTAGTTTCTGAGAATGATTCTGTCTAGTTTTTATACGAAGATGTTTCCTTTTCTGCATTTGGTCTCAAAGCGATTGAAATCTCCAACTGGAAACTGCACAAATAGGGTGTTTCAAATCTGCTCTGTCTAAAGGAAGGTTCAACTCTGTGAGTTGAATACACACACCACAAATAAGTTACTGAGAATTCTTCTGTCGACCATTACTTGATGAAATCCCGTTTCCAACGAAGGCCTCAAAGAGGTCCAAATATCCACTTGCAGACATTACAAACAGAGTGTTTCCAAACTGCTCCATCAAAAGAAAGGTTAAACTCGGTGAGCTGAACACACACATCGAAAAGAAGTTTCTGTGAATGATTCTGTCTAGATTTTATAAGAAGATGTTTCCTTTTCTACCGTAGGCCTCAAAGCGCTTGAAATCTCCAGCTGCAAATTCCACAAAAAGGGTGTTTAACATCTGCTCTTCTAAAGGAAAGTTCAACTCTATGAGTTGAATGCACACAGCACAAAGAAGTTACTGAGACTTCTCCTATCAAACATTATATGAAGAAATCCCGTTTCCAACGAAGGCCTCAAAGAGGTCCAAATATCTGCTTGCAGACTTTACAGACAGAGTGTTTCCAAACTGCTCCATCAAAAGAAAGGTTAAACTCCTTGAGTTGAACACACACATCACAAAGTAGTTTCTGTGAATGATTCTGTCTAGTTGTTATACGAAGATGTTTCCTTTTCTACCTTTGGTCTCAAAGCGATTGAAATCTCCACATGGAAACTCCACAAAAAGAGTGTTTCAAATCTGCTCTTTCTGAAGGAAGGTTCATCTCTGTGAGTTGAATACACACACCACAAATAAGTTACTGAGAATTCTTCTGTGTAACATTATATGAGGAAATCCCGTTTCCAACGAAGGCCTCAAAGAGGTCCAAATATCCACTTGCAGACTTTACAAAGACAGTGTCTCCAAACTCCTCCATCAAAAGAAAGGTTATACTCTGTGAATTGAACGCACACATCACAAAGTAGTTTCTGAGAATGATTCTGTCTAGTTTTTATACGAAGATATTTCCTTTTCTACATTTGGCCTAAAAGCGCTTGAAATCTCCACGTGCAAATATCACAAAAAGAGGGTTTCACATCTGCTCTGTCTAAAGGACAGTTCACCTCTGTGAGTTGAATAGAGGCAACACAAAGAACTTACTCAGTATTCTTCTTTCTAGCGTTCTATGAAGAAATCCCGTTTCCAACGAAGGCCTCAAAGAGGTCCAAATATCTGCTTGCAGACTTTACAGACAGAGTGTTTCCAAACTACTCTATGAAAAGAAAGCTTAAACTCCTTGAGTTGAACGCACACATCACAAAGTAGTTTCTGAGAATGATTCTGTCTAGTTTTTATACGAAGATGTTTCCTTTTCTACATTTGGTCTCAAAGCGATTGAAATCTCCAACTGGAAACTGCACAAATAGGGTGTTTCAAATCTGCTCTGTCTAAAGGAAGGTTCAACTCTTTGAGTTGAATACACACACCACAAATAAGTTACTGAGAATTCTTCTGTCGAACATTACTTGAAGAAATCCCGTTTCCAACGAAGGCCTCAAAGAGGTCCAAATATCCACTTGCAGACATTACAAACAGAGTGTTTCCAAACTGCTCCATCAAAAGAAAGGTTAAACTCTGTGAGCTGAACACACACATCAAAAAGAAGTTTCTGTGAATGATTCTGTCTAGATTTTATAAGAAGATGTTTCCTTTTCTACCGTAGGCCTCAAAGCGCTTGAAATCTCCAGCTGCAAATTCCACAAAAAGGGTGTTTAACATCTGCTCTTCTAAAGGAAAGTTCAACTCTATGAGTTGAATACACACAGCACAAAGGAGTTACTGAGACTTCTCCTATCAAACATTATATGAAGAAATCCCGTTTCCAACGAAGGCCTCAAAGAGGTCCAAATATCTGCTTGCAGACTTTACAGACAGAGTGTTTCCAAACTGCTCCATCAAAAGAAAGGTTAAACTCCTTGAGTTGAACACACACATCACAAAGTAGTTTCTGTGAATGATTCTGTCTAGTTTTTATACGAAGATGTTTCCTTTTCTACCTTTGGTCTCAAAGCGATTGAAATCTCCACATGGAAACTCCACCAAAAGAGTGTTTCAAATCTGCTCTTTCTGAAGGAAGGTTCAACTCTGTGAGTTGAATACACACACCACAAATAAGTTACTGAGAATTCTTCTGTGTAACATTATATGAGGAAATCCCGTTTCCAACGAAGGCCTCAAAGAGGTCCAAATATCCACTTGCAGACTTTACAAAGACAGTGTCTCCAAACTCCTCCATCAAAAGGAAGGTTATACTCTGTGAATTGAACGCACACATCACAAAGTAGTTTCTGAGAATGATTCTGTCTAGTTTTTATACGAAGATATTTCCTTTTCTACATTTGGCCTAAAAGCGCTTGAAATCTCCACCTGCAAATATCACAAAAAGAGGGTTTCACATCTGCTCTGTCTAAAGGACAGTTCACCTCTGTGAGTTGAATAGAGGCAACACAAAGAACTTACTCAGTATTCTTCTTTCTAGCGTTCTATGAAGAAATCCCGTTTCCAACGAAGGCCCCAAAGAGGTCCAAATATCTGCTTGCAGACTTTACAGACAGAGTGTTTCCAAACTACTCTATGAAAAGAAAGCTTAAACTCCTTGAGTTGAACGCACACATCACAAAGTAGTTTCTGAGAATGATTCTGTCTAGTTTTTATACGAAGATGTTTCCTTTTCTACATTTGGTCTCAAAGCGATTGAAATCTCCAACTGGAAACTGCACAAATAGGGTGTTTCAAATCTGCTCTGTCTAAAGGAAGGCTCAACTCTGTGAGTTGAATACACACACCACAAATAAGTTACTGAAAATTCTTCTGTCGAACATTACTTGAAGAAATCCCGTTTCCAACGAAGGCCCCAAAGAGGTCCAAATATCCACTTGCAGACATTACAAACAGAGTGTTTCCAAACTGCTCCATCAAAAGAAAGGTTAAACTCTGTGAGCTGAACACACACATCGAAAAGAAGTTTCTGTGAATGATTCTGTCTAGATTTTATAAGAAGATGTTTCCTTTTCTACCGTAGGCCTCAAAGCGCTTGAAATCTCCAGCTGCAAATTCCACAAAAAGGGTGTTTAACATCTGCTCTTCTAAAGGAAAGTTCAACTCTATGAGTTGAATACACACAGCACAAAGAAGTTACTGAGACTTCTCCTATCAAACATTATATGAAGAAATCCCGTTTCCAACGAAGGCCTCAAAGAGGTCCAAATATCTGCTTGCAGACTTTACAGACAGAGTGTTTCCAAACTGCTCCATCAAAAGAAAGGTTAAACTCCTTGAGTTGAACACACACATCACAAAGTAGTTTCTGTGAATGATTCTGTCTAGTTTTTATACGAAGATGTTTCCTTTTCTACCTTTGGTCACAAAGCGATTGATATCTCCACATGGAAACTCCACAAAAAGAGTGTTTCAAATCTGCTCTTTCTGAAGGAAGGTTCAACTCTGTGAGTTGAATACACACACCACAAATAAGTTACTGAGAATTCTTCTGTGTAACATTATATGAGGAAATCCCGTTTCCAACGAAGGCCTCAAAGAGGTCCAAATATCCACTTGCAGACTTTACAAAGACAGTGTCTCCAAACTCCTCCATCAAAAGAAAGGTTATACTCTGTGAATTGAACGCACACATCACAAAGTAGTTTCTGAGAATGATTCTGTCTAGTTTTTATACGAAGATATTTCCTTTTCTACATTTGGCCTAAAAGCGCTTGAAATCTCCACCTGCAAATATCACAAAAAGAGGGTTTCACATCTGCTCTGTCTAAAGGACAGTTCACCTCTGTGAGTTGAATAGAGGCAACACAAAGAACTTACTCAGTATTCTTCTTTCTAGCGTTCTATGAAGAAAACCCGTTTCCAACGAAGGCCCCAAAGAGGTCCAAATATCTGCTTGCAGACTTTACAGACAGAGTGTTTCCAAACTACTCTATGAAAAGAAAGCTTAAACTGCTTGAGTTGAACGCACACATCACAAAGTAGTTTCTGAGAATGATTCTGTCTAGTTTTTATACGAAGATGTTTCCTTTTCTACATTTGGTCTCAAAGCGATTGAAATCTCCAACTGGAAACTGCACAAATAGGGTGTTTCAAATCTGCTCTGTCTAAAGGAAGGTTCAACTCTGTGAGTTGAATACACACACCACAAATAAGTTACTGAGAATTCTTCTGTCGAACATTACAGGAAGAAATCCCGTTTCCAACGAAGGCCTCAAAGAGGTCCAAATATCCACTTGCAGACATTACAAACAGTGTGTTTCCCAACTGCTCCATCAAAAGAAAGGTTAAACTCTGTGAGCTGAACACACACATCAAAAAGAAGTTTCTGTGAATGATTCTGTCTAGATTTTATAAGAAGATGTTTCCTTTTCTACCGTAGGCCTCAAAGCGCTTGAAATCTCCAGCTGCAAATTCCACAAAAAGGGTGTTTAACATCTGCTCTTCTAAAGGAAAGTTCAACTCTATGAGTTGAATACACACAGCACAAAGAAGTTACTGAGACTTCTCCTATCAAACATTATATGAAGAAATCCCGTTTCCAACGAAGGCCTCAAAGAGGTCCAAATATCTGCTTGCAGACTTTAAAGACAGAGTTTTTCCAAACTGCTCCATCAAAAGAAAGGTTAAACTCCTTGAGTTGAACACACACATCACAAAGTAGTTTCTGTGAATGATTCTGTCTAGTTTTTATACGAAGATGTTTCCTTTTCTAGCTTTGGTCTCAAAGCGATTGAAATCTCCACATGGAAACTCCACAAAAAGAGTGTTTCAAATCTGCTGTTTCTGAAGGAAGGTTCAACTCTGTGAGTTGAATACACGCACCACAAATAAGTTACTGGGAATTCTTCTGTGTAACATTATATGAGGAAATCCCGTTTCCAACGAAGGCCTCAAAGAGGTCCAAATATCCACTTGCAGACTTTACAAAGACAGTGTCTCCAAACTCCTCCATCAAAAGAAAGGTTATACTTTGTGAATTGAACGCACACATCACAAAGTAGTTTCTGAGAATGATTCTGTCTAGTTTTTATACGAAGATATTTCCTTTTCTACATTTGGCCTAAAAGCGCTTGAAATCTCCACCTGCAAATATCACAAAAAGAGGGTTTCACATCTGCTCTGTCTAAAGGACAGTTCACCTCTGTGAGTTGAGTAGAGGCAACACAAAGAACTTACTGAGTATTCTTCTTTCTAGCGTTCTATGAAGAAATCCCGTTTCCAACGAAGGCCCCAATGAGGTCCAAATATCTGCTTGCAGACTTTACAGACAGAGTGTTTCCAAACTACTCTATGAAAAGAAAGCTTAAACTCCTTGAGTTGAACGCACACATCACAAAGTAGTTTCTGAGAATGATTCTGTCTAGTTTTTATACGAAGATGTTTCCTTTTCTACATTTGGTCTCAAAGCGATTGAAATCTCCAACTGGAAACTGCACAAATAGGGTGTTTCAAATCTGCTCTGTCTAAAGGAAGGTTCAACTCTGTGAGTTGAATACACACACCACAAATAAGTTACTGAGAATTCTTCTGTCGAACATTACTTGAAGAAATCCCTTTTCCAACGAAGGCCTCAAAGAGGTCCAAATATCCACTTGCAGACATTACAAACAGAGTGTTTCCAAACTGCTCCATCAAAAGAAAGGTTAAACTCTGTGAGCTGAACACACACATCAAAAAGAAGTTTCTGTGAATGATTCTGTCTAGATTTTATAAGAAGATGTTTCCTTTTCTACCGTAGGCCTCAAAGCGCTTGAAATCTCCAGCTGCAAATTCCACAAAAAGGGTGTTTAACATCTGCTCTTCTAAAGGAAAGTTCAACTCAATGAGTTGAATACACACAGCACAAAGAAGTTACTGAGACTTCTCCTATCAAACATTATATGAAGAAATCCCGTTTCCAACGAAGGCCTCAAAGAGGTCCAAATATCTGCTTGCAGACTTTACAAAGACAGTGTCTCCAAACTCCTCCATCAAAAGAAAGGTTAAACTCCTTGAGTTGAACACACACATCACAAAGTAGTTTCTGTGAATGATTCTGTCTAGTTTTTATACGAAGATGTTTCCTTTTCTACCTTTGGTCTCAAAGCGATTGAAATCTCCACATGGAAACTCCACAAAAAGAGTGTTTCAAATCTGCTCTTTCTGAAGGAAGGTTCAACTCTGTGAGTTGAATACACACACCACAAATAAGTTACTGAGAATTCTTCTGGGTAACATTATATGAGGAAATCCCGTTTCCAACGAAGGCCTCAAAGAGGTCCAAATATCCACTTGCAGACTTTACAAAGACAGTGTCTCCAAACTCCTCCATCAAAAGAAAGGTTATACTCTGTGAATTGAACGCACACATCACAAAGTAGTTTCTGAGAATGATTCTGTCTAGTTTTTATACGAAGATATTTCCTTTTCTACATTTGGCCTAAAAGCGCTTGAAATCTCCACGTGCAAATATCACAAAAAGAGGGTTTCACATCTGCTCTGTCTAAAGGACAGTTCACCTCTGTGAGTTGAATAGAGGCAACACAAAGAACTTACTCAGTATTCTTCTTTCTAGCATTCTATGAAGAAATCCCGTTTCCAACGAAGGCCTCAAAGAGGTCCAAATATCTGCTTGCAGACTTTACAGACAGAGTTTTTCCAAACTGCTCCATCAAAAGAAAGGTTAAACTCCTTGAGTTGAACACACACATCACAAAGTAGTTTCTGTGAATGATTCTGTCTAGTTTTTATACGAAGATGTTTCCTTTTCTACCTTTGGTCTCAATGCGATTGAAATCTCCACATGGAAACTCCACAAAAAGAGTGTTTCAAATCTGCTCTTTCTGAAGGAAGGTTCAACTCTGTGAGTTGAATACACACACCACAAATAAGTTACTGAGAATTCTTCTGTGTAACATTATATGAGGAAATCCCGTTTCCAACGAAGGCCTCAAAGAGGTCCAAATATCCACTTGCAGACTTTACAAAGACAGTGTCTCCAAACTCCTCCATCAAAAGAAAGGTTATACTCTGTGAATTGAACGCACACATCACAAAGTAGTTTCTGAGAATGATTCTGTCTAGTTTTTATACGAAGATATTTCCTTTTCTACATTTGGCCTAAAAGCGCTTGAAATCTCCACCTGCAAATATCTCAAAAAGAGGGTTTCACATCTGCTCTGTCTAAAGGACAGTTCATCTCTGTGAGTTGAATAGAGGCAACACAAAGAACTTACTCAGTATTCTTCTTTCTAGCGTTATATGAAGAAATCCCGTTTCCAACGAAGGCCTCAAAGAGGTCCAAATATCTGCTTGCAGACTTTACAGACAGAGTGTTTCCAAACTACTCTATGAAAAGAAAGCTTAAACTCCTTGAGTTGAACGCACACATCACAAAGTAGTTTCTGAGAATGATTCTGTCTTGTTTTTATACAAGGTTATTTCCGTTTCTATGATTGGCCTCAGAGCGATTGAAATCTCCAACTGGAAACTGCACAAATAGGGTGTTTCAAATCTGCTCTGTCTAAAGGAAGGTTCAACTCTGTGAGTTGAATACACACACCACAAATAAGTTACTGAGAATTCTTCTGTCGAACATTACATGAAGAATTCCCGTTTCCAACGAAGGCCTCAAAGAGGTCCAAATATCCACTTGCAGGCATTACAAACAGAGTGTTTCCAAACTGCTCCATCAAAAGAAAGGTTAAACTCTGTGAGCTGAACACACACATCAAAAAGAAGTTTCTGTGAATGATTCTGTCTAGATTTTATAAGATGTTTCCTTTTCTACCGTAGGCCTCAAAGCGCTGGAAATCTCCAGCTGCAAATTCCACAAAAAGGGTGTTTAACATCTGCTCTTCTAAAGGAAAGTTCAACTCTATGAGTTGAATACACACAGCACAAAGAAGTTACTGAGACTTCTCCTATCAAACATTATATGAAGAAATCCCGTTTCCAACGAAGGCCTCAAAGAGGTCCAAATATCTGCTTGCAGACTTTACAGACAGAGTGTTTCCAAACTGCTCCATCAAAAGAAAGGTTAAACTCCTTGAGTTGAACACACACATCACAAAGTAGTTTCTGTGAATGATTCTGTCCAGTTTTTATACGAAGATGTTTCCTTTTCTACCTTTGGTCTCAAAGCGATTGAAATCTCCACATGGAAACTCCACAAAAAGAGTGTTTCAAATCTGCTCTTTCTGAAGGAAGGTTCAACTCTGTGAGTTGAATACACACACCACAAATAAGTTACTGAGAATTCTTCTGTGTAACATTATATGAGGAAATCCCGTTTCCAACGAAGGCCTCAAAGAGGTCCAAATATCCACTTGCAGACTTTACAAAGACAGTGTCTCCAAACTCCTCCATCAAAAGAAAGGTTATACTCTGTGAATTGAACGCACACATCACAAAGTAGTTTCTGAGAATGATTCTGTCTAGTTTTTATACGAAGATATTTCCTTTTCTACATTTGGCCTAAAAGCGCTTGAAATCTCCACCTGCAAATATCACAAAAAGAGGGTTTCACATCTGCTCTGTCTAAAGGACAGTTCACCTCTGTGAGTTGAATAGAGGCAACACAAAGAACTTACTCAGTATTCTTCTTTCTAGCGTTCTATGAAGAAATCCCGTTTCCAACGAAGGCCTCAAAGAGGTCAAATATCTGCTTGCAGACTTTACAGACAGAGTGTTTCCAAACTACTCTATGAAAAGAAAGCTTAAACTCCTTGAGTTGAACGCACACATCACAAAGTAGTTTCTGAGAATGATTCTGTCTAGTTTTTATACGAAGATGTTTCCTTTTCTACATTTGGTCTCAAAGCGATTGAAATCTCCAACTGGAAACTGCACAAATAGGCTGTTTCAAATCTGCTCTGTCTAAAGGAAGGTTCAGCTCTGTGAGTTGAATACACACACCACAAATAAGTTACTGAGAATTCTTCTGTCGAACATTACAGGAAGAATTCCCGTTTCCAACGAAGGCCTCAAAGAGGTCCAAATATCCACTTGCGGACATTACAAACAGTGTGTTTCCCAACTGCTCCATCAAAAGAAAGGTTAAACTCTGTGAGCTGAACACACACATCAAAAAGAAGTTTCTGTGAATGATTCTGTCTAGATTTTATAAGAAGATGTTTCCTTTTCTACCGTAGGCCTCAAAGCGCTTGAAATCTCCAGCTGCAAATTCCACAAAAAGGGTGTTTAACATCTGCTCTTCTAAAGGAAAGTTCAACTCTATGAGTTGAATACACACAGCACAAAGAAGTTACTGAGACTTCTCCTATCAAACATTATATGAAGAAATCCCGTTTCCAACGAAGGCCTCAAAGAGGTCCAAATATCTGCTTGCAGACTTTACAGACAGAGTGTTTCCAAACTGCTCCATCAAAAGAAAGGTTAAACTCCTTGAGTTGAACACACACATCACAAAGTAGTTTCTGTGAATGATTCTTTCTAGTTTTTATACGAAGATGTTTCCTTTTCTACCTTTGGTCTCAATGCGATTGAAATCTCCACATGGAAACTCCACAAAAAGAGTGTTTAAAATCTGCTCTTTCTGAAGGAAGGTTCAACTCTGTGAGTTGAATACACACACCACAAATAAGTTACTGAGAATTCTTCTGTGTAACATTATATGAGGAAATCCCGTTTCCAACGAAGGCCTCAAAGAGGTCCAAATATCCACTTGCAGACTTTACAAAGACAGTGTCTCCAAACTCCTCCATCAAAAGAAAGGTTATACTCTGTGAATTGAACGCACACATCACAAAGTAGTTTCTGAGAATGATTCTGTCTAGTTTTTATACGAAGATATTTCCTTTTCTACATTTGGCCTAAAAGCGCTTGAAATCTCCACCTGCAAATATCACAAAAAGAGGGTTTCACATCTGCTCTGTCTAAAGGACAGTTCACCTCTGTGAGTTGAATAGAGGCAACACAAAGAACTTACTCAGTATTCTTCTTTCTAGCGTTATATGAAGAAATCCCGTTTCCAACGAAGGCCTCAAAGAGGTCCAAATATCTGCTTGCAGACTTTACAGACAGAGTGTTTCCAAACTACTCTATGAAAAGAAAGCTTAAACTCCGTGAGTTGAACGCACACATCACAAAGTAGTTTCTGAGAATGATTCTGTCTAGTTTTTATACGAAGATGTTTCCTTTTCTACATTTGGTCTCAAAGCGATTGAAATCTCCAACTGGAAACTGCACAAAGAGGCTGTTTCAAATCTGCTCTGTCTAAAGGAAGGTTCAGCTCTGTGAGTTGAATACACACACCACAAATAAGTTACTGAGAATTCTTCTGTCGAACATTACAGGAAGAAATCCCGTTTCCAACGAAGGCCTCAAAGAGGTCCAAATATCCACTTGCGGACATTACAAACAGTGTGTTTCCCAACTGCTCCATCAAAAGAAAGGTTAAACTCTGTGAGCTGAACACACACATCAAAAAGAAGTTTCTGTGAATGATTCTGTCTAGATTTTATAAGAAGATGTTTCCTTTTCTACCGTAGGCCTCAAAGCGCTTGAAATCTCCAGCTGCAAATTCCACAAAAAGGGTGTTTAACATCTGCTCTTCTAAAGGAAAGTTCAACTCTATGAGTTGAATACACACAGCACAAAGAAGTTACTGAGACTTCTCCTATCAAACATTATATGAAGAAATCCCGTTTCCAACGAAGGCCTCAAAGAGGTCCAAATATCTGCTTGCAGACTTTACAGACAGAGTGTTTCCAAACTGCTCCATCAAAAGAAAGGTTAACCTCCTTGAGTTGAACACACACATCACAAAGTAGTTTCTGTGAATGATTCTGTCTAGTTTTTATACGAAGATGTTTCCTTTTCTACCTTTGGTCTCAAAGCGATTGAAATCTCCACATGGAAACTCCACAAAAAGAGTGTTTCAAATCTGCTCTTTGTGAAGGAAGGTTCAACTCTGTGAGTTGAATACACACACCACAAATAAGTTACTGAGAATTCTTCTGTGTAACATTATATGAGGAAATCCCGTTTCCAACGAAGGCCTCAAAGAGGTCCAAATATCCACTTGCAGACTTTACAAAGACAGTGTCTCCAAACTCCTCCATCAAAAGAAAGGTTATACTCTGTGAATTGAACGCACACATCACAAAGTAGTTTCTGAGAATGATTCTGTCTAGTTTTTATACGAAGATATTTCCTTTTCTACATTTGGCCTAAAAGCGCTTGAAATCTCCACCTGCAAATATCACAAAAAGAGGGTTTCACATCTGCTCTGTCTAAAGGACAGTTCACCTCTGTGAGTTGAATAGAGGCAACACAAAGAACTTAGTCAGTATTCTTCTTTCTAGCGTTCTATGAAGAAATCCCGTTTCCAACGAAGGCCCCAATGAGGTCCAAATATCTGCTTGCAGACTTTACAGACAGAGTGTTTCCAAACTACTCTATGAAAAGAAAGCTTAAACTCCTTGAGTTGAACGCACACATCACAAAGTAGTTTCTGAGAATGATTCTGTCTAGTTTTTATACGAAGATGTTTCCTTTTCTACATTTGGTCTCAAAGCGATTGAAATCTCCAACTGGAAACTGCACAAATAGGGTGTTTCAAATCTGCTCTGTCTAAAGGAAGGTTCAACTCTGTGAGTTGAATACACACACCACAAATAAGTTACTGAGAATTCTTCTGTCGAACATTACAGGAAGAAATCCCGTTTCCAACGAAGGCCTCAAAGAGGTCCAAATATCCACTTGCAGACATTACAAACAGAGTGTTTCCAAACTGCTCCATCAAAAGAAAGGTTAAACTCTGTGAGCTGAACACACACATCGAAAAGAAGTTTCTGTGAATGATTCTGTCTAGATTTTATAAGAAGATGTTTCCTTTTCTACCGTAGGCCTCAAAGCGCTTGAAATCTCCAGCTGCAAATTCCACAAAAAGGGTGTTTAACATCTGCTCTTCTAAAGGAAAGTTCAACTCTATGAGTTGAATACACACAGCACAAAGAAGTTACTGAGACTTCTCCTATCAAACATTATATGAAGAAATCCCGTTTCCAACGAAGGCCTCAAAGAGGTCCAAATATCTGCTTGCAGACTTTACAGACAGAGTGTTTCCAAACTGCTCCATCAAAAGAAAGGTTAACCTCCTTGAGTTGAACACACACATCACAAAGTAGTTTCTGTGAATGATTCTGTCTAGTTTTTCTACAAAGATGTTTCCTTTTCTACCTTTGGTCTCAAAGCGATTGAAATCTCCACATGGAAACTCCACAAAAAGAGTGTTTCAAATCTGCTCTTTCTGAAGGAAGGTTCAACTCTGTGAGTTGAATACACACACCACAAATAAGTTACTGAGAATTCTTCTGTGTAACATTATATGAGGAAATCCCGTTTCCAACGAAGGCCTCAAAGAGGTGCAAATATCCACTTGCAGACTTTACAAAGACAGTGTCTCCAAACTCCTCCATCAAAAGAAAGGTTATACTCTGTGAATTGAACGCACACATCACAAAGTAGTTTCTGAGAATGATTCTGTCTAGTTTTTATACGAAGATATTTCCTTTTCTACATTTGGCCTAAAAGCGCTTGAAATCTCCACCTGCAAATATCACAAAAAGAGGGTTTCACATCTGCTCTGTCTAAAGGACAGTTCACCTCTGTGAGTTGAATAGAGGCAACACCAAGAACTTACTCACTATTCTTCTTTCTAGCGTTCTATGAAGAAATCCCGTTTCCAACGAAGGCCTCAAAGAGGTCCAAATATCTGCTTGCAGACTTTACAGACAGAGTGTTTCCAAACTACTCTAGGAAAAGAAAGCTTAAACTCCTTGAGTTGAACGCACACATCACAAAGTAGTTTCTGAGAATGATTCTGTCTAGTTTTTATACAAAGATGTTTCCTTTTCTACATTTGGTCTCAAAGCGATTGAAATCTCCAACTGGAAACTGCACAAATAGGGTGTTTCAAATCTGCTCTGTCTAAAGGAAGGTTCAACTCTGTGAGTTGAATACACACACCACAAATAAGTTACTGAGAATTCTTCTGTCGAACATTACTTGAAGAAATCCCGTTTCCAACGAAGGCCTCAAAGAGGTCCAAATATCCACTTGCAGACGTTACAAACAGAGTGTTTCCAAACTGCTCCATCAAAAGAAAGGTTAAACTCTGTGAGCTGAACACACACATCAAAAAGAAGTTTCTGTGAATGATTCTGTCTAGATTTTATAAGAAGATGTTTCCTTTTCTACCGTAGGCCTCAAAGCGCTTGAAATCTCCAGCTGCAAATTCCACAAAAAGGGTGTTTAACATCTGCTCTTCTAAAGGAAAGTTCAACTCTATGAGTTGAATACACACAGCACAAAGAAGTTACTGAGACTTCTCCTATCAAACATTATATGAAGAAATCCCGTTTCCAACGAAGGCCTCAAAGAGGTCCAAATATCTACTTGCAGACTTTACAGACAGAGTGTTTCCAAACTGCTCCATCAAAAGAAAGGTTAAACTCCTTGAGTTGAACACACACATCACAAAGTAGTTTCTGTGAATGATTCTGTCTAGTTTTTATACGAAGATGTTTCCTTTTCTACCTTTGGTCTCAAAGCGATTGAAATCTCCACATGGAAACTCCACAAAAAGAGTGTTTCAAATCTGCTCTTTCTGAAGGAAGGTTCACCTCTGTGAGTTGAATAAACACACCACAAATAAGTTACTGAGAATTCTTCTGGGTAACATTATATGAGGAAATCCCGTTTCCAACGAAGGCCTCAAAGAGGTCCAAATATCCACTTGCAGACTTTACAAAGACAGTGTCTCCAAACTCCTCCATCAAAAGAAAGGTTATACTCTGTGAATTGAACGCACACATCACAAAGTAGTTTCTGAGAATGATTCTGTCTAGTTTTTATACGAAGATATTTCCTTTTCTACATTTGGCCTAAAAGTGCTTGAAATCTCCACCTGCAAATATCACAAAAAGAGGGTTTCACATCTGCTCTGTCTAAAGGACAGTTCACCTCTGTGAGTTGAATAGAGGCAACACAAAGAACTTACTCAGTATTCTTCTTTCTAGCGTTCTATGAAGAAATCCCGTTTCCAACGAAGGCCTCAAAGAGGTTCAAATATCTGCTTGCAGACTTTACAGACAGAGTGTTTCCAAACTACTCTATGAAAAGAAAGCTTAAACTCCTTGAGTTGAACGCACACATCACAAAGTAGTTTACTGAGAATGATTCTGTCTAGTTTTTATACGAAGATGTTTCCTTTTCTACATTTGGTCTCAAAGCTCTTGAAATCTCCAACTGGAAACTGCACAAATAGGCTGTTTCAAATCTGCTCTGTCTAAAGGAAGGTTCAACTCTGTGAGTTGAATACACACACCACAAATAAGTTACTGAGAATTCTTCTGTCGAACATTACAGGAAGAAATCCCGTTTCCAACGAAGGCTTCAAAGAGGTCCAAATATCCACTTGCAGACATTACAAACAGAGTGTTTCCAAACTGCTCCATCAAAAGAAAGGTTAAACTCTGTGAGCTGAACACACACATCAAAAAGAAGTTTCTGTGAATGATTCTGTCTAGATTTTATAAGAAGATGTTTCCTTTTCTACCGTAGGCCTCAAAGCGCTTGAAATCTCCAGCTGCAAATTCCACAAAAAGGGTGTTTAACATCTGCTCTTCTAAAGGAAAGTTCAACTCTATGAGTTGAATACACACAGCACAAAGAAGTTACTGAGACTTCTCCTATCTAACATTATATGAAGAAATCCCGTTTCCAACGAAGGCCTCAAAGAGGTCCAAATATCTGCTTGCAGACTTTACAGACAGAGTGTTTCCAAACTGCTCCATCAAAAGAAAGGTTAAACTCCTTGAGTTGAACACACACATCACAAAGTAGTTTCTGTGAATGATTCTGTCTAGTTTCTATACTGAAGATGTTTCCTTTTCTACCTTTGGTCTCAAAGCGATTGAAATCTCCACATGGAAACTCCACAAAAAGAGTGTTTCAAATCTGCTCTTTCTGAAGGAAGGTTCAACTCTGTGAGTTGAATACACACACCACAAATAAGTTACTGAGAATTCTTCTGGGTAACATTATATGAGGAAATCCCGTTTCCAACGAAGGCCTCAAAGAGGTCCAAATATCCACTTGCAGACTTTACAAAGACAGTGTCTCCAAACTCCTCCATCAAAAGAAAGGTTATACTCTGTGAATTGAACGCACACATCACAAAGTAGTTTCTGAGAATGATTCTGTCTAGTTTTTATACGAAGATATTTCCTTTTCTACATTTGGCCTAAAAGCGCTTGAAATCTCCACCTGCAAATATCACAAAAAGAGGGTTTCACATCTGCTCTGTCTAAAGGACAGTTCACCTCTGTGAGTTGAATAGAGGCAACACAAAGAACTTACTCAGTATTCTTCTTTCTAGCGTTCTATGAAGAAATCCCGTTTCCAACGAAGGCCCCAAAGAGGTCCAAATATCTGCTTGCAGACTTTACAGACAGAGTGTTTCCAAACTACTCTATGAAAAGAAAGCTTAAACTCCTTGAGTTGAACGCACACATCACAAAGTAGTTTCGGAGAATGATTCTGTCTAGTTTTTATACGAAGATGTTTCCTTTTCTACATTTGGTCTCAAAGCGATTGAAATCTCCAACTGGAAACTGCACAAATAGGGTGTTTCAAATCTGCTCTGTCTAAAGGAAGGTTCAACTCTGTGAGTTGAATACACACACCACAAATAAGTTACTGAGAATTCTTCTGTCGAACATTACTTGAAGAAATCCCGTTTCCAACGAAGGCCTCAAAGAGGTCCAAATATCCACTTGCAGACATTACAAACAGAGTGTTTCCAAACTACTCCATCAAAAGAAAGGTTAAACTCTGTGAGCTGAACACACACATCGAAAAGAAGTTTCTGTGAATGATTCTGTCTAGATTTTATAAGAAGATGTTTCCTTTTCTACCGTAGGCCTCAAAGCGCTTGAAATCTCCAGCTGCAAATTCCACAAAAAGGGAGTTTAACATCTGCTCTTCTAAAGGAAAGTTCAACTCTATGAGTTGAATACACACAGCACAAAGAAGTTACTGAGACTTCTCCTATCAAACATTATATGAAGAAATCCCGTTTCCAACGAAGGCCTCAAAGAGGTCCAAATATCTGCTTGCAGACTTTACAGACAGAGTGTTTCCAAACTGCTCCATCAAAAGAAAGGTTAAACTCCTTGAGTTGAACACACACATCACAAAGTAGTTTCTGTGAATGATTCTGTCTAGTTTTTATACGAAGATGTTTCCTTTTCTACCTTTGGTCTCAAAGCGATTGAAATCTCCACATGGAAACTCCACAAAAAGAGTGTTTCAAATCTGCTCTTTCTGAAGGAAGGTTCAACTGTGTGAGTTGAATACACACACCACAAATAAGTTACTGAGAATTCTTCTGTGTAACATTATATGAGGAAATCCCGTTTCCAACGAAGGCCTCAAAGAGGTCCAAATATCCACTTGCAGACTTTACAAAGACAGTGTCTCCAAACTCGTCCATCAAAAGAAAGGTTATACTCTGTGAATTGAACGCACACATCACAAAGTAGTTTCTGAGAATGATTCTGTCTAGTTTTTATACGAAGATATTTCCTTTTCTACATTTGGCCTAAAAGCGCTTGAAATCTCCACCTGCAAATATCACAAAAAGAGGGTTTCACATCTGCTCTGTCTAAAGGACAGTTCACCTCTGTGAGTTGAATAGAGGCAACACAAAGAACTTACTCAGTATTCTTCTTTCTAGCGTTATATGAAGAAATCCCGTTTCCAACGAAGGCCTCAAAGAGGTCCAAATATCTGCTTGCCGACTTTACAGACAGAGTGTTTCCAAACTACTCTATGAAAAGAAAGCTTAAACTCCTTGAGTTGAAAGCACACATCACAAAGTTGTTTCTGAGAATGATTCTGTCTTGTTTTTATACAAGGTTATTTCCGTTTCTATGATTGGCCTCAAAGCGATTGAAATCTCCAACTGGAAACTGCACAAATAGGGTGTTTCAAATCTGCTCTGTCTAAAGGAAGGTTCAACTCTGTGAGTTGAATACACACACCACAAATAAGTTACTGAGAATTCTTCTGTCGAACATTACATGAAGAATTCCCGTTTCCAACGAAGGCGTCAAAGAGGTCCAAATATCCACTTGCAGGCATTACAAACAGAGTGTTTCCAAACTGCTCCATCAAAAGAAAGGTTAAACTCTGTGAGCTGAACACACACATCAAAAAGAAGTTTCTGTGAATGATTCTGTCCAGATTTTATAAGAAGATGTTTCCTTTTCTACTGTAGTCCTCAAAGCGCTTGAAATCTCCAACTGCAAATTCCACAAAAAGGGTGTTTAACATCTGCTCTTCTAAAGGAAAGTTCAACTCTATGAGTTGAATACACACAGCACAAAGAAGTTACTGAGACTTCTCCTATCAAACATTATATGAAGAAATCCCGTGTCCAACGAAGGCCTCAAAGAGGTCCAAATATCTGCTTGCAGACTTTACAGACAGAGTGTTTCCAAACTGCTCCATCAAAAGAAAGGTTAAACTCCTTGAGTTGAACACACACATCACAAAGTAGTTTCTGTGAATGATTCTGTCTAGTTTTTATACGAAGATGTTTCCTTTTCTACCTTTGGTCTCAAAGCGATTGAAATCTCCACATGGAAACCCAACAAAAAGAGTGTTTCAAATCTGCTCTTTCTGAAGGAAGGTTCAACTCTGTGAGTTGAATACACACACCACAAATAAGTTACTGAGAATTCTTCTGTGTAACATTATATGAGGAAATCCCGTTTCCAACGAAGGCCTCAAAGAGGTCCAAATATCCACTTGCAGACTTTACAAAGACAGTGTCTCCAAACTCCTCCATCAAAAGAAAGGTTATACTCTGTGAATTGAACGCACACATCACAAAGTAGTTTCTGAGAATGATTCTGTCTAGTTTTTATACGAAGATATTTCCTTTTCTACATTTGGCCTAAAAGCGCTTGAAATCTCCACCTGCAAATATCACAAAAAGAGGGTTTCACATCTGCTCTGTCTAAAGGACAGTTCACCTCTGTGAGTTGAATAGAGGCAACACAAAGAACTTACTCAGTATTCTTCTTTCTAGCGTTCTATGAAGAAATCCCGTTTCCAACGAAGGCCCCAAAGAGGTCCAAATATCTGCTTGCAGACTTTACAGACAGAGTGTTTCCAAACTACTCTATGAAAAGAAAGCTTAAACTCCTTGAGTTGAACGCACACATCACAAAGTAGTTTCTGAGAATGATTCTGTCTAGTTTTTATACGAAGATGTTTCCTTTTCTACATTTGGTCTCAAAGCGATTGAAATTTCCAACTGGAAACTGCACAAATAGGGTGTTTCAAATCTGCTCTGTCTAAAGGAAGGTTCAACTCTGTGAGTTGAATACACACACCACAAATAAGTTACTGAGAATTCTTCTGTCGAACATTACTTGAAGAAATCCCGTTTCCAACGAAGGCCTCAAAGAGGTCCAAATATCCACTTGCAGATATTACAAACAGAGTGTTTCCAAACTGCTCCATCAAAAGAAAGGTTAAACTCTGTGAGCTGAACACACACATCAAAAAGAAGTTTCTGTGAATGATTCTGTCTAGATTTTATAAGAAGATGTTTCCTTTTCTACCGTAGGCCTCAAAGCGCTTGAAATTTCCAGCTGCAAATTCCACAAAAAGGGTGTTTAACATCTGGTCTTCTAAAGGAAAGTTCAACTCTATGAGTTGAATACACACAGCACAAAGAAGTTACTGAGACTTCTCCTATCAAACATTATATGAAGAAATCCCGTTTCCAACGAAGGCCTCAAAGAGGTCCAAATATCTGCTTGCAGACTTTACAGACAGAGTATTTCCAAACTGCTCCATCAAAAGAAAGGTTAAACTCCTTGAGTTGAACACACACATCACAAAGTAGTTTCTGTGAATGATTCTGTCTAGTTTTTATACGAAGATGTTTCCTTTTCTACCTTTGGTCTCAAAGCGATTGAAATCTCCACATGGAAACTCCACAAAAAGAGTGTTTCAAATCTGCTCTTTCTGAAGGAAGGTTCAACTCTGTGAGTTGAATACACACACCACAAATAAGTTACTGAGAATTCTTCTGTGTAACATTATATGAGGAAATCCCGTTTCCAACGAAGGCCTCAAAGAGGTCCAAATATCCACTTGCAGACTTTACAAAGACAGTGTCTCCAAACTCCTCCATCAAAAGAAAGGTTATACTCTGTGAATTGAACGCACACATCACAAAGTAGTTTCTGAGAATGATTCTGCCTAGTTTTTATACGAAGATATTTCCTTTTCTACATTTGGCCTAAAAGCGCTTGAAATCTCCACCTGCAAATATCACAAAAAGAGGGTTTCACATCTGCTCTGTCTAAAGGACAGTTCACCTCTGTGAGTTGAATAGAGGCAACACAAAGAACTTACTCAGTATTCTTCTTTCTAGCGTTCTATGAAGAAATCCCGTTTCCAACGAAGGCCCCAAAGAGGTCCAAATATCTGCTTGCAGACTTTACAGACAGAGTGTTTCCAAACTACTCTATGAAAAGAAAGCTTAAACTCCTTGAGTTGAACGCACACATCACAAAGTAGTTTCTGAGAATGATTCTGTCTAGTTTTTATACGAAGATGTTTCCTTTTCTACATTTGGTCTCAAAGCGATTGAAATCTCCAACTGGAAACTGCACAAATAGGGTGTTTCAAATCTGCTCTGTCTAAAGGAAGGTTCAACTCTGTGAGTTGAATACACACACCACAAATAAGTTACTGAGAATTCTTCTGTCGAATATTACTTGAAGAAATCCCGTTTCCAACGAAGGCCTCAAAGAGGTCCAAATATCCACTTGCAGACATTACAAACAGGGTGTTTCCAAACTGCTCCATCAAAAGAAAGGTTAAACTCTGTGAGCTGAACACACACATCAAAAAGAAGTTTCTGTGAATGATTCTGTCTAGATTTTATAAGAAGATGTTTCCTTTTCTACCGTAGGCCTCAAAGCGCTTGAAATCTCCAGCTGCAAATTCCACAAAAAGGGTGTTTAACATCTGCTCTTCTAAAGGAAAGTTCAACTCTATGCGTTGAATACACACAGCACAAAGAAGTTACTGAGACTTCTCCTATCAAACATTATATGAAGAAATCCCGTTTCCAACGAAGGCCTCAAAGAGGTCCAAATATCTGCTTGCAGACTTTACAGACAGAGTTTTTCCAAACTGCTCCATCAAAAGAAAGGTTAAACTCCTTGAGTTGAACACACACATCACAAAGTAGTTTCTGTGAATGATTCTGTCTAGTTTTTTACGAAGATGTTTCCTTTTCTACCTTTGGTCTCAAAGCGATTGAAATCTCCACATGGAAACTCCACAAAAAGAGTGTTTCAAATCTGCTCTTTCTGAAGGAAGGTTCAACTCTGTGAGTTGAATACACACACCACAAATAAGTTACTGAGAATTCTTCTGTGTAACATTATATGAGGAAATCCCGTTTCCAACGAAGGCCTCTAAGAGGTCCAAATATCCACATGCAGACTTTACAAAGACAGTGTCTCCAAACTCCTCCATCAAAAGAAAGGTTATACTCTGTGAATTGAACGCACACATCACAAAGTAGTTTCTGAGAATGATTCTGTCTAGTTTTTATACGAAGATATTTCCTTTTCTACATTTGGCCTAAAAGCGCTTGAAATCTCCACCTGCAAATATCACAAAAAGAGGGTTTCACATCTGCTCTGTCTAAAGGACAGTTCACCTCTGTGAGTTGAATAGAGGCAACACAAAGAACTTACTCAGTATTCTTCTTTCTAGCGTTCTATGAAGAAATCCCGTTTCCAACGAAGGCCCCAAAGAGGTCCAAATATCTGCTTGCAGACTTTACAGACAGAGTGTTTCCAAACTACTCTATGAAAAGAAAGCTTAAACTCCTTGAGTTGAACGCACACATCACAAAGTAGTTTCTGAGAATGATTCTGTCTAGTTTTTATACGAAGATGTTTCCTTTTCTACATTTGGTCTCAAAGCGATTGAAATCTCCAACTGGAAACTGCACAAATAGGGTGTTTCAAATCTGCTCTGTCTAAAGGAAGGTTCAACTCTGTGAGTTGAATACACACACCACAAATAAGTTACTGAGAATTCTTCTGTCGACCATTACTTGAAGAAATCCCGTTTCCAATGAAGGCCTCAAAAAGGTCCAAATATCCACTTGCAGACATTACAAACAGAGTGTTTCCAAACTGCTCCATCAAAAGAAAGGTTAAACTCTGTGAGCTGAACACACACATCAAAAAGAAGTTTCTGTGAATGATTCTGTCTAGATTTTATAAGAAGATGTTTCCTTTTCTACCGTAGGCCTCAAAGCGCTTGAAATCTCCAGCTGCAAATTCCACAAAAAGGGTGTTTTACATCTGCTCTTCTAAAGGAAAGTTCAACTCTATGAGTTGAATACACACAGCACAAAGAAGTTACTGAGACTTCTCCTATCAAACATTATATGAAGAAATCCCGTTTCCAACGAAGGCCTCAAAGAGGTCCAAATATCTGCTTGCAGACTTTACAGACAGAGTGTTTCCAAACTGCTCCATCAAAAGAAAGGTTAAACTCCTTGAGTTGAACACACACATCACAAAGTAGTTTCTGTGAATGATTCTGTCTAGTTTTTATACGAAGATGTTTCCTTTTCTACCTTTGGTCTCAATGCGATTGAAATCTCCACATGGAAACTCCACAAAAAGAGTGTTTCAAATCTGCTCTTTCTGAAGGAAGGTTCAACTCTGTGAGTTGAATACACACACCACAAATAAGTTACTGAGAATTCTTCTGTGTAACATTATATGAGGAAATCCCGTTTCCAACGAAGGCCTCAAAGAGGTCCAAATCTCCACTTGCAGACTTTACAAAGACAGTGTCTCCAAACTCCTCCATCAAAAGAAAGGTTATACTCTGTGAATTGAACGCACACATCACAAAGTAGTTTCTGAGAATGATTCTGTCTAGTTTTTATACGAAGATATTTCCTTTTCTACATTTGGCCTAAAAGCGCTTGAAATCTCCACCTGCAAATATCACAAAAAGAGGGTTTCACATCTGCTCTGTTTAAAGGACAGTTCACCTCTGTGAGTTGAATAGAGGCAACACAAAGAACTTACTCAGTATTCTTCTTTCTAGCGTTCTACGAAGAAATCCCGTTTCCAACGAAGGCCCCAAAGAGGTCCAAATATCTGCTTGCAGACTTTACAGACAGAGTGTTTCCAAACTACTCTATGAAAAGAAAGCTTAAACTCCTTGAGTTGAACGCACACATCACAAAGTAGTTTCTGAGAATGATTCTGTCTAGTTTTTATACGAAGATGTTTCCTTTTCTACGTTTGGTCTCAAAGCGATTGAAATCTCCAACTGGAAACTGCACAAATAGGCTGTTTCAAATCTGCTCTGTCTAAAGGAAGGTTCAACTCTGTGAGTTGAATACACACACCACAAATAAGTTACTGAGAATTCTTCTGTCGAACATTACTTGAAGAAATCCCGTTTCCAACGAAGGCCTCAAAGAGGTCCAAATATCCACTTGCAGACATTACAAACAGATTGTTTCCAACCTGCTCCATCAAAAGAAAGGTTAAACTCTGTGAGCTGAACACACACATCAAAAAGAAGTTTCTGTGAATGATTCTGTCTAGATTTTATAAGAAGATGTTTCCTTTTCTACCGTAGGCCTCAAAGCGCTTGAAATCTCCAGCTGCAAATTCCACAAAAAGGGTGTTTAACATCTGCTCTTCTAAAGGAAAGTTCAACTCTATGAGTTGAATACACACAGCACAAAGAAGTTACTGAGACTTCTCCTATCAAACATTATATGAAGAAATCCCGTTTCCAACGAAGGCCTCAAAGAGGTCCAAATATCTGCTTGCAGACTTTACAGACAGAGTGTTTCCAAACTGCTCCATCAAAAGAAAGGTTAAACTCCTTGAGTTGAACACACACATCACAAAGTAGTTTCTGTGAATGATTCTGTCTAGTTGTTATACGAAGATGTTTCCTTTTCTACCTTTGGTCTCAAAGCGATTGAAATCTCCACATGGAAACTCCACAAAAAGAGTGTTTGAAATCTGCTCTTTCTGAAGGAAGGTTCATCTCTGTGAGTTGAATACACACACCACAAATAAGTTACTGAGAATTCTTCTGTGTAACATTATATGAGGAAATCCCGTTTCCAACGAAGGCCTCAAAGAGGTCCAAATATCCACTTGCAGACTTTACAAAGACAGTGTCTCCAAACTCCTCCATCAAAAGAAAGGTTATACTCTGTGAATTGAACGCACACATCACAAAGTAGTTTCTGAGAATGATTCTGTCTAGTTTTTATACGAAGATATTTCCTTTTCTACATTTGGCCTAAAAGCGCTTGAAATCTCCACCTGCAAATATCACAAAAAGAGGGTTTCACATCTGCTCTGTCTAAAGGACAGTTCACCTCTGTGAGTTGAATAGAGGCAACACAAAGAACTTACTCAGTATTCTTCTTTCTAGGGTTCTATGAAGAAACGCCGTTTCCAACGAAGGCCCCAAAGAGGTCCAAATATCTGCTTGCAGACTTTACAGACAGAGTGTTTCCAAACTACTCTATGAAAAGAAAGCTTAAACTCCTTGAGTTGAACGCACACATCACAAAGTAGTTTCTGAGAATGATTCTGTCTAGTTTTTATACGAAGATGTTTCCTTTTCTACATTTGGTCTCAAAGCGATTGAAATCTCCAACTGGAAACTGCACAAATAGGGTGTTTCAAATCTGCTCTGTCTAAAGGAAGGTTCATCTCTGTGAGTTGAATACACACACCACAAATAAGTTACTGAGAATTCTTCTGTGTAACATTATATGAGGAAATCCCGTTTCCAACGAAGGCCTCAAAGAGGTCCAAATATCCACTTGCAGACTTTACAAAGACAGTGTCTCCAAACTCCTCCATCAAAAGAAAGGTTATGCTCTGTGAATTCAACGCACACATCACAAAGTAGTTTCTGAGAATGATTCTGTCTAGTTTTTATACGAAGATATTTCCTTTTCTACATTTGGCCTAAAAGCGCTTGAAATCTCCACCTGCAAATATCACAAAAAGAGGGTTTCACATCTGCTCTGTCTAAAGGACAGTTCACCTCTGTGAGTTGAATAGAGGCAACACAAAGAACTTACTCAGTATTCTTCTTTCTAGCGTTCTATGAAGAAATCCCGTTTCCAACGAAGGCCCTAAAGAGGTCCAAATATCTGCTTGCAGACTTTACAGACAGAGTGTTTCCAAACTACTCTATGAAAAGAAAGCTTAAACTCCTTGAGTTGAACGCACACATCACAAAGTAGTTTCTGAGAATGATTCTGTCTAGTTTTTATACGAAGATGTTTCCTTTTCTACATTTGGTCTCAAAGCGATTGAAATCTCCAACTGGAAACTGCACAAATAGGGTGTTTCAAATCTGCTCTGTCTAAAGGAAGGTTCAACTCTGTGAGTTGAATACACACACCACAAATAAGTTACTGAGAATTCTTCTGTCGAACATTACAGGAAGAAATCCCGTTTCCAGCGAAGGCCTCAAAGAGGTCCAAATATCCACTTGCAGACATTACAAACAGAGTGTTTCCAAACTGCTCCATCAAAAGAAAGGTTAAACTCTGTGAGCTGAACACACACATCAAAAAGAAGTTTCTGTGAATGATTCTGTCTAGATTTTCTAAGAAGATGTTTCCTTTTCTACCGTAGGCCTCAAAGCGCTTGAAATCTCCAGCTGCAAATTCCACAAAAAGGGTGTTTAACATCTGCTCTTCTAAAGGAAAGTTCAACTCCATGAGTTGAATACACACAGCACAAAGAAGTTACTGAGACTTCTCCTATCAAACATTATATGAAGAAATCCCGTTTCCAACGAAGGCCTCAAAGAGGTCCAAATATCTGCTTGCAGACTTTACAGACAGAGTTTTTCCAAACTGCTCCATCAAAAGAAAGGTTAAACTCCTTGAGTTGAACACACACATCACAAAGTAGTTTCTGTGAATGATTCTGTCTAGTTTTTATACGAAGATGTTTCCTTTTCTACCTTTGGTCTCAAAGCGATTGAAATCTCCACATGGAAACTCCACAAAAAGAGTGTTTCAAATCTGCTCTTTCTGAAGGAAGGTTCAACTCTGTGAGTTGAATACACACACCACAAATAAGTTACTGAGAATTCTTCTGTGTAACATTATATGAGGAAATCCCGTTTCCAACGAAGGCCTCAAAGAGGTCCAAATATCCACTTGCAGACGTTACAAAGACAGTGTCTCCAAACTCCTCCATCAAAAGAAAGGTTATACTCTGTGAATTGAACGCACACATCACAAAGTAGTTTCTGAGAATGATTCTGTCTAGTTTTTATACGAAGATATTTCCTTTTCTACATTTGGCCTAAAAGCGCTTGAAATCTCCACGTGCAAATATCACAAAAAGAGGGTTTCACATCTGCTCTGTCTAAAGGACAGTTCTCCTCTGTGAGGTGAATAGAGGCAACACAAAGAACTTACTCAGTATTCTTCTTTCTAGCGTTCTATGAAGAAATCCCGTTTCCAACGAAGGCCCCAATGAGGTCCAAATATCTGCTTGCAGACTTTACAGACAGAGTGTTTCCAAACTACTCTATGAAAAGAAAGCTTAAACTCCTTGAGTTGAACGCACACATCACAAAGTAGTTTCTGAGAATGATTCTGTCTAGTTTTTATACGAAGATGTTTCCTTTTCTACATTCGGTCTCAAAGCGATTGAAATCTCCAACTGGAAACTGCACAAATAGGGTGTTTCAAATCTGCTCTGTCTAAAGGAAGGTTCAACTCTGTGAGTTGAATACACACACCACAAATAAGTTACTGAGAATTTTTCTGTCGAACATTACTTGAAGAAATCCCGTTTCCAACGAAGGCCTCAAAGAGGTCCAAATATACACTTGCAGACATTACAAACAGAGTGTTTCCAAACTGCTCCATCAAAAGAAAGGTTAAACTCTGTGAGCTGAACACACACATCAAAAAGAAGTTTCTGTGAATGATTCTGTCTAGATTTTATAAGAAGATGTTTCCTTTTCTACCATAGGCCTCAAAGCGCTAGAAATCTCCAGCTGCAAATTCCACAAAAAGTGTGTTTAACATCTGCTCGGTGTAAAGTAAAGTTCAGCTCTGTGAGTTGAATACACACAGCACAAAGAAGTTACTGAGACTTCTTCTGTCTAACATGATATGAAGAAATCCCGTTTCCAACGAAGGCCTCAAAGAGGTCCAAATATCCACTTGCAGACTTGTCAAACAGAGTGTTTCCAAACTGCACCATCAAAAGAAAGGTTAAACTCTGTGAGCTGAACACACACAACACAAAGTAGTTTCTGTGAATGATTCTGTCTAGTTTTTATACGAAGATGTTTCCTTTTCTACCTTTGGTCTCAAAGCGATTGAAATCTCCACATGGAAACTCCACAAAAAGAGTGTTTCAAATGTGCTCTTTCTGAAGGAAGGTTCAACTCTGTGAGTTGAATACACACACCACAAATAAGTTACTGAGAATTCTTCTGTGTAACATTATTTGAGGAAATCCCGTTTCCAACGAAGGCCTCAAAGAGGTCCAAATATCCACTTGCAGACTTTACAAAGACAGTGTCTCCAAACTCCTCCATCAAAAGAAAGGTTATACTCTGTGAATTGAACGCACACATCACAAAGTAGTTTCTGAGAATGATTCTGTCTAGTTTTTATACGAAGATATTTCCTTTTCTACATTTGGCCTAAAAGCGCTTGAAATCTCCACCTGCAAATATCACAAAAAGAGGGTTTCACATCTGCTCTGTCTAAAGGACAGTTCACCTCTGTGAGTTGAATAGAGGCAACACAAAGAACTTACTGAGTATTCTTCTTTCTAGCGTTCTATGAAGAAATCCCGTTTCCAACGAAGGCCCCAAAGAGGTCTAAATATCTGCTTGCAGACTTTACAGACAGAGTGTTTCCAAACTACTCTATGAAAAGAAAGCTTAAACTCCTTGAGTTGAACGCACACATCACAAAGTAGTTTCTGAGAATGATTCTGTCTAGTTTTTATACGAAGATGTTTCCTTTTCTACATTTGGTCTCAAAGCGATTGAAATCTCCAACTGGAAACTGCACAAATAGGGTGTTTCAAATCTGCTCTGTCTAAAGGAAGGTTCAACTCTGTGAGTTGAATACACACACCACAAATAAGTTACAGAGAATTCTTCTGTCGAACATTACTTGAAGAAATCCCGTTTCCAACGAAGGCCTCAAAGAGGTCCAAATATCCACTTGCAGACATTACAAACAGAGTGTTTCCAAACTGCTCAATCAAAAGAAAGGTTAAACTCTGTGAGCTGAACACACACATCGAAAAGAAGTTTCTGTGAGTGATTCTGTCTAGATTTTATAAGAAGATGTTTCCTTTTCTACCGTAGGCCTCAAAGCGCTTGAAATCTCCAGCTGCAAATTCCACAAAAAGGGTGTTTAACATCTGCTCTTCTAAAGGAAAGTTCAACTCTATGAGTTGAATACACACAGCACAAAGAAGTTACTGAGACTTCTTCTGTGAAACATTATATGAGGAAATCCCCGTTTCCAACGATGGCCTCAAAGAGGTCCAAATATCTGCTTGCAGACTTTACAAAGACAGTGTCTCCAAACTCCTCCATCAAAAGAAAGGTTATACTCTGTGAATTGAACGCACACATCACAAAGTAGTTTCTGAGAATGATTCTGTCTAGTTGTTATACGAAGATGTTTCCTTTTCTACCTTTGGTCTCAAAGCGATTGAAATCTCCACATGGAAACTCCACAAAAAGAGTGTTTCAAATCTGCTCTTTCTGAAGGAAGGTTCATCTCTGTGAGTTGAATACACACACCACAAATAAGTTACTGAGAATTCTTTTGTGTAACATTATATGAGGAAATCCCGTTTCCAACGAAGGCCTCAAAGAGGTCCAAATATCCACTTGCAGACTTTACAAAGACAGTGTCTCCAAACTCCTCCATCAAAAGAAAGGTTATACTCTGTGAATTGAACGCACACATCACAAAGTAGTTTCTGAGAATGATTCTGTCTAGTTTTTATACGAAGATATTTCCTTTTCTACATTTGGCCTAAAAGCGCTTGAAATCTCCACCTGCAAATATCACAAAAAGAGGGTTTCACATCTGCTCTGTCTAAAGGACAGTTCACCTCTGTGAGTTGAATAGAGGCAACACAAAGAACTTACTCAGTATTCTTCTTTCTAGCGTTCTATGAAGAAATCCCGTTTCCAACGAAGGCCCCAAAGAGGTCCAAATATCTGCTTGCAGACTTTACAGACAGAGTGTTTCCAAACTACTCTATGAAAAGAAAGCTTAAACTCCTTGAGTTGAACGCACACATCACAAAGTAGTTTCTGAGAATGATTCTGTCTAGTTTTTATACGAAGATGTTTCCTTTTCTACATTTGGTCTCAAAGCGATTGAAATCTCCAACTGGAAACTGCACAAATAGGGTGTTTCAAATCTGCTCTGTCTAAAGGAAGGTTCAACTCTGTGAGTTGAATACACACACCACAAATAAGTTACTGAGAATTCTTCTGTCGAACATTACTTGAAGAAATCCCGTTTCCAACGAAGGCCCCAAAGAGGTCCAAATATCCACTTGCAGACATTACAAACAGAGTGTTTCCAAACTGCTCCATCAAAAGAAAGGTTAAACTCTGTGAGCTGAACACACACATCAAAAAGAAGTTTCTGTGAATGATTCTGTCTAGATTTTATAAGAAGATGTTTCCTTTTCTACCGTAGGCCTCAAAGCGCTTGAAATCTCCAGCTGCAAATTCCACAAAAAGGGTGTTTAACATCTGCTCTTCTAAAGGAAAGTTCAACTCTATGAGTTGAATACACACAGCACAAAGAAGTTACTGAGACTTCTCCTATCAAACATTATATGAAGAAATCCCGTTTCCAACGAAGGCCTCAAAGAGGTCCAAATATCTGCTTGCAGACTTTACAGACAGAGTGTTTCCAAACTGCTCCATCAAAAGAAAGGTTAAACTCCTTGAGTTGAACACACACATCACAAAGTAGTTTCTGTGAATGATTCTGTCTAGTTTTTATACGAAGATGTTTCCTTTTCTAACTTTGGTCTCAAAGCGATTGAAATCTCCACATGGAAACTCCACAAAAAGAGTGTTTCTAATCTGCTCTTTCTGAAGGAAGGTTCAACTCTGTGAGTTGAATACACACACCACAAATAAGTTACTGAGAATTCTTCTGTGTAACATTATATGAGGAAATCCCGTTTCCAACGAAGGCCTCAAAGAGGTCCAAATATCCACTTGCAGACTTTACAAAGACAGTGTCTCCAAACTCCTCCATCAAAAGAAAGGTTATACTCTGTGAATTGAACGCACACATCACAAAGTAGTTTCTGAGAATGATTCTGTCTAGTTTTTATACGAAGATATTTCCTTTTCTACATTTGGCCTCAAAGCGCTTGAAATCTCCACCTGCAAATATCACAAAAAGAGGGTTTCACATCTGCTCTGTCTAAAGGACAGTTCACCTCTGTGAGTTGAATAGAGGCAACACAAAGAACTTACTCAGTATTCTTCTTTCTAGCATTCTATGAAGAAATCCCGTTTCCAACGAAGGCCTCAAAGAGGTCCAAATATCTGCTTGCAGACTTTACAGACAGAGTTTTTCCAAACTGCTCCATCAAAAGAAAGGTTAAACTCCTTGAGTTGAACACACACATCACAAAGTAGTTTCTGTGAATGATTCTGTCTAGTTTTTATACGAAGATGTTTCCTTTTCTACCTTTGGTCTCAAAGTGATTGAAATCTCCACATGGAAACTCCACAAAAAGAGTGTTTCAAATCTGCTCTTTCTGAAGGAAGGTTCAAATCTGTGAGTTGAATACACACACCACAAATAAGTTACTGAGAATTCTTCTGTGTAACATTATATGAGGAAATCCCGTTTCCAACGAAGGCCTCAAAGAGGTCCAAATATCCACTTGCAGACTTTACAAAGACAGTGTCTCCAAACTCCTCCATCAAAAGAAAGGTTATACTCTGTGAATTGAACGCACACATCACAAAGTAGTTTCTGAGAATGATTCTGTCTAGTTTTTATACGAAGATATTTCCTTTTCTACATTTGGCCTAAAAGCGCTTGAAATCTCCACGTGCAAATATCACAAAAAGAGGGTTTCACATCTGCTCTGTCTAAAGGACAGTTCACCTCTGTGAGTTGAATAGAGGCAACACAAAGAACTTACTCAGTATTCTTCTTTCTACCGTTCTATGAAGAAATCCCGTTTCCAACGAAGGCCTCAAAGAGGTCCAAATATCTGCTTGCAGACTTTACAGACAGAGTGTTTCCAAACTACTCTATGAAAAGAAAGCTTAAACTCCTTGAGTTGAACGCACACATCACAAAGTAGTTTCTGAGAATGATTCTGTCTAGTTTTTATACGAAGATGTTTCCTTTTCTACATTTGGTCTCAAAGCGATTGAAATCTCCAACTGGAAACTGCACAAATAGGGTGTTTCAAATCTGCTCTGTCTAAAGGAAGGTTCAACTCTGTGAGTTGAATACACACACCACAAATAAGTTACTGAGAATTCTTCTGTCGAACATTACATGAAGAAATCCCGTTTCCAACGAAGGCCTCAAAGAGGTCCAAATATCCACTTGCAGACATTACAAACAGAGTGTTTCCAAACTGCTCCATCAAAAGAAAGGTTAAACTCTGTGAGCTGAACACACACATCAAAAAGAAGTTTCTGTGAATGATTCTGTCTAGATTTTATAAGAAGATGTTTCCTTTTCTACCGTAGGCCTCAAAGCGCTTGAAATCTCCAGCTGCAAATTCCACAAAAAGGGTGTTTAACATCTGCTCTTCTAAAGGAAAGTTCAACTCTATGAGTTGAATACACACAGCACAAAGAAGTTACTGAGACTTCTCCTATCAAACATTATATGAAGAAATCCCGTTTCCAACGAAGGCCTCAAAGAGGTCCAAATATCTGCTTGCAGACTTTACAGACAGAGTATTTCCAAACTGCTCCATCAAAAGAAAGGTTAAACTCCTTGAGTTGAACACACACATCACAAAGTAGTTTCTGTGAATGATTCTGTCTAGTTTTTATACGAAGATGTTTCCTTTTCTACCTTTGGTCTCAAAGCGATTGAAATCTCCACATGGAAACTCCACAAAAAGAGTGTTTCAAATCTGCTCTTTCTGAAGGAAGGTTCAACTCTGTGAGTTGAATACACACACCACAAATAAGTTACTGAGAATTCTTCTGTGTAACATTATATGAGGAAATCCCGTTTCCAACGAAGGCCTCAAAGAGGTCCAAATATCCACTTGCAGACTTTACAAAGACAGTGTCTCCAAACTCCTCCATCAAAAGAAAGGTTATACTCTGTGAATTGAACGCACACATCACAAAGTAGTTTCTGAGAATGATTGTGTCTAGTTTTTATACGAAGATATTTCCTTTTCTACATTTGGCCTAAAAGCGCTTGAAATCTCCACCTGCAAATATCAGAAAAAGAGGGTTTCACATCTGCTCTGTCTAAAGGACAGTTCACCTCTGTGAGTTGAATAGAGGCAACACAAAGTACTTACTCAGTATTCTTCTTTCTAGCGTTCTATGAAGAAATCCCGTTTCCAACGAAGGCCTCAAAGAGGTCCAAATATCTGCTTGCAGACTTTACAGAGTGTTTCCAAACTACTCTATGAAAAGAAAGCTTAAACTCCTTGAGTTGAACGCACACATCACAAAGTAGTTTCTGAGAATGATTCTGTCTAGTTTTTATACGAAGATGTTTCCTTTTCTACATTTCGTCTCAAAGCGATTGAAATCTCCAACTGGAAACTGCACAAATAGGGTGTTTCAAATCTGCTCTGTCTAAAGGAAGGTTCAACTCTGTGAGTTGAATACACACACCACAAATAAGTTACTGAGAATTCTTCTGTCGAACATTACAGGAAGAAATCCCGTTTCCAACGAAGGCCTCAAAGAGGTCCAAATATCCTCTTGCAGACATTACAAACAGTGTGTTTCCCAACTGCTCCATCAAAAGAAAGGTTAAACTCTGTGAGCTGAACACACACATCAAAAAGAAGTTTCTGTGAATGATTCTGTCTAGATTTTATAAGAAGATGTTTCCTTTTCTACCGTAGGCCTCAAAGCGCTTGAAATCTCCAGCTGCAAATTACACAAAAAGGGTGTTTAACATCTGCTCTTCTAAAGGAAAGTTCAACTCTATGAGTTGAATACACACAGCACAAAGAAGTTACTGAGACTTCTCCTATCAAACATTATATGAAGAAATCCCGTTTCCAACGAAGGCCTCAAAGAGGTCCAAATATCTACTTGCAGACTTTACAGACAGAGTGTTTCCAAACTGCTCCATCAAAAGAAAGGTTAAACTCCTTGAGTTGAACACACACATCACAAAGTAGTTTCTGTGAATGATTCTGTCTAGTTGTTATAAGAAGATGTTTCCTTTTCTACCTTTGGTCTCAAAGCGATTGAAATCTCCACATGGAAACTCCACAAAAAGAGTGTTTCAAATCTGCTCTTTCTGAAGGAAGGTTCATCTCTGTGAGTTGAATACACACACCACAAATAAGTTACTGAGAATTCTTCTGTGTAACATTATATGAGGAAATCCCGTTTCCAACGAAGGCCTCAAAGAGGTCCAAATATCCACTTGCAGACTTTACAAAGACAGTGTCTCCAAACTCCTCCATCAAAAGAAAGGTTATACTCTGTGAATTGAACGCACACATCACAAAGTAGTTTCTGAGAATGATTCTGTCTAGTTTTTATACGAAGATATTTCCTTTTCTACATTTGGCCTAAAAGCGCTTGAAATCTCCACCTGCAAATATCACAAAAAGAGGGTTTCACATCTGCTCTGTCTAAAGGACAGTTCACCTCTGTGAGTTGAATAGAGGCAACACAAAGAACGTACTCAGTATTCTTCTTTCTAGCGTTCTATGAAGAAATTACGTTTCCAACGAAGGCCCCAATGAGGTCCAAATATCTGCTTGCAGACTTTACAGACAGAGTGTTTCCAAACTACTCTATGAAAAGAAAGCTTAAACTCCTTGAGTTGAACGCACAGATCACAAAGTAGTTTCTGAGAATGATTCTGTCTAGTTTTTATACGAAGATGTTTCCTTTTCTACATTTGGTCTCAAAGCGATTGAAATCTCCAACTGGAAACTGCACAAATAGGGTGTTTCAAATCTGCTCTGTCTAAAGGAAGGTTCAACTCTTTGAGTTGAATACACACACCACAAATAAGTTACTGAGAATTCTTCTGTCGAACATTACAGGAAGAAATCTCGTTTCCAAAGAAGGCCTCAAAGAGGTCCAAATATCCACTTGCAGACATTACAAACAGAGTGTTTCCAAACTGCTCCATCAAAAGAAAGGTTAAACTCTGTGAGCTGAACACACACATCAAAAAGAAGTTTCTGTGAATGATTCTGTCTAGATTTTATAAGAAGATGTTTCCTTTTCTACCGTAGGCCTCAAAGCGCTTGAAATCTCCAGCTGCAAATTCCACAAAAAGGGTGTTTAACATCTGCTCTTCTAAAGGAAAGTTCAACTCTGTGAGTTGAATACACACAGCACAAAGAAGTTACTGAGACTTCTCCTATCAAACATTATATGAAGAAATCCCGTTTCCAACGAAGGCCTCAAAGAGGTCCAAATATCTGCTTGCAGACTTTACAGACAGAGTGTTTCCAAACTGCTCCATCAAAAGAAAGGTTAAACTCCTTGAGTTGAACACACACATCACAAAGTAGTTTCTGTGAATGATTCTGTCTAGTTTTTATACGAAGATGTTTCCTTTTCTACCTTTGGTCTCAAAGCGATTGAAATCTCCACATGGAAACTCCACAAAAAGAGTGTTTCAAATCTGCTCTTTCTGAAGGAAGGTTCAACTCTGTGAGTTGAATACACACACCACAAATAAGTTACTGAGAATTCTTCTGTGTAACATTATATGAGGAAATCCCGTTTCCAACGAAGGCCTCAAAGAGGTCCAAATATCCACTTGCAGACTTTACAAACACAGTGTCTCCAAACTCCTCCATCAAAAGAAAGGTTATACTCTGTGAATTGAACGCACACATCACAAAGTAGTTTCTGAGAATGATTCTGTCTAGTTTTTATACGAAGATATTTCCTTTTCTACATTTGGCCTAAAAGCGCTTGAAATCTCCACCTGCAAATATCACAAAAAGAGGGTTTCACATCTGCTCTGTCTAAAGGACAGTTCACCTCTGTGAGTTGAATAGAGGCAACGCAAAGAACTCAGTATTCTTCTTTCTAGTGTTCTATGAAGAAATCCCGTTTCCAACGAAGGCCCCAAAGAGGTCCAAATATCTGCTTGCAGACTTTACAGACAGAGTGTTTCCAAACTACTCTATGAAAAGAAAGCTTAAACTCCTTGAGTTGAACGCACACATCACAAAGTAGTTTCTGAGAATGATTCTGTCCAGTTTTTATACGAAGATGTTTCCTTTTCTACATTTGGTCTCAAAGCGATTGAAATCTCCAACTGGAAACTGCACAAATACGGTGTTTCAAATCTGCTCTGTCTAAAGGAAGGTTCAACTCTGTGAGTTGAATACACACACCACAAATAAGTTACTGAGAATTCTTCTGTCGAACATTACTTGAAGAAATCCCGTTTCCAACGAAGGCCTCAAAGAGGTCCAAATATTCACTTGCAGATATTACAAACAGAGTGTTTCCAAACTGCTCCATCAAAAGAAAGGTTAAACTCTGTGAGCTGAACACACACATCAAAAACAAGTTTCTGTGAATGATTCTGTCTAGGTTTTATAAGAAGATGTTTCCTTTTCTACCGTAGGACTCAAAGCGCTTGAAATCTCCAGCTGCAAATTCCACAAAAAGGGTGTTTAACATCTGCTCTTCTAAAGGAAAGTTCAACTCTATGAGTTGAATACACACAGCACAAAGAAGTTACTGAGACTTCTCCTATCAAACATTATATGAAGAAATCCCGTTTCCAACGAAGGCCTCAAAGAGGTCCAAATATCTGCTTGCAGACTTTAAAGACAGAGTTTTTCCAAACTGCTCCATCAAAAGAAAGGTTAAACTCCTTGAGTTGAACACACACATCACAAAGTAGTTTCTGTGAATGATTCTGTCTAGTTGTTATACGAAGATGTTTCCTTTTCTACCTTTGGTCTCAAAGCGATTGAAATCTCCACATGGAAACTCCACCAAAAGAGTGTTTCAAATCTGCTCTTTCTGAAGGAAGGTTCAACTCTGTGAGTTGAATACAGACACCACGAATAAGTTACTGAGAATTCTTCTGTGTAACATTATATGAGGAAATCCCGTTTCCAACGAAGGCCTCAAAGAGGTCCAAATATCTACTTGCAGACTTTACAAAGACAGTGTCTCCAAACTCCTCCATCAAAAGAAAGGTTATACTCTGTGAATTGAACGCACACATCACAAAGTAGTTTCTGAGAATGATTCTGTCTAGTTTTTATACGAAGATATTTCCTTTTCTACATTTGGCCTAAAAGCGCTTGAAATCTCCACCTGCAAATATCACAAAAAGAGGGTTTCACATCTGCTCTGTCTAAAGGACAGTTCACCTCTGTGAGTTGAATAGAGGCAACACAAAGAACTTACTCAGTATTCTTCTTTCTAGCGTTCTATGAAGAAATCCCGTTTCCAACGAAGGCCTCAAAGAGGTCAAATATCTGCTTGCAGACTTTACAGACAGAGTGTTTCCAAACTACTCTATGAAAAGAAAGCTTAAACTCCTTGAGTTGAACGCACACATCACAAAGTAGTTTCTGAGAATGATTCTGTCTAGTTTTTATACGAAGATGTTTCCTATTCTACATTTGGTCTCAAAGCGATTGAAATCTCCAACTGGAAACTGCAGAAATAGGCTGTTTCAAATCTGCTCTGTCTAAAGGAAGGTTCAGCTCTGTGAGTTGAATACACACACCACAAATAAGTTACTGAGAATTCTTCTGTCGAACATTACAGGAAGAAATCCCGTTTCCAACGAAGGCCTCAAAGAGGTCCAAATATCCACTTGCAGACATTACAAACAGTGTGTTTCCCAACTGCTCCATCAAAAGAAAGGTTAAACTCTGTGAGCTGAACACACACATCAAAAAGAAGTTTCTGTGAATGATTCTGTCTAGATTTTATAAGAAGATGTTTCCTTTTCTACCGTAGGCCTCAAAGCGCTTGAAATCTCCAGCTGCAAATTCCACAAAAAGGGTGTTTAACATCTGCTCTTCTAAAGGAAAGTTCAACTCTGTGAGTTGAATACACACAGCACAAAGAAGTTACTGAGACTTCTCCTATCAAACATTATATGAAGAAATCCCGTTTCCAACGAAGGCCTCAAAGAGGTCCAAATATCTGCTTGCAGACTTTACAGACAGAGTGTTTCCAAACTGCTCCATCAAAAGAAAGGTTAAACTCCTTGAGTTGAACACACACATCACAAAGTAGTTTCTGTGAATGATTCTGTCTAGTTGTTATACGAAGATGTTTCCTTTTCTACCTTTGGTCTCAAAGCGATTGAAATCTCCACATGGAAACTCCACAAAAAGAGTGTTTCAAATCTGCTCTTTCTGAAGGAAGGTTCATCTCTGTGAGTGGAATACACACACCACAAATAAGTTAGTGAGAATTCTTCTGTGTAACATTATATGAGGAAATCCCGTTTCCAACGAAGGCCTCAAAGAGGTCCAAATATCCACTTGCAGACTTTACAAAGACAGTATCTCCAAACTCCTCCATCAAAAGAAAGGTTATTCTCTGTGAATTGAACGCACACATCACAAAGTAGTTTCTGAGAATGATTCTGTCTAGTTTTTATACGAAGATATTTCCTTTTCTACATTTGGCCTAAAAGCGCTTGAAATCTCCACCTGCAAATATCACAAAAAGAGGGTTTCACATCTGCTCTGTCTAAAGGACAGTTCACCTCTGTGAGTTGAATAGAGGCAACACAAAGAACTTACTCAGTATTCTTCTTTCTAGCGTTCTATGAAGAAATCCCGTTTCCAACGAAGGCCCCAATGAGGTCCAAATATCTGCTTGCAGACTTTACAGACAGAGTGTTTCCAAACTACTCTATGAAAAGAAAGCTTAAACTCCTTGAGTTGAACGCACACATCACAAAGTAGTTTCTGAGAATGATTCTGTCTAGTTTTTATACGAAGATGTTTCCTTTTCTACATTTGGTCTCAAAGCGATTGAAATCTCCAACTGGAAACTGCACAAATAGGGTGTTTCAAATCTGCTCTGTGTAAAGGAAGGTTCAACTCTGTGAGTTGAATACACACACCACAAATAAGTTACTGAGAATTCTTCTGTCGAACATTACTTGAAGAAATCCCGTTTCCAACGAAGGCCTCAAAGAGGTCCAAATATCCACTTGCAGACATTACAAACAGAGTGTTTCCAAACTGCTCCATCAAAAGAAAGGTTAAACTCTGTGAGCTGAACACACACATCAAAAAGAAGTTTCTGTGAATGATTCTGTCTAGATTTTATAAGAAGATGTTTCCTTTTCTACCGTAGGCCTCAAAGCGCTTGAAATCTCCAGCTGCAAATTCCACAAAAAGGGTGTTTAACATCTGCTCTTCTAAAGGAAAGTTCACCTCTATGAGTTGAATACACACAGCACAAAAAGTTACTGAGACTTCTCCTATCAAACATTATATGAAGAAATCCCGTTTCCAACGATGGCCTCAAAGAGGTCCAAATATCTGCATGCAGACTTTACAAAGACAGTGTCTCCAAACTCCTCCATCAAAAGAAAGGTTATACTCTGTGAATTGAACGCACACATCACAAAGTAGTTTCTGAGAATGATTCTGTCTAGTTTTTATACGAAGATGTTTCCTTTTCTACCTTTGGTCTCAATGCGATTGAAATCTCCACATGGAAACTCCACAAAAAGAGTGTTTCAAATCTGCTCTTTCTGAAGGAAGGTTCAACTCTGTGAGTTGAATACACACACCACAAATAAGTTACTGAGAATTCTTCTGTGTAACATTATATGAGGAAATCCCGTTTCCAACGAAGGCCTCAAAGAGGTCCAAATATCCACTTGCAGACTTTACAAAGACAGTGTCTCCAAACTCCTCCATCAAAAGAAAGGTTATACTCTGTGAATTGAACGCACACATCACAAAGTAGTTTCTGAGAATGATTCTGTCTAGTTTTTATACGAAGATATTTCCTTTTCTACATTTGGCCTAAAATCGCTTGAAATCTCCACCTGCAAATATCACAAAAAGAGGGTTTCACATCTGCTCTGTCTAAAGGACAGTTCACCTCTGTGAGTTGAATAGAGGCAACACAAAGAACTTACTCAGTATTCTTCTTTCTAGCGTTCTATGAAGAAATCCCGTTTCCAACGAAGGCCCCAAAGAGGTCCAAATATCTGCTTGCAGACTTTACAGACAGAGTGTTTCCAAACTACTCTATGAAAAGAAAGCTTAAACTCCTTGAGTTAAATGCACACATCACAAAGTAGTTTCTGAGAATGATTCTGTCTGGTTTTTATACGAAGATGTTTCCTTTTCTACATTTGGTCTCAAAGCGATTGAAATCTCCAACTGGAAACTGCACAAATAGGGTGTTTCAAATCTGCTCTGTCTAAAGGAAGGTTCAACTCTGTGAGTTGAATACACACACCACAAATAAGTTACTGAGAATTCTTCTGTCGAACATTACTTGAAGAAATCCCGTTTCCAACGAAGGCCTCAAAGAGGTCCAAATATCCACTTGCAGACATTACAAACAGAGTGTTTCCAGACTGCTCCATCAAAAGAAAGGTTAAACTCTGTGAGCTGAACACACACATCAAAAAGAAGTTTCTGTGAATGATTCTGTCTAGACTTTAGAAGAAGATGTTTCCTTTTCTACCGTAGGCCTCAAAGCGCTTGAAATCTCCAGCTGCAAATTCCACAAAAAGGGTGTTTAACATCTGCTCTTCTAAAGGAAAGTTCAACTCCATGAGTTGAATACACACAGCACAAAGAAGTTACTGAGACTTCTCCTATCAAACATTATATGAAGAAATCCCGTTTCCAACGAAGGCCTCAAAGAGGTCCAAATATCTGCTTGCAGACTTTACAGAGAGTGTTTCCAAACTGCTCCATCAAAAGAAAGGTTAAACTCCTTGAGTTGAACACACACATCACAAAGTAGTTTCTGTGAATGATTCTGTCTAGTTTTTATACGAAGATGTTTCCTTTTCTACCTTTGGTCTCAAAGCGATTGAAATCTCCACATGGAAACTCCACAAAAAGAGTGTTTCAAATCTGCTCTTTCTGAAGGAAGGTTCAACTCTGTGAGTTGAATACACACACCACAAATAAGTTACTGAGAATTCTTCTGTGTAACATTATATGAGGAAATCCCGTTTCCAACGAAGGCGTCAAAGAGGTCCAAATATCCACTTGCAGACTTTACAAAGACAGTGTCTCCAAACTCCTCCATCAAAAGAAAGGTTATACTCTGTGAATTGAACGCACACATCACAAAGTAGTTTCTGAGAATGATTCTGTCTAGTTTTTATACGAAGATATTTCGTTTTCTACATTTGGCCTAAAAGCGCTTGAAATCTCCACCTGCAAATATCACAAAAAGAGGGTTTCACATCTGCTCTGTCTAAAGGACAGTTCACCTCTGTGAGTTGTATAGAGGCAACAGAAAGAACTTACTCAGTATTATTCTTTCTAGCGTTCTATGAAGAAATCTCTTTTCCAACGAAGGCCTCAAAGAGGTCCAAATATCTGCTTGCAGACTTTACAGACAGAGTGTTTCCAAACTACTCTATGAAAAGAAAGCTTAAACTCCTTGAGTTGAACGCACAGATCGCAAAGTAGTTTCTGAGAATGATTCTGTCTTGTTTTTATACGAAGATATTTCCGTTTCTATGATTGGCCTCAAAGCGATTGAAATCTCCAACTGGAAGCTGCACAAATAGGGTGTTTCAAATCTGCTCTGTCTAAAGGAAGGTTCAACTCTGTGAGTTGAATACACACACTACAGGTAAGTTACTGAGAATTCTTCTGTCGAACATTACATGAAGAAATCCCGTTTCCAACGAAGGCCTCAAAGAGGTCCAAATATCCACTTGCAGACATTACAAACAGAGTGTTTCCAAACTGCTCCATCAAAAGAAAGGTTAAACCCTGTGAGCTGAACACACACATCAAAAAGAAGTTTCTGTGAATGATTCTGTCTAGATTTTAGAAGAAGATGTTTCCTTTTCTACCGTAGGCCTCAAAGCGCTTGAAATCTCCAGCTGCAAATTCCACAGAAAGGGTGTTTAACATCTGCTCTTCTAAAGGAAAATTTAACTCTATGAGTTGAATACACACAGCACAAAGAAGTTACTGAGACTTCTCCTATCAAACATTATATGAAGAAATCCCGTTTCCAAAGAAGGCCCCAAAGCAGTCCAAATATCCACTTGCAGACGTGAAAAACAGAGTGTTTCCAAACTGCCATATCAAAAGAAAGGTTAAACTCTGTGAGCTGAACACACACATCACAAAGTAGTTTCTGTGAATGATTCTGTCTAGTTTTTATACGAAGATGTTTCCTTTTCTACCTTTGGTCTCAAAGCGATGGATATCTCCACATGGAAACTCCACAAAATGAGTGTTTCAAATCTGCTCTTTCTGAAGGAAGGTTCAACTCTGTGAGTTGAATACACACACCACAAATAAGTTGCTGAGAATTCTTCTGTGTAACATTATATGAGGAAATCCCGTTTCCAACGAAGGCCTCAAAGAGGTCCAAATATCCACTTGCAGACTTTACAAAGACAGTGTCTCCAAACTCCTCCATCAAAAGAAAGGTTATACTCTGTGAATTGAACGCACACATCACAAAGTAGTTTCTGAGAATGATTATCTGTCTTGTTTTTATACGAAGATATTTCCGTTTCTATGATTGGCCTCAAAGCGATTGAAATCTCCAACTGGAAACTGCACAAATAGGGTGATTCAAATCTGCTCTGTCTAAAGGAAGGTTCAACTCTGTGAGTTGAATACACACACCAGAAATAAGTTACTGAGAATTCTTCTCTCGAACATTACATGAAGAAATCCCGTTTCCAACGAAGGCCTCAAAGAGGTCCAAATATCCACTTGCCGACATGGCAAACACAGTGTTTGCAAACTGCTCCGTCAAAAGAAAGGTTAAACTCTGTGAGATGAACACACACATCAAAAAGAAGTTTCTGTGAATGATTCTGTCTAGATTTTATAAGAAGATGTTCCTTTTCTACCATAGTCCTCAAACCGCTAGAAATCTCCAGCTCCAAATTCCACAAAATTGTGTTTAACATCTGCTCTGTCTAAAGAAAAGTTCAGCTCTGTGAGTTGAATACACACAGCACAAAGAAGTTACTGAGTCTTCTCCTATCAAACATTATAGGACGAAATCCCGTTTCCAACGAAGGCCTCAAAGAGGTCCAAATATCCACTTGCAGAAGTGACAAACAGAGTGTTTGCAAACTGCTCCATCAAAAGAAATGTTAAACTCTGTGAGTTGAACACACACATCACAAAGTAGTTTCAGTGAACGATTCTGTCTAGTTTTTATACGAAGAATGTTTCCTTTTCTACCTTTGGTCTCAAAGCGATTGAAATCTCCACATGGAAACTCCACAAAAAGAGTGTTTCAAATCTGCTCTTTCTGAAGGAAGTTTCAACTCTGTGAGTTGAATACACACACCACAAATAAGTTACTGAGAATTCTTCTCGTGTAACATTATATGAGGAAATCCCGTTTCCAACGAAGGCCTCAAAGAGGTCCAAATATCCACTTGCAGACTTTACAAAAACAGTGTCTCCAAACTCCTCCATCAAAAGAAAGGTTATACTCTGTGAATTGAACGCACACATCACAAAGTAGTTTCTGAGAATGATTCTGTCTAGTTTTTATACGAGGATATTTCCTTTTCTACATTTGGCCTAAAAGCGCTTGAAATCTCCACCTGCAAATATCACAAAAAGAGGGTTTCACATCTGCTGTGTCTAAAGGACAGTTCACCTCTGTGAGTTGAATAGAGGCAACACAAAGAACTTACTCAGTATTCTTCTTTCTAGCATTCTATGAAGAAATCCCGTTTCCAACGAATGCCCCAAAGAGGTCCAAATATCTGCTTGCAGACTTTACAGACAGAGTGTTTCCAAACTGCTCCATCAAAAGAAAGGTTAAACTCCTTGAGTTGAACACACACATCACAAAGTAGTTTCTGTGAATGATTCTGTCTAGTTTTTATACGAAGATGTTTCCTTTTCTACATTTGGTCTCAAAGCGATTGAAATCTCCAACTGGAAACTGCACAAATAGGGTGTTTCAAATCTGCTCTGTCTAAAGGAAGGTTCAACTCTGTGAGTTGAATACACACAACACAAATAAGTTACTGAGAATTCTTCTGTCGAACATTACTTGAAGAAATCCCGTTTCCAAAGAAGGCCTCAAAGAGGTCAAAATATCCACTTGCAGACATTACAAACAGAGTGTTTCAAAACTGCTCCATCAAAAGAAAGGTTAAACTCTGTGAGCTGAACACACACATCGAAAAGAAGTTTCTGTGAATGATTCTGTCTAGATTTTATAAGAAGATGTTTCCTTTTCTACTGTAGGCCTCAAAGCGCTTGAAATCTCCAGCTGCAAATTCTACAAAAATGGTGTTTAACATCTGCTCTTCTAAAGGAAAGTTCAACTCTATGCGTTGAATAAACACAGCAGAAAGAAGTTACTGAGACTTCTCCTATCAAACATTATATGAAGAAATCCCGTTTCCAACGAAGGCCCCAAAGAGGTCCAAATATCTGCTTGCAGAATTTACAGACAGAGTTTTTCCAAACAGCTCCATCAAAAGAAAGGTTAAACTCCTTGAGTTGAACACACACATCACAAAGTAGTTTCTGTGAATGATTCTGTCTAGTTTTTATACGAAGATGTTTCCTTTTCTACCTTTGGTCTCAAAGCGATTGAAATCTCCACATGGAAACTCCACAAAAAGAGTGTTTCAAATCTGCTCTTTCTGAAGGAAGGTTCAACTCTGTGAGTTGAATACACACACCACAAATAAGTTACTGAGAATTCTTCTGGGTAACATTATATGAGGAAATCCCGTTTCCAACGAAGGCCTCAAAGAGGTCCAAATATCCACTTGCAGACTTTACAAAGACAGTGTCTCCAAACTCCTCCATCAAAAGAAAGGTTATACTCTGTGAATTGAACGCACACATCACAAAGTAGTTTCTGAGAATGATTCTGTCTTGTTTTTATACGAAGATATTTCCTTTTCTACATTTGGCCTAAAAGCGCTTGAAATCTCCACCTGCAAATATCACAAAAAGAGGGTTTCACATCTGCTCTGTCTAAAGGACAGTTCACCTCTGTGAGTTGAATAGAGGCAACACAAAGAACTTACTCAGTATTCTTCTTTCTAGCGTTCTATGAAGAAATCCCGTTTCCAACGAAGGCCCCAAAGAGGTCCAAATATCTGCTTGCAGACTTTACAGACAGAGTGTTTCCAAACTACTCTATGAAAAGAAAGCTTAAACTCCTTGAGTTGAACGCACACATCACAAAGTAGTTTCTGAGAATGATTCTGTCTAGTTTTTATACGAAGATGTTTCCTTTTCTACATTTGGTCTCAAAGCGATTGAAATCTCCAACTGGAAACTGCACAAATAGGGTGTTTCAAATCTGCTCTGTCTAAAGGAAGGTTCAACTCTGTGAGTTGAATACACACACCACAAATAAGTTACTGAGAATTCTTCTGTCGAACATTACTTGAAGAAATCCCGTTTCCAACGAAGGCCTCAAAGAGGTCCAAATATCCACTTGCAGACATTACAAACAGAGTGTTTCCAAACTGCTCCATCAAAAGAAAGGTTAAACTCTGTGACCTGAACACACACATCGAAAAGAAGTTTCTGTGAATGATTCTGTCTAGATTTTATAAGAAGATGTTTCCTTTTCTACCGTAGGCCTCAAAGCGCTTGAAATCTCCAGCTGCAAATTCCACAAAAAGGGTGTTTAACATCTGCTCTTCTAAAGGAAAGTTCAACTCTATGAGTTGAATACACACAGCACAAAGAAGTTACTGAGACTTCTCCTATCAAACATTATATGAAGAAATCCCGTTTCCAACGAAGGCCTCAAAGAGGTCCAAATATCTGCTTGCAGACTTTACAGACAGAGTGTTTCCAAACTGCTCCATCAAAAGAAAGGTTAAACTCCTTGAGTTGAACACACACATCACAAAGTAGTTTCTGTGAATGATTCTGTCTAGTTTTTATACGAAGATGTTTCCTTTTCTACCTTTGGTCTCAAAGCGATTGAAATCTCCACATGGAAACTCCACCAAAAGAGTGTTTCAAATCTGCTCTTTCTGAAGGAAGGTTCAACTCTGTGAGTTGAATACAGACACCACAAATAAGTTACTGAGAATTCTTCTGTGTAACATTATATGAGGAAATCCCGTTTCCAACGAAGGCCTCAAAGAGGTCCAAATATCCACTTGCAGACTTTACAAAGACAGTGTCTCCAAACTCTTCCATCAAAAGAAAGGTTATACTCTGTGAATTGAACGCACACATCACAAAGTAGTTTCTGAGAATGATTCTGTCTAGTTTTTATACGAAGATATTTCCTTTTCTACATTTGGCCTAAAAGCGCTTGAAATCTCCACCTGCAAATATCACAAAAAGAGGGTTTCACATCTGCTCTGTCTAAAGGACAGTTCACCTCTGTGAGTTGAATAGAGGCAACACAAAGAACTTACTCAGTATTCTTCTTTCTAGCGTTCTATGAAGAAATCCCGTTTCCAACGAAGGCCTCAAAGAGGTCAAATATCTGCTTGCAGACTTTACAGACAGAGTGTTTCCAAACTACTCTATGAAAAGAAAGCTTAAACTCCTTGAGTTGAACGCACACATCACAAAGTAGTTTCTGAGAATGATTCTGTCTAGTTTTTATACGAAGATGTTTCCTTTTCTACATTTGGTCTCAAAGCGATTGAAATCTCCAACTGGAAACTGCACAAATAGGCTGTTTCAAATCTGCTCTGTCTAAAGGAAGGTTCAGCTCTGTGAGTTGAATACACACACCACAAATAAGTTACTGAGAATTCTTCTGTCGAACATTACAGGAAGAATTCCCGTTTCCAACGAAGGCCTCAAAGAGGTCCAAATATCCACTTGCGGACATTACAAACAGTGTGTTTCCCAACTGCTCCATCAAAAGAAAGGTTAAACTCTGTGAGCTGAACACACACATCAAAAAGAAGTTTCTGTGAATGATTCTGTCTAGATTTTATAAGAAGATGTTTCCTTTTCTACCGTAGGCCTCAAAGCGCTTGAAATCTCCAGCTGCAAATTCCACAAAAATGGTGTTTAACATCTGCCCTTCTAAAGGAAAGTTCAACTCTACGAGTTGAATACACACAGCACAAAGAAGTTACTGAGACTTCTCCTATCAAACATTATATGAAGAAATCCCGTTTCCAACGAAGGCCTCAAAGAGGTCCAAATATCTGCTTGCCGACTTTACAGACAGAGTGTTTCCAAACTGCTCCATCAAAAGAAAGGTTAAACTCCTTGAGTTGAACACACACATCACAAAGTAGTTTCTGTGAATGATTCTGTCTAGTTTTTATACGAAGATGTTTCCTTTTCTGCCTTTGGTCTCAAAGCGATTGAAATCTCCACATGGAAACTCCACAAAAAGAGTGTTTCAAATCTGCTCTTTCTGAAGGAAGGTTCAACTCTGTGAGTTGAATACACACACCACAAATAAGTTACTGAGAATTCTTCTGTGTAACATTATATGAGGAAATCCCGTTTCCAACGAAGGCCTCAAAGAGGTCCAAATATCCACTTGCAGACTTTACAAAGACAGTGTCTCCAAACTCCTCCATCAAAAGAAAGGTTATACTCTGTGAATTGAACGCACACATCACAAAGTAGTTTCTGAGAATGATTCTGTCTAGTTTTTATACGAAGATATTTCCTTTTCTACATTTGGCCTAAAAGCGCTTGAAATCTCCACCTGCAAATATCACAAAAAGAGGGTTTCACATCTGCTCTGTCTAAAGGACAGTTCACCTCTGTGAGTTGAATAGAGGCAACACAAAGAACTTACTCAGTATTCTTCTTTCTAGCGTTCTATGAAGAAATCCCGTTTCCAACGAAGGCCTCAAAGAGGTCAAATATCTGCTTGCAGACTTTACAGACAGAGTGTTTCCAAACTACTCTATGAAAAGAAAGCTTAAACTCCTTGAGATGAACGCACACATCACAAAGTAGTTTCTGAGAATGATTCTGTCTAGTTTTTATACGAAGATGTTTCCTTTTCTACATTTGGTCTCAAAGCGATTGAAATCTCCAACTGGAAACTGCACAAATAGGCTGTTTCAAATCTGCTCTGTCTAAAGGAAGGTTCAGCTCTGTGAGTTGAATACACACACCACAAATAAGTTACTGAGAATTCTTCTGTCGAACATTACTTGAAGAAATCCCGTTTCCAACGAAGGCCTCAAAGAGGTCCAAATATCCACTTGCAGACATTACAAACAGAGTGTTTCCAAACTGCTCCATCAAAAGAAAGGTTAAACTCTGTGAGCTGAACACACACATCAAAAAGAAGTTTCTGTTAATGATTCTGTCTAGATTTTATAAGAAGATGTTTCCTTTTCTACCGTAGGCCTCAAAGCGCTTGAAATCTCCAGCTGCAAATTCCACAAAAAGGGTGTTTAACATCTGCTCTTCTAAAGGAAAGTTCAACTCTATGAGTTGAATACACACAGCACAAAGAAGTTACTGAGACTTCTCCTATCAAACATTATATGAAGAAATCCCGTTTCCAACGAAGGCCTCAAAGAGGTCCAAATATCTGCTTGCAGACTTTACAGACAGAGTGTTTCCAAACTGCTCCATCAAAAGAAAGGTTAACCTCCTTGAGTTGAACACACACATCACAAAGTAGTTTCTGTGAATGATTCTGTCTAGTTTTTATACGAAGATGTTTCCTTTTCTACCTTTGGTCTCAAAGCGATTGAAATCTCCACATGGAAACTCCACAAAAAAGAGTGTTTCAAATCTGCTCTTTCTGAAGGAAGGTTCAACTCTGTGAGTTGAATACACACACCACAAATAAGTTACTGAGAATTCTTCTGTGTAACATTATATGAGGAAATCCCGTTTCCAACGAAGGCCTCAAAGAGGTCCAAATATCCACTTGCAGACTTTACAAAGACAGTGTCTCCAAACTCCTCCATCAAAAGAAAGGTTCTACTCTGTGAATTGAACACACACATCACAAAGTAGTTTCTGAGAATGATTCTGTCTAGTTTTTATACGAAGATATTTCCTTTTCTACATTTGGCCTAAAAGCGCTTGAAATCTCCACCTGCAAATATCACAAAAAGAGGGTTTCACATCTGCTCTGTCTAAAGGACAGTTCACCTCTGTGAGTTGAATAGAGGCAACACAAAGAACTTACTCAGTATTCTTCTTTCTAGCGTTCTATGAAGAAATCCCGTTTCCAACGAAGGCCTCAAAGAGGTCCAAATATCTGCTTGCAGACTTTACAGACAGAGTGTTTCCAAACTACTCTATGAAAAGAAAGCTTAAACTCCTTGAGTTAAACGCACACATCACAAAGTAGTTTCTGAGAATGATTGTGTCTAGTTTTTATACGAAGATGTTTCCTTTTCTACATTTGGTCTCAAAGCGATTGAAATCTCCAAGTGCAAACTGCACAAATAGGTTGTTTCAAATCTGCTCTGTCTAAAGGAACGTTCAACTCTGTGAGTTGAATACACACACCACAAATAAGTTACTGAGAATTCTTCTGTCGAACATTACATGAAGAAATCCCGTTTCCAACGAAGGCCTCAAAGAGGTCCAAATATCCACTTGCAGGCATTACAGAGTGTTTCCAAACTGCTCCATCAAAAGAAAGGTTAAACTCTGTGAGCTGAACACACATATCGAAAAGAAGTTTCTGTGAATGATTCTGTCTAGATTTTATAAGAAGATGTTTCCTTTTCTACCGTAGGCCTCAAAGCGCTTGAAATCTCCAGCTGCAAATTCCACAAAAAGGGTGTTTAACATCTGCTCTTCTAAAGGAAAGTTCAACTCTATGAGTTGAATACACACAGCACAAAGAAGTTACTGAGACTTCTCCTATCAAACATTATATGAAGAAATCCCGTTTCCAACGAAGGCCTCAAAGAGGTCCAAATATCTGCTTGCAGACTTTACAGACAGAGTGTTTCCAAACTGCTCCATCAAAAGAAAGGTTAACCTCCTTGAGTTGAACACACACATCACAAAGTAGTTTCTGTGAATGATTCTGTCTAGTTTTTATACGAAGATGTTTCCTTTTCTACCTTTGGTCTCAAAGCGATTGAAATCTCCACATGGAAACTCCACAAAAAAGAGTGTTTCAAATCTGCTCTTTCTGAAGGAAGGTTCAACTCTGTGAGTTGAATACACACACCACAAATAAGTTACTGAGAATTCTTCTGTGTAACATTATATGAGGAAATCCCGTTTCCAACGAAGGCCTCAAAGAGGTCCAAATATCCACTTGCAGACTTTACAAAGACAGTGTCTCCAAACTCCTCCATCAAAAGAAAGGTTCTACTCTGTGAATTGAACGCACACATCACAAAGTAGTTTCTGAGAATGATTCTGTCTAGTTTTTATACGAAGATATTTCCTTTTCTACATTTGGCCTAAAAGCGCTTGAAATCTCCACCTGCAAATATCACAAAAAGAGGGTTTCACATCTGCTCTGTCTAAAGGACAGTTCACCTCTGTGAGTTGAATAGAGGCAACACAAAGAACTTACTCAGTATTCTTCTTTCTAGCGTTCTATGAAGAAATCCCGTTTCCAACGAAGGCCTCAAAGAGGTCCAAATATCTGCTTGCAGACTTTACAGACAGAGTGTTTCCAAACTACTCTATGAAAAGAAAGCTTAAACTCCTTGAGTTAAACGCACACATCACAAAGTAGTTTCTGAGAATGATTCTGTCTAGTTTTTATACGAAGATGTTTCCTTTTCTACATTTGGTCTCAAAGCGATTGAAATCTCCAACTGGAAACTGCACAAATAGGGTGTTTCAAATCTGCTCTGTCTAAAGGAAGGTTCAACTCTGTGAGTTGAATACACACACCACAAATAAGTTACTGAGAATTCTTGTGTCGAACATTACATGAAGAAATCCCGTTTCCAACGAAGGCCTCAAAGAGGTCCAAATATCCACTTGCAGACATTACAAACAGAGTGTTTCCAAACTGCTCAATCAAAAGAAAGTTTAAACTCTGTGAGCTGAACACACACATCAAAAAGAAGTTTCTGTGAATGATTCTGTCTAGATTTTATAAGAAGATGTTTCCTTTTCTACCGTAGGCCTCAAAGCGCTTGAAATCTCCAGCTGCAAATTCCACAAAAAGGGTGTTTAACATCTGCTCTTCTAAAGAAAAGTTCAACTCTATGAGTTGAATACACACAGCACAAAGAAGTTACTGAGACTTCTCCTATCAAACATTATATGAAGAAATCCCGTTTCCAACGAAGGCCTCAAAGAGGTCCAAATATCTGCTTGCCGACTTTACAGACAGAGTGTTTCCAAACTGCTCTATCAAAAGAAAGGTTAACCTCCTTGAGTTGAACACACACATCACAAAGTAGTTTCTGTGAATGATTCTGTCTAGTTTTTATACGAAGATGTTTCCTTTTCTACCTTTGGTCTCTAAGCGATTGAAATCTCCACATGGAAACTCCACAAAAAGAGTGTTTCAAATCTGCTCTTTCTGAAGGAAGGTTCAACTCTGTGAGTTGAATACACACACCACAAATAAGTTACTGAGAATTCTTCTGTGTAACATTATATGAGGAAATCCCGTTTCCAACGAAGGCCTCAAAGAGGTCCAAATATCCACTTGCAGACTTTACAAAGACAGTGTCTCCAAACTCCTCCATCAAAAGAAAGGTTATACTCTGTGAATTGAACGCACACATCACAAAGTAGTTTCTGAGAATGATTCTGTCTAGTTTTTATACGAAGATATTTCCTTTTCTACATTTGGCCTAAAAGTGCTTGAAATCTCCACCTGCAAATATCACAAAAAGAGGGTTTCACATCTGCTCTGTCTAAAGGACAGTTCACCTCTGTGAGTTGAATAGAGGCAACACAAAGAACTTACTCAGTATTCTTCTTTCTAGCATTCTATGAAGAAATCCCGTTTCCAACGAAGGCCTCAAAGAGGTCCAAATATCTGCTTGCAGACTTTACAGACAGAGTTTTTCCAAACTGCTCCATCAAAAGAAAGGTTAAACTCCTTGAGTTGAACACACACATCACAAAGTAGTTTCTGTGAATGATTCTGTCTAGTTTCTATACGAAGATGTTTCCTTTTCTACCTTTGGTCTCAAAGCGATTGAAATCTCCACATGGAAACTCCACAAAAAGAGTGTTTCAAATCTGCTCTTTCTGAAGGAAGGTTCAACTCTGTGAGTTGAATACACACACCACAAATAAGTTACTGAGAATTCTTCTGTGTAACATTATATGAGGAAATCCCGTTTCCAACGAAGGCCTCAAAGAGGTCCAAATATCCACTTGCAGACTTTACAAAGACAGTGTCTCCAAACTCCTCCATCAAAAGAAAGGTTATACTCTGTGAATTGAACGCACACATCACAAAGTAGTTTCTGAGAATGATTCTGTCTAGTTTTTATACGAAGATATTTCCTTTTCTACATTTGGCCTAAAAGCGCTTGAAATCTCCACCTGCAAATATCACAAAAAGAGGGTTTCACATCTGCTCTGTCTAAAGGACAGTTCACCTCTGTGAGTTGAGTAGAGGCAACACAAAGAACTTACTCAGTATTCTTCTTTCTAGCGTTCTATGAAGAAATCCCGTTTCCAACGAAGTCCCCAAAGAGGTCCAAATATCTGCTTGCAGACTTTACAGACAGAGTGTTTCCAAACTACTCTATGAAAAGAAAGATTAAACTCCTTGAGTTGAACGCACACATCACAGAGTAGTTTCTGAGAATGATTCTGTCTAGTTTTTATACGAAGATGTTTCCTTTTCTACATTTGGTCTCAAAGCTCTTGAAATCTCCAACTGGAAACTGCACAAATAGGCTGTTTCAAATCTGCTCTGTCTAAAGGAAGGGTCAGCTCTGTGAGTTGAATACACACACCACAAATAAGTTACTGAGAATTCTTCTGTCGAACATTACAGGAAGAAATCCCGTTTCCAACGAAGGCCTCAAAGAGGTCCAAATATCCACTTGCAGACATTACAAACAGTGTGTTTCCAAACTGCTCCATCAAAAGAAAGGTTAAACTCTGTGAGCTGAACACACACATCAAAAAGAAGTTTCTGTGAATGATTCTGTCTAGATTTTATAAGAAGATGTTTCCTTTTCTACCGTAGGCCTCAAAGCGCTTGAAATCTCCAGCTGCAAATTCCACAAAAAGGGTGTTTAACATCTGCTCTTCTAAAGGAAAGTTCAACTCTATGAGTTGAATACACACAGCACAAAGAAGTTACTGAGACTTCTCCTATCAAACATTATATGAAGAAATCCCGTTTCCAACGAAGGCCTCAAAGAGGTCCAAATATCTGCTTGCAGACTTTACAGACAGAGTTTTTCCAAACTGCTCCATCAAAAGAAAGGTTAAACTCCTTGAGTTGAACACACACATCACAAAGTAGTTTCTGTGAATGATTCTGTCTAGTTTTTATAAGAAGATGTTTCCTTTTCTACCTTTGGTCTCAAAGCGATTGAAATCTCCACATGGAAACTCCACAAAAAGAGTGTTTCAAATCTGCTCTTTCTGAAGGAAGGTTCAACTCTGTGAGTTGAATACACACACCACAAATAAGTTACTGAGAATTCTTCTGTGTAACATTATATGAGGAAATCCCGTTTCCAACGAAGGCCTCAAAGAGGTCCAAATATCCACTTGCAGACTTTACAAAGACAGTGTCTCCAAACTCCTCCATCAAAAGAAAGGTTATACTCTGTGAATTGAACGCACACATCACAAAGTAGTTTCTGAGAATGATTCCGTCTGGTTTTCATACGAAGATATTTCATTTTCTACATTTGGCCTAAAAGTGCTTGAAATCTCCACCTGCAAATATCACAAAAAGAGGGTTTCACATCTGCTCTGTCTAAAGGACAGTTCACCTCTGTGAGTTGAATAGAGGCAACACAAAGAACTTACTCAGTATTCTTCTTTCTAGCGTTATATGAAGAAATCCCGTTTCCAACGAAGGCCTCAAAGAGGTCCAAATATCTGCTTGCAGACTTTACAGACAGAGTGTTTCCAAACTACTCTATGAAAAGAAAGCTTAAACTCCTTGAGTTGAACGCACACATCACAAAATAGTTTCTGAGAATGATTCTGTCTAGTTTTTATACGATGATGTTTCCTTTTCTACCTTTGGTCTCAAAGCCATTGAAATCTCCAACTAGAAACTGCACACATAGGGTGTTTCAAATCTGCTCTTTCTGAAGGAAGGTTCAACTCTGTGAGTTGAATACACACACCACAAATAAGTTACTGAGAATTCTTCTGTGTAACATTATATGAGGAAATCCCGTTTCCAACGAAGGCCTCAAAGACGTCCAAATATCCACTTGCAGTCTTTACAAAGACAGTGTCTCCAAACTCCTCCATCAAAAGAAAGGTTATACTCTGTGATTTGAACGCACACATCACAAAGTAGTTTCTGAGAATGATTCTGTGTGGTTTTTATGCGAAGATATTTCCTTTTCTACATTTGGCCTAAAAGTGCTTGAAATCTCCACCTGCAAATATCACAAAAATAGGGTTTCACATCTGTTCTGTCTGAAGGACAGTTCACCTCTGTGAGTTGAATTGAGGCAACACAAAGAACTTACTCAGTATTCTTCTTTCTAGTGTTATATGAAGAAATCCCGTTTCCAACGAAGGCCTCAAAGAGGTCCAAATATCTGCTTGCAGAGTTTACAGACAGAGTGTTTCCAAACTACTCTACGAAAAGAAAGCTTAAACTCCTTGAGTTGAACGCACACATCACAAAATAGTTTCTGAGAATGATTCTGTCTAGTTTTTATACGAAGATGTTTCCTTTTCCACATTTGGTCTCAAAGCGATTGAAATCTGCAACTGGAAACTGCACAAATAGGGTGTATCAAATCTGCTCTGTCTAAAGAAGGTTCAACTCTGTGAGTTGAATACACACACCACAAATAAGTTACTGAGAATTCTTCTGTCGAACATTACTTGAAGAAATCCCGTTTCCAACGAAGGCCTCAAAGAGGTCCAAATATCTGCTTGCAGACTTTACAGACAGAGTGTTTCCAAACTACTCTATGAAAAGAAAGCTTAAACTCCTTGAGTTGAACGCACACATCACAAAGTAGTTTCTGAGAATGATTCTGTCTAGTTTTTATACGAAGATATTTCCTTTTCTACATTTGGTCTCAAAGCGATTGAAATCTCCAACTGGAAACTGCACAAATAGGGTGTTTCAAATCTGCTCTGTCTAAAGGAAGGTTCAACTCTGTGAGTTGAATACACACACCACAAATAAGTTACTGAGAATTCTTCTGTCGAAAATTACTTGAAGAAATCCCGTTTCCAACGAAGGCCTCAAAGAGCTCCAAATATCCACTTGCAGACATTACAAACAGAGTGTTTCCAAACTGCTCCATCAAAAGAAAGGTTAAACTCTGTGAGCTGAACACACACATCAAAAAGAAGATTCTGTGAATGATTCTGTCTAGATTTTATAAGATGTGTCCTTTTCTACCGTAGGCCTCAAAGCGCTTGAAATCTCCAGCTGCAAATTCCACAAAAAGGGTGTTTAACATCTGCTCTTCTAAAGGAAAGTTCAACTCTATGAGTTGAATACACACAGCACAAAGAAGTTACTGAGACTTCTCCTATCAAACATTATATGAAGAAATCCCGTTTCCAACGAAGGCCTCAAAGAGGTCCAAATATCTACTTGCAGACTTTACAGACAGAGTGTTTCCAAACTGCTCCATCAAAAGAAAGGTTAAACTCCTTGAGTTGAACACACACATCACAAAGTAGTTTCTGTAAATGATTCTGTCCAGTTTTTATACGAAGATGTTTCCTTTTCTACCTTTGGTCTCAAAGCGATTGAAATCTCCACATGGAAACTCCACAAAAAGAGTGATTCAAATCTGCTCTTTCTGAAGGAAGGTTCAACTCTGTGAGTTGAATACACACAACACAAATAAGTTACTGAGAATTCTTCTGTGTAACATTATATGAGGAAATCCCGTTTCCAACGAAGGCCTCAAAGAGGTCCAAATATCCACTTGCAGACTTTACAGAGACAGTGTCTCCAAACTCCTCCATCAAAAGAAAGGTTATACTCTGTGAATTGAACGCACACATCACAAAGTAGTTTCTGAGAATGATTCTGTCTAGTTTTTATACGAAGATATTTCCTTTTCTACATTTGGCCTAAAAGCGCTTGAAATCTCCACGTGCAAATATCACAAAAAGAGGGTTTCACATCTGCTCTGTCTAAAGGACAGTTCACCTCTGTGAGTTGAATAGAGGCAACACAAAGAACTTACTCAGTATTCTTCTTTCTAGCGTTCTATGAAGAAATCCCGTTTCCAACGAAGGACTCAAAGAGGACCAAATATCTGCTTGCAGACTTTACAGACAGAGTGTTTCCAAACTACTCTATGAAAAGAAAGCTTAAACTCCTTGAGTTGAACGCACACATCACAAAGTAGTTTCTGAGAATGATTCTGTCTAGTTTTTATACGAAGATGTTTCCTTTTCTACATTTGGTCTCAAAGCGATTGAAATCTCCAACTGGAAACTGCACAAATAGGGTGTTTCAAATCTGCTCTGTCTAAAGGAAGGTTCAACTCTGTGAGTTGAATACACACACCACAAATAAGTTACTGAGAATTCTTCTGTCGAACATTACAGGAAGAAATCCCGTTTCCAACGAAGGCCTCAAAGAGGTCCAAATATCCACTTGCAGACATTACAAACAGTGTGTTTCCCAACTGCTCCATCAAAAGAAAGGTTAAACTCTGTGAGCTGAACACACACATCAAAAAGAAGTTTCTGTGAATGATTCTGTCTAGATTTTATAAGAAGATGTTTCCTTTTCTACCGTAGGCCTCAAAGCGCTTGAAATCTCCAGCTGCAAATTCCACAAAAAGGGTGTTTAACATCTGCTCTTCTAAAGGAAAGTTCAACTCTATGAGTTGAATACACACAGCACAAAGAAGTTACTGAGACTTCTCCTATCAAACATTATATGAAGAAATCCCGTTTGCAACGAAGGCCTCAAAGAGGTCCAAATATCTGCTTGCAGACTTTACAGACAGAGTGTTTCCAAACTGCTCCATCAAAAGAAAGGTTAAACTCCCTGAGTTGAACACACACATCACAAAGTAGTTTCTGTGAATGATTCTGTCTAGTTTTTATACGAAGATGTTTCCTTTTCTACCTTTGGTCTCAATGCGATTGAAATCTCCACATGGAAACTCCACAAAAAGAGTGTTTCAAATCTGCTCTTTCTGAAGGAAGGTTCAACTCTGTGAGTTGAATACACACACCACAATTAAGTTACTGAGAATTCTTCTGTGTAACATTATATGAGGAAATCCCGTTTCCAACGAAGGCCTCAAAGAGGTCCAAATATCCACTTGCAGACTTTACAAAGACAGTGTCTCCAAGCTCCTCCATAAAATGAAAGGTTATACTCTGTGAATTGAACGCACACATCACAAAGTAGTTTCTGAGAATGATTCTGTCTGGTTTTTATACGAAGATATTTCCTTTTCTACATTTGGCCTAAAAGTGCTTGAAATCTCCACCTGCAAATATCACAAAAAGAGGGTTTCACATCTGCTCTGTCTAAAGGACAGTTCACCTCTGTGAGTTGAATAGAGGCAACACAAAGAACTTACTCAGTATTCTTCTTTCTAGCGTTATATGAAGAAATCCCGTTTCCAACGAAGGCCTCAAAGAGGTCCAAATATCTGCTTGCAGACTTTACAGACAGAGTGTTTCCAAACTACTCTATGAAAAGAAAGCTTAAACTCCTTGAGTTGAACGCACACATCACAAAGTAGTTTCTGAGAATGATTCTGTCTAGTTTTTATACGAAGATGTTTCCTTTTCTACATTTGGTCTCAAAGCGATTGAAATCTCCAACTGGAAACTGCACAAATAGGGTGTTTCAAATCTGCTCTGTCTAAAGGAAGGTTCAACTCTGTGAGTTGAATACACACACCACAAATAAGTTACTGAGAATTCTTCTGTCGAACATTACTTGAAGAAATCCCGTTTCCAACGAAGGCCTCAAAGAGGTCCAAATATCCACTTGCAGACATTATAAACAGAGTGTTTCCAAACTGCTCCATCAAAAGAAAGGTTAAACTCTGTGAGCTGAACACACACATCAAAAAGAAGTTTCTGTGAATGATTCTGTCTAGATTTTATAAGAAGATGTTTCCTTTTCTACCGTAGGCCTCAAAGCGCTTGAAATCTCCAGCTGCAAATTCCACAAAAAGGGTGTTTAACATCTGCTCTTCTAAAGGAAAGTTCAACTCTATGAGTTGAATACACACAGCACAAAGAAGTTACTGAGACTTCTCCTATCAAACATTATATGAAGAAATCCCGTTTCCAACGAAGGCCTCAAAGAGGTCCAAATATCTGCTTGCAGACTTTACAGACAGAGTGTTTCCAAACTGCTCCATCAAAAGAAAGGTTAAACTCCTTGAGTTGAACACACACATCACAAAGTAGTTTCTGTGAATGATTCTGTCTAGTTGTTATACGAAGATGTTTCCTTTTCTACCTTTGGTCTCAAAGCGATTGAAATCTCCACATGGAGACTCCACAAAAAGAGTGTTTCAAATCTGCTCTTTCTGAAGGAAGGTTCATGCTCTGTGAGTTGAATACACACACCACAAATAAGTTACTGAGAATTCTTCTGTGTAACATTATATGAGGAAATCCCGTTTCCAACGAAGGCCTCAAAGAGGTCCAAATATCCACTTGCAGACTTTACAAAGACAGTGTCTCCAAACTCCTCCATCAAAAGAAAGGTTATACTCTGTGAATTGAACGCACACATCACAAAGTAGTTTCTGAGAATGATTCTGTCTAGTTTTTATACGAAGATATTTCCTTTTCTACATTTGGCCTAAAAGCGCTTGAAATCTCCACCTGCAAATATCACAAAAAGAGGGTTTCACATCTGCTCTGTCTAAAGGACAGTTCACCTCTGTGAGTTGAATAGAGGCAACACAAAGAACTTACTCAGTATTCTTCTTTCTAGCGTTCTGTGAAGAAATCCCGTTTCCAACGAAGGCCTCAAAGAGGTCAAATATCTGCTTGCAGACTTTACAGACAGAGTGTTTCCAAACTACTCTATGAAAAGAAAGCTTAAACTCCTTGAGTTGAACGCACACATCACAAAGTAGTTTCTGAGAATGATTCTGTCTAGTTTTTATACGAAGATGTTTCCTTTTCTACATTTGGTCTCAAAGCGATTGAAATCTCCAACTGGAAACTGCACAAATAGGCTGTTTCAAATCTGCTCTGTCTAAAGGAAGGTTCAGCTCTGTGAGTTGAATACACACACCACAAATAAGTTACTGAGAATTCTTCTGTCGAACATTACAGGAAGAAATCCCGTTTCCAACGAAGGCCTCAAAGAGGTCCAAATATCCACTTGCAGACATTACAAACAGTGTGTTTCCCAACTGCTCCATCAAAAGAAAGGTTAAACTCTGTGAGCTGAACACACACATCAAAAAGAAGTTTCTGTGAATGATTCTGTCTAGATTTTATAAGAAGATGTTTCCTTTTCTACCGTAGGCCTCAAAGCGCTTGAAATCTCCAGCTGCAAATTCCACAAAAAGGGTGTTTAACATCTGCTCTTCTAAAGGAAAGTTCAACTCTATGAGTTGAATACACACAGCACAAAGAAGTTACTGAGACTTCTCCTATCAAACATTATATGAAGAAATCCCGTTTCCAACGAAGGCCTCAAAGAGGTCCAAATATCTGCTTGCAGACTTTACAGACAGAGTGTTTCCAAACTGCTCCATCAAAAGAAAGGTTAAACTCCTTGAGTTGAACACACACATCACAAAGTAGTTTCTGTGAATGATTCTGTCTAGTTTTTATACGAAGATGTTTCCTTTTCTACCTTTGGTCTCAAAGCGATTGAAATCTCCACATGGAAACTCCACAAAAAGAGTGTTTCAAATCTGCTCTTTCTGAAGGAAGGTTCAACTCTGTGAGTTGAATACACACACCACAAATAAGTTACTGAGAATTCTTCTGTGTAACATTATATGAGGAAATCCCGTTTCCAACGAAGGCCTCAAAGAGGTCCAAATATCCACTTGCAGACTTTACAAAGACAGTGTCTCCAAACTCCTCCATCAAAAGAAAGGTTATACTCTGTGAATTGAACGCACACATCACAAAGTAGTTTCTGAGAATGATTCTGTCTAGTTTTTATACGAAGATATTTCCTTTTCTACATTTGGCCTAAAAGCGCTTGAAATCTCCACCTGCAAATATCATAAAAAGAGGGTTTCACAATCTGCTCTGTCTAAAGGACAGTTCACCTCTGTGAGTTGAATAGAGGCAACACAAAGAACTTACTCAGTATTCTTCTTTCTAGCGTTCTATGAAGAAATCCCGTTTCCAACGAAGGCCTCAAAGAGGTCAAATATCTGCTTGCAGACTTTACAGACAGAGTGTTTCCAAACTACTCTATGAAAAGAAAGCTTAAACTCCTTGAGATGAACGCACACATCACAAAGTAGTTTCTGAGAATGATTCTGTCTAGTTTTTATACGAAGATGTTTTCCTTTTCTACATTTGGTCTCAAAGCGATTGAAATCTCCAACTGGAAACTGCACAAATAGGCTGTTTCAAATCTGCTCTGTCTAAAGGAAGGTTCAGCTCTGTGAGTTGAATACACACACCACAAATAAGTTACTGAGAATTCTTCTGTCGAACATTACAGGAAGAAATCCCGTTTCCAACGAAGGCCTCAAAGAGGTCCAAATATCCACTTGCAGACATTACAAACAGTGTGTTTCCCAACTGCTCCATCAAAAGAAAGGTTAAACTCTGTGAGCTGAACACACACATCAAAAAGAAGTTTCTGTGAATGATTCTGTCTAGATTTTATAAGAAGATGTTTCCTTTTCTACCGTAGGCCTCAAAGCGCTTGAAATCTCCAGCTGCAAATTCCACAAAAAGGGTGTTTAACATCTGCTCTTCTAAAGGAAAGTTCAACTCTATGAGTTGAATACACACAGCACAAAGAAGTTACTGAGACTTCTCCTATCAAACATTATATTAAGAAATCCCGTTTCCAACGAAGGCCTCAAAGAGGTCCAAATATCTGCTTGCAGACTTTACAGACAGAGTGTTTCCAAACTGCTCCATCAAAAGAAAGGTTAAACTCCTTGAGTTGAACACACACATCACAAAGTAGTTTCTGTGAATGATTCTGTCTAGTTTTTATACGAAGATGTTTCCTTTTCTACCTTTGGTCTCAATGCGATTGAAATCTCCACATGGAAACTCCACAAAAAGAGTGTTTCAAATCTGCTCTTTCTGAAGGAAGGTTCATCTCTGTGAGTTGAATACACACACCACAAATAAGTTACTGAGAATTCTTCTGTGTAACATTATATGAGGAAATCCCGTTTCCAACGAAGGCCTCAAAGAGGTCCAAATATCCACTTGCAGACTTTACAAAGACAGTGTCTCCAAACTCCTCCATCAAAAGAAAGGTTATACTCTGTGAATTGAACACACACGTCACAAAGTAGTTTCTGAGAATGATTCTGTCTAGTTTTTATACGAAGATATTTCCTTTTCTACATTTGGCCTAAAATCGCTTGAAATCTCCACCTGCAAATATCACAAAAAGAGGGTTTCACATCTGCTCTGCCTAAAGGACATTTCACCTCTGTGAGTTGAATAGAGGCAACACAAAGAACTTACTCAGTATTCTTCTTTCTAGCGTTCTATGAAGAAATCCCGTTTCCAACGAAGGCCCCAAAGAGGTCCAAATATCTGCTTGCAGACTTTACAGACAGAGTGTTTCCAAACTACTCTATGAAAAGAAAGCTTAAACTCCTTGAGTTGAACGCACACATCACAAAGTAGTTTCGGAGAATGATTCTGTCTAGTTTTTATACGAAGATGTTTCCTTTTCTACATTTGGTCTCAAAGCGATTGAAATCTCCAACTGGAAACTGCACAAATAGGGTGTTTCAAATCTGCTCTGTCTAAAGGAAGGTTCAACTCTGTGAGTTGAATACACACACCACAAAGAAGTTACTGAGAATTCTTCTGTCGAACATTACTTGAAGAAATCCCGTTTCCAACGAAGGCCTCAAAGAGGTCCAAATATCCACTTGCAGACATTACATACAGAGTGTTTCCAAACTGCTCCATCAAAAGAAAGGTTAAACTCTGTGAGCTGAACACACACATCGAAAAGAAGTTTCTGTGAATGATTCTGTCTAGATTTTATAAGAAGATGTTTCCTTTTCTACAGTAGGCCTCAAAGCGCTTGAAATCTCCAGCTGCAAATTCCACAAAAAGGGTGTTTAACATCTGCTTTTCTAAAGGAAAGTTCAACTCATAGAGTTGAACACACACAGCAGAAGAAGTTACTGAGACTTCTCCTATCAAACATTATATGAAGAAATCCCGTTTCCAACGAAGGCCTCAAAGAGGTCCAAATATCTGCTTGCAGACTTTACAGACAGAGTGTTTCCAAACTGCTCCATCAAAAGAAAGGTGAAACTCCTTGAGTTGAACACACACATCACAAAGTAGTTTCTGTGAATGATTCTGTCTAGTTTTTATACGAAGATGTTTCCTTTTCTACCTTTGGTCTCAAAGCGATTGAAATCTCCACATGGAAACTCCACAAAAAGAGTGTTTCAAATCTGCTCTTTCTGAAGGAAGGTTCAACTCTGTGAGTTGAATACACACACCACAAATAAGTTACTGAGAATTCTTCTGTGTAACATTATATGAGGAAATCCCGTTTCCAACGAAGGCCTTAAAGAGGTCCAAATATCCACTTGCAGACTTTACAAAGACAGTGTCTCCAAACTCCTCCATCAAAAGAAAGGTTATACTCTGTGAATTGAACGCACACATCACAAAGTAGTTTCTGAGAATGATTCTGTCTAGTTTTTATACGAAGATATTTCCTTTTCTACATTTGGCCTAAAAGCACTTGAAATCTCCACCTGCAAATATCACAAAAAGAGGGTTTCACATCTGCTCTGTCTAAAGGACAGTTCACCTCTGTGAGTTGAATAGAGGCAACACAAAGAACTTACTCAGTATTCTTCTTTATAGCGTTCTATGAAGAAATCCCGTTTCCAACGAAGGCCTCAAAGAGGTCCAAATATCTGCTTGCAGACTTTACAGACAGAGTGTTTCCAAACTACTCTATGAAAAGAAAGGTTAAACTCCTTGAGTTGAACGCACACATCACAAAGTAGTTTCTGAGAATGATTCTGTCTAGTTTTTATACGAAGATGTTTCCTTTTCTACATTTGGTCTCAAAGCGATTGAAATCTCCAACTGGAAACTGCACAAATAGGGTGTTTCAAATCTGCTCTGTCTAAAGGAAGGTTCAACTCTGTGAGTTGAATACACACACCACAAATAAGTTACTGAGAATTCTTCTGTCGAACATTACTTGAAGAAATCCCGTTTCCAACGAAGGCCTCAAAGAGGTCCAAATATCCACTTGCAGACATTACAAACAGAGTGTTTCCAAACTGCTCCATCAAAAGAAAGGTTAAACTCTGTGAGCTGAACACACACATCGAAAAGAAGTTTCTGTGAATGATTCTGTCTAGATTTTATAAGAAGATGTTTCCTTTTCTACCGTAGGCCTCAAAGCGCTTGAAATCTCCAGCTGCAAATTCCACAAAAAGGGTGTTTAACATCTGCTCTTCTAAAGGAAAGTTCAACTCTATGAGTTGAATACACACAGCACAAAGAAGTTACTGAGACTTCTCCTATCAAACAGTATATGAAGAAATCCCGTTTCCAACGAAGGCCTCAAAGAGGTCCAAATATCTGCTTGCAGACTTTACAGACAGAGTGTTTCCAAACTGCTCCATCAAAAGAAAGGTTAAACTCCTTGAGTTGAACACACACATCACAAAGTAGTTTCTGTGAATGATTCTGTCTAGTTTTTATACGAAGATGTTTCCTTTTCTACCTTTGGTCTCAAAGCGATTGAAGTCTCCACATGGAAACTCCACAAAAAGAGTGTTTCAAATCTGCTCTTTCTGAAGGAAGGTTCAACTCTGTGAGTTGAATACACACACCACAAATAAGTTACTGAGAATTCTTCTGTGTAACATTATATGAGGAAATCCCGTTTCCAACGAAGGCCTCAAAGAGGTCCAAATATCCACTTGCAGACTTTACAAAGACAGTGTCTCCAAACTCCTCCATCAAAAGAAAGGTTATACTATGTGAATTGAACGCACACATCACAAAGTAGTTTCTGAGAATGATTCTGTCTAGTTTTTATACGAAGATATTTCCTTTTCTACATTTGGCCTAAAAGCGCTTGAAATCTCCAACTGCAAATATCACAAAAAGAGGGTTTCACATCTGCTCTGTCTAAAGGACAGTTCACCTCTGTGAGTTGAATAGAGGCAACACAAAGAACTTACTCAGTATTCTTCTTTCTAGCGTTCTATGAAGAAATCCGGTTTCCAACGAAGACCCCAATGAGGTCCAAATATCTGCTTGCAGACTTTACAGACAGAGTGTTTCCAAACTACTCTATGAAAAGAAAGCTTAAACTCCTTGAGTTGAACGCACACATCACAAAGTAGTTTCTGAGAATGATTCTGTCTAGTTTTTATACGAAGATGTTTCCTTTTCTACATTTGGCCTAAAAGTGCTTGAAATCTCCACCTGCAAATATCACAAAAAGAGGGTTTCACATCTGCTCTGTCTAAAGGACAGTTCACCTCTGTGAGTTGAATAGAGGCAACACAAAGAACTTACTCAGTATTCTTCTTTCTAGCGTTATATGAAGAAATCCCGTTTCCAACGAAGGCCTCAAAGAGGTCCAAATATCTGCTTGCAGACTTTACAGACAGAGTGTTTCCAAACTACTCTATGAAAAGAAAGCTTAAACTCCTTGAGTTGAACGCACACATCACAAAGTAGTTTCTGAGAATGATTCTGTCTAGTTTTTATACGAAGATGTTTCCTTTTCTACATTTGGTCTCAAAGCGATTGAAATCTCCAACTGGAAACTGCACAAATAGGGTGTTTCAAATCTGCTCTGTCTAAAGGAAGGTTCAACTCTGTGAGTTGAATACACACACCACAAATAAGTTACTGAGAATTCTTCTGTCGAACATTACAGGAAGAAATCCCGTTTCCAACGAAGGCCTCAAAGAGGTCCAAATATCCACTTGCAGACATTACAAACAGTGTGTTTCCCAACTGCTCCATCAAAAGAAAGGTTAAACTCTGTGAGCTGAACACACACATCAAAAAGAAGTTTCTGTGAATGATTCTGTCTAGATTTTATAAGAAGATGTTTCCTTTTCTACCGTAGGCCTCAAAGCGCTTGAAATCTCCAGCTGCAAATTCCACAAAAAGGGTGTTTAACATCTGCTCTTCTAAAGGAAAGTTCAACTCTATGAGTTGAATACACACAGCACAAAGAAGTTACTGAGACTTCTCCTATCAAACATTATATGAAGAAATCCCGTTTCCAACGAAGGCCTCAAAGAGGTCCAAATATCTGCTTGCAGACTTTACAGACAGAATGTTTCCAAACTGCTCCATCAAAAGAAAGGTTAAACTCCTTGAGTTGAACACACACATCACAAAGTAGTTTCTGTGAATGATTCTGTCTAGTTTTTATACGAAGATGTTTCCTTTTCTACCTTTGGTCTCAAAGCGATTGAAATCTCCACATGGAAACTCCACAAAAAGAGTGTTTCAAATCTGCTCTTTCTGAAGGAAGGTTCAACTCTGTGAGTTGAATACACACACCACAAATAAGTTACTGAGAATTCTTCTGTGTAACATTATATGAGGAAATCCCGTTTCCAACGAAGGCCTCAAAGAGGTCCAAATATCCACTTGCAGACTTTACAAAGACAGTGTCTCCAAACTCCTCCATCAAAAGAAAGGTTATACTCTGTGAATTGAACGCACACATCACAAAGTAGTTTCTGAGAATGATTCTGTCTAGTTTTTATACGAAGATATTTCCTTTTCTACATTTGGCCTAAAAGCGCTTGAAATCTCCACCTGCAAATATCACAAAAAGAGGGTTTCACATCTGCTCTGTCTAAAGGACAGTTCACCTCTGTGAGTTGAATAGAGGCAACACAAAGAACGTACTCAGTATTCTTCTTTCTAGCGTTCTATGAAGAAATCCCGTTTCCAACGAAGGCCCCAAAGAGGTCCAAATATCTGCTTGCACACTTTACAGACAGAGTGTTTCCAAACTACTCTATGAAAAGAAAGCTTAAACTCCTTGAGTTGAACGCACACATCACAAAGAGTTTCTGAGAATGATTCTGTCTAGTTTTTATACGAAGATGTTTCCTTTTCTACATTTGGTCTCAAAGCGATTGAAATCTCCAACTGGAAACTGCACAAATAGGGTGTTTCAAATTTGCTCTGTCTAAAGGAAGGTTCAACTCTGTGAGTTGAATACACACACCACAAATAAGTTACTGAGAATTCTTCTCCCGAACATTACTTGAAGAAATCCCGTTTCCAACGAAGGCCTCAAAGAGGTCCAAATATCCACTTGCAGACATTACAAACAGAGTGTTTCCAAACTGCTCCATCAAAAGAAAGGTTAAACTCTGTGAGCTGAACACACACATCAAAAAGAAGTTTCTGTGAATGATTCTGTCTAGATTTTATAAGAAGATGTTTCCTTTTCTACCGTAGGCCTCAAAGCGCTTGAAATCTCCAGCTGCAAATTCCACAAAAAGGGTGTTTAACATCTGCTCTTCTAAAGGAAAGTTCAACCCTATGAGTTGAATACACACAGCACAAAGAAGTTACTGAGACTTCTCCTATCAAACATTATATGAAGAAATCCCGTTTCCAACGAAGGCCTCAAAGAGGTCCAAATATCTGCTTGCAGACTTTACAGACAGAGTGTTTCCAAACTGCTCCATCAAAAGAAAGGTTAAACTCCTTGAGTTGAACACACACATCACAAAGTAGTTTCTGTGAATGATTCTGTCTAGTTGTTATACGAAGATGTTTCCTTTTCTACCTTTGGTCTCAAAGCGATTGAAATCTCCACATGGAAACTCCACAAAAAGAGTGTTTCAAATCTGCTCTTTCTGAAGGAAGGTTCATCTCTGTGAGTTGAATACACACACCACAAATAAGTTACTGAGAATTCTTCTGTGTAACATTATATGAGGAAATCCCGTTTCCAACGAAGGCCTCAAAGAGGTCCAAATATCCACTTGCAGACTTTACAAAGACAGTGTCTCCAAACTCCTCCATCAAAAGAAAGGTTATACTCTGTGAATTGAACGCACACATCACAAAGTAGTTTCTGAGAATGATTCTGTCTAGTTTTTATACGAAGATATTTCCTTTTCTACATTTGGCCTAAAAGCGCTTGAAATCTCCACCTGCAAATACCACAAAAAGAGGGTTTCACATCTGCTCTGTCTAAAGGACAGTTCACCTCTGTGAGTTGAATAGAGGCAACACAAAGAACTTACTGAGTATTCTTCTTTCTAGCGTTCTATGAAGAAATCCCGTTTCCAACGAAGGCCTCAAAGAGGTCAAATATCTGCTTGCAGACTTTACAGACAGAGTGTTTCCAAACTACTCTATGAAAAGAAAGCTTAAACTCCTTGAGTTGAACGCACACATCACAAAGTAGTTTCTGAGAATGATTCTGTCTAGTTTTTATACGAAGATGTTTCCTTTTCTACATTTGGTCTCAAAGCGATTGAAATCTCCAACTGGAAACTGCACAAATAGGCTGTTTCAAATCTGCTCTGTCTAAAGGAAGGTTCAGCTCTGTGTGTTGAATACACACACCACAAATAAGTTACTGAGAATTCTTCTCCCGAACATTACCTGAAGAAATCCCGTTTCCAACGAAGGCCTCAAAGAGGTCCAAATATCAACTTGCCGAGATGGCAAACACAGTGTTTGCAAACTGCTCCGTCAAAAGAAAGGTTAAACTCTGTGAGATGAACACACACATCAAAAAGAAGTTTCTGTGAATGATTCTGTCTAGATTTTATAAGAAGATGTTTCCTTTTCTACCATAGGCCTCAAAGCGCTAGAAATCTCCAGCTGCAAATACCACAAAAAGTGTGTTTAACATCCACTCTGTCTAAAGTAAAGTTCAGTTCTGTGAGTTGAATACACACAGCACAAAGAAGTTACTGAGACTTCTTCTGTCTAACATTGTATGAAGAAATCCCGTTTCCAACGAAGGCCTCAAAGAGGTCCAAATATCCACTTGCAGACTTGTCAATCGGAGTGTTTCCAAACTGCACCATCAAAAGAAAGGTTAAACTCTGTGAGCTGAACACACACATCACAAAGTAGTTTCTGTGAATGATTCTGTCTAATTTTTATACGAAGATGTTTCCTTTTCTACATTTGGCCTAAAAGCGCTTGAAATCTCCACCTGCAAATATCACAAAAAGAGGGTTTCACATCTGCTCTGTCTAAAGGACAGTTCACCTCTGTGAGTTGAATAGAGGCAACACAAAGAAGTTACTGAGTATTCTTCTTTCTAGCGTTATATGAAGAAATCCCGTTTCCAACGAAGGCCTCAAAGAGGTCCAAATATCTGCTTGCAGACTTTACACACATAGTGTTTCCAAACTACTCTATGAAAAGAAAGCTTAAAATCCTTGAGTTGAACGCACACATCACAAAATAGTTTCTGAGAATGATTCTGTCTTGTTTTTATACGAAGATATTTCCGTTTCTACGATTGGCCTCAAAGCGATTGAAATCTCCAACTGGAAACTGCACAAATAGGGTGTTTCAAATCTGCTCTGTCTAAAGGAAGGTTCAACTCTGTGAGTTGAATACACACACCACAAATAAATTACTGAGAATTCTTCTGTCGAACATTACATGAAGAAATACCGTTTCCAACGAAGGCCTCAAAGAGGTCTAAATATCCACTTGCAGACATTACAAACAGAGTGTTTCCAAACTGCTCCATCAAAGGAAAGGTTAAACTCTGTGAGCTGAACACACACATCAAAAAGAAGTTTCTGTGAATGATTCTGTCTAGATTTTATAAGAAGATGTTTCCTTTTCTACCGTAGGCCTCAAAGCGCTTGAAGTCTCCAGCTGCAAATTCCACAAAAAGGGTGTTTAACATCTGCTCTTCTAAAGGAAAGTTCAACTCTATGAGTTGAATACACACAGCACAAAGAAGTTACTGAGACTTCTCCTATCAAACATTATATGAAGAAATCCCGTTTCCAACGAAGGCCTCAAAGAGGTCCAAATGTCTGCTTGCAGACTTTACAGACAGAGTGTTTCCAAACTGCTCCATCAAAAGAAAGGTTAAACTCCTTGAGTTGAACACACACATCACAAAGTAGTTTCTGTGAATGATTCTGTCTAGTTTTTATACGAAGATGTTTCCTTTTCTACCTTTGGTCTCAAAGCGATTGAAATCTCCACATGGAAACTCCACAAAAAGAGTGTTTCAAATCTGCTCTTTCTGAAGGAAGGTTCAACTCTGTGAGTTGAATACACACACCACAAATAAGTTACTGAGAATTCTTCTGTGTAACATTATATGAGGAAATCCCGTTTCCAACGAAGGCCTCAAAGAGGTCCAAATATCCACGTGCAGACTTTACAAAGACAGTGTCTCCAAACTCCTACATCAAAAGAAAGGTTATACTCTGTGAATTGAATGCACACATCACAAAGTAGTTTCTGAGAATGATTCTGTCTAGTTTTTATACGAAGATATTTCCTTTTCTACATTTGGCCTAAAAGCGCTTGAAATCTCCACCTGCAAATATCACAAAAAGAGGGTTTCACATCTGCTCTGTCTAAAGGACAGTTCACCTCTGTGAGTTGAATAGAGGCAACACAAAGAACGTACTCAGTATTCTTCTTTCTAGCGTTCTATGAAGAAATCCCGTTTCCAACGAAGGCCCCAAAGAGGTCCAAATATCTGCTTGCAGACTTTACAGACAGAGTGTTTCCAAACTACTCTATGAAAAGAAAGCTTAAACTCCTTGAGTTGAACGCACACATCACAAAGTAGTTTCTGAGAATGATTCTGTCCAGTTTTTATACGAAGATGTTTCCTTTTCTACATTTGGTCTCAAAGCGATTGAAATCTCCAACTGGAAACTGCACAAATAGGCTGTTTCAAATCTGCTCTGTCTAAAGGAAGGTTCAACTCTGTGAGTTGAATACACACACCACAAAGAAGTTACTGAGAATTCTTCTGTCGAACATTACTTGAAGAAATCCCGTTTCCAACGAAGGCCTCAAACAGTTCCAAATATCCACTTGCAGACATTACAAACAGAGTGTTTCCAAACTGCTCCATCAAAAGAAAGGTTAAACTCTGTGAGCTGAACACACACATCAAAAAGAAGTTTCTGTGAATGATTCTGTCTAGATTTTATAAGAAGATGTTTCCTTTTCTACCGTAGGCCTCAAAGCGCTTGAAATCTCCAGCTGCAAATTCCACAAAAAGGGTGTTTAACATCTGCTCTTCTAAAGGAAAGTTCAACTCTATGAGTTGAATACACACAGCACAAAGAAGTTACTGAGACTTCTCCTATCAAACATTAATGAAGAAATCCCGTTTCCAACGAAGGCCTCAAAGAGGTCCAAATATCTGCTTGCAGACTTTACAGACAGAGTGTTTCCAAACTGCTCCATCAAAAGAAAGGTTAAACTCCTTGAGTTGAACACACACATCACAAAGTAGTTTCTGTGAATGATTCTGTCTAGTTTTTATACGAAGATGTTTCCTTTTCTACCTTTGGTCTCAAAGCGATTGAAATCTCCACATGGAAACTCCACAAAAAGAGTGTTTCAAATCTGCTCTTTCTGAAGGAAGGTTCAACTCTGTGAGTTGAATACACACACCACAAATAAGTTACTGAGAATTCTTCTGTGTAACATTATATGAGGAAATCCCGTTTCCAACGAAGGCCTCAAAGAGGTCCAAATATCCACTTGCAGACTTTACAAAGACAGTGTCTCCAAACTCCTCCATCAAAAGAAAGGTTATACTCTGTGAATTGAACGCACACATCACAAAGTAGTTTCTGAGAATGATTCTGTCTAGTTTTTATACGAAGATATTTCCTTTTCTACATTTGGCCTAAAAGCGCTTGAAATCTCCACCTGCAAATATCACAAAAAGAGGGTTTCACATCTGCTCTGTCTAAAGGACAGTTCACCTCTGTGAGTTGAATAGAGGCAACACAAAGAACTTACTCAGTATTCTTCTTTCTAGCGTTCTATGAAGAAATCCCGTTTCCAACGAAGGCCTCAAAGAGGTCAAATATCTGCTTGCAGACTTTACAGACAGAGTGTTTCCAAACTACTCTATGAAAAGAAAGCTTAAACTCCTTGAGTTGAACGCACACATCACAAAGTAGTTTCTGAGAATGATTCTGTCTAGTTTTTATACGAAGATGTTTCCTTTTCTACATTTGGTCTCAAAGCTCTTGAAATCTCCAACTGGAAACTGCACAAATAGGCTGTTTCAAATCTGCTCTGTCTAAAGGAAGGTTCAACTCTGTGAGTTGAATACACACACCACAAATAAGTTACTGAGAATTCTTCTGTCGAACATTACTTGAAGAAATCCCGTTTCCAACGAAGGCCTCAAAGGAGGTCCAAATATCCACTTGCAGACATTACAAACAGAGTGTTTCCAAACTGCTCCATCAAAAGAAAGGTTAAACTCTGTGAGCTGAACACACACATCAAAAAGAAGTTTCTGTGAATGATTCTGTCTAGATTTTAGAAGAAGATGTTTCCTTTTCTACCGTAGGCCTCAAAGCGCTTGAAATCTCCAGCTGCAAATTCCACAAACAGGGTGTTTAACATCTGCTCTTCTAAAGGAAAGTTCAACTCTATGAGTTGAATACACACAGCACAAAGAAGTTACTGAGACTTCTCCTATCAAACATTATATGAAGAAATCCCGTTTCCAACGAAGGCCTCAAAGAGGTCCAAATATCTACTTGCAGACTTTACAGACAGAGTGTTTCCAAACTGCTCCATCAAAAGAAAGGTTAAACTCCTTGAGTTGAACACACACATCACAAAGTAGTTTCTGTGAATGATTCTGTCTAGTTTTTATACGAAGATGTTTCCTTTTCTACCTTTGGTCTCAATGCGATTGAAATCTCCACATGGAAACTCCACAAAAAGAGTGTTTCAAATCTGCTCTTTCTGAAGGAAGGTTCAACTCTGTGAGTTGAATACACACACCACAAATAAGTTACTGAGAATTCTTCTGTGTAACATTATATGAGGAAATCCCGTTTCCAACGAAGGCCTCAAAGAGGTCCAAATATCCACTTGCAGACTTTACAAAGACAGTGTCTCCAAACTCCTCCATCAAAAGAAAGGTTATACTCTGTGAATTGAACGCACACATCACAAAGTAGTTTCTGAGAATGATTCTGTCTAGTTTTTATACGAAGATATTTCCTTTTCTACATTTGGCCTAAAAGTGCTTGAAATCTCCACCTGCAAATATCACAAAAAGAGGGTTTCACATCTGCTCTGTCTAAAGGACAGTTCACCTCTGTGAGTTGAATAGAGGCAACACAAAGAACTTACTCAGTATTCTTCTTTCTAGCGTTCTATGAAGAAATCCGGTTTCCAACGAAGGCCCCAAAGAGGTCCAAATATCTGCTTGCAGACTTTACAGACAGAGTGTTTCCAAACTACTCTATGAAAAGAAAGCTTAAACTCCTTGAGTTGAACGCACACATCACAAAGTAGTTTCTGAGAATGATTCTGTCTAGTTTTTATACGAAGATGTTTCCTTTTCTACATTTGGTCTCAAAGCGATTGAAATCTCCAACTGGAAACTGCACAAATAGGGTGTTTCAAATCTGCTCTGTCTAAAGGAAGGTTCAACTCTGTGAGTTGAATACACACACCACAAATAAGTTACTGAGAATTCTTCTGTCGACCATTACTTGAAGAAATCCCGTTTCCAACGAAGGCCTCAAAGAGGTCCAAATATCCACTTGCAGACATTACAAACAGAGTGTTTCCAAACTGCTCCATCAAAAGAAAGGTTAAACTCTGTGAGCTGAACACACACATCGAAAAGAAGTTTCTGTGAATGATTCTGTCTAGATTTTGTAAGAAGATGTTTCCTTTTCTACTGTAGGCCTCAATGCGCTTGAAATCTCCACCTGCAAATTCCACAAAAAGGGTGTTTTACATCTGCTCTTCTAAAGGAAAGTTCAACTCTATGCGTTGAATACACACAGGACAAAGAAGTTACTGAGACTTCTCCTATCAAACATTATATGAAGAAATCCCGTTTCCAACGAAGGCCTCAAAGAGGTCCAAATATCTGCTTGCAGACTTTACAGACAGAGTTTTTCCAAACTGCTCCATCAAAAGAAAGGTTAAACTCCTTGAGTTGAACACACACATCACAAAGTAGTTTCTGTGAATGATTCTGTCTAGTTTTTATACGAAGATGTTTCCTTTTCTACCTTTGGTCTCAATGCGATTGAAATCTCCACATGGAAACTCCACAAAAAGAGTGTTTCAAATCTGCTCTTTCTGAAGGAAGGTTCAACTCTGTGAGTTGAATACACACACCACAAATAAGTTACTGAGAATTCTTCTGTGTAACATTATATGAGGAAATCCCGTTTCCAACGAAGGCCTCAAAGAGGTCCAAATATCCACTTGCAGACTTTACAAAGACAGTGTCTCCAAACTCCTCCATCAAAAGAAAGGTTATACTCTGTGAATTGAACGCACACATCACAAAGTAGTTTCTGAGAATGATTCTGTCTAGTTTTTATACGAAGATATTTCCTTTTCTACATTTGGCCTAAAAGCGCTTGAAATCTCCACCTGCAAATATCACAAAAAGAGGGTTTCACATCTGCTCTGTCTAAAGGACAGTTCACCTCTGTGAGTTGAATAGAGGCAACACAAAGAACTTACTCAGTATTCTTCTTTCTAGCGTTCTATGAAGAAATCCCGTTTCCAACGAAGGCCCCAAAGAGGTCCAAATATCTGCTTGCAGACTTTACAGACAGAGTGTTTCCAAACTACTCTATGAAAAGAAAGCTTAAACTCCTTGAGTTGAACGCACACATCACAAAGTAGTTTCTGAGAATGATTCTGTCTAGTTTTTATACGAAGATGTTTCCTTTTCTACATTTGGTCTCAAAGCGATTGAAATCTCCAACTGGAAACTGCACAAATAGGCTGTTTCAAATCTGCTCTGTCTAAAGGAAGGTTCAACTCTGTGAGTTGAATACACACACCACAAAGAAGTTACTGAGAATTCTTCTGTCGACCATTACTTGAAGAAATCCCGTTTCCAACGAAGGCCTCAAAGAGGTCCAAATATCCACTTGCAGACATTACAAACAGAGTGTTTCCAAACTGCTCCATCAAAAGAAAGGTTAAACTCTGTGAGCTGAACACACACATCAAAAAGCAGTTTCTGTGAATGATTCTGTCTAGATTTTATAAGAAGATGTTTCCTTTTCTACCGTAGGCCTCAAAGCGCTTGAAATCTCCAGCTGCAAATTCCACAAAAAGGGTGTTTAACATCTGCTCTTCTAAAGGAAAGTTCAACTCTATGAGTTGAATACACACAGCACAAAGAAGTTACTGAGACTTCTCCTATCAAACATTATATGAAGAAATCCCGTTTCCAACGAAGGCCTCAAAGAGGTCCAAATATCTGCTTGCAGACTTTACAGACAGAGTGTTTCCAAACTGCTCCATCAAAAGAAAGGTGAAACTCCTTGAGTTGAACACACACATCACAAAGTAGTTTCTGTGAATGATTCTGTCTAGTTTTTATACGAAGATGTTTCCTTTTCTACCTTTGGTCTCAAAGCGATTGAAATCTCCACATGGAAACTCCACAAAAAGAGTGTTTCAAATCTGCTCTTTCTGAAGGAAGGTTCAACTCTGTGAGTTGAATACACACACCACAAATAAGTTACTGAGAATTCTTCTGTGTAACATTATATGAGGAAATCCCGTTTCCAACGAAGGCCTCAAAGAGGTCCAAATATCCACTTGCAGACTTTACAAAGACAGTGTCTCCAAACTCCTCCATCAAAAGAAAGGTTATACTCTGTGAATTGAACGCACACATCACAAAGTAGTTTCTGAGAATGATTCTGTCTAGTTTTCATACGAAGATATTTCCTTTTCTACATTTGGCCTAAAAGCGCTTGAAATCTCCACCTGCAAATATCACAAAAAGAGGGTTTCACATCTGCTCTGTCTAAAGGACAGTTCACCTCTGTGAGTTGAATAGAGGCAACACAAAGAACTTACTCAGTATTCTTCTTTCTAGCGTTCTATGAAGAAATCCCGTTTCCAACGAAGGCCTCAAAGAGGTCCAAATATCTGCTTGCACACTTTACAGACAGAGTGTTTCCAAACTACTCTATGAAAAGAAAGCTTAAACTCCTTGAGTTGAACGCACACATCACAAAGTAGTTTCTGAGAATGATTCTGTCTAGTTTTTATACGAAGATGTTTCCTTTTCTACATTTGGTCTCAAAGCGATTGAAATCTCCAACTGGAAACTGCACAAATAGGGTGTTTCAAATCTGCTCTGTCTAAAGGAAGGTTCAACTCTGTGAGTTGAATACACACACCACAAATAAGTTACTGAGAATTCTTCTGTCGAACATTACAGGAAGAAATCCCGTTTCCAACGAAGGCCTCAAAGAGGTCCAAATATCCACTTGCAGACATTACAAACAGAGTGTTTCCAAACTGCTACATCAAAAGAAAGGTTAAACTCTGTGAGCTGAACACACACATCAAAAAGAAGTTTCTGTGAATGATTCTGTCTAGATTTTATAAGAAGATGTTTCCTTTTCTACCGTAGGCCTCAAAGCGCTTGAAATCTCCAGCTGCAAATTCCACAAAAAGGGTGTTTAACATCTGCTCTTCTAAAGGAAAGTTCAACTCAATGAGTTGAATACACACAGCACAAAGAAGTTACTGAGACTTCTCCTATCAAACATTATATGAAGAAATCCCGTTTCCAACGAAGGCCTCAAAGAGGTCCAAATATCTGCTTGCAGACTTTAAAGACAGAGTTTTTCCAAACTGCTCCATCAAAAGAAAGGTTAAACTCCTTGAGTTGAACACACACATCACAAAGTAGTTTCTGTGAATGATTCTGTCTAGTTTTTATACGAAGATGTTTCCTTTTCTACCTTTGGTCTCAAAGCGATTGAAATCTCCACATGGAAACTCCACAAAAAGAGTGTTTCAAATCTGCTCTTTCTGAAGGAAGGTTCAACTCTGTGAGTTGAATACACACACCACAAATAAGTTACTGAGAATTCTTCTGTGTAACATTATATGAGGAAATCCCGTTTCCAACGAAGGCCTCAAAGAGGTCCAAATATCCACTTGCAGACTTTACAAAGACAGTGTCTCCAAACTCCTCCATCAAAAGAAAGGTTATACTCTGTGAATTGAACGCACACATCACAAAGTAGTTTCTGAGAATGATTCTGTCTAGTTTTTATACGAAGATATTTCCTTTTCTACATTTGGCCTAAAAGCGCTTGAAATCTCCACCTGCAAATATCACAAAAAGAGGGTTTCACATCTGCTCTGTCTAAAGGACAGTTCACCTCTGTGAGTTGAATAGAGGCAACACAAAGAACTTACTCAGTATTCTTCTTTCTAGCGTTCTATGAAGAAATCCCGTTTCCAACGAAGGCCCCAAAGAGGTCCAAATATCTGCTTGCAGACTTTACAGACAGAGTGTTTCCAAACTACTCTATGAAAAGAAAGCTTAAACTCCTTGAGTTGAACGCACACATCACAAAGTAGTTTCTGAGAATGATTCTGTCTTGTTTTTATACGAAGATATTTCCGTTTATATGATTGGCCTCCAAGCGATTGAAATCTCCAACTGGAAACTGCACAAATAGGGTGTTTCAAATCTGCTCTGTCTAAAGGAAGGTTCAACTCTGTGAGTTGAATACACACACCACAAATAACTTACTGAGAATTCTTCTGTCGAATATTACTTGAAGAAATCCCGTTTCCAACGAAGGCCTCAAAGAGGTCCAAATATCCACTTGCAGACATTACAAACAGGGTGTTTCCAAACTGCTCCATCAAAAGAAAGGTTAAACTCTGTGAGCTGAACACACACATCAAAAAGAAGTTTCTGTGAATGATTCTGTCTAGATTTTATAAGAAGATGTTTCCTTTTCTACCGTAGGCCTCAAAGCGCTTGAAATCTCCAGCTGCAAATTCCACAAAAAGGGTGTTTAACATCTGCTCTTCTAAAGGAAAGTTCAACTCTATGCGTTGAATACACACAGCACAAAGAAGTTACTGAGACTTCTCCTATCAAACATTATATGAAGAAATCCCGTTTCCAACGAAGGCCTCAAAGAGGTCCAAATATCTGCTTGCAGACTTTACAGACAGAGTGTTTCCAAACTGCTCCATCAAAAGAAAGGTTAAACTCCTTGAGTTGAACACACACATCACAAAGTAGTTTCTGTGAATGATTCTGTCTAGTTTTTATACGGAGATGTTTCCTTTTCTACCTTTGGTCTCAAAGCGATTGAAATCTCCACATGGAAACCCCACAAAAAGAGTGTTTCAAATCTGCTCTTTCTGAAGGAAGGTTCAACTCTGTGAGCTGAATACACACACCACAAATAAGTTACTGAGAATTCTTCTGTGTAACATTATATGAGGAAATCCCGTTTCCAACGAAGGCCTCAAAGAGGTCCAAATATCCACTTGCAGACTTTACAAAGACAGTGTCTCCAAACTCCTCCATCAAAAGAAAGGTTATACTATGTGAATTGAACGCACACATCACAAAGTAGTTTCTGAGAATGATTCTGTCTAGTTTTTATACGAAGATATTTCCTTTTCTACATTTGGCCTAAAAGCGCTTGAAATCTCCACCTGCAAATATCACAAAAAGAGGGTTTCACATCTGCTCTGTCTAAAGGACAGTTCACCTCTGTGAGTTGAATAGAGGCAACACAAAGAACTTACTCAGTATTCTTCTTTCTAGCGTTCTATGAAGAAATCCCGTTTCCAACGAAGGCCCCAATGAGGTCCAAATATCTGCTTGCAGACTTTACAGACAGAGTGTTTCCAAACTACTCTATGAAAAGAAAGCTTAAACTCCTTGAGTTGAACGCACACATCACAAAGTAGTTTCTGAGAATGATTCTGTCTAGTTTTTATACGAAGATGTTTCCTTTTCTACATTTGGTCTCAAAGCGATTGAAATCTCCAACTGGAAACTGCACAAATAGGGTGTTTCAAATCTGCTCTGTCTAAAGGAAGGTTCAACTCTGTGAGTTGAATACACACACCACAAATAAGTTACTGAGAATTCTTCTGTCGAACATTACTTGAAGAAATCCCGTTTCCAACGAAGGCCTCAAAGAGGTCCAAATATCCACTTGCAGACGTTACAAACAGAGTGTTTCCAAACTGCTCCATCAAAAGAAAGGTTAAACTCTGTGAGCTGAACACACACATCAAAAAGAAGTTTCTGTGAATGATTCTGTCTAGAATTTTATAAGAAGATGTTTCCTTTTCTACCGTAGGCCTCAAAGCGCTTGAAATCTCCAGCTGCAAATTCCACAAAAAGGGTGTTTAACATCTGCTCTTCTAAAGGAAAGTTCAACTCTATGAGTTGAATACACACAGCACAAAGAAGTTACTGAGACTTCTCCTATCAAACATTATATGAAGAAATCCCGTTTCCAACGAAGGCCTCAAAGAGGTCCAAATATCTGCTTGCAGACTTTACAGACAGAGTGTTTTCAAACTGCTCCATCAAAAGAAAGGTTAAACACCTTGAGTTGAACACACACATCACAAAGTAGTTTCTGTGAATGATTCTGTCTAGTTTTTATACGAAGATGTTTCCTTTTCTACCTTTGGTCTCAAAGCGATTGAAATCTCCACATGGAAACTCCACAAAAAGAGGGTTTCAAATCTGCTCTTTCTGAAGGAAGGTTCATCTCTGTGAGTTGAATACACACACCACAAATAAGTTACTGAGAATTCTTCTGTGTAACATTATATGAGGAAATCCCGTTTCCAACGAAGGCCTCAAAGAGGTCCAAATATCCACTTGCAGACTTTATAAAGACAGTGTCTCCAAACTCCTCCATCAAAAGAAAGGTTATACTCTGTGAATTGAACGCACACATCACAAACTAGTTTCTGAGAATGATTCTGTCTAGTTTTTATACGAAGATATTTCCTTTTCTACATTTGGCCTAAAAGCGCTTGAAATCTCCACCTGCAAATATCACAAAAAGAGGGTTTCACATCTGCTCTGTCTAAAGGACAGTTCACCTCTGTGAGTTGAATAGAGGCAACACAAAGAACTTACTCAGTATTCTTCTTTCTAGCGTTCTATGAAGAAATCCCGTTTCCAACGAAGGCCCCAAAGAGGTCCAAATATCTGCTTGCAGACTTTACAGACAGAGTGTTTCCAAACTACTCTATGAAAAGAAAGCTTAAACTCCTTGAGTTGAACGCACACATCACAAAGTAGTTTCTGAGAATGATTCTGTCTAGTTTTTATACCGAAGATGTTTCCTTTTCTACATTTGGTCTCAAAGCGATTGAAATCTCCAACTGGAAACTGCACAAATAGCGTGTTTCAAATCTGCTTTGTCTAAAGGAAGGTTCAACTCTGTGAGTTGAATACACACACCACAAATAAGTTACTGAGAATTCTTCTGTCGAACATTACAGGAAGAAATCCCGTTTCCAGCGAAGGCCTCAAAGAGGTCCAAATATCCACTTGCAGACATTACAAACAGAGTGTTTCCAAACTGCTCCATCAAAAGAAAGGTTAAACTCTGTGAGCTGAACACACACATCAAAAAGAAGTTTCTGTGAATGATTCTGTCTAGATTTTATAAGAAGATATTTCCTTTTCTACCGTAGGCCACAAAGCGCTTGAAATCTCCAGCTGCAAATTCCACAAAAAGGGTGTTTAACATCTGCTCTTCTAAAGGAAAGTTCAACTCTATGCGTTGAATACACACAGCACAAAGAAGTTACTGAGACTTCTCCTATCAAACATTATATGAAGAAATCCCGTTTCCAACGAAGGCCTCAAAGAGGTCCAAATATCTGCTTGCAGACTTTACAGACAGAGTGTATCCAAACTGCTCCATCAAAAGAAAGGTTAAACTCCTTGAGTTGAACACACACATCACAAAGTAGTTTCTGTGAATGATTCTGTCTAGTTTTTATACGAAGATGTTTCCTTTTCTACCTTTGGTCTCAAAGCGATTGAAATCTCCACATGGAAACTCCACAAAAAGAGTGTTTCAAATCTGCTCTTTCTGAAGGAAGGTTCAACTCTGTGAGTTGAATACACACACCACAAATAAGTTACTGAGAATTCATCTGTGTAACATTATATGAGGAAATCCCGTTTCCAACGAAGGCCTCAAAGAGGTCCAAATATCCACTTGCAGACTTTACAAAGACAGTGTCTCCAAACTCCTCCATCAAAGAAAGGTTATACTCTGTGAATTGAACGCACACATCACAAAGTAGTTTCTGAGAATGATTCTGTCTAGTTTTTATACGAAGATATTTCCTTTTCTACATTTGGCCTAAAAGCACTTGAAATCTCCACCTGCAAATATCCCAAAAAGAGGGTTTCACATCTGCTCTGTCTAAAGGACAATTCTCCTCTGTGAGTAGAATAGAGGCAACACAAAGAACTTAGTATTCTTCTTTCTAGCGTTCTATGAAGAAATCCCGTTTCCAACGAAGGCCCCAAAGAGGTCCAAATATCTGCTTGCAGACTTTACAGACAGAGTGTTTCCAAACTACTCTATGAAAAGAAAGCTTAAACTCCTTGAGTTGAACGCACACATCACAAAGTAGTTTCTGAGAATGATTCTGTCTAGTTTTTATACGAAGATGTTTCCTTTTCTACATTTGGTCTCAAAGCGATTGAAATCTCCAACTGGAAACTGCACAAATAGGCTGTTTCAAATCTGCTCTGTCTAAAGGAAGGTTCAACTCTGTGAGTTGAATACACACACCACAAAGAAGTTACTGAGAATTCTTCTGTCGAACATTACTTGAAAGAAATCCCGTTTCCAACGAAGGCCTCAAAGAGGTCCAAATATCCACTTGCAGACATTACAAACAGAGTGTTTCCAAACTGCTCCATCAAAAGAAAGGTTAAACTCTGTGAGCTGAACACACACATCAAAAAGAAGTTTCTGTGAATGATTCTGTCTAGATTTTATAAGAAGATGTTTCCTTTTCTACCGTAGGCCTCAAAGCGCTTGAAATCTCCAGCTGCAAATTCCACAAAAAGGGTGTTTAACATCTGCTCTTCTAAAGGAAAGTTCAACTCTATGAGTTGAATACACACAGCACAAAGAAGTTACTGAGACTTCTCCTATCAAACATTATATGAAGAAATCCCGTTTCCAACGAAGGCCTCAAAGAGGTCCAAATATCTGCTTGCAGACTTTACAGACAGAGTGTTTCCAAACTGCTCCATCAAAAGAAAGGTTAAACTCCTTGAGTTGAACACACACATCACAAAGTAGTTTCTGTGAATGATTCTGTCTAGTTGTTATACGAAGATGTTTCCTTTTCTACCTTTGGTCTCAAAGCGATTGAAATCTCCACATGGAAACTCCACAAAAAGAGTGTTTCAAATCTGCTCTTTCTGAAGGAAGGTTCATCTCTGTGAGTTGAATACACACACCACAGATAAGTTACTGAGAATTCTTCTGTGTAACATTATATGAGGAAATCCCGTTTCCAACGAAGGCCTCAAAGAGGTCCAAATATCCACTTGCAGACTTTACAAAGACAGTGTCTCCAAACTCCTCCATCAAAAGAAAGGTTATACTCTGTGAATTGAACGCACACATCACAAAGTAGTTTCTGAGAATGATTCTGTCTAGTTTTTATACGAAGATATTTCCTTTTCTACATTTGGCCTAAAAGCGCTTGAAATCTCCACCTGCAAATATCACAAAAAGAGGGTTTCACATCTGCTCTGTCTAAAGGACAGTTCACCTCTGTGAGTTGAATAGAGGCAACACAAAGAACTTACTCAGTATTCTTCTTTCTAGCGTTCTATGAAGAAATCCCGTTTCCAACGAAGGCCCCAAAGAGGTCCAAATATCTGCTTGCAGACTTTACAGACAGAGTGTTTCCAAACTACTCTATGAAAAGAAAGCTTAAACTCCTTGAGTTGAACGCACACATCACAAAGTAGTTTCTGAGAATGATTCTGTCTAGTTTTTATACGAAGATGTTTCCTTTTCTACATTTGGTCTCAAAGCGATTGAAATCTCCAACTGGAAACTGCACAAATAGGCTGTTTCAAATCTGCTCTGTCTAAAGGAAGGTTCAACTCTGTGAGTTGAATACACACACCACAAATAAGTTACTGAGAATTCTTCTGTCGACCATTACTTGAAGAAATCCCGTTTCCAACGAAGGCCTCAAAGAGGTCCAAATATCCACTTGCAGACCTTACAAACAGAGTGTTTCCAAACTGCTCCATCAAAAGAAAGGTTAAACTCTGTGAGCTGAACACACACATCGAAAAGAAGTTTCTGTGAATGATTCTGTCTAGATTTTATAAGAAGATGTTTCCTTTTCTACCGTAGGCCTCAAAGCGCTTGAAATCTCCAGCTGCAAATTCCACAAAAAGGGTGTTTAACATCTGCTCTTCTAAAGGAAAGTTCAACTCTATGCGTTGAATACACACAGCACAAAGAAGTTACTGAGACTTCTCCTATCAAACATTATATGAAGAAATCCCGTTTCCAACGAAGGCCTCAAAGAGGTCCAAATATCTGCTTGCAGACTTTACAGACAGAGTATTTCCAAACTGCTCCATCAAAAGAAAGGTTAAACTCCTTGAGTTGAACACACACATCACAAAGTAGTTTCTGTGAATGATTCTGTCTAGTTTTTATACGAAGATGTTTCCTTTTCTACCTTTGGTCTCAAAGCGATTGAAATCTCCACATGGAAACTCCACAAAAAGAGTGTTTCAAATCTGCTCTTTCTGAAGGAAGGTTCAACTCTGTGAGTTGAATACACACACCACAAATAAGTTACTGAGAATTCTTCTGTGTAACATTATATGAGGAAATCCCGTTTCCAACGAAGGCCTCAAAGAGGTCCAAATATCCACTTGCAGACTTTACAAAGACAGTGTCTCCAAACTCTTCCATCAAAAGAAAGGTTATACTATGTGAATTGAACGCACACATCACAAAGTAGTTTCTGAGAATGATTCTGTCTAGTTTTTATACGAAGATATTTCCTTTTCTACATTTGGCCTAAAAGCGCTTGAAATCTCCACCTGCAAATATCACAAAAAGAGGGTTTCACATCTGCTCTGTCTAAAGGACAGGTTCACCTCTGTGAGTTGAATAGAGGCAACACAAAGAACTTACTCAGTATTCTTCTTTCTAGCGTTCTATGAAGAAATCCCGTTTCCAACGAAGGCCCCAAAGAGGTCCAAATATCTGCTTGCAGACTTTACAGACAGAGTGTTTCCAAACTACTCTATGAAAAGAAAGCTTAAACTCCTTGAGTTGAACGCACACATCACAAAGTAGTTTCTGAGAATGATTCTGTCTAGTTTTTATACGAAGATGTTTCCTTTTCTACATTTGGTCTCAAAGCGATTGAAATCTCCAACTGGAAACTGCACAAATAGGGTGTTTCAAATCTGCTCTGTCTAAAGGAAGGTTCAACTCTGTGAGTTGAATACACACACCACAAATAAGTTACTGAGAATTCTTCTGTCGAACATTACTTGAAGAAATCCCGTTTCCAACGAAGGCCTCAAAGAGGTCCAAATATCCACTTGCAGACATTACAAACAGAGTGTTTCCAAACTGCTCCATCAAAAGAAAGGTTAAACTCTGTGAGCTGAACACACACATCGAAAAGAAGTTTCTGTGAATGATTCTGTCTAGATTTTATAAGAAGATGTTTCCTTTTCTACCGTAGGCCTCAAAGCGCTTGAAATCTCCAGCTGCAAATTCCACAAAAAGGGTGTTTAACATCTGGTCTTCTAAAGGAAATTTCAACTCTATGAGTTGAATACACACAGCACAAAGAAGTTACTGAGATTTCTCCTATCAAACATTATATGAAGAAATCCCGTTTCCAACGAAGGCCTCAAAGAGGTCCAAATATCTACTTGCAGACTTTACAGACAGAGTGTTTCCAAACTGCTCCATCAAAAGAAAGGTTAAACTCCTTGAGTTGAACACACACATCACAAAGTAGTTTCTGTGAATGATTCTGTCTAGTTTTTCTACAAAGATGTTTCCTTTTCTACCTTTGGTCTCAAAGCGATTGAAATCTCCACATGGAAACTCCACAAAAAGAGTGTTTCAAATCTGCTCTTTCTGAAGGAAGGTTCAACTCTGTGAGTTGAATACACACACCACAAATAAGTTACTGAGAATTCTCCTATCAAACATTATATGAAGAAATCCCGTTTCTAACGATGGCCTGAAAGAGGTCCAAATATCTGCTTGCAGACTTTACAAAGACAGTGTCTCCAAACTCCTCCATCAAAAGAAAGGTTATACTCTGTGAATTGAACGCACACATCACAAAGTAGTTTCTGTGAATGATTCTGTCTAGTTTTTATATGAAGATATTTCCTTTTCTACATTTGGCCTAAAAGCGCTTGAAATCTCCACCTGCAAATATCACAAAAAGAGGGTTTCACATCTGCTCTCTCTAAAGGACAGTTCACCTCTGTGAGTTGAATAGAGGCAACACAAAGAACTTACTCAGTATCTTTCTTTCTAGCGTTCTATGAAGAAATCCCGTTTCCAACGAAGGCCCCAAAGAGGTCCAAATATCTGCTTGCAGACTTTACAGACAGAGTGTTTCCAAACTACTCTATGAAAAGAAAGCTTAAACTCCTTGAGTTGAACGCACACATCACAAAGTAGTTTCTGAGAATGATTCTGTCTAGTTTTTATACGAAGTATGTTTCCTTTTCTACATTTGGTCTCAAAGCGATTGAAATCTCCAACTGGAAACTGCACAAATAGGGTGTTTCAAATCTGCTCTGTCTAAAGGAAGGTTCAACTCTGTGAGTTGAATACACACACCACAAATATGTTACTGAGAATTCTTCTGTCGAACATTACTTGAAGAAATCCCGTTTCCAACGAAGGCCTCAAAGAGGTCCAAATATCCACTTGCAGACATTACAAACAGAGTGTTTCCAAACTGCTCCATCAAAAGAAAGGTTAAACTCTGTGAGCTGAACACACACATCGAAAAGAAGTTTCTGTGAATGATTCTGTCTAGATTTTATAAGAAGATGTTTCCTTTTCTACAGTAGGCCTCAAAGCGCTTGAAATCTCCAGCTGCAAATTCCACAAAAAGGGTGTTTAACATCTGCTCTTCTAAAGGAAATTTCAACTCTATGAGTTGAATGCACACAGCACAAAGAAGTTACTGAGACTTCTCCTATCAAATATTATATGAAGAAATCCCGTTTCCAACGAACGCCTCAAAGAGGTCCATATATCTGCTTGCAGACTTTACAGACAGAGTTCTTCCAAACTGCTCCATCAAAAGAAAGGTTAAACTCCTTGAGTTGAACACACACATCACAAATTAGTTTCTGTGAATGATTCTGTCTAGTTTTTATACGAAGATGTTTCCTTTTCTACATTTGGTCTGAAAGCGATTGAAATCTCCAACTGGAAACTGCACAAATAGGGTGTTTCAAATCTGCTCTGTCTAAAGGAAGGTTCAACTCTGTGAGTTGAATACACACACCACAAATAAGTTACTGAGAATTCTTCTGTCGAACATTACATGAAGAAATCCCGTTTCCAACGAAGGCCTCAAAGAGGTCCAAATATCCACTTGCAGACATTACAAACAGTGTGTTTCCAAACTGCTCCATCAAAAGAAAGGTTAAACTCTGTGAGCTGAACACACACATCAAAAATTAGTTTCTGTGAATGATTCTGTCTAGATTTTGTAAGAAGATGTTTCCTTTTCTACAGTAGGCCTCAAAGCGCTTGAAATCTCCAGCTGCAAATTCCACAAAAAGGGTGTTTAACATCTGCTCTACTAAAGGAAAGTTCAACTCTATGAGTTGAATACACACAGCAGAAAGAAGTTACTGAGACTTCTCCTATCAAACATTATATGAAGAAATCCCGTTTCCAACGAAGGACTCAAAGAGGTCCAAATATCTGCTTGCAGACTTTACAGACAGAGTGTTTCCAAACTGCTCCATCAAAAGAAAGGTTAAACTCCTTGAGTTGAACACACACATCACAAGGTAGTTTCTGTGAATGATTCTGTCTAGTTTTTATACGAAGATGTTTCCTTTTCTACCTTTGGTCTCAATGCGATTGAAATCTCCACATGGAAACTCCACAAAAAGAGTGTTTCAAATCTGCTCTTTCTGAAGGAAGGTTCAACTCTGTGAGTTGAATACACACACCACAAATAAGTTACTGAGAATTCTTCTGTGTAACATTATATGAGGAAATCCCGTTTCCAACGAAGGCCTCAAAGAGGTCCAAATATCCACTTGCAGACTTTACAAAGACAGTGTCTCCAAACTCCTCCATCAAAAGAAAGGTTATACTCTGTGAATTGAACGCACACATCACAAAGTAGTTTCTGAGAATGATTCTGTCTAGTTTTTATACGAAGATATTTCCTTTTCTACATTTGGCCTAAAAGCGCTTGAAATCTCCACCTGCAAATATCACAAAAAGAGGGTTTCACATCTGCTCTGTCTAAAGGACAGTTCACCTCTGTGAGTTGAATAGAGGCAACACAAAGAACTTACTCAGTATTCTTCTTTCTAGCGTTCTATGAAGAAATCCCGTTTCCAACGAAGGCCTCAAAGAGGTCAAATATCTGCTTGCAGACTTTACAGACAGAGTGTTTCCAAACTACTCTATGAAAAGAAAGCTTAAACTCCTTGAGTTGAACGCACACATCACAAAGTAGTTTCTGAGAATGATTCTGTCTAGTTTTTATACGAAGATGTTTCCTTTTCTACATTTGGTCTCAAAGCGATTGAAATCTCCAACTGGAAACTGCACAAATAGGCTGTTTCAAATCTGCTCTGTCTAAAGGAAGGGTCAACTCTGTGAGTTGAATACACACACCACAAATAAGTTACTGAGAATTCTTCTGTCGAACATTACTTGAAGAAATCCCGTTTCCAACGAAGGCCTCAAAGAGGTCCAAATATCCACTTGCAGACGTTACAAACAGAGTGTTTCCAAACTGCTCCATCAAAAGAAAGGTTAAACTCTGTGAGCTGAACACACACATCAAAAAGAAGTTTCTGTGAATGATTCTGTCTAGATTTTATAAGAAGATGTTTCCTTTTCTACCGTAGGCCTCAAAGCGCTTGAAATCTCCAGCTGCAAATTCCACAAAAAGGGTGTTTAACATCTGCTCTTCTAAAGGAAAGTTCAACTCTATGAGTTGAATACACACAGCACAAAGAAGTTACTGAGACTTCTCCTATCAAACATTATATGAAGAAATCCCGTTTCCAACGAAGGCCTCAAAGAGGTCCAAATATCTGCTTGCAGACTTTACAGACAGAGTGTTTCCAAACTGCTCCATCAAAAGAAAGGTTAAACTCCTTGAGTTGAACACACACATCACAAAGTAGTTTCTGTGAATGATTCTGTCTAGTTGTTATACGAAGATGTTTCCTTTTCTACCTTTGGTCTCAAAGCGATTGAAATCTCCACATGGAAACTCCACAAAAAGAGTGTTTCAAATCTGCTCTTTCTGAAGGAAGGTTCATCTCTGTGAGTTGAATACACACACCACAAATAAGTTACTGAGAATTCTTCTGTGTAACATTATATGAGGAAATCCCGTTTCCAACGAAGGCCTCAAATAGGTCCAAATATCCACTTGCAGACTTTACAAAGACAGTGTCTCCAAACTCCTCCATCAAAAGAAAGGTTATACTCTGTGAATTGAACGCACACATCACAAAGTAGTTTCTGAGAATGATTCTGTCTAGTTTTTATACGAAGATATTTCCTTTTCTACATTTGGCCTAAAAGCGCTTGAAATCTCCACCTGCAAATATCACAAAAAGAGGGTTTCACATCTGCTCTGTCTAAAGGACAGTTCACCTCTGTGAGTTGAATAGAGGCAACACAAAGAACTTACTCAGTATTCTTCTTTCTAGCGTTCTATGAAGAAATCCCGTTTCCAACGAAGGCCTCAAAGAGGTCCAAATATCTGCTTGCAGACTTTACAGACAGAGTGTTTCCAAACTACTCTATGAAAAGAAAGCTTAAACTCCTTGAGTTGAACGCACACATCACAAAGTAGTTTCTGAGAATGATTCTGTCTAGTTTTTATACGAAGATGTTTCCTTTTCTACATTTGGTCTCAAAGCGATTGAAATCTCCAACTGGAAACTGCACAAATAGGGTGTTTCAAATCTGCTCTTTCTAAAGGAAGGTTCAACTCTGTGAGTTGAATACACACACCACAAATAAGTTACTGAGAATTCTTCTGTCGAACATTACATGAAGAAATCCCGTTTCCAACGAAGGCCTCAAAGAGGTCCAAATATCCACTTGCAGACATTACAAACAGTGTGTTTCCAAACTGCTCCATCAAAAGAAAGGTTAAACTCTGTGAGCTGAACACACATCAAAAAGAAGTTTCTGTGAATGATTCTGTCTAGATTTTATAAGAAGATGTTTCCTTTTCTACAGTACGCCACAAAGCGCTTGAAATCTCCAGCTGCAAATTCCACAAAAAGGGTGTTTAACATCTGCTCTTCTAAAGGAAAGTTCAACTCTATGAGTTAAATAAACACAGCAGAAAGAAGTTACTGAGACTTCTTCTTTCTAGCATTCTATGAAGAAATCCCGTTTCCAACGAAGGCCCCAAAGAGGTCCAAATATCTGCTTGCAGAGTTTACAGACAGAGTTTTTCCAAACTGCTCCATCAAAAGAAAGGTTAAACTCCTTGAGTTGAACACACACATCACAAAGTAGTTTCTGTGAATGATTCTGTCTAGTTTTTATACGAAGATGTTTCCTTTTCTACCTTTGGTCTCAAAGCGATTGAAATCTCCACATGGAAACTCCACAAAAAGAGGGTTTCAAATCTGCTCTTTCTGAAGTAAGGTTCACCTCTGTGATTTGAATAAACACACCACAAATAAGTTACTGAGAATTCTTCTGTGTAACATTATATGAGGAAATCCCGTTTCCAACGAAGGCCTCAAAGAGGTCCAAATATCCACTTGCAGACTTTAGAAACACAGTGTCTCCAAACTCCTCCATCAAAAGAAAGGTTATACTCTGTGAAATGAACGCACACATCAGAAAGTAGTTTCTGAGAATGATTCTGTCTAGTTTTTATACGAAGATATTTCCTTTTCTACATTTGGCCTAAAAGCGCTTGAAATCTCCACCTGCAAATATCACAAAAAGAGGGTTTCACATCTGCTCTGTCTAAAGGACAGTTCACCTCTGCGAGTTGAATAGAGGCAACACAAAGAACTTACTCAGTATTCTTCTTTCTAGCGTTCCATGAAGAAATCCCGTTTCCAACGAAGGCCCCAAAGAGGTCCAAATATCTGCTTGCAGACTTTACAGACAGAGTGTTTCCAAACTACTCTATGAAAAGAAAGCTTAAACTCCTTGAGTTGAACGCACACATCACAAAGTAGTTTCTGAGAATAATTCTGTCTAGTTTTTATACGAAGATGTTTCCTTTTCTACATTTGGTCTCAAAGCGATTGAAATCTCCAACTGGAAACTGCACAAATAGGGTGTTTCAAATCTGCTCTGTCTAAAGGAAGGTTCAACTCTGTGAGTTGAATACACACACCACAAATAAGTTACTGAGAATTCTTCTGTCGAACATTACAGGAAGAAATCCCGTTTCCAACGAAGGCCTCAAAGAGGTCCAAATATCCACTTGCAGACATTACAAACAGTGTGTTTCCAAACTGCTCCATCAAAAGAAAGGTTAAACTCTGTGAGCTGAACACACACATCAAAAAGAAGTTTCTGTGAATGATTCTGTCTAGATTTTATAAGAAGATGTTTCCTGTTCTTCCGTAGGCCTCAAAGCGCTTGAAATCTCCAGCTGCAAATTCCACAAAAAGGGTGTTTAACATCTGCTCTTCTAAAGGAAAGTTCAACTCAATGAGTTGAATACACACAGCACAAAGAAGTTACTGAGACTTCTCCTATCAAACATTATATGAAGAAATCCCGTTTCCAACGAAGGCCTCAAAGAGGTCCAAATATCTGCTTGCAGACTTTACAGACAGAGTATTTCCAAACTGCTCCATCAAAAGAAAGGTTAAACTCCTTGAGTTGAACACACACATCACAAAGTAGTTTCTGTGAATGATTCTGTCTAGTTGTTATACGAAGATGTTTCCTTTTCTACCTTTGGTCTCAAAGCGATTGAAATCTCCACATGGAAACTCCACAAAAAGAGTGTTTCAAATCTGCTCTTTCTGAAGGAAGGTTCATCTCTGTGAGTTGAATACACACACCACAAATAAGTTACTGAGAATTCTTCTGTGTAACATTATATGAGGAAATCCCGATTCCAACGAAGGCCTCAAAGAGGTCCAAATATCCGCTTGCAGACTTTACAAAGACAGTGTCTCCAAACTCCTCCATCAAAAGAAAGGTTATACTCTGTGAATTGAACGCACACATCACAAAGTAGTTTCTGAGAATGATTCTGTCTAGTTTTTATACGAAGATATTTCCTTTTCTACATTTGGCCTAAAAGCGCTTGAAATCTCCACCTGCAAATATCACAAAAAGAGGGTTTCACATCTGCTCTGTCTAAAGGACAGTTCACCTCTGTGAGTTGAATAGAGGCAACACAAAGAACTTACTCAGTATTCTTCTTTCTAGCGTTCTATGAAGAAATCCCGTTTCCAACGAAGGCCCCAAAGAGGTCCAAATATCTGCTTGCAGACTTTACAGACAGAGTGTTTCCAAACTACTCTATGAAAAGAAAGCTTAAACTCCTTGAGTTGAACGCACACATCACAAAGTAGTTTCTGAGAATGATTCTGTCTAGTTTTTATACGAAGATGTTTCCTTTTCTACATTTGGTCTCAAAGCGATTGAAATCTCCAACTGGAAACTGCACAAATAGGGTGTTTCAAATCTGCTCTGTCTAAAGGAAGGTTCAACTCTGTGAGTTGAATACACACACCACAAATAAGTTACTGAGAATTCTTCTGTCGAACATTACTTGAAGAAATCCCGTTTCCAACGAAGGCCTCAAAGAGGTCCAAATATCCACTTGCAGACATTACAAACAGAGTGTTTCCAAACTGCTCCATCAAAAGAAAGGTTAAACTCTGTGAGCTGAACACACACATCGAAAAGAAGTTTCTGTGAATGATTCTGTCTAGATTTTATAAGAAGATGTTTCCTTTTCTACCGTAGGCCTCAAAGCGCTTGAAATCTCCAGCTGCAAATTCCACAAAAAGGGTGTTTAACATCTGCTCTTCTAAAGGAAAGTTCAACTCTATGAGTTGAATACACACAGCACAAAGAAGTTACTGAGACTTCTCCTATCAAATATTATATGAAGAAATCCCGTTTCCAACGAAGGCCTCAAAGAGGTCCAAATATCTGCTTGCAGACTTTACAGACAGAGTATTTCCAAACTGCTCCATCAAAAGAAAGGTTAAACTCCTTGAGTTGAACACACACATCACAAAGTAGTTTCTGTGAATGATTCTGTCTAGTTGTTATACGAAGATGTTTCCTTTTCTACCTTTGGTCTCAAAGCGATTGAAATCTCCACATGGAAACTCCACAAAAAGAGTGTTTCAAATCTGCTCTTTCTGAAGGAAGGTTCATCTCTGTGAGTTGAATACACACACCACAAATAAGTTAGTGAGAATTCTTCTGGGTAACATTATATGAGGAAATCCCGTTTCCAACGAAGGCCTCAAAGAGGTCCAAATATCCACTTGCAGACTTTACAAAGACAGTGTCTCCAAACTCCTCCATCAAAAGAAAGGTTATACTCTGTGAATTGAACGCACACATCACAAAGTAGTTTCTGAGAATGATTCTGTCTAGTTTTTATACGAAGATATTTCCTTTTCTACATTTGGCCTAAAAGCACTTGAAATCTCCACCTGCAAATATCCCAAAAAGAGGGTTTCACATCTGCTCTGTCTAAAGGACAGTTCACCTCTGTGAGTAGAATAGAGGCAACACAAAGAACTTAGTATTCTTCTTTCTAGCGTTCTATGAAGAAATCCCGTTTCCAACGAAGGCCTCAAAGAGGTTCAAATATCTGCTTGCAGACTTTACAGACAGAGTGTTTCCAAACTACTCTATGAAAAGAAAGCTTAAACTCCTTGAGTTGAACGCACACATCACAAAGTAGTTTCTGAGAATGATTCTGTCTAGTTTTTATACGAAGATGTTTCCTTTTCTACATTTGGTCTCAAAGCGATTGAAATCTCCAACTGGAAACTGCACAAATAGGGTGTTTCAAATCTGCTCTGTCTAAAGGAAGGTTCAACTCTGTGAGTTGAATACACACACCACAAATAAGTTACTGAGAATTCTTCTGTCGAACATTACAGGAAGAAATCCCGTTTCCAGCGAAGGCCTCAAAGAGGTCCAAATATCCACTTGCAGACATTACAAACAGAGTGTTTCCAAACTGCTCCATCAAAAGAAAGGTTAAACTCTGTGAGCTGAACACACACATCAAAAAGAAGTTTCTGTGAATGATTCTGTCTAGATTTTATAAGAAGATGTTTCCTTTTCTACCGTAGGCCTCAAAGCGCTTGAAATCTCCAGCTGCAAATTCCACAAAAAGGGTGTTTAACATCTGCTCTTCTAAAGGAAAGTTCAACTCTATGAGTTGAATACACACAGCACAAAGAAGTTACTGAGACTTCTCCTATCAAACATTATATGAAGAAATCCCGTTTCCAACGAAGGCCTCAAAGAGGTCCAAATATCTGCTTGCAGACTTTACAGACAGAGTGTTTCCAAACTGCTCCATCAAAAGAAAGGTTAAACTCCTTGAGTTGAACACACACATCACAAAGTAGTTTCTGTGAATGATTCTGTCTAGTTGTTATACGAAGATGTTTCCTTTTCTACCTTTGGTCTCAAAGCGATTGAAATCTCCACATGGAAACTCCACAAAAAGAGTGTTTCAAATCTGCTCTTTCTGAAGGAAGGTTCATCTCTGTGAGTTGAATACACACACCACAAATAAGTTACTGAGAATTCTTCTGTGTAACATTATATGAGGAAATCCCGTTTCCAACGAAGGCCTCAAAGAGGTCCAAATATCCACTTGCAGACTTTACAAAGACAGTGTCTCCAAACTCCTCCATCAAAAGAAAGGTTATACTCTGTGAATTGAACGCACACATCACAAAGTAGTTTCTGAGAATGATTCTGTCTAGTTTTTATACGAAGATATTTCCTTTTCTACATTTGGCCTAAAAGCGCTTGAAATCTCCACCTGCAAATATCACAAAAAGAGGGTTTCACATCTGCTCTGTCTAAAGGACAGTTCACCTCTGTGAGTTGAATAGAGGCAACACAAAGAACTTACTCAGTATTCTTCTTTCTAGCGTTCTATGAAGAAATCCCGTTTCCAACGAAGGCCCCAAAGAGGTCCAAATATCTGCTTGCAGACTTTACAGACAGAGTGTTTCCAAACTACTCTATGAAAAGAAAGCTTAAACTCCTTGAGTTGAACGCACACATCACAAAGTAGTTTCTGAGAATGATTCTGTCTAGTTTTTATACGAAGATGTTTCCTTTTCTACATTTGGTCTCAAAGCGATTGAAATCTCCAACTGGAAACTGCACAAATAGGGTGTTTCAAATCTGCTCTGTCTAAAGGAAGGTTCAACTCTTTGAGTTGAATACACACACCACAAATAAGTTACTGAGAATTCTTCTGTCGACCATTACTTGATGAAATCCCGTTTCCAACGAAGGCCTCAAAGAGGTCCAAATATCCACTTGCAGACATTACAAACAGAGTGTTTCCAAACTGCTCCATCAAAAGAAAGGTTAAACTCTGTGAGCTGAACACACACATCGAAAAGAAGTTTCTGTGAATGATTCTGTCTAGATTTTATAAGAAGATGTTTCCTTTTCTACCGTAGGCCTCAAAGCGCTTGAAATCTCCAGCTGCAAATTCCACAAAAAGGGTGTTTAACATCTGCTCTTCTAAAGGAAAGTTCAACTCTATGAGTTGAATACACACAGCACAAAGAAGTTACTGAGACTTCTCCTATCAAACATTATATGAAGAAATCCCGTTTCCAACGAAGGCCTCAAAGAGGTCCAAATATCTACTTGCAGACTTTACAGACAGAGTGTTTCCAAACTGCTCCATCAAAAGAAAGGTTAAACTCCTTGAGTTGAACACACACATCACAAAGTAGTTTCTGTGAATGATTCTGTCTAGTTGTTATACGAAGATGTTTCCTTTTCTACCTTTGGTCTCAAAGCGATTGAAATCTCCACATGGAAACTCCACAAAAAGAGTGTTTCAAATCTGCTCTTTCTGAAGGAAGGTTCATCTCTGTGAGTTGAATATACACACCACAAATAAGTTACTGAGAATTCTTCTGTGTAACATTATATGAGGAAATCCCGTTTCCAACGAAGGCCTCAAACAGGTCCAAATATCCACTTGCAGACTTTACAAAGACAGTGTCTCCAAACTCCTCCATCAAAAGAAAGGTTATACTCTGTGAATTGAACGCACACATCACAAAGTAGTTTCTGAGAATGATTCTGTCTAGTTTTTATACGAAGATATTTCCTTTTCTACATTTGGCCTAAAAGCGCTTGAAATCTCCACCTGCAAATATCACAAAAAGAGGGTTTCACATCTGCTCTGTCTAAAGGACAGTTCACCTCTGTGAGTTGAATAGAGGCAACACAAAGAACTTACTCAGTATTCTTCTTTCTACCGTTCTATGAAGAAATCCCTTTTCCAACGAAGGCCTCAAAGAGGTCCAAATATCTGCTTGCAGACTTTACAGAGTGTTTCCAAACTACTATATGAAAAGAAAGCTTAAACTCCTTGAGTTGAACGCACACATCACAAAGTAGTTTCTGAGAATGATTCTGTCTAGTTTTTATACGAAGATGTTTCCTTTTCTACATTTCGTCTCAAAGCGATTGAAATCTCCAACTGGAAACTGCACAAATATTGTGTTTCGAATCTGCTCTGTCTAAAGGAAGGTTCAAATCTGTGAGTTGAATACACACACCACAAATAAGTTACTGAGAATTCTTCTGTCGAACATTACTTGAAGAAATCCCGTTTCCAACGAAGGCCTCAAAGAGGTCCAAATATCCACTTGCAGACATTACAAACAGAGTGTTTCCAAACTGCTCCATCAAAAGAAAGGTTAAACTCTGTGAGCTGAACACACACACCAAAAAGAAGTTTCTGTGAATGATTCTGTCTAGATTTTATAAGAAGATGTTTCCTTTTCTACCGTAGGCCTCAAAGCGCTTGAAATCTCCAGCTGCAAATTCCACAAAAAGGGTGTTTAACATCTGCTCTTCTAAAGGAAAGTTCAACTCTATGAGTTGAATACACACAGCACAAAGAAGTTACTGAGACTTCTCCTATCAAACATTATATGAAGAAATCCCGTTTCCAACGAAGGCCTCAAAGAGGTCCAAATATCTACTTGCAGACTTTACAGACAGAGTGTTTCCAAACTGCTCCATCAAAAGAAAGGTTAAACTCCTTGAGTTGAACACACACATCACAAAGTAGTTTCTGTGAATGATTCTGTCTAGTTTTTATACGAAGATGTTTCCTTTTCTACCTTTGGTCTCAAAGCGATTGAAATCTCCACATGGAAACTCCACAAAAAGAGTGTTTCAAATCTGCTCTTTCTGAAGGAAGGTTCAACTCTGTGAGTTGAATACACACACCACAAATAAGTTACTGAGAATTCTTCTGTGTAACATTATATGAGGAAATCCCGTTTCCAACGAAGGCCTCAAAGAGGTCCAAATATCCACTTGCAGACTTTACAAAGACAGTGTCTCCAAACTCCTCCATCAAAAGAAAGGTTATACTCTGTGAATTGAACGCACACATCACAAAGTAGTTTCTGAGAATGATTCTGTCTAGTTTTTATACGAAGATATTTCCTTTTCTACATTTGGCCTAAAAGCGCTTGAAATCTCCACCTGCAAATATCACAAAAAGAGGGTTTCACATCTGCTCTGTCTAAAGGACAGTTCACCTCTGTGAGTTGAATAGAGGCAACACAAAGAACTTACTGAGTATTCTTCTTTCTAGCGTTCTATGAAGAAATCCCGTTTCCAACGAAGGCCCCAATGAGGTCCAAATATCTGCTTGCAGACTTTACAGACAGAGTGTTTCCAAACTACTCTATGAAAAGAAAGCTTAAACTCCTTGAGTTGAACGCACACATCACAAAGTAGTTTCTGAGAATGATTCTGTCTAGTTTTTATACGAAGATGTTTCCTTTTCTACATTTGGTCTCAAAGCGATTGAAATCTCCAACTGGAAACTGCACAAATAGGGTGTTTCAAATCTGCTCTGTGTAAAGGAAGGTTCAACTCTGTGAGTTGAATACACACACCACAAATAAGTTACTGAGAATTCTTCTGTCGAACATTACTTGAAGAAATCCCGTTTCCAACGAAGGCCTCAAAGAGGTCCAAATATCCACTTGCAGACATTACAAACAGAGTGTTTCCAAACTGCTCCATCAAAAGAAAGGTTAAACTCTGTGAGCTGAACACACACATCAAAAAGAAGTTTCTGTGAATGATTCTGTCTAGATTTTATAAGAAGATGTTTCCTTTTCTACCGTAGGCCTCAAAGCGCTTGAAATCTCCAGCTGCAAATTCCACAAAAAGGGTGTTTAACATCTGCTCTTCTAAAGGAAAGTTCAACTCTATGAGTTGAATACACACAGCACAAAGAAATTACTGAGACTTCTCCTATCAAACATTATATGAAGAAATCCCGTTTCCAACGAAGGCCTCAAAGAGGTCCAAATATCTGCTTGCAGACATTACAGACAGAGTGTTTCCAAACTGCTCCATCAAAAGAAAGGTTAAACTCCTTGAGTTGAACACACACATCACAAAGTAGTTTCTGTGAATGATTCTGTCTAGTTTTTATACGAAGATGTTTCCTTTTCTACCTTTGGTCTCAATGCGATTGAAATCTCCACATGGAAACTCCACAAAAAGAGTGTTTCAAATCTGCTCTTTCTGAAGGAAGGTTCATCTCTGTGAGTTGAATACACACACCACAAATAAGTTACTGAGAATTCTTCTGTGTAACATTATATGAGGAAATCCCGTTTCCAACGAAGGCCTCAAAGAGGTCCAAATATCCACTTGCAGACTTTACAAAGACAGTGTCTCCAAACTCCTCCATCAAAAGAAAGGTTATACTCTGTGAATTGAACGCACACATCACAAAGTAGTTTCTGAGAATGATTCTGTCTAGTTTTTATACGAAGATATTTCCTTTTCTACATTTGGCCTAAAAGCGCTTGAAATCTCCACCTGCAAATATCACAAAAAGAGGGTTTCACATCTGCTCTGTCTAAAGGACAGTTCACCTCTGTGAGTTGAATAGAGGCAACACAAAGAACTTACTCAGTATTCTTCTTTCTAGCGTTCTATGAAGAAATCCCGTTTCCAACGAAGGCCCCAAAGAGGTCCAAATATCTGCTTGCAGACTTTACAGACAGAGTGTTTCCAAACTACTCTATGAAAAGAAAGCTTAAACTCCTTGAGTTGAACGCACACATCACAAAGTAGTTTCGGAGAATGATTCTGTCTAGTTTTTATACGAAGATGTTTCCTTTTCTACATTTGGTCTCAAAGCGATTGAAATCTCCAACTGGAAACTCACAAATAGGGTGTTTCAAATCTGCTCTGTCTAAAGGAAGGTTCAACTCTGTGAGTTGAATACACACACCACAAAGAAGTTACTGAGAATTCTTCTGTCGAACATTACTTGAAGAAATCCCGTTTCCAACGAAGGCCTCAAAGAGGTCCAAATATCCACTTGCAGACATTACAAACAGAGTGTTTCCAAACTGCTCCATCAAAAGAAAGGTTAAACTCTGTGAGCTGAACACACACATCAAAAAGAAGTTTCTGTGAATGATTCTGTCTAGATTTTATAAGAAGATGTTTCCTTTTCTACCGTAGGCCTCAAAGCGCTTGAAATCTCCAGCTGCAAATTCCACAAAAAGGGTGTTTAACATCTGCTCTTCTAAAGGAAAGTTCAACTCTATGAGTTGAATACACACAGCACAAAGAAGTTACTGAGACTTCTCCTATCAAACATTATATGAAGAAATCCCGTTTCCAACGAAGGCCTCAAAGAGGTCCAAATATCTGCTTGCAGACTTTACAGACAGAGTGTTTCCAAACTGCTCCATCAAAAGAAAGGTTAAACTCCTTGAGTTGAACACACACATCACAAAGTAGTTTCTGTGAATGATTCTGTCTAGTTTTTATACGAAGATGTTTCCTTTTCTACCTTTGGTCTCAAAGCGATTGAAATCTCCACATGGAAACTCCACAAAAAGAGTCTTTCAAATCTGCTCTTTCTGAAGGAAGGTTCAACTCTGTGAGTTGAATACACACACCACAAATAAGTTACTGAGAATTCTTCTGTGTAACATTATATGAGGAAATCCCGTTTCCAACGAAGGCCTCAAAGAGGTCCAAATATCCACTTGCAGACTTTAGAAACACAGTGTCTCCAAACTCCTCCATCAAAAGAAACGTTATACTCTGTGAAATGAACGCACACATCACAAAGTAGTTTCTGAGAATGATTCTCTCTAGTTTTTATACGAAGATATTTCCTTTTCTACATTTGGCCTAAAAGCGCTTGAAATCTCCACCTGCAAATATCACAAAAAGAGGGTTTCACATCTGCTCTGTCTAAAGGACAGTTCACCTCTGTGAGTTGAATAGAGGCAACACAAAGAACTTACTCAGTATTCTTCTTTCTAGCGTTCTATGAAGAAATCCCGTTTCCAACGAAGGCCCCAAAGAGGTCTAAATATCTGCTTGCAGACTTTACAGACAGAGTGTTTCCAAACTACTCTATGAAAAGAAAGCTTAAACTCCTTGAGTTGAACGCACACATCACAAAGTAGTTTCTGAGAATGATTCTGTCTAGTTTTTATGCGAAGATGTTTCCTTTTCTACATTTGGTCTCAAAGCGATTGAAATCTCCAACTGGAAACTGCACAAATAGGGTGTTTCAAATCTGCTCTGTCTAAAGGAAGGTTCAACTCTGTGAGTTGAATACACAAACCACAAACAAGTTACTGAGAATTCTTCTGTCGAACATTACATGAAGAAATCCCGTTTCCAACGAAGGCCTCAAAGAGGTCCAAATATCCACTTGCAGACATTACAAACAGAGTGTTTCCAAACTGCTCCATCAAAAGAAAGGTTAAACTCTGTGAGCTGAACACACACATCAAAAAGAAGTTTCTGTGAATGATTCTGTCTAGATTTTATAAGAAGATGTTTCCTTTTCTACCGTAGGCCACAAAGCGCTTGAAATCTCCAGCTGCAAATTCCACAAAAAGGGTGTTTAACATCTGCTCTTCTAAAGGAAAGTTCAACTCTATGCGTTGAATACACACAGCACAAAGAAGTTACTGAGACTTCTCCTATCAAACATTATATGAAGAAATCCCGTTTCCAACGAAGGCCTCAAAGAGGTCCAAATATCTGCTTGCAGACTTTACAGACAGAGTTTTTCCAAACTGCTCCATCAAAAGAAAGGTTAAACTCCTTGAGTTGAACACACACATCACAAAGTAGTTTCTGTGAATGATTCTGTCTAGTTTTTATACGAAGATGTTTCCTTTTCTACCTTTGGTCTCAAAGCGATTGAAATCTCCACATGGAAACTCCACAAAAAGAGTGTTTCAAATCTGCTCTTTCTGAAGGAAGGTTCAACTCTGTGAGTTGAATACACACACCACAAATAAGTTACTGAGAATTCTCCTATCAAACATTATATGAAGAAATCCCGTTTCCAACGAAGGCCTCAAAGAGGTCCAAATATCTGCTTGCAGACTTTACAAAGACAGTGTCTCCAAACTCCTAAATCAAAAGAAAGGTTATACTCTGTGAATTGAACGCACACATCACAAAGTAGTTTCTGAGAATGATTCTGTCTAGTTTTTATACGAAGATATTTCCTTTTCTACATTTGGCCGAAAAGCGCTTGAAATCTCCACCTGCAAATATCACAAAAAGAGGGTTTCACATCTGCTCTGTCTAAAGGACAGTTCACCTCTGTGAGTTGAATAGAGGCAACACAAAGCACTTACTCAGTTTTCTTCTTTCTAGCGTTATATGAAGAAATCCCATTTCCAACGAAGGCCTCAAAGAGGTCCAAATATCTTCTTGCAGACTTTACAGACAGAGTGTTTCCAAACTACTCTATGAAAAGAAAGCTTAAACTCCTTGAGTTGAACGCACACATCACAAACTAGTTTCTGAGAATGATTCTGTCTTGTTTTTATACATAGTTATTTCCGTTTCTATGATTGGCCTCAAAGCGATTGAAATCTCCAACTGGAAACTGCACAAATAGGGTGTTTCAAATCTGCTCTGTCTAAAGGAAGGTTCAACTCTGTGAGTTGAATACACACACCACAAATAAGTTACTGAGAATTCTTCTGTCGAACATTACATGAAGAAATCCCGTTTCCAACGAAGGCCTCAAAGAGGTCCAAATATCCACTTGCAGACATTACAAACAGAGTGTTTCCAAACTGCTCCATCAAAAGAAAGGTTAAACTCTGTGAGCTGAACACACACATCAAAAAGAAGTTTCTGTGAATGATTCTGTCTAGATTTTATAAGAAGATGTTTCCTTTTCTACCGTAGGCCTCAAAGCGCTTGAAATCTCCAGCTGCAAATTCCACAAAAAGGGTGTTTAACATCTGCTCTTCTAAAGGAAAGTTCAACTCTATGAGTTGAATACACACAGCACAAAGAAGTTACTGAGACTTCTCCTATCAAACATTATATGAAGAAATCCCGTTTCCAACGAAGGCCTCAAAGGGGTCCAAATATCTGCTTGCAGACTTTACAGACAGAGTGTTTCCAAACTGCTCCATCAAAAGAAAGGTTAAACTCCTTGAGTTGAACACACACATCACAAAGTAGTTTCTGTGAATGATTCTGTCTAGTTTTTATACGAAGATGTTTCCTTTTCTACCTTTGGTCTCAAAGCGATTGAAATCTCCACATGGAAACTCCACAAAAAGAGTGTTTCAAATCTGTTCTTTCTGAAGGAAGGTTCAACTCTGTGAGTTGAATACACACACCACAAATAAGTTACTGAGAATTCTTCTGTGTAACATTATATGAGGAAATCCCGTTTCCAACGAAGGCCTCAAAGAGGTCCAAATATCCACTTGCAGACTTTACAAAGACAGTGTCTCCAAACTCCTCCATCAAAAGAAAGGTTATACTCTGTGAATTGAACGCACACATCACAAAGTAGTTTCTGAGAATGATTCTGTCTAGTTTTTATACGAAGATATTTCCTTTTCTACATTTGGCCTAAAAGCGCTTGAAATCTCCACCTGCAAATATCACAAAAAGAGGGTTTCACATCTGCTCTGTCTAAAGGACAGTTCACCTCTGTGAGTTGAATAGAGGCAACACAAAGAACTTACTCAGTATTCTTCTTTCTAGCGTTCTATGAAGAAATCCCGTTTCCAACGAAGGCCCCAAAGAGGTCCAAATATCTGCTTGCAGACTTAACAGACAGAGTGTTTCCAAACTACTCTATGAAAAGAAAGCTTAAACTCCTTGAGTTGAACGCACACATCACAAAGTAGTTTCTGAGAATGATTCTGTCTAGTTTTTATACGAAGATGTTTCCTTTTCTACATTTGGTCTCAAAGCGATTGAAATCTCCAACTGGAAACTGCACAAATAGGGTGTTTCAAATCTGCTCTGTCTAAAGGAAGGTTCAACTCTGTGAGTTGAATACACACACCACAAATAAGTTACTGAGAATTCTTCTGTCGAACATTACTTGAAGAAATCCCGTTTCCAACGAAGGCCTCAAAGAGGTCCAAATATCCACTTGCAGACATTACAAACAGAGTGTTTCCAAACTGCTCCATCAAAAGAAAGGTTAAACTCTGTGAGCTGAACACACACATCAAAAAGAAGTTTCTGTGAATGATTCTGTCTAGATTTTATAAGAAGATGTTTCCTTTTCTACCGTAGGCCTCAAAGCGCTTGAAATCTCCAGCTGCATATTCCACAAAAAGGGTGTTTAACATCTGCTCTTCTAAAGGAAAGTTCAACTCAATGAGTTGAATACACACAGCCCAAAGAAGTTACTGAGACTTCTCCTATCAAACATTATATGAAGAAATCCCGTTTCCAACGAAGGCCTCAAAGAGGTCCAAATATCTGCTTGCAGACTTTACAAAGACAGTGTCTCCAAACTCCTCCATCAAAAGAAAGGTTATACTCTGTGAATTGAACGCACACATCACAAAGTAGTTTCTGTGAATGATTCTGTCTAGTTTTTATACGAAGATATTTCCTTTTCTACATTTGGCCTAAAAACGCTTGAAATCTCCTCCTGCAAATATCAAAAAAAGAGGGTTTCACATCTGCTCTGTCTAAAGGACAGTTCACCTCTGTGAGTTGAATAGAGGCAACACAAAGAACTTACTCAGTATTCTTCTTTCTAGCGTTCTATGAAGAAATCCCGTTTCCAACCGAAGGCCCTAAAGAGGTCCAAATATCTGCTTGCAGACTTTACAGACAGAGTGTTTCCAAACTACTCTATGAAAAGAAAGCTTAAACTCCTTGAGTTGAACGCACACATCACAAAGTAGTTTCTGAGAATGATTCTGTCTAGTTTTTATATGAAGATGTTTCCTTTTCTACATTTGGTCTCAAAGCAATTGAAATCTCCAAGTGGAAACTGCACAAATAGGGAGTTTCAAATCTGATCTGTCTAAAGGAAGGGTCAACTCTGTGAGTTGAATACACACACCACAAATAAGTTACTGAGAATTCTTCTGTCGAACATTACTTGAAGAAATCCCGTTTCCAACGAAGGCCTCAAAGAGGTCCAAATATCCACTTGCAGACGTTACAAACAGAGTGTTTCCAAACTGCTCCATCAAAAGAAAGGTTAAACTCTGTGAGCTGAACACACACATCAAAAAGAAGTTTCTGTGAATGATTCTGTCTAGATTTTATAAGAAGATGTTTCCTTTTCTACCGTAGGCCTCAAAGCGCTTGAAATCTCCAGCTGCAAATTCCACAAAAAGGGTGTTTAACATCTGCTCTTCTAAAGGAAAGTTCAACTCTATGAGTTGAATACACACAGCACAAAGAAGTTACTGAGACTTCTCCTATCAAACATAATAGGAAGAAATCCCGTTTCCAACGAAAGCCTCAGCGAGGTCCAAATATCCACTTGCAGACGTGACAAACAGAGTGTTTCCAAACTGCTCCATCAAAAGAAAGGTTAAACTCTGTGAGTTGAACACACACATCACAAAGTAGTTTCTGTGAATGATTCTGTCTAGTTTTTATACGAAGATGTTTCCTTTTCTACCTTTGGTCTCAAAGCCATTGAAATCTCCCCATGGAAACTCCACAAAAAGAATGTTTCAAATCTGCTCTTTCTGAAGGAAGGTTCAACTCTGTGAGTTGAATACACACACCACAAATAAGTTACTGAGAATTCTTCTGGGTAACATTATATGAGGAAATCCCGTTTCCAACGAAGGCCTCAAAGAGGTCCAAATATCCACTTGCAGACTTTACAAAGACAGTGTCTCCAAACTCCTCCATCAAAAGAAAGGTTATACTCTGTGAATTGAACGCACACATCACAAAGTAGTTTCTGAGAATGATTCTGTCTAGTTTTTATACGAAGATATTTCCTTTTCTACATTTGGCCTAAAAGCGCTTGAAATCTCCACCTGCAAATATCACAAAAAGAGGGTTTCACATCTGCTCTGTCTAAAGGACAGTTCACCTCTGTGAGTTGAATAGAGGCAACACAAAGAACTTACTCAGTATTCTTCTTTCTAGCGTTCTATGAAGAAATCCCGTTTCCAACGAAGGCCCCAAAGAGGTCAAATATCTGCTTGCAGACTTTACAGACAGAGTGTTTCCAAACTACTCTATGAAAAGAAAGCTTAAACTCCTTGAGTTGAACGCACACATCACAAAGTAGTTTCTGAGAATGATTCTGTCTAGTTTTTATACGAAGATGTTTCCTTTTCTACATTTGGTCTCAAAGCGATTGAAATCTCCAACTGGAAACTGCACAAATAGGGTGTTTCAAATCTGCTCTGTCTAAAGGAAGGTTCAACTCTGTGAGTTGAATACACACACCACAAATAAGTTACTGAGAATTCTTCTGTCGAACATTACATGAAGAAATCCCGTTTCCAACGAAGGCCTCAAAGAGGTCCAAATATCCACTTGCAGACATTACAAACAGAGTGTTTCCAAACTGCTCCATCAAAAGAAAGGTTAAACTCTGTGAGCTGAACACACACATCAAAAAGAAGTTTCTGTGAATGATTCTGTCTAGATTTTATAAGAAGATGTTTCCTTTTCTACCGTAGGCCTCAAAGCGCTTGAAATCTCCAGCTGCAAATTCCACAAAAAGGGTGTTTAACATCTGCTCTTCTAAAGGAAAGTTCAACTCTATGAGTTGAATACACACAGCACAAAGAAGTTACTGAGACTTGTCCTATCAAACATTATATGAAGAAATCCCGTTTCCAACGAAGGCCTCAAAGAGGTCCAAATATCTGCTTGCAGACTTTACAGACAGAGTGTTTCCAAACTGCTCCATCAAAAGAAAGGTTAACCTCCTTGAGTTGAACACACACATCACAAAGTAGTTTCTGTGAATGATTCTGTCTAGTTTTTATACGAAGATGTTTCCTTTTCTACCTTTGGTCTCAAAGCGATTGAAATCTCCACATGGAAACTCCACAAAAAGAGTGTTTCAAATCTGCTCTTTCTGAAGGAAGGTTCAACTCTGTGAGTTGAATAAACACACAACAATTAAGTTACTGAGAATTCTTCTGGGTAACATTATATGAGGAAATCCCGTTTCCAACGAAGGCCTCAAAGAGGTCCAAATATCCACTTGCAGACTTTACAAAGACAGTGTCTCCAAACTCCTCCATCAAAAGAAAGGTTATACTCTGTGAATTGAACGCACACATCACAAAGTAGTTTCTGAGAATGATTCTGTCTAGTTTTTATACGAAGATATTTCCTTTTCTACATTTGGCCTAAAAGCGCTTGAAATCTCCACCTGCAAATATCACAAAAAGAGGGTTTCACATCTGCTCTGTCTAAAGGACAGTTCACCTCTGTGAGTTGAATAGAGGCAACACAAAGAACTTACTCAGTATTCTTCTTTCTAGCGTTCTATGAAGAAATCCCGTTTCCAACGAAGGCCTCAAAGAGGTCCAAATATCTGCTTGCAGACTTTACAGACAGAGTGTTTCCAAACTACTCTATGAAAAGAAAGCTTAAACTCCTTGAGTTGAACGCACACATCACAAAGTAGTTTCTGAGAATGATTCTGTCTAGTTTTTATACGAAGATGTTTCCTTTTCTACATTTGGTCTCAAAGCGATTGAAATCTCCTACTGGAAACTGCACAAACAGGGTGTTTCAAATCTGCTCTGTCTAAAGGAAGGTTCAACTCTGTGAGTTGAATACACACACCACAAATAAGTTACTGAGAATTCTTCTGTCGAACATTACTTGAAGAAATACCGTTTCCAAAGAAGGCCTCAAAGAGGTCAAAATATCCACTTGCAGACATTACAAACAGAGTGTTTCAAAACTGCTCCATCAAAAGAAAGGTTAAACTCTGTGAGCTGAACACACACATGAAAAAGAAGTTTCTGTGAATGATTCTGTCTAGATTTTATAAGAAGATGTTTCCTTTTCTACCGTAGGCCTCAAAGCGCTTGAAATCTCCAGCTGCAAATTCTACAAAAAGGGTGTTTAACATCTGCTCTTCTAAAGGAAAGTTCAACTCTATGCGTTGAATAAACACAGCAGAAAGAAGTTACTGAGACTTCTCCTATCAAACATTATATGAAGAAATCCCGTTTCCAACGAAGGCCCCAAAGAGGTCCAAATATCTGCTTGCAGACTTTACAGACAGAGTTTTTCCAAACTGCTCCATCAAAAGAAAGGTTAAACTCCTTGAGTTGAACACACACATCACAAAGTAGTTTCTGTGAATGATTCTGTCTAGTTTTTATACGAAGATGTTTCCTTTTCTACCTTTGGTCTCAAAGTGATTGAAATCTCCACATGGAAACTCCACAAAAAGAGTGTTTCAAATCTGCTCTTTCTGAAGGAAGGTTCAAATCTGTGAGTTGAATACACACACCACAAATAAGTTACTGAGAATTCTTCTGTGTAACATTATATGAGGAAATCCCGTTTCCAACGAAGGCCTCAAAGAGGTCCAAATATCCACTTGCAGACTTACAAAGACAGTGTCTCCAAACTCCTCCATCAAAAGAAAGGTTATACTCTGTGAATTGAACGCACACATCACAAAGTAGTTTCTGAGAATGATTCTGTCTAGTTTTTATACGAAGATATTTCCTTTTCTACATTTGGCCTAAAAGCGCTTGAAATCTCCACCTGCAAATATCACAAAAAGAGGGTTTCACATCTGCTCTGTCTAAAGGACAGTTCACCTCTGTGAGTTGAATAGAAGCAACACAAAGAACTTACTCAGTATTCTTCTTTCTAGCGTTCTATGAAGAAATCCCGTTTCCAACGAAGGCCCCAAAGAGGTCCAAATATCTGCTTGCAGACTTTACAGACAGAGTGTTTCCAAACTACTCTATGAAAAGAAAGCTTAAACTCCTTGAGTTGAACGCACACATCACAAAGTAGTTTCGGAGAATGATTCTGTATAGTTTTTATACGAAGATGTTTCCTTTTCTACATTTGGTCTCAAAGCGATTGAAATCTCCAACTGGAAACTGCACAAATAGGGTGTTTCAAATCTGCTCTGTCTAAAGGAAGGTTCAACTCTGTGAGTTGAATACACACACCACAAATAAGTTACTGAGAATTCTTCTGTCGAACATTACTTGAAGAAATCCCGTTTCCAACGAAGGCCTCAAAGAGGTCCAAATATCCACTTGCAGACATTACAAACAGAGTGTTTCCAAACTGCTCCATCAAAAGAAAGGTTAAACTCTGTGAGCTGAACACACACATCAAAAAGAAGTTTCTGTGAATGATTCTGTCTAGATTTTATAAGAAGATGTTTCCTTTTCTACCGTAGGCCACAAAGCGCTTGAAATCTCCAGCTGCAAATTCCACAAAAAGGGTGTTTTACATCTGCTCTTCTAAAGGAAAGTTCAACTCTATGCGTTGAATACACACAGCACAAAGAAGTTACTGAGACTTCTCCTATCAAACATTATATGAAGAAATCCCGTTTCCAACGAAGGCCTCAGAGAGGTCCAAATATCTGCTTGCAGACTTTACAGACAGAGTTTTTCCAAACTGCTCCATCAAAAGAAAAGGTTAAACTCCTTGAGTTGAACACACACATCACAAAGTAGTTTCTGTGAATGATCTGTCTAGTTGTTATACGAAGATGTTTCCTTTTCTACCTTTGGTCTCAAAGCGATTGAAATCTCCACATGGAAACTCCACAAAAAGAGTGTTTCAAATCTGCTCTTTCTGAAGGAAGGTTCATCTCTGTGAGTTGAATACACACACCACAAATAAGTTACTGAGAATTCTTCTGTGTAACATTATATGAGGAAATCCCGTTTCCAACGAAGGCCTCAAAGAGGTCCAAATATCCACTTGCAGACTTTACAAAGACAGTGTCTCCAAACTCCTCCATCAAAAGAAAGGTTATACTCTGTGAATTGAACGCACACATCACAAAGTAGTTTCTGAGAATGATTCTGTCTAGTTTTTATACGAAGATATTTCCTTTTCTACATTTGGCCTAAAAGCGCTTGAAATCTCCACCTGCAAATATCACAAAAAGAGGGTTTCACATCTGCTCTGTCTAAAGGACAGTTCACCTCTGTGAGTTGAATAGAGGCAACACAAAGAACTTACTCAGTATTCTTCTTTCTAGCAGTTACTATGAAGAAATCCCGTTTCCAACGAAGGCCCCCAAAAGAGGTCCAAATATCTGCTTGCAGACTTTACAGACAGAGTGTTTCCAAACTACTCTATGAAAAGAAAGCTTAAACTCCTTGAGTTGAACGCACACATCACAAAGTAGTTTCTGAGAATGATTCTGTCTAGTTTTTATACGAAGATGTTTCCTTTTCTACATTTGGTCTCAAAGCGATTGAAATCTCCAACTGGAAACTGCACAAATAGGGTGTTTCAAATCTGCTCTGTCTAAAGGAAGGTTCAACTCTGTGAGTTGAATACACACACCACAAATAAGTTACTGAGAATTCTTCTGTCGAACATTACTTGAAGAAATCCCGTTTCCAACGAAGGCCTCAAAGAGGTCCAAATATCCACTTGCAGACATTACAAACAGAGTGTTTCCAAACTGCTCCATCAAAAGAAAGGTTAAACTCTGTGAGCTGAACACACACATCAAAAAGAAGTTTCTGTGAATGATTCTGTCTAGATTTTATAAGAAGATGTTTCCTTTTCTACCGTAGGCCTCAAAGCGCTTGAAATCTCCAGCTGCAAATTCCACAAAACGGGTGTTTAACATCTGCTCTTCTAAAGGAAAGTTCAACTCTATGAGTTGAATACACACAGCACAAAGAAGTTACTGAGACTTCTTCTTTCTAGCGTTATATGAAGAAATCCCGTTTCCAACGAAGGCCTCAAGAAGTCCAAATATCTGCTTGCAGACTTTACAGACAGAGTGTTTCCAAACTGCTCTATCAAAAGAAAGGTTAAACTCCTTGAGTTGAACACACACATCACAAAGTAATTTCTGAGAATGATTCTGTCTAGTTTTTATACGAAGATGTTTCCTTTTCTACCTTTGGTCTCAATGCGATTGAAATCTCCACATGGAAACTCCACAAAAAGAGTGTTTCAAATCTGCTCTTTCTGAAGGAAGGTTCAACACTGTGAGTTGAATACACACACCACAAATAAGTTACTGAGAATTCTTCTGTGTAACATTATATGAGGAAATCCCGTTTCCAACGAAGGCCTCAAAGAGGTCCAAATATCCACTTGCAGACTTTACAAAGACAGTGTCTCCAAACTCCTCCATCAAAAGAAAGGTTATACTCTGTGAATTGAACGCACACATCACAAAGTAGTTTCTGAGAATGATTCTGTCTAGTTTTTATACGAAGATATTTCCTTTTCTACATTTGGCCTAAAAGCGCTTGAAATCTCCACCTGCAAATATCACAAAAAGAGGGTTTCACATCTGCTCTGTCTAAAGGACAGTTCACCTCTGTGAGTTGAATAGAGGCAACACAAAGAACTTACTCAGTATTCTTCTTTCTAGCATTCTATGAAGAAATCCCGTTTCCAACGAAGGCCCCAAAGAGGTCCAAATATCTGCTTGCAGACTTTACAGACAGAGTGTTTCCAAACTACTCTATGAAAAGAAAGCTTAAACTCCTTGAGTTGAACGCACACATCACAAAGTAGTTTCTGAGAATGATTCTGTCTAGTTTTTATACGAAGATGTTTCCTTTTCTACATTTGGTCTCAAAGCGATTGAAATCTCCAACTGGAAACTGCACAAATAGGGTGTTTCAAATCTGCTCTGTCTAAAGGAAGGTTCAACTCTGTGAGTTGAATACACACACCACAAATAAGTTACTGAGAATTCTTCTGTCGAACATTACTTGAAGAAATTCCGTTTCCAACGAAGGCCTCAAAGAGGTCCAAATATCCACTTGCAGACATTACAAACAGAGTGTTTCCAAACTGCTCCATGAAAAGAAAGGTTAAACTCTGTGAGCTGAACACACACATCAAAAAGAAGTTTCTGTGAATGATTCTGTCTAGATTTTATAAGAAGATGTTTCCTTTTCTACCGTAGGCCTCAAAGCGCTTGAAATCTCCAGCTGCAAATTCCACAAAAAGGGTGTTTAACATCTGCTCTTCTAAAGGAAAGTTCAACTCTATGAGTTGAATACACACAGCACAAAGAAGTTACTGAGACTTCTCCTATCAAACATTATATGAAGAAATCCCGTTTCCAACGAAGGCCTCAAAGAGGTCCAAATATCTGCTTGCAGACTTTACAGACAGAGTGTTTCCAAACTGCTCCATCAAAAGAAAGGTTAACCTCCTTGAGTTGAACACACACATCACAAAGTAGTTTCTGTGAATGATTCTGTCTAGTTTTTATACGAAGATGTTTCCTTTTCTACCTTTGGTCTCAAAGCGATTGAAATCTCCACATGGAAACTCCACAAAAAGAGTGTTTCAAATCTGCTCTTTCTGAAGGAAGGTTCAACTCTGTGAGTTGAATACACACACCACAAATAAGTTACTGAGAATTCTTCTGGGTAACATTATATGAGGAAATCCCGTTTCCAACGAAGGCCTCAAAGAGGTCCAAATATCCACTTGCAGACTTTACAAAGACAGTGTCTCCAAACTCCTCCATCAAAAGAAAGGTTATACTCTGTGAATTGAACGCACACATCACAAAGTAGTTTCTGAGAATGATTCTGTCTAGTTTTTATACGAAGATATTTCCTTTTCTACATTTGGCCTAAAAGCGCTTGAAATCTCCACCTGCAAATATCACAAAAAGAGGGTTTCACATCTGCTCTGTCTAAAGGACAGTTCACCTCTGTGAGTTGAATAGAGGCAACACAAAGAACTTACTCAGTATTCTTCTTTCTAGCGTTCTATGAAGAAATCCCGTTTCCAACGAAGACCCCAATGAGGTCCAAATATCTGCTTGCAGACTTTACAGACAGAGTGTTTCCAAAGTACTCTATGAAAAGAAAGCTTAAACTCCTTGAGTTGAACGCACACATCACAAAGTAGTTACTGAGAATGATTCTGTCTAGTTTTTATACGAAGATGTTTCCTTTTCTACATTTGGTCTCAAAGCGATTGAAATCTCCAACTGGAAACTGCACAAATAGGGTGTTTCAAATCTGCTCTGTCTAAATGAAGGTTCAACTCTGTGAGTTGAATACACACACCACAAATAAGTTACTGAGAATTCTTCTTTCGAACATTACTTGAAGAAATCCCGTTTCCAATGAAGGCCTCAAAGAGGTCCAAATATCCACTTGCAGACATTACAAACAGAGTGTTTCCAAACTGCTCCATCAAAAGAAAGGTTAAACTCTGTGAGCTGAACACACACATCAAAAAGAAGTTTCTGTGAATGATTCTGTCTAGATTTTATAAGAAGATGTTTCCTTTTCTACCGTAGGCCTCAAAGCGCTTGAAATCTCCAGCTGCAAATTCCACAAAAAGGGTGTTTAACATCTGCTCTTCTAAAGGAAAGTTCAACTCTATGAGTTGAATACACACAGCACAAAGAAGTTACTGAGACTTCTCCTATCAAACATTATATGAAGAAATCCCGTTTCCAACGAAGGCCTCAAAGAGGTCCAAATATCTGCTTGCAGACTTTACAAAGACAGTGTCTCCAAACTCCTCCATCAAAAGAAAGGTTATACTCTGTGAATTGAACGCACACATCACAAAGTAGTTTCTGAGAATGATTCTGTCTAGTTTTTATACGAAGATATTTCCTTTTCTACATTTGGCCTAAAAGCGCTTGAAATCTCCACGTGCAAATATCACAAAAAGAGGGTTTCACATCTGCTCTGTCTAAAGGACAGTTCACCTCTGTGAGTTGAATAGAGGCAACACAAAGAACTTACTCAGTATTCTTCTTTCTACCGTTCTATGAAGAAATCCCGTTTCCAACGAAGGCCTCAAAGAGGTCCAAATATCTGCTTGCAGACTTTACAGACAGAGTGTTTCCAAACTACTCTATGAAAAGAAAGCTTAAACTCCTTGAGTTGAACGCACACATCACAAAGTAGTTTCTGAGAATGATTCTGTCTAGTTTTTATACGAAGATGTTTCCTTTTCTACATTTGGTCTCAAAGCGATTGAAATCTCCAACTGGAAACTGCACAAATAGGGTGTTTCAAATCTGCTCTGTCTAAAGGAAGGTTCAACTCTGTGAGTTGAATACACACACCACAAATAAGTTACTGAGAATTCTTCTGTCGACCATTACTTGAAGAAATCCCGTTTCCAACGAAGGCCTCAAAGAGGTCCAAATATCCACTAGCAGACATTACAAACAGAGTGTTTCCAAACTGCTCCATCAAAAGAAAGGTTAAACTCTGTGAGCTGAACACACACATCGAAAAGAAGTTTCTGTGAATGATTCTGTCTAGATTTTATAAGAAGATGTTTCCTTTTCTACCGTAGGCCTCAAAGCGCTTGAAATCTCCAGCTGCAAATTCCACAAAAAGGGTGTTTAACATCTGCTCTTCTAAAGGAAAGTTCAACTCTATGAGTTGAATACACACAGCACAAAGAAGTTACTGAGACTTCTCCTATCAAACATTATATGAAGAAATACCGTTTCCAACGAAGGCCTCAAAGAGGTCCAAATATCTGCTTGCAGACTTTACAGACAGAGTGTTTCCAAACTGCTCCATCAAAAGAAAGGTTAAACTCCTTGAGTTGAACACACACATCACAAAGTAGTTTCTGTGAATGATTCTGTCTAGTTTTTATACGAAGATGTTTCCTTTTCTACCTTTGGTCTCAAAGCGATTGAAATCTCCACATGGAAACTCCACCAAAAGAGTGTTTCAAATCTGCTCTTTCTGAAGGAAGGTTCAACTCTGTGAGTTGAATACAGACACCACAAATAAGTTACTGAGAATTGTTCTGTGTAACATTATATGAGGAAATCCCGTTTCCAACGAAGGCCTCAAAGAGGTCCAAATATCCACTTGCAGACTTTACAAAGACAGTGTCTCCAAACTCCTCCATCAAAAAAAAGGTTATACTCTGTGAATTGAACGCACACATCACAAAGTAGTTTCTGAGAATGATTCTGTCTAGTTTTTATACGAAGATATTTCCTTTTCTACATTTGGCCTAAAAGCGCTTGAAATCTCCACCTGCAAATATCCCAAAAAGAGGGTTTCACATCTGCTCTGTCTAAAGGACAGTTCACCTCTGTGAGTTGAATAGAGGCAACACAAAGAACTTACTCAGTATTCTTCTTTCTAGCGTTCTATGAAGAAATCCCGTTTCCAACGAAGGCCACAAAGAGGTCCAAATATCTGCTTGCAGACATTACAGACAGAGTGTTTCCAAACTACTCTATGAAAAGAAAGCTTAAACTCCTTGAGTTGAACGGCACACATCACAAAGTAGTTTCTGAGAATGATTCTGTCTAGTTTTTATACGAAGATGTTTCCTTTTCTACATTTGGTCTCAAAGCGATTGAAATCTCCAAATGGAAACTGCACAAATAGGGTGTTTCAAATCTGCTCTGTCTAAAGGAAGGTTCAACTCTGTGAGTTGAATACACACACCACAAATAAGTTACTGAGAATTCTCTGTCGAACATTACTTGAAAGAAATCCCGTTTCCAACGAAGGCCTCAAAGAGGTCCAAATATCCACTTGCAGACATTACAAACAGTGTGTTTCCCAACTGCTCCATCAAAAGAAAGGTTAAACTCTGTGAGCTGAACACACACATCAAAAAGAAGTTTCTGTGAATGATTGTGTCTAGATTTTATAAGAAGATGTTTCCTTTTCTACCATAGGCCTCAAAGCGCTAGAAATCTCCAGCTGCAAATTCCACAAAAAGTGTGTTTAACATCTGCTCGTTCTAAAGTAAAGTTCAGCTCTGTGATTTGAATACACACAGCACAAAGAAGTTACTGAGACTTCTTCTGTCTAACATTATATGAAGAAATCCAGTTTCCAACGAAGGCCTCAAAGAGGTCCAAATATCCACTTGCAGACTTGTCAAACAGAGTGTTTCCAAACTGCACCATCAAAAGAAAGGTTAAACTCTGTGAGCTGAACGCACACATCACAAAGTAGTTTCTGTGAATGATTCTGTCTAGTTTTTATACGAAGATGTTTCCTTTTCTACCTTTGGTCTCAAAGTGATTGAAATCTCCACATGGAAACTCCACAAAAAGAGTGTTTCAAATCTGCTCTTTCTGAAGGAAGGTTCAAATCTGTGAGTTGAATACACACACCACAAATAAGTTACTGAGAATTCTTCTGTGTAACATTATATGAGGAAATCCCGTTTCCAACGAAGGCCTCAAAGAGGTCCAAATATCCACTTGCAGACTTTACAAAGACAGTGTCTCCAAACTCCTCCATCAAAGAAAGGTTATACTCTGTGAATTGAACGCACACATCACAAAGTAGTTTCTGAGAATCATTCTGTCTAGTTTTTATACGAAGATATTTCCTTTTCTACATTTGGCCTAAAAGCGCTTGAAATCTCCACCTGCAAATATCACAAAAAGAGGGTTTCACATCTGCTCTGTTTAAAGGACAGTTCACCTCTGTGAGTTGAATAGAGGCAACACAAAGAACTTACTCAGTATTCTTCTTTCTAGCGTTCTATGAAGAAATCCCGTTTCCAACGAAGGCCCCAAAGAGGTCCAAATATCTGCTTGCAGACTTTACAGACAGAGTGTTTCCAAACTACTCTATGAAAAGAAAGCTTAAACTCCTTGAGTTGAACGCACACATCACAAAGTAGTTTCTGAGAATGATTCTGTCTAGTTTTTATACGAAGATGTTTCCTTTTCTACATTTGGTCTCAAAGCTCTTGAAATCTCCAACTGGAAACTGCACAAATAGGCTGTTTCAAATCTGCTCTGTCTAAAGGAAGGTTCAACTCTGTGAGTTGAATACACACACCACAAATAAGTTACTGAGAATTCTTCTGTCGAACATTACTTGAAGAAATCCCGTTTCCAACGAAGGCCTCAAAGAGGTCCAAATATCCACTTGCAGACGTTACAAACAGAGTGTTTCCAAACTGCTCCATCAAAAGAAAGGTTAAACTCTGTGAGCTGAACACACACATCAAAAAGAAGTTTCTGTGAATGATTCTGTCTAGATTTTATAAGAAGATGTTTCCTTTTCTACCGTAGGCCTCAAAGCGCTTGAAATCTCCAGCTGCAAATTCCACAAAAAGGGTGTTTAACATCTGCTCTTCTAAAGGAAAGTTCAACTCTATGAGTTGAATACACACAGCACAAAGAAGTTACTGAGACTTCTCCTATCAAACATTATATGAAGAAATCCCGTTTCCAACAAAGGCCTCAAAGAGGTCCAAATATCTGCTTGCAGACTTTACAAAGACAGTGTCTCCAAACTCCTCCATCAAAAGAAAGGTTATACTCTGTGAATTGAACGCACACATCACAAAGTAGTTTCTGAGAGTGATTCTGTCTAGTTTTTATACGAAGATATTTCCTTTTCTACATTTGGCCTAAAAGCGCTTGAAATCTCCACCTGCAAATATCACAAAAAGAGGGTTTTACATCTGCTCTGTCTAAAGGACAGTTCACCTCTGTGAGTTGAATAGAGGCAACACAAAGAACTTACTCAGTATTCTTCTTTCTAGCGTTCTATGAAGAAATCCCGTTTCCAACGAAGGCCCCAAAGAGGTCCAAATATCTGCTTGCAGACTTTACAGACAGAGTGTTTCCAAACTACTCTATGAAAAGAAAGCTTAAACTCCTTGAGTTGAACGCACACATCACAAAGTAGTTTCTGAGAATGATTCTGTCTAGTTTTTATACGAAGATGTTTCCTTTTCTACATTTGGTCTCAAAGCGATTGAAATCTCCAACTGGAAACTGCACAAATAGGGTGTTTCAAATCTGCTCTGTCTAAAGGAAGGTTCAACTCTGTGAGTTGAATACACACACCACAAATAAGTTACTGAGAATTCTTCTGTCGAACATTACATGAAGAAATCCCGTTTCCAACGAAGGCCTCAAAGAGGTCCAAATATCCACTTGCAGACATTACAAACAGAGTGTTTCCAAACTGCTCCATCAAAAGAAAGGTTAAACTCTGTGAGCTGAACACACACATCAAAAAGAAGTTTCTGTGAATGATTCTGTCTAGATTTTATAAGAAGATGTTTCCTTTTCTACCGTAGGCCTCAAAGCGCTTGAAATCTCCAGCTGCAAATTCCACAAAAAGGGTGTTTAACATCTGCTCTTCTAAAGGAAAGTTCAACTCTATGAGTTGAATACACACAGCACAAAGAAGTTACTGAGACTTCTTCTGTCTAACATTATATGAAGAAATCCCGTTTCCAACGAAGGCCTCAAAGAGGTCCAAATATCTGCCTGCAGACTTTACAGACAGAGTGTTTCCAAACTGCTCCATCAAAAGAAAGGTTAAACTCCTTGAGTTGAACACACACATCACAAAGTAGTTTCTGTGAATGATTCTGTCTAGTTTTTATACGAAGATGTTTCCTTTTCTACCTTTGGTCTCAAAGCGATTGAAATCTCCACATGGAAACTCCACAAAAAGAGTGTTTCAAATCTGCTCTTTCTGAAGGAAGGTTCATCTCTGTGAGTTGAATACACACACCACAAATAAGTTACTGAGAATTCTTCTGTGTAACATTATATGAGGAAATCCCGTTTCCAACGAAGGCCTCAAAGAGGTCCAAATATCCACTTGCAGACTTTACAAAGACAGTGTCTCCAAACTCCTCCATCAAAAGAAAGGTTATACTCTGTGAATTGAACGCACACATCACAAAGTAGTTTCTGAGAATGATTCTGTCTAGTTTTTATACGAAGATATTTCCTTTTCTACATTTGGCCTAAAAGCGCTTGAAATCTCCACCTGCAAATATCACAAAAAGAGGGTTTCACATCTGCTCTGTCTAAAGGACAGTTCACCTCTGTGAGTTGAATAGAGGCAACACAAAGAACGTACTCAGTATTCTTCTTTCTAGCGTTCTATGAAGAAATCCCGTTTCCAACGAAGGCCCCAAAGAGGTCCAAATATCTGCTTGCAGACTTTGCAGACAGAGTGTTTCCAAACTACTCGATGAAAAGAAAGCTTAAACTCCTTGAGTTGAACGCACACATCACAAAGTAGTTTCTGAGAATGATTCTGTCTAGTTTTTATACGAAGATGTTTCCTTTTCTACATTTGGTCTCAAAGCGATTGAAATCTCCAACTGGAAACTGCACAAATAGGGTGTTTCAAATCTGCTCTGTCTAAAGGAAGGTTCAACTCTTTGAGTTGAATACACACACCACAAATAAGTTACTGAGAATTCTTCTGTCGAACATTACATGAAGAAATCCCGTTTCCAACGAAGGCCTCAAAGAGGTCCAAATATCCACTTGCAGACATTACAAACAGTGTGTTTCCCAACTGCTCCATCAAAAGAAAGGTTAAAGTCTGTGAGCTGAACACACACATCAAAAAGAAGTTTCTGTGAATGATTCTGTCTAGATTTTATAAGAAGATGTTTCCTTTTCTACCGTAGGCCTCAAAGCGCTTGAAATCTCCAGCTGCAAATTCCACAAAAAGGGTGTTTAACATCTGCTCTTCTAAAGGAAAGTTCAACTCTATGAGTTGAATACACACAGCACAAAGAAGTTACTGAGACTTCTCCTATCAAACATTATATGAAGAAATCCCGTTTTCAACGAAGGCCTCAAAGAGGTCCAAATATCTGCTTGCAGACTTTACCGACAGAGTGTTTCCAAACTGCTCCATCAAAAGAAAGGTTAAACTCCTTGAGTTGAACACACACATCACAAAGTAGTTTCTGTGAATGATTCTGTCTAGTTTTTATACGAAGATGTTTCCTTTTCTACCTTTGGTCTCAAAGCGATTGAAATCTCCACATGGAAACTCAAGAAAAAGAGTGTTTCAAATCTGCTCTCTCTGAAGGAAGGTTCAACTCTGTGAGTTGAATACAGACACCACAAATAAGTTACTGAGAATTCTCCCTGTGTAACATTATATGAGGAAATCCCGTTTCCAACAAAGGCCTCAAAGAGGTCCAAATATCCACTTGCAGACTTTACAAAGACAGTGTCTCCAAACTCCTCCATCAAAAGAAAGGTTATACTCTGTGAATTGAACGCACACATCACAAAGTAGTTTCTGAGAATGATTCTGTCTAGTTTTTATACGAAGATGTTTCCTTTTCTACATTTGGTCTCAAAGCGATTGAAATCTCCAACTGGAAACTGCACAAATAGGGTGTTTCAAATCTGCTCTGTCTAAAGGAAGGTTCAACTCTGTGAGTTGAATACACACACCACAAATAAGTTACTGAGAATTCTTCTGTCGAACATTACAGGAAGAAATCCCGTTTCCAACGAAGCCCTCAAAGAGGTCCAAATATCCACTTGCAGATATTACAAACAGAGTGTTTCCAAACTGCTCCATCAAAAGAAAGGTTAAACTCTGTGAGCTGAACACACACATCAAAAAGAAGTTTCTGTGAATGATTCTGTCTAGATTTTATAAGAAGATGTTTCCTTTTCTACCGTAGGCCTCAAAGCGCTTGAAATCTCCAGCTGCAAATTCCACAAAAAGGGTGTTTAACATCTGCTCTTCTAAAGGAAAGTTCAACTCTATGAGTTGAATACACACAGCACAAAGAAGTTACTGAGACTTCTCCTATCAAACATTATATGAAGAAATCCCGTTTCCAACGAAGGCCTCAAAGAGGTCCAAATATCTGCTTGCAGACTTTACAGACAGAGTGTTTCCAAACTGCTCCATCAAAAGAAAGGTTAAACTCCTTGAGTTGAACACACACATCACAAAGTAGTTTCTGTGAATGATTCTGTCTAGTTGTTATACGAAGATGTTTCCTTTTCTACCTTTGGTCTCAAAGCGATTGAAATCTCCACATGGAAACTCCACAAAAAGAGTGTTTCAAATCTGCTCTTTCTGAAGGAAGGTTCATCTCTGTGAGTTGAATACACACACCACAAATAAGTTACTGAGAATTCTTCTGGGTAACATTATATGAGGAAATCCCGTTTCCAACGAAGGCCTCAAAGAGGTCCAAATATCCACTTGCAGACTTTACAAAGACAGTGTCTCCAAACTCCTCCATCAAAAGAAAGGTTATACTCTGTGAATTGAACGCACACATCACAAAGTAGTTTCTGAGAATGATTCTCTCTAGTTTTTATACAAAGATATTTCCTTTTCTACATTTGGCCTAAAAGCGCTTGAAATCTCCACCTGCAAATATCACAAAAAGAGGGATTCACATCTGCTCTGTCTAAAGGACAGTTCACCTCTGTGAGTTGAATAGAGGCAACACAAAGAACTTACTCAGTATTCTTCTTTCTAGCATTCTGTGAAGAAATCCCGTTTCCAACGAAGGCCCCAAAGAGGTCCAAATATCTGCTTGCAGACTTTACAGACAGAGTGTTTCCAAACTGCTCCATCAAAAGAAAGGTTAAACTCCTTGAGTTGAACACACACATCACAAAGTAGTTTCTGTGAATGATTCTGTCTAGTTTTTATACGAAGATGTTTCCTTTTCTACCTTTGGTCTCAAAGCGATTGAAATCTCCACATGGAAACTCCACAAAAAGAGTGTTTCAAATCTGCTCTTTCTGAAGGAAGGTTCAACTCTGTGAGTTGAATACACACACCACAAATAAGTTACTGAGAATTCTTCTGTGTAACATTATATGAGGAAATCCCGTTTCCAACGAAGGCCTCAAAGAGGTCCAAATATCCACTTGCAGACTTTACAAAGACAGTGTCTCCAAACTCCTCCATCAAAAGAAAGGTTATACTCTGTGAATTGAACGCACACATCACAAAGTAGTTTCTGAGAATGATTCTGTCTAGTTTTTATACGAAGATATTTCCTTTTCTACATTTGGCCTAAAAGTGCTTGAAATCTCCACCTGCAAATATCACAAAAAGAGGGTTTCACATCTGCTCTGTCTAAAGGACAGTTCACCTCTGTGAGTTGAATAGAGGCAACACAAAGAACTTACTCAGTATTCTTCTTTCTAGCGTTCTATGAAGAAATCCCGTTTCCAACGAAGGCCTCAAAGAGGTCAAATATCTGCTTGCAGACTTTACAGACAGAGTGTTTCCAAACTACTCTATGAAAAGAAAGCTTAAACTCCTTGAGTTGAACGCACACATCACAAAGTAGTTTCTGAGAATGATTCTGTCTAGTTTTTATACGAAGATGTTTCCTTTTCTACATTTGGTCTCAAAGCGATTGAAATCTCCAACTGGAAACTGCACAAATAGGGTGTTTCAAATCTGCTCTGTCTAAAGGAAGGTTCAACTCTGTGAGTTGAATACACACACCACAAATAAGTTACTGAGAATTCTTCTGTCGAACATTACTTGAAGAAATCCCGTTTCCAACGAAGGCCTCAAAGAGGTCCAAATATCCACTTGCAGACATTACAAACAGAGTGTTTCCAAACTGCTCCATCAAAAGAAAGGTTAAACTCTGTGAGCTGAACACACACATCAAAAAGAAGTTTCTGTGAATGATTCTGTCTAGATTTTATAAGAAGATGTTTCCTTTTCTACCGTAGGCCTCAAAGCGCTTGAAATCTCCAGCTGCAAATTCCACAAAAAGGGTGTTTAACATCTGCTCTTCTAAAGGAAAGTTCAACTCTATGAGTTGAATACACACAGCACAAAGAAGTTACTGAGACTTCTCCTATCAAACATTATATGAAGAAATCCCGTTTCCAACGATGGCCTCAAAGAGGTCCAAATATCTGCTTGCAGACTTTACAAAGACAGTGTCTCCAAACTCCTCCATCAAAAGAAAGGTTATACTCTGTGAATTGAACGCACACATCACAAAGTAGTTTCTGAGAGTGATTCTGTCTAGTTTTTATACAAAGATATTTCCTTTTCTACATTTGGCCTAAAAGCGCTTGAAATCTCCACCTGCAAATATCACAAAAAGAGGGTTTCACATCTGCTCTGTCTAAAGGACAGTTCACCTCTGTGAGTTGAATAGAGGCAACACAAAGAACTTACTCAGTATTCTTCTTTCTAGCGTTCTATGAAGAAATCCCGTTTCCAACGAAGGCCCCAAAGAGGTCCAAATATCTGCTTGCAGACTTTACAGACAGAGTGTTTCCAAACTACTCTATGAAAAGAAAGCTTAAACTCCTTGAGTTGAACGCACACATCACAAAGTAGTTTCTGAGAATGATTCTGTCTAGTTGTTATACGAAGATGTTTCCTTTTCTACATTTGGTCTCAAAGCGATTGAAATCTCCAACTGGAAACTGCACAAATAGGGTGTTTCAAATCTGCTCTGTCTAAAGGAAGGTTCAACTCTGTGAGTTGAATACACACACCACAAATAAGTTACTGAGAATTCTTCTGTCGAACATTACTTGAAGAAATCCCGTTTCCAACGAAGGCCTCAAAGCGGTCCAAATATCCACTTGCAGACATTACAAACAGAGTGTTTCCAAACTGCTCCATCAAAAGAAAGGTTAAACTCTGTGAGCTGAACACACACATCAAAAAGAAGTGTCTGTGAATGATTCTGTCTAGATTTTATAAGAAGATGTTTCCTTTTCTACCGTAGGCCTCAAAGCGCTTGAAATCTCCAGCTGCAAATTCCACAAAAAGGGTGTTTAACATCTGCTCTTCTAAAGGAAAGTTCAACTCTATGAGTTGAATACACACAGCACAAAGAAGTTACTGAGACTTCTCCTATCAAACATTATATGAAGAAATCCCGTTTCCAACGAAGGCCTCAAAGAGGTCCAAATATCCACTTGCAGACGTGACAAACAGAGTGTTTCCAAACTGCTCCATCAAAAGAAAGGTTAAACTCTGTGAGTTGAACACACACATCACAAAGTAGTTTCTGTGAATGATTCTGTCTAGTTTTTATACGAAGATGTTTCCTTTTCTACCTTTGGTCTCAAAGCCATTGAAATCTCCACATGGAAACTCCACAAAAAGAGTGTTTCAAATCTGCTATTTCTGAAGGAAGGTTCAACTCTGTGAGTTGAATACACACACCACAAATAAGTTACTGAGAATTCTTCTGTGTAACATTATATGAGGAAATCCCGTTTCCAACGAAGGCCTCAAAGAGGTCCAAATATCCACTTGCAGACTTTACAAAGACAGTGTCTCCCAACTCCTCCATCAAAAGAAAGGTTATACTCTGTGAATTGAACGCACACATCACAAAGTAGTTTCTGAGAATGATTCTGTCTAGTTTTTATACGAAGATATTTCCTTTTCTACATTTGGCCTAAAAGCGCTTGAAATCTCCACCTGCAAATATCACAAAAAGAGGGTTTCACATCTGCTCTGTCTAAAGGACAGTTCACCTCTGTGAGTTGAATAGAGGCAACACAAAGAACTTACTCAGTATTCTTCTTTCTAGCGTTCTATGAAGAAATCCCGTTTCCAACCGAAGGCCCTAAAGAGGTCCAAATATCTGCTTGCAGACTTTACAGACAGAGTGTTTCCAAACTACTCTATGAAAAGAAAGCTTAAACTCCTTGAGTTGAACGCACACATCACAAAGTAGTTTCTGAGAATGATTCTGTCTAGTTTTTATACGAAGATGTTTCCCTTTCTACAATTGGTCTCAAAGCGATTGAAATCTCCAACTGGAAACTGCACAAATAGGCTGTTTCAAATCTGCTCTGTCTAAAAGAGGGTTCAACTCTGTGAGTTGAATACACACACCACAAATAAGTTACTGAGAATTCTTCTGTCGAACATTACAGGAAGAAATCCCGTTTCCAACGAAGGCCTCAAAGAGGTCCAAATATCCACTTGCAGACATTACAAACAGTGTGTTTCCCAACTGCTCCATCAAAAGAAAGGTTAAACTCTGTGAGCTGAACACACACATCAAAAAGAAGTTTCTGTGAATGATTCTGTCTAGATTTTATAAGAAGATGTTTCCTTTTCTACCGTAGGCCTCAAAGCGCTTGAAATCTCCAGCTGCAAATTCCACAAAAAGGGTGTTTAACATCTGCTCTTCTAAAGGAAAGTTCAACTCTATGAGTTGAATACACACAGCACAAAGAAGTTACTGAGACTTCTCCTATCAAACATTATATGAAGAAATCCCGTTTTCAACGAAGGCCTCAAAGAGGTCCAAATATCCACTTGCAGACTTTACAAAGACAGTGTCTCCAAACTCCTCCATCAAAAGAAAGGTTATACTCTGTGAATTGAACGCACACATCACAAAGTAGTTTCTGAGAATGATTCTGTCTAGTTTTTATACGAAGATATTTCCTTTTCTACACTTGGCCTAAAAGCGCTTGAAATCTCCACCTGCAAATATCACAAAAAGAGGGTTTCACATCTGCTCTGTCTAAAGGACAGTTCACCACTGTGAGTTGAATAGAGGCAACACAAAGAACTTATTCAGTATTCTTCTTTCAACCGTTCTATGAAGAAATCCCGTTTCCAACGAAGGCCCTAAAGAGGTCCAAATATCTGCTTGCAGACTTTACAGACAGAGTGTTTCCAAACTACTCTATGAAAAGAAAGCTTAAACACCTTGAGTTGAACGCACACATCACAAAGTAGTTTCTGAGAATGATTCTGTCCAGTTTTTATACGAAGATATTTCCTTTACTACATTTGGCCTAAAAGCGCTTGAAATCTCCACCTGCAAATATCACAAAAAGAGGGTTTCACATCTGCTCTGTCTAAAGGACAGTTCACCTCTGTGAGTTGAATAGAGGCAACACAAAGAACTTACTCAGTATTCTTCTTTCTAGCATTCTATGAAGAAATCCCGTTTCCAACGAAGGCCCCAAAGAGGTCCAAATATCTGCTTGCAGACTTTACAGACAGAGTTTTTCGAAACTGCTCCATCAAAAGAAAGGTTAAACTCCTTGAGTTGAACACACACATCACAAAGTAGTTTCTGAGAATGATTCTGTCTAGTTTTTATACGAAGATGTTTCCTTTTCTACCTTTGGTCTCAAAGCGATTGAAATCTCCACATGGAAACTCCACAAAAAGAGTGTTTCAAATCTGCTCTTTGTGAAGGAAGGTTCAACTCTGTGAGTTGAATACACACACCACAAATAAGTTACTGAGAATTCTTCTGTGTAACATTATATGAGGAAATCCCGTTTCCAACGAAGGCCTCAAAGAGGTCCAAATATCCACTTGCAGACTTTACAAAGACAGTGTCTCCAAACTCCTCCATCAAAAGAAAGGTTATACTCTGTGAATTGAACGCACACATCACAAAGTAGTTTCTGAGAATGATTGTGTCTAGTTTTTATACGAAGATATTTCCTTTTCTACATTTGGCCTAAAAGCGCTTGAAATCTCCACCTGCAAATATCACAAAAAGAGGGTTTCACATCTGCTCTGTCTAAAGGACAGTTCACCTCTGTGAGTTGAATAGCGGCAACACAAAGAACTTACTCAGTATTCTTCTTTCTAGCGTTCTATGAAGAAATCACGTTTCCAACGAAGGCCCCAAAGAGGTCCAAATATCTGCTTGCAGACTTTACAGACAGAGTGTTTCCAAACTACTCTATGAAAAGAAAGCTTAAACTTCTTGAGTTGAACGCACACATCACAAAGTAGTTTCTGAGAATGATTCTGTCTAGTTTTTATACGAAGATGTTTCCTTTTCTACATTTGGTCTCAAAGCGATTGAAATCTCCAACTGGAAACTGCACAAATAGGGTGTTTCAAATCTGCTCTGTCTAAAGGAAGGTTCAACTCTTTGAGTTGAATACACACACCACAAATAGGTTACTGAGAATTCTTCTGTCGAACATTACTTGAAGAAATCCCGTTTCCAACGAAGGCCTCAAAGAGGTCCAAATATCGACTTGCAGACATTACAAACAGAGTGTTTCCAAACTGCTCCATCAAAAGAAAGGTTAAACTCTGTGAGCTGAACACACACATCAAAAAGAAGTTTCTGTGAATGATTCTGTCTAGATTTTATAAGAAGATGTTTCCTTTTCTACTGTAGGCCTCAAAGTGCTTGAAATCTCCAGCTGCAAATTCCACAAAAAGGGTGTTTAACATCTGCTCTTCTAAAGGAAAGTTCAACTCAATGAGTTGAATACACACAGCCCAAAGAAGTTACTGAGACTTCTCCTATCAAACATTATATGAAGAAATCCCGTTTCCAACGAAGGCCTCAAAGAGGTCCAAATATCTGCTTGCAGACTTTACAAAGACAGTGTCTCCAAACTCCTCCATCAAAAGAAAGGTTATACTCTGTGAATTGAACGCACACATCACAAAGTAGTTTCTGAGAATGATTCTGTCTAGTTTTTATACGAAGATATTTCCTTTTCTACATTTGGCCTAAAAGCGCTTGAAGTCTCCACCTGCAAATATCACAAAAAGAGGGTTTCACATCTGCTCTGTCTAAAGGACAGTTCACCTTTGTGAGTTGAATAGAGGCAACACAAAGAACTTACTCAGTATTCTTCTTTCTAGCGTTATATGAAGAAATCCCGTTTCCAACGAAGGCCTCAAAGAGGTCCAAATATCTGCTTGCAGACATTACAGACAGAGTGGTTCCAAACTACTCTATGAAAAGAAAGCTTAAACTCCTTGAGTTGAACGCACACATCACAAAGTAGTTTCTGAGAATGATTCTGTCTAGTTTTTATACGAAGATATTTCTTTTTCTACATTTGGTCTCAAAGCGATTGAAATCTCCAACTGGAAACTGCACAAATAGGGTGTTTCAAATCTGCTCTGTCTAAAGGAAGGTTCAACTCTTTGAGTTGAATACACACACCACAAATAAGTTACCGAGAATTCTTCTGTCGAACATTACTTGAAGAAATCCCGTTTCCAACGAAGGCCTCAAAGAGGTCCAAATATCCACTTGCAGACATTACAAACAGAGTGTTTCCAAACTGCTCCATCAAAAGAAAGGTTAAACTCTGTGAGCTGAACACACACATCAAAAAGAAGTTTCTGTGAATGATTCTGTCTAGATTTTATAAGAAGATGTTTCCTTTTCTACCGTAGGCCACAAAGTGCTTGAAATCTCCAGCTGCAAATTCCACAAAAAGGGTGTTTAACATCTGCTCTTCTAAAGGAAAGTTCAACTCAATGAGTTGAATACACACAGCCCAAAGAAGTTACTGAGACTTCTCCTATCAAACATTATATGAAGAAATCCCGTTTCCAACGAAGGCCTCAAAGAGGTCCAAATATCTGCTTGCAGACTTTACAAAGACAGTGTCTCCAAACTCCTCCATCAAAAGAAAGGTTATACTCTGTGAATTGAACGCACACATCACAAAGTAGTTTCTGAGAATGATTCTGTCTAGTTTTTATACGAAGATATTTCCTTTTCTACATTTGGCCTAAAAGCGCTTGAAATCTCCACCTGCAAATATCACAAAAAGAGGGTTTCACATCTGCTCTGTCTAAAGGACAGTTCACCTCTGTGAGTTGAATAGAGGCAACACAAAGAAGTTACTGAGTATTCTTCTTTCTAGCGTTATATGAAGAAACCCCGTTTCCAACGAAGGCCTCAAAGAGGTCCAAATATCTGTTCGCAGACTTTACAGACAGAGTGTTTCCAAACTGCTCCGTCAAAAGAAAGGTTAACCTCCTTGAGTTGAACACACACATCACAAAGTAGTTTCTGTGAATGATTCTGTCTAGTTTTTATACGAAGATGTTTCCTTTTCTACATTTGGTCTCAAAGCGATTGAAATCTCCAACTGGAAACTGCACAAATAGGGTGTTTCAAATCTGCTCTGTCTAAAGGAAGGTTCAACTCTGTGAGTTGAATACACACACCACAAATAAGTTACTGAGAATTCTTCTGTCGAACATTACAGGAAGAAATCCCGTTTCCAACGAAGGCCTCAAAGAGGTCCAAATATCCACTTGCAGACATTACAAACAGTGTGTTTCCCAACTGCTCCATCAAAAGAAAGGTTAAACTCTGTGAGCTGAACACACACATCAAAAAGAAGTTTCTGTGAATGATTCTGTCTAGATTTTATAAGAAGATGTTTCCTTTTCTACCGTAGGCCTCAAAGCGCTTGAAATCTCCAGCTGCAAATTCCACAAAAAGGGTGTTTAACATCTGCTCTTCTAAAGGAAAGTTCAACTCTATGAGTTGAATACACACAGCACAAAGAAGTTACTGAGACTTCTCCCATCAAACATTATATGAAGAAATCCCGTTTCCAACGAAGGCCTCAAAGAGGTCCAAATATCTGCTTGCAGACTTTACAGACAGAGTGTTTCCAAACTGCTCCATCAAAAGAAAGATTAAACTCCTTGAGTTGAACACACACATCACAAAGTAGTTTCTGTGAATGATTCTGTCTAGTTTTTATACGAAGATGTTTCCTTTTCTACCTTTGGTCTCAAAGCGATTGAAATCTCCACATGGAAACTCCACAAAAAGAGTGTTTCAAATCTGCTCTTTCTGAAGGAAGGTCCAACTCTGTGAGTTGAATACACACACCACAAATAAGTTACTGAGAATTCTTCTGTGTAACATTATATGAGGAAATCCCGTTTCCAACGAAGGCCTCAAATAGATCCAAATATCCACTTGCAGACTTTACAAAGACAGTGTCTCCAAACTCCTCCATCAAAAGAAAGCTTAAACTCCTTGAGTTGAACGCACACATCACAAAGTAGTTTCTGAGAATGATTCTGTCTAGTTTTTATACGAAGATGTTTCCTTTTCTACATTTGGTCTCAAAGCGATTGAAATCTCCAACTGGAAACTGCACAAATAGGGTGTTTCAAATCTGCTCTGTCTAAAGGAAGGTTCAACTCTGTGAGTTGAATACACACACCACAAAAAAGTTACTGAGAATTCTTCTGTCGAACATTACATGAAGAAATCCCGTTTCCAACGAAGGCCTCAAAGAGGTCCAAACATCCACTTGCAGACATTACAAACAGTGTGTTTCCAAACTGCTCCATCAAAAGAAAGGTTAAACTCTGTGAGCTGAACACACACATCAAAAAGAAGTTTCTGTGAATGATTCTGTCTAGATTTTATAAGAAGATGTTTCCTTTTCTACCGTAGGCCTCAAAGCGCTTGAAATCTCCAGCTGCAAATTCCACAAAAAGGGTGTTTAACATCTGCTCTTCTAAAGGAAAGTTCAACTCTATGAGTTGAATACACACAGCACAAAGAAGTTACTGAGACTTCTCCTATCAAACATTATATGAAGAAATCCCGTTTCCAACGAAGGCCTCAAAGAGGTCCAAATATCCACTTGCAGACATTACAAACAGAGTGTTTCCAAACTGCTCCATCAAAAGAAAGGTTAAACTCTGTGAGCTGAACACACACATCAAAAAGAAGTTTCTGTGAATGATTCTGTCTAGATTTTGTAAGAAGATGTTTCCTTTTCTACCGTAGGCCTCAAAGCGCTTGAAATCTCCACCTGCAAATTCCACAAAAAGGGTGTTTTACATCTGCTCTTCTAAAGGAAAGTTCAACTCTATGCGTTGAATACACACAGGACAAAGAAGTTACTGAGACTTCTCCTATCAAACATTATATGAAGAAATCCCGTTTCCAACGAAGGCCTCAAAGAGGTCCAAATATCTGCTTGCAGACTTTACAGACAGAGTGTTTCCAAACTGCTCCATCAAAAGAAAGGTTAAACTCCTTGAGTTGAACACACACATCACAAAGTAGTTTCTGTGAATGATTCTGTCTAGTTTTTATACGAAGATGTTTCCTTTTCTACCTTTGGTCTCAAAGCGATTGAAATCTCCACATGGAAACTCCACAAAAAGAGTGTTTCAAATCTGCTCTTTCTGAAGGAAGGTTCAACTCTGTGAGTTGAATACACACACCACAAATAAGTTACTGAGAATTCTTCTGTGTAACATTATATGAGGAAATCCCGTTTCCAACGAAGGCCTCAAAGAGGTCCAAATATCCACTTGCAGACTTTACAAAGACAGTGTCTCCAAACTCCTCCATCAAAAGAAAGGTTATACTCTGTGAATTGAACGCACACATCACAAAGTAGTTTCTGAGAATGATTCTGTCTAGTTTTTATACGAAGATATTTCCTTTTCTACATTTGGCCTAAAAGCGCTTGAAATCTCCACCTGCAAATATCACAAAAAGAGGGTTTCACATCTGCTCTGTCTAAAGGACAGTTCACCTCTGTGAGTTGAATAGAGGCAACACAAAGAACTTACTCAGTATTCTTCTTTCTAGCGTTCTATGAAGAAATCCGGTTTCCAACGAAGACCCCAATGAGGTCCAAATATCTGCTTGCAGACTTTACAGACAGAGTGTTTCCAAACTACTCTATGAAAAGAAAGCTTAAACTCCCTTGAGTTGAACGCACACATCACAAAGTAGTTTCTGAGAATGATTCTGTCTAGTTTTTATACGAAGATGTTTCCTTTTCTACATTTGGTCTCAAAGCGATTGAAATCTCCAACTGGAAACTGCACAAATAGGGTGTTTCAAATCTGCTCTGTCTAAAGGAAGGTTCAACTCTTTGAGTTGAATACACACACCACAAATAAGTTACTGAGAATTCTTCTCCCGAACATTACTTGAAGAAATCCCGTTTCCAACGAAGGCCTCAAAGAGGTCCAAATATCCACTTGCAGACATTACAAACAGAGTGTTTCCAAACTGCTCCATCAAAAGAAAGGTTAAACTCTGTGAGCTGAACACACACATCAAAAAGAAGTTTCTGTGAATGATTCTGTCTAGATTTTATAAGAAGATGTTTCCTTTTCTACCGTAGGCCTCAAAGCGCTTGAAATCTCCAGCTGCAAATTCCACAAAAAGGGTGTTTAACATCTGCTTTTCTAAAGGAAAGTTCAACTCTATGAGTTGAACACACACAGCACAAAGAAGTTACTGAGACTTCTCCTATCAAACATTATATGAAGAAATCCCGTTTCCAACGAAGGCCTCAAAGAGGTCCAAATATCTGCTTGCAGACTTTACAGACAGAGTGTTTCCAAACTGCTCCATCAAAAGAAAGGTTAAACTCCTTGAGTTGAACACACACATCACAAAGTAGTTTCTGTGAATGATTCTGTCTAGTTTTTATACGAAGATGTTTCCTTTTCTACCTTTGGTCTCAAAGCGTTTGAAATCTCCACATGGAAACTCCACAAAAAGAGTGTTTCAAATCTGCTCTTTCTGAAGGAAGGTTCAACTCTGTGAGTTGAATACACACACCACAAATAAGTTACTGAGAATTCTTCTGTGTAACATTATATGAGGAAATCCCGTTTCCAACGAAGGCCTCAAAGAGGTCCAAATATCCACTTGCAGACTTTACAAAGACAGTGTCTCCAAACTCCTCCATCAAAAGAAAGGTTATACTCTGTGAATTGAACGCACACATCACAAAGTAGTTTCTGAGAATGATTCTGTCTAGTTTTTATACGAAGATATTTCCTTTTCTACATTTGGCCTAAAAGCGCTTGAAATCTCCACCTGCAAATATCACAAAAAGAGGGTTTCACATCTGCTCTGTCTAAAGGACAGTTCACCTCTGTGAGTTGAATAGAGGCAACACAAAGAACTTACTCAGTATTCTTCTTTCTAGCGTTCTATGAAGAAATCCCGTTTCCAACGAAGGCCTCAAAGAGGTCCAAATATCTGCTTGCAGACTTTACAGACAGAGTGTTTCCAAACTACTCTATGAAAAGAAAGCTTAAACTCCTTGAGTTAAACGCACACATCACAAAGTAGTTTCTGAGAATGATTCTGTCTAGTTTTTATACGAAGATGTTTCCTTTTCTACATTTGGTCTCAAAGCGATTGAAATCTGCAACTGGGAACTGCACAAATAGGGTGTTTCAAATCTGCTCTGTCTAAAGGAAGGTTCAACTCTGTGAGTTGAATACACACACCACAAATAAGTTACTGAGAATTCTTCTGTCGAACATTACAGGAAGAAATCCCGTTTCCAGCGAAGGCCTCAAAGAGGTCCAAATATCCACTTGCAGACATTACAAACAGAGTGTTTCCAAACTGCTCCATCAAAAGAAAGGTTAAACTCTGTGAGCTGAACACACACATCAAAAAGAAGTTTCTGTGAATGATTCTGTCTAGATTTTATAAGAAGATGTTTCCTTTTCTACCGTAGGCCTCAAAGCGCTTGAAATCTCCAGCTGCAAATTCCACAAAAAGGGTGTTTAACATCTGCTCTTCTAAAGGAAAGTTCAACTCTATGAGTTGAATACACACAGCACAAAGAAGTTACTGAGACTTCTCCTATCAAACATTATATGAAGAAATCCCGTTTCCAACGAAGGCCTCAAAGAGGTCCAAATATCTGCTTGCAGACTTTACAGACAGAGTGTTTCCAAACTGCTCCATCAAAAGAAAGGTTAAACTCCTTGAGTTGAACACACACATCACAAAGTAGTTTCTGTGAATGATTCTGTCTAGTTTTTATACGAAGATGTTTCCTTTTCTACCTTTGGTCTCAAAGCGATTGAAATCTCCACATGGAAACTCCACAAAAAGAGTGTTTCAAATCTGCTCTTTCTGAAGGAAGGTTCAACTCTGTGAGTTGAATACACACACCACAAATAAGTTACTGAGAATTCTTCTGTGTAACATTATATGAGGAAATCCCGTTTCCAACGAAGGCCTCAAAGAGGTCCAAATATCCACTTGCAGACTTTACAAAGACAGTGTCTCCAAACTCCTCCATCAAAAGAAAGGTTATACTCTGTGAATTGAACGCACACATCACAAAGTAGTTTCTGAGAATGATTCTGTCTAGTTTTTATACGAAGATATTTCCTTTTCTACATTTGGCCTAAAAGCGCTTGAAATCTCCACGTGCAAATATCACAAAAAGAGGGTTTCACATCTGCTCTGTCTAAAGGACAGTTCACCTCTGTGAGTTGAATAGAGGCAACACAAAGAACTTACTCAGTATTCTTCTTTCTAGCGTTCTATGAAGAAATCCCGTTTCCAACGAAGGCCCCAAAGAGGTCCAAATATCTGCTTGCAGACTTTACAGACAGAGTGTTTCCAAACTACTCTATGAAAAGAAAGCTTAAACTCCTTGAGTTGAACGCACACATCACAAAGTAGTTTCTGAGAATGATTCTGTCTAGTTTTTATACGAAGGATGTTTCCTTTTCTACATTTGGTCTCAAAGCTCTTGAAATCTCCAACTGGAAACTGCACAAATAGGCTGTTTCAAATCTGCTCTGTCTAAAGGAAGGTTCAACTCTGTGAGTTGAATACACACACCACAAATAAGTTACTGAGAATTCTTCTGTCGAACATTACATGAAGAATTCCCGTTTCCAACGAAGGCCTCAAAGAGGTCCAAATATCCACTTGCAGGCATTACAAACAGAGTGTTTCCAAACTGCTCCATCAAAAGAAAGGTTAAACTCTGTGAGCTGAACACACACATCAAAAAGAAGTTTCTGTGAATGATTCTGTCTAGATTTTATAAGAAGATGTTTCCTTTTCTACCGTAGGCCTCAAAGCGCTTGAAATCTCCAGCTGCAAATTCCACAAAAAGGGTGTTTAACATCTGCTCTTCTAAAGGAAAGTTCAACTCTATGAGTTGAATACACACAGCACAAAGAAGTTACTGAGACTTCTCCTGTCAAACATTATATGAAGAAATGCCGTTTCTAACGAAGGCCTCAAAGAGGTCCAAATATCCACTTGCAGACGTGACAAACAGAGTGTTTCCAAACTGCTGCATCAAAAGAAAGTTTAAACTCCTTGAGTTGAACACACACATCACAAAGTAGTTTCTGTGAATGATTCTGTCTAGTTTTTATACGAAGATGTTTCCTTTTCTACCTTTGGTCTCAAAGCGATTGAAATCTCCACATGGAAACTCCACAAAAAGAGTGTTTCAAATCTGCTCTTTCTGAAGGAAGGTTCAACTCTGTGAGTTGAATACACACACCACAAATAAGTTACTGAGAATTCTTCTGTGTAACATTATATGAGGAAATCCCGTTTCCAACGAAGGCCTCAAAGAGGTCCAAATATCCACTTGCAGACTTTACAAAGACAGTGTCTCCAAACTCCTCCATCAAAAGAAAGGTTATACTCTGTGAATTGAACGCACACATCACAAAGTAGTTTCTGAGAATGATTCTGTCTAGTTTTTATACGAAGATATTTCCTTTTCTACATTTGGCCTAAAAGCGCTTGAAATATCCACCTGCAAATATCACAAAAAGAGGGTTTCACATCTGCTCTGTCTAAAGGACAGTTCACCTCTGTGAGTTGAATAGAGGCAACACAAAGAACTTATTCAGTATTCTTCTTTCTAGCGTTCTATGAAGAAATCCCGTTTCCAACGAAGGCCTCAAAGAGGTCCAAATATCTGCTTGCAGACTTTACAGACAGAGTGTTTCCAAACTACTCTATGAAAAGAAAGCTTAAACCCCTTGAGTTGAACGCACACATCACAAAGTAGTTTCTGAGAATGATTCTGTCTAGTTTTTATATGAAGATGTTTCCTTTTCTACATTTGGTCTCAAAGCGATTGAAATCTCCAACTGGAAACTGCACAAATAGGGTGTTTCAAATCTGCTCTGTCTAAAGGAAGGTTCAACTCTGTGAGTTGAATACACACACCACAAATAAGTTACTGAGAATTCTTCTGTCGACCATTACTTGAAGAAATCCCGTTTCCAACGAAGGCCTCAAAGAGGTCCAAATATCCACTTGCAGACATTACAAACAGAGTGTTTCCAAACTGCTCCATCAAAAGAAAGGTTAAACTCTGTGAGCTGAACACACACATCGAAAAGAAGTTTCTGTGAATGATTCTGTCTAGATTTTATAAGAAGATGTTTCCTTTTCTACCGTAGGCCTCAAAGCGCTTGAAATCTCCAGCTGCAAATTCCACAAAAAGGGTGTTTAACATCTGCTCTTCTAAAGGAAAGTTCAACTCTATGAGTTGAATACACACAGCACAAAGAAGTTACTGAGACTTCTCCTATCAAACATTATATGAAGAAATCCCGTTTCCAACGAATGCCTCAAAGAGGTCCAAATATCTGCTTGCAGACTTTACAGACAGAGTGTTTCCAAACTGCTCCATCAAAAGAAAGGTTAAACTCCTTGAGTTGAACACACACATCACAAAGTAGTTTCTGTGAATGATTCTGTCTAGTTTTTATACGAAGATGTTTCCTTTTCTACCTTTGGTCTCAAAGCGATTGAAATCTCCACATGGAAACTCCACAAAAAGAGTGTTTCAAATCTGCTCTTTCTGAAGGAAGGTTCAACTCTGTGAGTTGAATACACACACCACAAATAAGTTACTGAGAATTCTTCTGTGTAACATTATATGAGGAAATCCCGTTTCCAACGAAGGCCTCAAAGAGGTCCAAATATCCACTTGCAGACTTTACAAAGACAGTGTCTCCAAACTCCTCCATCAAAAGAAAGGTTATACTCTGTGAATTGAACGCACACATCACAAAGTAGTTTCTGAGAATGATTCTGTCTAGTTTTTATACGAAGATATTTCCTTTTCTACATTTGGCCTAAAAGCGCTTGAAATCTCCACCTGCAAATATCACAAAAAGAGGGTTTCACATCTGCTCTGTCTAAAGGACAGTTCACCTCTGTGAGTTGAATAGAGGCAACACAAAGAACTTACTCAGTATTCTTCTTTCTAGCGTTCTATGAAGAAATCCCGTTTCCAACGAAGGCCTCAAAGAGGTCAAATATCTGCTTGCAGACTTTACAGACAGAGTGTTTCCAAACTACTCTATGAAAAGAAAGCTTAAACTCCTTGAGTTGAACGCACACATCACAAAGTAGTTTCTGAGAATGATTCTGTCTAGTTTTTATACGAAGATGTTTCCTTTTCTACATTTGGTCTCAAAGCGATTCAAATCTCCAACTGGAAACTGCACAAATAGGGTGTTTCAAATCTGCTCTGTCTAAAGGAAGGTTCAACTCTGTGAGTTGAATACACACACCACAAATAAGTTACTGAGAATTCTTCTGTCGAACATTACATGAAGAAATCCCGTTTCCAACGAAGGCCTCAAAGAGGTCCAAATATCCACTTGCAGACATTACAAACAGAGTGTTTCCAAACTGCTCCATCAAAAGAAAGGTTAAACTCTGTGAGCTGAACACACACATCAAAAAGAAGTTTCTGTGAATGATTCTGTCTAGATTTTATAAGATGTTTCCTTTTCTACCGTAGGCCTCAAAGCGCCTGAAATCTCCAGCTGCAAATTCCACAAAAAGGGTGTTTAACATCTGCTCTTCTAAAGGAAAGTTCAACTCTATGAGTTGAATACACACAGCACAAAGAAGTTACTGAGACTTCTTCTGTCTAACATTATATGAAGAAATCCCGATTCCAACGAAGGCCTCAAAGAGGTCCAAATATCTGCCTGCAGACTTTACAGACAGAGGGTTTCCAAACTGCTCCATCAAAAGAAAGGTTAAACTCCTTGAGTTGAACACACACATCACAAAGTAGTTTCTGTGAATGATTCTGTCTAGTTTTTATACGAAGATGTTTCCTTTTCTACCTTTGGTCTCAAAGCGATTGAAATCTCCACATGGAAACTCCACAAAAAGAGTGTTTCAAATCTGCTCTTTCTGAAGGAAGGTTCATCTCTGTGAGTTGAATACACACACCACAAATAAGTTACTGAGAATTCTTCTGTGTAACATTATATGAGGAAATCCCGTTTCCAACGAAGGCCTCAAAGAGGTCCAAATATCCACTTGCAGACTTTACAAAGACAGTGTCTCCAAACTCCTCCATCAAAAGAAAGGTTATACTCTGTGAATTGAACGCACACATCACAAAGTAGTTTCTGAGAATGATTCTGTCTAGTTTTTATACGAAGATATTTCCTTTTCTACATTTGGCCTAAAAGCGCTTGAAATCTCCACCTGCAAATATCACAAAAAGAGGGTTTCACATCTGCTCTGTCTAAAGGACAGTTCACCTCTGTGAGTTGAATAGAGGCAACACAAAGAACTTACTCAGTATTCTTCTTTGTAGCGTTATATGAAGAAATCCCGTTTCCAAAGAAGGCCTCAAAGAGGTCCAAATATCTGCTTGCAGACTTTACAGACAGAGTTTTTCCAAACTACTCTAGGAAAAGAAAGCTTAAACTCCTTGAGTTGAACGCAAACATCACAAAGTAGTTTCTGAGAATGATTCTGTCTAGTTTTTATACGAAGATGTTTCCTTTTCTACATTTGGTCTCAAAGCGATTGAAATCTCCAACTGGAAACTGCACAAATAGGGTGTTTCAAATCTGCTCTGTCTAAAGGAAGGTTCAACTCTGTGAGTTGAATACACACACCACAAATAAGTTACTGAGAATTCTTCTGTCGAACATTACTTGAAGAAATCCCGTTTCCAAAGAAGGCCTCAAAGAGGTCCAAATATCCACTTGCAGACATTACAAACAGAGTGTTTCCAAACTGCTCCATCAAAAGAAAGGTTAAACTCTGTGAGCTGAACACACACATCAAAAAGAAGTTTCTGTGAATGATTCTGTCTAGATTTTATAAGAAGATGCTTCCTTTTCTACCGTAGGCCTCAAAGCGCTTGAAATCTCCAGCTGCAAATTCCACAAAAAGGGTGTTTAACATCTGCTCTTCTAAAGGAAAGTTCAACTCTATGAGTTGAATACACACAGCACAAAGAAGTTACTGAGACTTCTCCTATCAAACATTATATGAAGAAATCCCGTTTCCAACGATGGCCTCAAAGAGGTCCAAATATCTGCTTGCAGACTTTACAAAGACAGTGTCTCCAAACTCCTCCATCAAAAGAAAGGTTATACTCTGTGAGTTGAACGCACACATCACAAAGTAGTTTCTGAGAATGATTCTGTCTAGTTTTTATACGAAGATATTTCCTTTTCTACATTTGGCCTAAAAGCGCTTGAAATCTCCACCTGCAAATATCACAAAAAGGTTGTTTCACATCTGCTCTGTCTAAAGGACAGTTCACCTCTGTGAGTTGAATAGAGGCAACACAAAGAACTTACTCAGTATTCTTCTTTCTAGCGTTCTATGAAGAAATCCCGTTTCTAACGAAGTCCCCAAAGAGGTCTAAATATCTGCTTGCAGACTTTACAGACAGAGTGTTTCCAAACTAGTCTATGAAAAGAAAGCTTAAACTCCTTGAGTTGAACGCACACATCAGAAAGTAGTTTCTGAGAATGATTCTGTCTTGTTTTTATATGAAGATATTTCCGTTTCTATGATTGGCCTCCAAGCGATTGAAATCTCCAACTGGAAACTGCACAAATAGGGTGTTTCAAATCTGCTCTGTCTAAAGGAAGGTTCAACTCTGTGAGTTGAATACACACACCACAAATAACTTACTGAGAATTCTTCTGTCGTACATTACATGAAGAAATCCCGTTTCCAAAGAAGGCCTCAAAGAGGTCCAAATATCCACTTGCAGACATTACAAACAGAGTGTTTCCAAACTCCTCCATCAAAAGAAAGGTTAAACTCTGTGAGTTGAACACACACATCACAAAGTAGTTTCTGTGAATGATTCTGTCTATTCTTCAGAAGAAGATGTTTCCTTTTCTACCGTAGGCCTCAAAGCGCTTGAAATCTCCAGCTGCAAATTCCACAAAAAGGGTCTTTAACCTCTGCTCTTCTAAAGGAAAGTTCAACTCCATGAGTTGAATACACACAGCACAAAGAAGTTACTGAGACTTCTCCTATCAAACATTATATGAAGAAATCCCGTTTCCAACGAAGGCCTCAAAGAGGTCCAAATATCCACTTGCAGACGTGACAAACAGAGTGTTTCCAAACTGCTCCATCAAAAGAAAGGTTAAACTCTGTGAGTTGAACACACACATCACAAAGTAGTTTCTGTGAATGATTCTGTCTAGTTTTTATACGACGATGTTTCCTTTTCTACCTTTGGTCTCAAAGCGATTGAAATCTCCACATGGAAGCTCCACAAAAAGAGTGTTTCAAATCTGCTCTTTCTGAAGGAAGGTTCAACTCTGTGAGTTGAATACACACACCACAAATAAGTTACTGAGAATTCTTCTGGGTAACATTATATGAGGAAATCCCGTTTCCAACGAAGGCCTCAAAGAGGTCCAAATATCCACTTGCAGACTTTACAAAGACAGTGTCTCCAAACTCCTCCATCAAAAGAAAGGTTATACTCTGTGAATTGAACGCACACATCACAAAGTAGTTTCTGAGAATGATTCTGTCTAGTTTTTATACGAAGATATTTCCTTTTCTACATTTGGCCTAAAAGCGCTTGAAATCTCCACCTGCAAATATCACAAAAAGAGGGTTTCACATCTGCTCTGTCTAAAGGACAGTTCACCTCTGTGAGTTGAATAGAGGCAACACAAAGAACTTACTCAGTATTCTTCTTTCTAGCGTTCTATGAAGAAATCCCGTTTCCAACGAAGGCCCCAAAGAGGTCCAAATATCTGCTTGCAGACTTTACAGACAGAGTGTTTCCAAACTACTCTATGAAAAGAAAGCTTAAACTCCTTGAGTTGAACGCACACATCACAAAGTAGTTTCTGAGAATGATTCTGTCTAGTTTTTATACGAAGATGTTTCCTTTTCTACATTTGGTCTCAAAGCGATTGAAATCTCCAACTGGAAACTGCACAAATAGGGTGTTTCAAATCTGCTCTGTCTAAAGGAAGGTTCAACTCTGTGAGTTGAATACACACACCACAAATAAGTTACTGAGAATTCTTCTGTCGAAAATTACTTGAAGAAATCCCGTTTCCAACTAAGGCCTCAAAGAGGTCCAAATATCCTCTTGCAGACATTACAAACAGAGTGTTTCCAAACTGCTCCATCAAAAGAAAGGTTAAACTCTGTGAGCTGAACACACACATCAAAAAGAAGTTTCTGTGAATGATTCTGTCTAGATTTTATAAGAAGATGTTTCCTTTTCTACCGTAGGCCTCAAAGCGCTTGAAATCTCCAGCTGCAAATTCCACAAAAAGGGTGTTTAACATCTGCTCTTCTAAAGGAAAGTTCAACTCAATGAGTTGAATACACACAGCACAAAGAAGTTACTGAGACTTCTCCTATCAAACATTATATGAAGAAATCCCGTTTCCAACGAAGGCCTCAAAGAGGTCCAAATATCTGCTTGCAGACTTTACAGACAGAGTGTTTCCAAACTGCTCCATCAAAAGAAAGGTTAACCTCCTTGAGTTGAACACACACATCACAAATTAGTTTCTGTGAATGATTCTGTCTAGTTTTTATACGAAGATGTTTCCTTTTCTACCTTTGGTCTCAAAGCGATTGAAATCTCCACATGGAAACTCCACAAAAAAGAGTGTTTCAAATCTGCTCTTTCTGAAGGAAGGTTCAACTCTGTGAGTTGAATACACACACCACAAATAAGTTACTGAGAATTCTTCTGTGTAACATTATATGAGGAAATCCCGTTTCCAACGAAGGCCTCAAAGAGGTCCAAATATCCACTTGCAGACTTTACAAAGACAGTGTCTCCAAACTCCTCCATCAAAAGAAAGGTTATACTGCTGTGAATTGAACGCACACATCACAAAGTAGTTTGCTGAGAATGATTCTGTCTAGTTTTTATACGAAGATATTTCCTTTTCTACATTTGGCCTAAAAGCGCTTGAAATCTCCACCTGCATATATCACAAAAAGAGGGTTTCACATCTGCTCTGTCTAAAGGGCAGTTCACCTCTGTGAGTTGAATAGAGGCAACACAAAGAACTTACTCAGTATTCTTCTTTCTAGCGTTCTATGAAGAAATCCCTTTTCCAACGAAGGCCTCAAAGAGGTCCAAATATCTGCTTGCAGACTTTACAGACAGAGTGTTTCCAAACTACTCTATGAAAAGAAAGCTTAAACTCCTTGAGTTGAATTCACACATCACAAAGTAGTTTCTGAGAATGATTCTGTCTAGTTTTTATACGAAGATGTTTCCTTTTCTACATTTGGTCTCAAAGCGATTGAAATCTCCAACTGGAAACTGCACAAATAGGGTGTTTCAAATCTGCTCTGTCTAAAGGAAGGTTCAACTCTGTGAGTTGAATACACACACCACAAATAAGTTACTGAGAATTCTTCTGTCGAACATTACTTGAAGAAATCCCGTTTCCAACGAAGGCCTCAAAGAGGTCCAAATATCCACTTGCAGACATTACAAACAGAGTGTTTCCAAACTGCTCCATCAAAAGAAAGGTTAAACTCTGTGAGCTGAACACACACATCAAAAAGAAGTTTCTGTGAATGATTCTGTCTAGATTTTATAAGAAGATGTTTCCTTTTCTACCGTAGGCCTCAAAGCGCTTGAAATCTCCAGCTGCAAATTCCACAAAGAGGGTGTTTAACATCTTCTCTTCTAAAGGAAAGTTCAACCCTATGCGTTGAATACACACAGCAGAAAGAAGTTACTGAGACTTCTCCTATCAAACATTATATGAAGAAATCCCGTTTCCAACGAAGGCCTCAAAGAGGTCCAAATATCTGCTTGCAGACTTTACAGACAGAGTATTTCCAAACTGCTCCATCAAAAGAAAGGTTAAACTCCTTGAGTTGAACACACACATCACAAAGTAGTTTCTGTGAATGATTCTGTCTAGTTTTTATAAGAAGATGTTTCCTTTTCTACCTTTGGTCTCAAAGCGATTGAAATCTCCACATGGAAACTCCTCAAAAAGAGTGTTTCAAATCTGCTCTTTCTGAAGGAAAGTTCAACTCTGTGAGTTGAATACACACACCACAAATAAGTTACTGAGAATTCTTCTGTGTAACATTATATGAGGAAATCCCGTTTCCAACGAAGGCCTCAAAGAGGTCCAAATATCCACTTGCAGACTTTACAAAGACAGTGTCTCCAAACTCCTCCATCAAAAGAAAGGTTATACTCTGTCAATTGAACGCATACATCACAAAGTAGTTTCTGAGAATGATTCTGTCTAGTTTTTATACGAAGATATTTCCTTTTCTACATTTGGCCTAAAAGCGCTTGAAATCTCCACCTGCAAATATCACAAAAAGAGGGTTTCACATCTGCTCTGTCTAAAGGACAGTTCACCTCTGTGAGTTGAATAGAGGCAACACAAAGAACTTACTCAGTATTCTTCTTTCTAGCATTCTATGAAGAAATCCCGTTTCCAACGAAGGCCCCAAAGAGGTCCAAATATCTGCTTGCAGACTTTACAGACAGAGTTTTTCCAAACTGCTCCATCAAAAGAAAGGTTAAACTCCTTGAGTTGAACACACACATCACAAAGTAGTTTCTGTGAATGATTCTGTCTAGTTTTTATAAGAAGATGTTTCCTTTTCTACCTTTGGTCTCAAAGCGATTGAAATCTCCACATGGAAACTCCTCAAAAAGAGTGTTTCAAATCTGCTCTTTCTGAAGGAAGGTTCAACTCTGTGAGTTGAATACACAAACCACAAATAAGTTACTGAGAATTCTTCTGTGTAACATTATATGAGGAAATCCCGTTTCCAACGAAGGCCTCAAAGAGGTCCAAATATCCACTTGCGGACATTACAAACAGTGTGTTTCCCAACTGCTCCATCAAAAGAAAGGTTAAACTCTGTGAGCTGAACACACACATCAAAAAGAAGTTTCTGTGAATGATTCTGTCTAGATTTTATAAGAAGATGTTTCCTTTTCTACCGTAGGCCTCAAAGCGCTTGAAATCTCCAGCTGCAAATTCCACAAAAAGGGTGTTTAACATCTGCTCTTCTAAAGGAAAGTTCAACTCTATGAGTTGAATACACACAGCACAAAGAAGTTACTGAGACTTCTCCTATCAAACATTATATGAAGAAATCCCGTTTCCAACGAAGGCCTCAAAGAGGTCCAAATGTCTGCTTGCAGACTTTACAGACAGAGTGTTTCCAAACTGCTCCATCAAAAGAAAGGTTAAACTCCTTGAGTTGAACACACACATCACAAAGTAGTTTCTGTGAATGATTCTGTCTAGTTTTTATACGAAGATGTTTCCTTTTCTACCTTTGGTCTCAAAGCGATTGAAATCTCCACATGGAAACTCCACAAAAAGAGTGTTTCAAATCTGCTCTTTCTGAAGGAAGGTTCAACTCTGTGAGTTGAATACACACACCACAAATAAGTTACTGAGAATTCTTCTGTCGAACATTACAGGAAGAAATCCCGTTTCCAACGAAGGCCTCAAAGAGGTCCAAATATCCACTTGCAGACATTACAAACAGTGTGTTTCCCAACTGCTCCATCAAAAGAAAGGTTAAACTCTGTGAGCTGAACACACACATCAAAAAGAAGTTTCTGTGAATGATTCTGTCTAGATTTTATAAGAAGATGTTTCCTTTTCTACCGTAGGCCTCAAAGCGCTTGAAATCTCCAGCTGCAAATTCCACAAAAAGGGTGTTTAACATCTGCTCTTCTAAAGGAAAGTTCAACTCTATGAGTTGAATACACACAGCACAAAGAAGTTACTGAGACTTCTCCTATCAAACATTATATGAAGAAATCCCGTTTCCAACGAAGGCCTCAAAGAGGTCCAAATATCTGCTTGCAGACTTTACAGACAGAGTGTTTCCAAACTGCTCCATCAAAAGAAAGGTTAAACTCCTTGAGTTGAACACACACATCACAAAGTAGTTTCTGTGAATGATTCTGTCTAGTTTTTATACGAAGATGTTTCCTTTTCTACCTTTGGTCTCAATGCGATTGAAATCTCCACATGGAAACTCCACAAAAAGAGTGTTTCAAATCTGCTCTTTCTGAAGGAAGGTTCAACTCTGTGAGTTGAATACACACACCACAAATAAGTTACTGAGAATTCTTCTGGGTAACATTATATGAGGAAATCCCGTTTCCAACGAAGGCCTCAAAGAGGTCCAAATATCCACTTGCAGACTTTACAAAGACAGTGTCTCCAAACTCCTCCATCAAAAGAAAGGTTATACTCTGTGAATTGAACGCACACATCACAAAGTAGTTTCTGAGAATGATTCTGTCTAGTTTTTATACGAAGATATTTCCTTTTCTACATTTGGCCTAAAAGCGCTTGAAATCTCCACCTGCAAATATCACAAAAAGAGGGTTTCACATCTGCTCTGTCTAAAGGACAGTTCACCTCTGTGAGTTGAATAGAGGCAACACAAAGAACTTACTCAGTATTCTTCTTTCTAGCGTTCTATGAAGAAATCCCGTTTCCAACGAAGGCCCCAAAGAGGTCCAAATATCTGCTTGCAGACTTTACAGACAGAGTGTTTCCAAACTACTCTATGAAAAGAAAGCTTAAACTCCTTGAGTTGAACGCACACATCACAAAGTAGTTTCTGAGAATGATTCTGTCTAGTTGTTATACGAAGATGTTTCCTTTTCTACATTTGGTCTCAAAGCGATTGAAATCTCCAACTGGAAACTGCACAAATAGGGTGTTTCAAATCTGCTCTGTCTAAAGGAAGGTTCAACTCTGTGAGTTGAATACACACACCACAAATAAGTTACTGAGAATTCTTCTGTCGAACATTACATGAAGAAATCCCGTTTCCAACGAAGGCCTCAAGGGGTCCAAATATCCACTTGCAGACATTACAAACAGAGTGTTTCCAAACTGCTCCATCAAAAGAAAGGTTAAACTCTGTGAGCTGAACACACACATCGAAAAGAAGTTTCTGTGAATGATTCTGTCTAGATTTTATAAGAAGATGTTTCCTTTTCTACCGTAGGCCTCAAAGCGCTTGAAATCTCCAGCTGCAAATTCCACAAAAAGGGTGTTTAACATCTGCTCTTCTAAAGGAAAGTTCAACTCTATGAGTTGAATACACACAGCACAAAGAAGTTACTGAGACTTCTCCTATCAAACATTATATGAAGAAATCCCGTTTGCAACGAAGGCCTCAAAGAGGTCCAAATATCTGCTTGCAGACTTTACAGACAGAGTTTTTCCAAACTGCTCCATCAAAAGAAAGGTTAAACTCCTTTAGTTGAACACACACATCACAAAGTAGTTTCTGTGAATGATTCTGTCTAGTTTTTATACGAAGATGTTTCCTTTTCTACCTTTGGTCTCAATGCGATTGAAATCTCCACATGGAAACTCCACAAAAAGAGTGTTTCAAATCTGCTCTTTCTGAAGGAAGGTTCATCTCTGTGAGTTGAATACACACACCACAAATAAGTTACTGAGAATTCTTCTGTGTAACATTATATGAGGAAATCCCGTTTCCAACGAAGGCCTCAAAGAGGTCCAAATATCCACTTGCAGACTTTACAAAGACAGTGTCTCCAAACTCCTCCATCAAAAGAAAGGTTATACTCTGTGAATTGAACGCACACATCACAAAGTAGTTTCTGAGAATGATTCTGTCTAGTTTTTATACGAAGATATTTCCTTTTCTACATTTGGCCTAAAAGCGCTTGAAATCTCCACCTGCAAATATCACAAAAAGAGGGTTTCACATCTGCTCTGTCTAAAGGACAGTTCACCTCTGTGAGTTGAATAGAGGCAACACAAAGAACTTACTCAGTATTCTTCTTTCTAGCGTTCTATGAAGAAATCCCGTTTCCAACGAAGGCCTCAAAGAGGTCAAATATCTGCTTGCAGACTTTACAGACAGAGTGTTTCCAAACTACTCTATGAAAAGAAAGCTTAAACTCCTTGAGTTGAACGCACACATCACAAAGTAGTTTCTGAGAATGATTCTGTCTAGTTTTTATACGAAGATGTTTCCTTTTCTACATTTGGTCTCAAAGCGATTGAAATCTCCAACTGGAAACTGCACAAATAGGCTGTTTCAAATCTGCTCTGTCTAAAGGAAGGTTCAACTCTGTGAGTTGAATACACACACCACAAATAAGTTACTGAGAATTCTTCTTTCGAACATTACTTGAAGAAATCCCGTTTCCAACGAAGGCCTCAAAGAGGTCCAAATATCCACTTGCAGACATTACAAACAGAGTGTTTCCAAACTACTCTATGAAAAGAAAGCTTAAACTCCTTGAGTTGAACGCACACATCACAAAGTAGTTTCTGAGAATGATTCTGTCTAGTTTTTATACGAAGATGTTTCCTTTTCTACATTTGGTCTCAAAGCGATTGAAATCTCCAACTGGAAACTGCACAAATAGGGTGTTTCAAATCTGCTCTGTCTAAAGGAAGGTTCAACTCTGTGAGTTGAATACACACACCACAAATAAGTTACTGAGAATTCTTCTGTCGAACATTACTTGAAGAAATCCCGTTTCCAACGAAGGCCTCAAAGAGGTCCAAATATCCACTTGCAGACATTACAAACAGAGTGTTTCCAAACTGCTCCATCAAAAGAAAGGTTAAGCTCTGTGAGCTGAACACACACATCAAAAAGAAGTTTCTGTGAATGATTCTGTCTAGATTTTATAAGAAGATGTTTCCTTTTCTACCGTAGGCCTCAAAGCGCTTGAAATCTCCAGCTGCAAATTCCACAAAAAGGGTGTTTAACATCTGCTCTTCTAAAGGAAAGTTCAACTCTATGAGTTGAATACACACAGCACAAAGAAGTTACTGAGACTTCTCCTATCAAACATTATATGAAGAAATCCCGTTTCCAACGAAGGCCTCAAAGAGGTCCAAATATCTGCTTGCAGACTTTACAGACAGAGTATTTCCAAACTGCTCCATCAAAAGAAAGGTTAAACTCCTTGAGTTGAACACACACATCACAAAGTAGTTTCTGTGAATGATTCTGTCTAGTTTTTATACGAAGATGTTTCCTTTTCTACCTTTGGTCTCAAAGCGATTGAAATCTCCACATGGAAACTCCACAAAAAGAGTGTTTCAAATCTGCTCTTTCTGAAGGAAGGTTCATCTCTGTGAGTTGAATACACACACCACAAATAAGTTACTGAGAATTCTTCTGTGTAACATTATATGAGGAAATCCCGTTTCCAACGAAGGCCTCAAAGAGATCCAAATATCCACTTGCAGACTTTACAAAGACAGTGTCTCCCAACTCCTCCATCAAAAGAAAGGTTATACTCTGTGAATTGAACGCACACATCACAAAGTAGTTTCTGAGAATGATTCTGTCTAGTTTTTATACGAAGATATTTCCTTTTCTACATTTGGCCTAAAAGCGCTTGAAATCTCCACCTGCAAATATCACAAAAAGAGGGTTTCACATCTGCTCTGTCTAAAGGACAGTTCACCTCTGTGAGTTGAATAGAGGCAACACAAAGAACTTACTCAGTATTCTTCTTTCTAGCGTTCTATGAAGAAATCCCGTTTCCAACGAAGGCCCCAAAGAGGTCCAGATATCTGCTTGCAGACTTTACAGACAGAGTGTTTCCAAACTACTCTATGAAAAGAAAGCTTAAACTCCTTGAGTTAAACGCACACATCACAAAGTAGTTTCTGAGAATGATTCTGTCTAGTTTTTATACGAAGATGTTTCCTTTTCTACATTTGGTCTCAAAGCGATTGAAATCTCCAACTGGAAACTGCACAAATAGGGTGTTTCAAATCTGCTCTGTCTAAAGGAAGGTTCAACTCTGTGAGTTGAATACACACACCACAAATAAGTTACTGAGAATACTTCTGTCGAACATTACTTGAAGAAATCCCGTTTCCAAAGAAGGCCTCAAAGAGGTCCAAATATCCACTTGCAGACATTACAAACAGAGTGTTTCCAAACTGCTCCATCAAAAGAAAGGTTAAACTCTGTGAGCTGAACACACACATCAAAAAGAAGTTTCTGTGAATGATTCTGTCTAGATTTTATAAGAAGATGTTTCCTTTTCTACCGTAGGCCTCAAAGCGCTTGAAATCTCCAGCTGCAAATTCCACAAAAAGGGTGTTTAACATCTGCTCTTCTAAAGGAAAGTTCAACTCTATGAGTTGAATACACACAGCACAAAGAAGTTACTGAGACTTCTCCTATCAAACATTATATGAAGAAATCCCGTTTCCAACGAAGGCCTCAAAGAGGTCCAAATATCTGCTTGCAGACTTTACAGACAGAGTGTTTCCAAACTGCTCCATCAAAAGAAAGGTTAAACTCCTTGAGTTGAACACACACATCACAAAGTAGTTTCTGTGAATGATTCTGTCTAGTTGTTATACGAAGATGTTTCCTTTTCTACCTTTGGTCTCAAAGCGATTGAAATCTCCACATGGAAACTCCACAAAAAGAGTGTTTCAAATCTGCTCTTTCTGAAGGAAGTTTCATCTCTGTGAGTTGAATACACACACCACAAATAAGTTACTGAGAATTCTTCTGTGTAACATTATATGAGGAAATCCCGTTTCCAACGAAGGCCTCAAAGAGGTCCAAATATCCACTTGCAGACTTTACAAAGACAGTGTCTCCAAACTCCTCCATCAAAAGAAAGGTTATACTCTGTGAATTGAACGCACACATCACAAAGTAGTTTCTGAGAATGATTCTGTCTAGTTTTTATACGAAGATGTTTCCTTTTCTTCATTTGGCCTAAAAGCGCTTGAAATCTCCACCTGCAAATATCACAAAAAGAGGGTTTCACATCTGCTCTGTCTAAAGGACAGTTCACCTCTGTGAGTTGAATAGAGGCAACACAAAGAACTTACTCAGTATTCTTCTTTCTAGCGTTCTATGAAGAAATCCCGTTTCCAACGAAGGCCCCAAAGAGGTCCAAATATCTGCTTGCAGACTTTACAGACAGAGTGTTTCCAAACTACTCTATGAAAAGAAAGCTTAAACTCCTTGAGTTGAACGCACACATCACAAAGTAGTTTCTGAGAATGATTCTGTCTAGTTTTTATACGAAGATGTTTCCTTTTCTACATTTGGTCTCAAAGCGATTGAAATCTCCAACTGGAAACTGCACAAATAGGGTGTTTCAAATCTGCTCTGTCTAAAGGAAGGTTCAACTCTGTGAGTTGAATACACACACCACAAATAAGTTACTGAGAATTCTTCTGTCGAACATTACTTGATGAAATCCCGTTTCCAACGAAGGCCTCAAAGAGGTCCAAATATCCACTTGCAGACATTACAAACAGAGTGTTTCCAAACTGCTCCATCAAAAGAAAGGTTAAACTCTGTGAGCTGAACACACACATCGAAAAGAAGTTTCTGTGAATGATTCTGTCTAGATTTTATAAGAAGATGTTTCCTTTTCTACCGTAGGCCTCAAAGCGCTTGAAATCTCCAGCTGCAAATTCCACAAAAAGGGTGTTTAACATCTGCTCTTCTAAAGGAAAGTTCAACTCTATGAGTTGAATACACACAGCACAAAGAAGTTACTGAGACTTCTCCTATCAAACATTATATGAAGAAATCCCGTTTCCAACGAAGGCCTCAAAGAGGTCCAAATATCTGCTTGCAGACTTAACAGACAGAGTTTTTCCAAACTGCTCCATCAAAAGAAAGGTTAAACTCCTTGAGTTGAACACACACATCACAAAGTAGTTTCTGTGAATGATTCTGTCTAGTTTTTATACGAAGATGTTTCCTTTTCTACCTTTGGTCTCAAAGCGATTGAAATCTCCACATGGAAACTCCACAAAAAGAGTGTTTCAAATCTGCTCTTTCTGAAGGAAGGTTCAACTCTGTGAGTTGAATACACACACCACAAATAAGTTACTGAGAATTCTTCTGTGTAACATTATATGAGGAAATCCCGTTTCCAACGAAGGCCTCAAAGAGGTCCAAATATCCACTTGCAGACTTTACAAAGACAGTGTCTCCAAACTCCTCCATCAAAAGAAAGGTTATACTCTGTGAATTGAACGCATACATCACAAAGTAGTTTCTGAGAATGATTCTGTCTAGTTTTTATACGAAGATATTTCCTTTTCTACATTTGGCCTAAAAGCGCTTGAAATCTCCACCTGCAAATATCACAAAAAGAGGGTTTCACATCTGCTCTGTCTAAAGGACAGTTCACCTCTGTGAGTTGAATAGAGGCAACACAAAGAACTTACTCAGTATTCTTCTTTCTAGCGTTCTATGAAGAAATCCGGTTTCCAACGAAGACCCCAATGAGGTCCAAATATCTGCTTGCAGACTTTACAGACAGAGTGTTTCCAAACTACTCTATGAAAAGAAAGCTTAAACTCCTTGAGTTGAACGCACACATCACAAAGTAGTTTCTGAGAATGATTCTGTCTAGTTTTTATACGAAGATGTTTCCTTTTCTACATTTGGTCTCAAAGCGATTGAAATCTCCAACTGGAAACTGCACAAATAGGGTGTTTCAAATCTGCTCTGTCTAAAGGAAGGTTCAACTCTTTGAGTTGAATACACACACCACAAATAAGTTACTGAGAATTCTTCTGTCGAACATTACTTGAAGAAATCCCGTTTCCAACGAAGGCCTCAAAGAGGTCCAAATATCCACTTGCAGACATTACAAACAGAGTGTTTCCAAACTGCTCCATCAAAAGAAAGGTTAAACTCTGTGAGCTGAACACACACATCGAAAAGAAGTTTCTGTGAATGATTCTGTCTAGATTTTATAAGAAGATGTTTCCTTTTCTACCGTAGGCCTCAAAGCGCTTGAAATCTCCAGCTGCAAATTCCACAAAAAGGGTGTTTGACATCTGCTCTTCTAAAGGAAAGTTCAACTCTATGAGTTGAATACACACAGCACAAAGAAGTTACTGAGACTTCTCCTATCAAACATTATATGAAGAAATCCCGTTTCCAACGAAGGCCTCAAAGAGGTCCAAATATCTGCTTGCAGACTTTACAGACAGAGTGTTTCCAAACTGCTCCATCAAAAGAAAGGTTAAACTCCTTGAGTTGAACACACACATCACAAAGTAGTTTCTGTGAATGATTCTGTCTAGTTTTTATACGAAGATGTTTCCTTTTCTACCTTTGCCCTCAAAGCGATTGAAATCTCCACATGGAAACTCCACAAAAAGAGTGTTTCAAATCTGCTCTTTCTGAAGGAAGGTTCAACTCTGTGAGTTGAATACACACACCACAAATAAGTTACTGAGAATTCTTCTGTGTAACATTATATGAGGAAATGCCGTTTCCAACGAAGGCCTCAAAGAGGTCCAAATATCCACTAGCAGACTTTAAAAAGACAGTGTCTCCAAACTGCTCCATCAAAAGAAAGGTTATACTCTGTGAATTGAACGCACACATCACAAAGTAGTTTCTGAGAATGATTCTGTCTAGTTTTTATACGAAGATATTTCCTTTTCTACATTTGGCCGAAAAGCGCTTGAAATCTCCACCTGCAAATATCACAAAAAGAGGGTTTCACATCTGCTCTGTCTAAAGGACAGTTCACCTCTGTGAGTTGAATAGAGGCAACACAAAGAACTTACTCAGTATTCTTCTTTCTAGCGTTATATGATGAAATGCCGTTTCCAACAAAGGCCTCAAAGAGGTCCAAATATCTGCTTGCAGACTTTACAGACAGAGTGTTTCCAAACTACTCTATGAAAAGAAAGCTTAAACTTCTTGAGTTGAACGCACACATCACAAAGTAGTTTCTGATAATGATCCTGTCTTGTTTTTATACAAATGTATTTCCGTTTCTATGGCCTCAAAGCAATTGAAATCTCCAACTGTAAACTGCACAAATAGGGTGTTTCAAATCTGTTCTGTCTAAAGGAAGGCTCAACTCTGTGAGTTGAATACACACAACACAAATAAGTTACTGAGAATTCTTCTGTCGAACATTACATGAAGAAATCCCGTTTCCAACGAACGCCTCAAAGAGGTCCAAATATCCACTTGCAGACACTACAAACAGTGTGTTTCCAAACTGCTCCATCAAAACAAAGGTTAAACTCTGTGAGCTGAACACACACATCAAAAAGAAGTTTCTGTGAATGATTGTGTCTAGATTTTATAAGAAGATGTTTCCTTTTCTACCGTATGCCTCAAAGCGCTTGAAATCTCCAGCTGCAAATTCCACAAAAAGGGTGTTTAACATCTGCTCTTCTAAAGGAAAGTTCAACTCTATGAGTTGAATACACACAGCACAAAGAAGTTACTGAGACTTCTCCTATCAAACATTATATGAAGAAATCCCGTTTCCAACGAAGGCCTCAAAGAGGTCCAAATATCTGCTTGCAGACTTTACAGACAGAGTGTTTCCAAACTGCTCCATCAAAAGAAAGGTTAAACTCCTTGAGTTGAACACACACATCACAAAGTAGTTTCTGTGAATGATTCTGTCTAGTTTTTATACGAAGATGTTTCCTTTTCTACCTTTGGTCTCAAAGCTATTGAAATCTCCACATGGAAACTCCACAAAAAGAGTGTTTCAAATCTGCTCTCTCTGAAGGAAGGTTCAACTCTGTGAGTTGAATACACACACCACAAATAAGTTACTGATAATTCTTCTGTGTAACATTATATGAGGAAATCCCGTTTCCAACGAAGGCCTCAAAGAGGTCCAAATATCCACTTGCAGACTTTACAAAGACAGTGTCTCCAAACTCCTCCATCAAAAGAAAGGTTATACTCTGGGAATTGAACGCACACATCAAAAAGTAGTTTCTGAGAATGATTCTGTCCAGTTTTTATACGAAGATATTTCCTTTTCTACATTTGGCCTAAAAGCGCTTGAAATCTCCACCTGCAAATATCACAAAAAGAGGGTTTCACATCTGCTCTGTCTAAAGGGCAGTTCACCTCTGTGAGTTGAATAGAGGCAACACAAAGAACTTAGTCAGTATTCTTCTTTCTAGCGTTATATGAAGAAATCCCGTTTCCAACGAAGGCCTCAAAGAGGTCCAAATATCTGCTTGCAGACTTTACAGACAGAGTGTTTCCAAACTACTCTATGAAAAGAAAGCTTAAACTCCTTGAGTTGAACGCACACATCACAAATTAGTTTCTGAGAATGATTCTGTCTAGTTTTTATACGAAGATGTTTCCTTTTCTACCTTTGGTCTCAAAGCGATTGAAATCTCCACATGGAAACTCCACAAAAAGAGTGTTTCAAATCTGCTCTTTCTGAAGGAAGGTTCACCTCTGTGAGTTGAATAAACACACCACAAATAAGTTACTGAGAATTCTTCTGTGTAACATTATATGAGGAAATCCCGTTTCCAACGAAGGCCTCAAAGAGGTCCAAATATCCACTTGCAGACTTTACAAAGACAGTGTCTCCAAACTCCTCCATCAAAAGAAAGGTTATACTCTGTGAATTGAACGCACACATCACAAAGTAGTTTCTGAGAATGATTCTGTCTAGTTTTTATACGAAGATATTTCCTTTTCTACATTTGGCCTAAAAGTGCTTGAAATCTCCACCTGCAAATATCACAAAAAGAGGGTTTCACATCTGCTCTGTCTAAAGGACAGTTCACCTCTGTGAGTTGAATAGAGGCAACACAAAGAACTTACTCAGTATTCTTCTTTCTAGCGTTCTATGAAGAAATCCCGTTTCCAACGAAGGCCTCAAAGAGGTCAAATATCTGCTTGCAGACTTTACAGACAGAGTGTTTCCAAACTACTCTATGAAAAGAAAGCTTAAACTCCTTGAGTTGAACGCACACATCACAAAGTAGTTTCTGAGAATGATTCTGTCTAGTTTTTATACGAAGATGTTTCCCTTTCTACATTTGGTCTCAAAGCGATTGAAATCTCCAACTGGAAACTGCACAAATAGGCTGTTTCAAATCTGCTCTGTCTAAAGGAAGGTTCAACTCTGTGAGTTGAATACACACACCACAAATAAGTTACTGAGAATTCTTCTGTCGAACATTACTTGAAGAAATCCCGTTTCCAAAGAAGGCCTCAAAGAGGTCCAAATATCCACTTGCAGACATTACAAACAGAGTGTTTCCAAACTGCTCCATGAAAAGAAAGGTTAAACTCTGTGAGCTGAACACACACATCAAAAAGAAGTTTCTGTGAATGATTCTGTCTAGATTTTATAAGAAGATGTTTCCTTTTCTACCGTTGGCCTCAAAGCGCTTGAAATCTCCAGCTGCAAATTCCACAAAAAGGGTGTTTAACATATGCTCTTCTAAAGGAAAGTTCAACTCAATGAGTTGAATACACACAGCACAAAGAAGTTACTGAGACTTCTCCTATCAAACATCATATGAAGAAATCCCGTTTCCAACGAAGGCCTCAAAGAGGTCCAAATATCTGCTTGCAGACTTTACAAAGACAGTGTCTCCAAACTCCTCCATCAAAAGAAAGGTTAAACTCCTTGAGTTGAACACACACATCACAAAGTAGTTTCTGTGAATGATTCTGTCTAGTTTTTATACGAAGATGTTTCCTTTTCTACCTTTGGTCTCAAAGCGATTGAAATCTCCACATGGAAACTCCACAAAAAGAGTGTTTCAAATCTGCTCTTTCTGAAGGAAGGTTCAACTCTGTGAGTTGAATACACACACCACAAATAAGTTACTGAGAATTCTTCTGTGTAACATTATATGAGGAAATCCCGTTTCCAACGAAGGCCTCAAAGAGGTCCAAATATCCACTTGCAGACTTTACAAAGACAGTGTCTCCAAACTCGTCCATCAAAAGAAAGGTTATACTCCGTGAATTGAACGCACACATCACAAAGTAGTTTCTGAGAATGATTCTGTCTAGTTTTTATACGAAGATATTTCCTTTTCTACATTTGGCCTAAAAGCGCTTGAAATCTCCACCTGCAAATATCCCAAAAAGAGGGTTTCACATCTGCTCTGTCTAAAGGACAGTTCACCTCTGTGAGTTGAATAGAGGCAACACAAAGAACTTACTCAGTATTCTTCTTTCTGGCGTTCTATGAAGAAATCCCGTTTCCAACGAAGGCCACAAAGAGGTCCAAATATCTGCCTGCAGACTTTACAGACAGAATGTTTCCAAACTACTCTATGAAAAGAAAGCTTAAACTCCTTGAGTTGAACGCACACATCACAAAGTAGTTTCTGAGAATGATTCTGTCTAATTTTTATACGAAGATGTTTCCTTTTCTACATTTGGTCTCAAAGCGATTGAAATCTCCAACTGGAAACTGCACAAATAGGGTGTTTGAAATCTGCTCTGTCTAAAGGAAGGTTCAACTCTGTGAGTTGAATACACACAAAACAAATAAGGTACTGAGAATTCTTCTGTCGAACATTACATGAAGAAATCCCGTTTCCAACGAAGGCCTCAAAGAGGTCCAAATATCCACTTGGAGACATTACAAACAGTGTGTTTCCAAACTGCTCCATCAAAAGAAAGGTTAAACTCTGTGAGCTGAACACACACATCAAAAAGAAGTTTCTGTGAATGATTCTGTCTAGATTTTATAAGAAGATGTTTCCTTTTCTACCGTAGGCCTCAAAGCGCTTGAAATCTCCAGCTGCAAATTCCACAAAAAGGGTGTTTAACATCTGCTCTTCTAAAGGAAAGTTCAACTCTATGAGTTGAATACACACAGCACAAAGAAGTTACTGAGACTTCTCCTATCAAACATTATATGAAGAAATCCCGTTTCCAACGAAGGCCTCAAAGAGGTCCAAATATCTGCTTGCAGACTTTACAGACAGAGTTTTTCCAAACTGCTCCATCAAAAGAAAGGTTAAACTCCTTGAGTTGAACACACACATCACAAAGTAGTTTCTGTGAATGATTCTGTCTAGTTTTCATACGAAGATGTTTCCTTTTCTACCTTTGGTCTCAAAGCGATTGAAATCTCCACATGGAAACTCCACAAAAAGAGTGTTTCAAATCTGCTCTTTCTGAAGGAAGGTTCAACTCTGTGAGTTGAATACACACAGCACAAATAAGTTACTGAGAATTCTTCTGTGTAACATTATATGAGGAAATCCCGTTTCCAACGAAGGCCTCAAAGAGGTCCAAATATCCACTTGCAGACTTTACAAAGACAGTGTCTCCAAACTCCTCCATCAAAAGAAAGGTTATACTCTGTGAATTGAACGCACACATCACAAAGTAGTTTCTGAGAATGATTCTGTCTAGTTTTTATACGAAGATATTTCGTTTTCTACATTTGGCCTAAAAGCGCTTGAAATCTCCACCTGCAAATATCACAAAAAGAGGGTTTCACATCTGCTCTGTCTAAAGGACAGTTCACCTCTGTGAGTTGTATAGAGGCAACAGAAAGAACTTACTCAGTATTATTCTTTCTAGCGTTCTATGAAGAAATCTCTTTTCCAACGAAGGCCTCAAAGAGGTCCAAATATCTGCTTGCAGACTTTACAGACAGAGTGTTTCCAAACTACTCTATGAAAAGAAAGCTTAAACTCCTTGAGTTGAACGCACAGATCGCAAAGTAGTTTCTGAGAATGATTCTGTCTTGTTTTTATACGAAGATATTTCCGTTTCTATGATTGGCCTCAAAGCGATTGAAATCTCCAACTGGAAGCTGCACAAATAGGGTATTTCAAATCTGCTCTGTCTAAAGGAAGGTTCAACTCTGTGAGTTGAATACACACACTACAGGTAAGTTACTGAGAATTCTTCTGTCGACCATTACTTGATGAAATCCCGTTTCCAACGAAGGCCTCAAAGAGGTCCAAATATCCACTTGCAGACATTACAAACAGAGTGTTTCCAAACTGCTCCATCAAAAGAAAGGTTAAACACTGTGAGCTGAACACACACATCGAAAAGAAGTTTCTGTGAATGATTCTGTCTAGATTTTAGAAGAAGATGTTTCCTTTTCTACCGTAGGCCTCAAAGCGCTTGAAATCTCCAGCTGCAAATTCCACAGAAAGGGTGTTTAACATCTGCTCTTCTAAAGGAAAATTTAACTCTATGAGTTGAATACACACAGCACAAAGAAGTTACTGAGACTTCTCCTATCAAACATTATATGAAGAAATCCCGTTTCCAAAGAAGGCCCCAAAGCAGTCCAAATATCCACTTGCAGACGTGAAAAACAGAGTGTTTCCAAACTGCCATATCAAAAGAAAGGTTAAACTCTGTGAGCTGAACACACACATCACAAAGTAGTTTCTGTGAATGATTCTGTCTAGTTTTTATACGAAGATGTTTCCTTTTCTACCTTTGGTCTCAAAGCGATGGATATCTCCACATGGAAACTCCACAAAATGAGTGTTTCAAATCTGCTCTTTCTGAAGGAAGGTTCAACTCTGTGAGTTGAATACACACACCACAAATAAGTTGCTGAGAATTCTTCTGTGTAACATTATATGAGGAAATCCCGTTTCCAACGAAGGCCTCAAAGAGGTCCAAATATCCACTTGCAGACTTTACAAAGACAGTGTCTCCAAACTCCTCCATCAAAGAAAGGTTATACTCTGTGAATTGAACGCACACATCACAAAGTAGTTTCTGAGAATGATTCTGTCTAGTTTTTATACGAAGATATTTCCTTTTCTACATTTGGCCTAAAAGCGCTTGAAATCTCCACCTGCAAATATCACAAAAAGAGGGTTTCACATCTGCTCTGTCTAAAGGACAGTTCAGCTCTGTGAGTTGAATAGAGGCAACACAAAGAACTTACTCAGTATTCTTCTTTCTAGCGTTCTATGAAGAAATCCCGTTTCCAACGAAGGCCCCAAAGAGGTCCAAATATCTGCTTGCAGACTTAACAGACAGAGTGTTTCCAAACTACTCTATGAAAAGAAAGCTTAAACTCCTTGAGTTGAACGCACACATCACAAAGTAGTTTCTGAGAATGATTCTGTCTAGTTTTTATACGAAGATGTTTCCTTTTCTACATTTGGTCTCAAAGCGATTGAAATCTCCAACTGGAAACTGCACAAATAGGGTGTTTCAAATCTGCTCTGTCTAAAGGAAGGTTCAACTCTGTGAGTTGAATACACACACCACAAATAAGTTACTGAGAATTCTTCTGTCGAACATTACTTGAAGAAATCCCGTTTCCAAAGAAGGCCTCAAAGAGGTCCAAATATCCACTTGCAGACATTACAAACAGAGTGTTTCCAAACTGCTCCATCAAAAGAAAGGTTAAACTCTGTGAGCTGAACACACACATCAAAAAGAAGTTTCTGTGAATGATTCTGTCTAGATTTTATAAGAAGATGTTTCCTTTTCTACCGTAGGCCTCAAAGCGCTTGAAATCTCCAGCTGCAAATTCCACAAAAAGGGTGTTTAACATCTGCTCTTCTAAAGGAAAGTTCAACTCTATGAGTTGAATACACACAGCACAAAGAAGTTACTGAGACTTCTCCTATCTAACATTATATGAAGAAATCCCGTTTCCAACGAAGGCCTCAAAGAGGTCCAAATATCTGCTTGCAGACTTTACAGACAGAGTGTTTCCAAACTGCTCCATCAAAAGAATGGTTAAACTCCTTGAGTTGAACACACACATCACAAAGTAGTTTCTGTGAATGATTCTGTCTAGTTGTTATACGAAGATGTTTCCTTTTCTACCTTTGGTCTCAAAGCGATTGAAATCTCCACATGGAAACTCCACAAAAAGAGTGTTTCAAATCTGCTCTTTCTGAAGGAAGGTTCATCTCTGTGAGTTGAATATACACACCACAAATAAGTTACTGAGAATTCTTCTGTGTAACATTATATGAGGAAATCCCGTTTCCAACGAAGGCCTCAAAGAGGTCCAAATATCCACTTGCAGACTTTACAAAGACAGTGTCTCCAAACTCCTCCATCAAAAGAAAGGTTATACTCTGTGAATTGAACGCACACATCACAAAGTAGTTTCTGACAATGATTCTGTCTAGTTTTTATACGAAGATATTTCCTTTTCTACATTTGGCCTAAAAGCGCTTGAAATCTCCACCTGCAAATATCACAAAAAGAGGGTTTCACATCTGCTCTGTCTAAAGGACAGTTCACCTCTGTGAGTTGAATAGAGGCAACACAAAGAACTTACTCAGTATTCTTCTTTCTAGCGTTCTATGAAGAAATCCCGTTTCCAACGAAGGCCTCAAAGAGTTCCAAATATCTGCTTGCAGACTTTACAGACAGAGTGTTTCCAAACTACTCTATGAAAAGAAAGCTTAAACTCCTTGAGTTGAACGCACACATCACAAAGTAGTTTCTGAGAATGATTCTGTCTAGTTTTTATACGAAGATGTTTCCTTTTCTACATTTGGTCTCAAAGCGATTGAAATCTCCAACTGGAAACTGCACAAATAGGCTGTTTCAAATCTGCTCTGTCTAAAGGAAGGTTCAGCTCTGTGTGTTGAATACACACACCACAAATAAGTTACTGAGAATTCTTCTGTCGAACATTACAGGAAGAAATCCCGTTTCCAACGAAGGCCTCAAAGAGGTCCAAATATCCACTTGCGGACATTACAAACAGTGTGTTTCCCAACTGCTCCATCAAAAGAAAGGTTAAACTCTGTGAGCTGAACACACACATCAAAAAGAAGTTTCTGTGAATGATTCTGTCTAGATTTTATAAGAAGATGTTTCCTTTTCTACCGTAGGCCTCAAAGCGCTTGAAATCTCCAGCTGCAAATTCCACAAAAAGGGTGTTTAACATCTGCTCTTCTAAAGGAAAGTTCAACTCTATGAGTTGAATACACACAGCACAAAGAAGTTACTGAGACTTCTCCTATCAAACATTATATGAAGAAATCCCGTTTCCAACGAAGGCCTCAAAGAGGTCCAAATATCTACTTGCAGACTTTACAGACAGAGTGTTTCCAAACTGCTCCATCAAAAGAAAGGTTAAACTCCTTGAGTTGAACACACACATCACAAAGTAGTTTCTGTGAATGATTCTGTCTAGTTTTTATACGAAGATGTTTCCTTTTCTACCTTTGGTCTCAAAGCGATTGAAATCTCCACATGGAAACTCCACAAAAAGAGTGTTTCAAATCTGCTCTTTCTGAAGGAAGGTTCAACTCTGTGAGTTGAATACACACACCACAAATAAGTTACTGAGAATTCTTCCTATCAAACATTATATGAAGAAATCCCGTTTCCAACGAAGGCCTCAAAGAGGTCCAAATATCCACTTGCAGACATTACAAAGACAGTGTCTCCAAACTCCTCCATCAAAAGAAAGGTTATACTCTGTGAATTGAACGCACACATCACAAAATAGTTTCTGAGAATGATTCTGTCTAGTTTTTATACGAAGATATTTCCTTTTCTACATTTGGCCTAAAAGCGCTTGAAATCTCCACCTGCAAATATCACAAAAAGAGGGTTTCACATCTGCTCTGTCTAAAGGACAGTTCACCTCTGTGAGTTGAATAGAGGCAACACAAAGAACTTACTCAGTATTCTTCTTTCTAGCGTTCTATGAAGAAATCCCGTTTCCAACGAAGGCCTCAAAGAGGTCAAATATCTGCTTGCAGACTTTACAGACAGAGTGTTTCCAAACTACTCTATGAAAAGAAAGCTTAAACTCCTTGAGTTGAACGCACACATCACAAAGTAGTTTCTGAGAATGATTCTGTCTAGTTTTTATACGAAGATGTTTCCTTTTCTACATTTGGTCTCAAAGCGATTGAAATCTCCAACTGGAAACTGCACAAATAGGCTGTTTCAAATCTGCTCTGTCTAAAGGAAGGTTCAGCTCTGTGAGTTGAATACACACACCACAAATAAGTTACTGAGAATTCTTCTGTCGAACATTACAGGAAGAAATCCCGTTTCCAACGAAGGCCTCAAAGAGGTCCAAATATCCACTTGCGGACATTACAAACAGTGTGTTTCCCAACTGCTCCATCAAAAGAAAGGTTAAACTCTGTGAGCTGAACACACACATCAAAAAGAAGTTTCTGTGAATGATTCTGTCTAGATTTTATAAGAAGATGTTTCCTTTTCTACCGTAGGCCTCAAAGCGCTTGAAATCTCCAGCTGCAAATTCCACAAAAAGGGTGTTTAACATCTGCTCTTCTAAAGGAAAGTTCAACTCTATGAGTTGAATACACACAGCACAAAGAAGTTACTGAGACTTCTCCTATCAAACATTATATGAAGAAATCCCGTTTCCAACGAAGGCCTCAAAGAGGTCCAAATGTCTGCTTGCAGACTTTACAGACAGAGTGTTTCCAAACTGCTCCATCAAAAGAAAGGTTAAACTCCTTGAGTTGAACACACACATCACAAAGTAGTTTCTGTGAATGATTCTGTCTAGTTTTTATACGAAGATGTTTCCTTTTCTACCTTTGGTCTCAAAGCGATTGAAATCTCCACATGGAAACTCCACAAAAAGAGTGTTTCAAATCTGCTCTTTCTGAAGGAAGGTTCAACTCTGTGAGTTGAATACACACACCACAAATGAGTTACTGAGAATTCTTCTGTGTAACATTATATGAGGAAATCCCGTTTCCAACGAAGGCCTCAAAGAGGTCCAAATATCCACTTGCAGACTTTACAAAGACAGTGTCTCCAAACTCCTCCATCAAAAGAAAGGTTATACTCTGTGAATTGAACGCACACATCACAAAGTAGTTTCTGAGAATGATTCTGTCTAGTTTTTACACGAAGATATTTCCTTTTCTACATTTGGCCTAAAAGCGCTTGAAATCTCCACCTGCAAATATCACAAAAAGAGGGTTTCACATCTGCTCTGTCTAAAGGACAGTTCACCTCTGTGAGTTGAATAGAGGCAACACAAAGAACTTACTCAGTATTCTTCTTTCTAGCGCTCTATGAAGAAATCCCGTTTCCAACGAATGCCTCAAAGAGGTCCAAATATCTGCTTGCAGACTTCAGAGACAGAGTGTTTCCAAAGTACTCTATGAAAAGAAAGCTTAAACTCCTTGAGTTGAACGCACACATCACAAAGTAGTTTCTGAGAATGATTCTGTCTAGTTTTTATACGAAGATGTTTCCTTTTCTACATTTGGTCTCAAAGCGATTGAAATCTCCAACTGGAAACTGCACAAATAGGGTGTTTCAAATCTGCTCTTTCTAAAGGAAGGTTCAACTCTGTGAGTTGAATACACACACCACAAATAAGTTACTGAGAATTCTTCTGTCGAACATTACATGAAGAAATCCCGTTTCCAACGAAGGCCTCAAAGAGGTCCAAATATCCACTTGCAGACATTACAAACAGTGTGTTTCCAAACTGCTCCATCAAAAGAAAGGTTAAACTCTGTGAGCTGAACACACATCAAAAAGAAGTTTCTGTGAATGATTCTGTCTAGATTTTATAAGAAGATGTTTCCTTTTCTACCGTAGGCCACAAAGCGCTTGAAATCTCCAGCTGCAAATTCCACAAAAAGGGTGTTTAACATCTGCTCTTCTAAAGGAAAGTTCAACTCTATGAGTTAAATAAACACAGCAGAAAGAAGTTACTGAGACTTCTCCTATCAAACATTATATGAAGAAATCCCGTTTCCAACGAAGGCCTCAAAGAGGTCCAAATATCTGCTTGCAGACTTTACAGACAGAGTTTTTCCAAACTGCTCCATCAAAAGAAAGGTTAAACTCCCTTGAGTTGAACACACACATCACAAAGTAGTTTCTGTGAATGATTCTGTCTAGTTTTTATACGAAGATGTTTCCTTTTCTACCTTTGGTCTCAATGCGATTGAAATCTCCACATGGAAACTCCACAAAAAGAGTGTTTCAAATCTGCTCTTTCTGAAGGAAGGTTCAACTCTGTGAGTTGAATACACACACCACAAATAAGTTACTGAGAATTCTTCTGTGTAACATTATATGAGGAAATCCCGTTTCCAACGAAGGCCTCAAAGAGGTCCAAATATCCACTTGCAGACTTTACAAAGACAGTGTCTCCAAACTCCGCCATCAAAAGAAAGGTTATACTCTGTGAATTGAACGCACACATCACAAAGTAGTTTCTGAGAATGATTCTGTCTAGTTTTTATACGAAGATATTTCCTTTTCTACATTTGGCCTGAAAGCGCTTGAAATCTCCACGTGCAAATATCACAAAAAGAGGGTTTCACATCTGCTCTGTCTAAAGGACAGTTCACCTCTGTGAGTTGAATAGAGGCAACACAAAGAACTTACTCAGTATTCTTCTTTCTAGCGTTCTATGCAGAAATCCCGTTTCCAACGAAGGCCTCAAAGAGGTCCAAATATCTGCTTGCAGACTTTACAGACAGAGTGTTTCCAAAGTACTCTATGAAAAGAAAGCTTAAACTCCTTGAGTTGAACGCACACATCACAAAGTAGTTTCTGAGAATGATTCTGTCTAGTTTTTATACGAAGATGTTTCCTTTTCTACATTTGGTCTCAAAGCGATTGAAATCTCCAACTGGAAACTGCACAAATAGGGTGTTTCAAATCTGCTCTGTCTAAAGGAAGGTTCAACTCTGTGAGTTGAATACACACACCACAAATAAGTTACTGAGAATTCTTCTGTCGAACATTACTTGAAGAAATCCCGTTTCCAACGAAGGCCTCAAAGAGGTCCAAATATCCACTTGCAGACATTACAAACAGAGTGTTTCCAAACTGCTCCATCAAAAGAAAGGTTAAACTCTGTGAGCTGAACACACACATCAAAAAGAAGTTTCTGTGAATGATTCTGTCTAGATTTTATAAGAAGATGTTTCCTTTTCTACCGTAGGCCTCAAAGCGCTTGAAATCTCCAGCTGCAAATTCCACAAAAAGGGTGTTTAACATCTGCTCTTCTAAAGGAAAGTTCAACTCTATGCGTTGAATACACACAGCACAAAGAAGTTACTGAGACTTCTCCTATCAAACATTATATGAAGAAATCCCGTTTCCAACGAAGGCCTCAAAGAGGTCCAAATATCTGCTTGCAGACTTTACAGACAGAGTGTTTCCAAACTGCTCCATCAAAAGAAAGGTTAAACTCCTTGAGTTGAACACACACATCACAAAGTAGTTTCTGTGAATGATTCTGTCTAGTTTTTATACGAAGATGTTTCCTTTTCTACCTTTGGTCTCAATGCGATTGAAATCTCCACATGGAAACTCCACAAAAAGAGTGTTTCAAATCTGCTCTTTCTGAAGGAAGGTTCAACTCTGTGAGTTGAATACACACACCACAAATAAGTTACTGAGAATTCTTCTGTGTAACATTATATGAGGAAATCCCGTTTCCAACGAAGGCCTCAAAGAGGTCCAAATATCCACTTGCAGACTTTACAAAGACAGTGTCTCCAAACTCCTCCATCAAAAGAAAGGTTATACTCTGTGAATTGAACGCACACATCACAAAGTAGTTTCTGAGAATGATTCTGTCTAGTTTTTATACGAAGATATTTCCTTTTCTACATTTGGCCTAAAAGCGCTTGAAATCTCCACCTGCAAATATCACAAAAAGAGGGTTTCACATCTGCTCTGTCTGAAGGACAGTTCACCTCTGTGAGTTGAATAGAGGCAACACAAAGAACTTACTCAGTATTCTTCTTTCTAGCGTTCTATGAAGAAATCCCGTTTCCAACGAAGGCCCCAAAGAGGTCCAAATATCTGCTTGCAGACTTTACAGACAGAGTGTTTCCAAACTACTCTATGAAAAGAAAGCTTAAACTCCTTGAGTTGAACGCACACATCACAAAGTAGTTTCTGAGAATGATTCTGTCTAGTTTTTATACGAAGATGTTTCCTTTTCAACATTTGGTCTCAAAGCGATTGAAATCTCCAACTGGAAACTGCACAAATAGGGTGTTTCAAATCTGCTCTGTCTAAAGGAAGGTTCAACTCTGTGAGTTGAATACACACACCACAAATAAGTTACTGAGAATTCTTCTGTCGAACATTACAGGAAGAAATCCCGTTTCCAACGAAGGCCTCAAAGAGGTCCAAATATCCACTTGCGGACATTACAAACAGTGTGTTTCCCAACTGCTCCATCAAAAGAAAGGTTAAACTCTGTGAGCTGAACACACACATCAAAAAGAAGTTTACTGTGAATGATTCTGTCTAGATTTTATAAGAAGATGTTTCCTTTTCTACCGTCGGCCTCAAAGCGCTTGAAATCTCCAGCTGCAAATTCCACAAAAAGGGTGTTTAACATCTGCTCTTCTGAAGGAAAGTTCAACTCTATGAGTTGAATACACACAGCACAAAGAAGTTACTGAGACTTCTCCTATCAAACATTATATGAAGAAATCCCGTTTCCAACGAAGGCCTCAAAGAGGTCCAAATATCTTCTTGCAGACTTTACAGACAGAGTTTTTCCAAACTGCTCCATCAAAAGAAAGGTTAAACTCCTTGAGTTGAACACACACATCACAAAGTAGTTTCTGTGAATGATTCTGTCTAGTTTTTATACGAAGATGTTTCCTTTTCTACCTTTGGTCTCAAAGCGATTGAAATCTCCACATGGAAACTCCACAAAAAGAGTGTTTCAAATCTGCTCTTTCTGAAGGAAGGTTCAACTCTGTGAGTTGAATACACACACCACAAATAAGTTACTGAGAATTCTTCTGTGTAACATTATATGAGGAAATCCCGTTTCCAACGAAGGCCTCAAAGAGGTCCAAATATCCACTTGCAGACTTTACAAAGACAGTGTCTCCAAACTCCTCCATCAAAAGAAAGGTTATACTCTGTGAATTGAACGCACACATCACAAAGTAGTTTCTGAGAATGATTCTGTCTAGTTTTTATACGAAGATATTTCCTTTTCTACATTTGGCCTAAAAGCGCTTGAAATCTCCACCTGCAAATATCACAAAAAGAGGGTTTCACATCTGCTCTGTCTAAAGGACAGTTCACCTCTGTGAGTTGAATAGAGGCAACACAAAGAACTTACTCAGTATTCTTCTTTCTAGCGTTCTATGAAGAAATCCGGTTTCCAACGAAGGCCCCAAAGAGGTCCAAATATCTGCTTGCACACTTTACAGACAGAGTGTTTCCAAACTACTCTATGAAAAGAAAGCTTAAACTCCTTGAGTTGAACGCACACATCACAAAGTAGTTTCTGAGAATGATTCTGTCTAGTTTTTATACGAAGATGTTTCCTTTTCTACATTTGGTCTCAAAGCGATTGAAATCTCCAACTGGAAACTGCACAAATAGGGTGTTTCAAACCTCCTCTGTCTAAAGGAAGGCTCAACTCTGTGAGTTGAATACACACACCACAAATAAGTTACTGAGAATTCTTCTGTCGAACATTACTTGAAGAAATCCCGTTTCCAACGAAGGCCTCAAAGAGGTCCAAATATCCACTTGCAGACATTACACACAGAGTGTTTCCAAACTGCTCCATCAAAAGAAAGGTTAAACTCTGTGAGCTGAACACACACATCGAAAAGAAGTTTCTGTGAATGATTCTGTCTAGATTTTATAAGAAGATGTTTCCTTTTCTACCGTAGGCCTCAAAGCGCTTGAAATCTCCAGCTGCAAATTCCACAAAAAGGGTGTTTAACATCTGCTCTTCTAAAGGAAAGTTCAACTCTATGAGTTGAATACACACAGCACAAAGAAGTTACTGAGACTTCTCCTATCAAACATTATATGAAGAAATCCCGTTTCCAACGAAGGCCTCAAAGAGGTCCAAATATCTGCTTGCAGACTTTACAGACAGAGTGTTTCCAAACTGCTCCATCAAAAGAAAGGTTAAACTCCTTGAGTTGAACACACACATCACAAAGTAGTTTCTGTGAATGATTCTGTCTAGTTTTTATACGAAGATGTTTCCTTTTCTACCTTTGGTCTCAAAGTGATTGAAATCTCCACATGGAAACTCCACAAAAAGAGTGTTTCAAATCTGCTCTTTCTGAAGGAAGGTTCAAATCTGTGAGTTGAATACACACACCACAAATAAGTTACTGAGAATTCTTCTGGGTAACATTATATGAGGAAATCCCGTTTCCAACGAAGGCCTCAAAGAGGTCCAAATATCCACTTGCAGACTTTACAAAGACAGTGTCTCCAAACTCCTCCATCAAAAGAAAGGTTATACTCTGTGAATTGAACGCACACATCACAAAGTAGTTTCTGAGAATGATTCTGTCTAGTTTTTATACGAAGATATTTCCTTTTCTACATTTGGCCTAAAAGTGCTTGAAATCTCCACCTGCAAATATCACAAAAAGAGGGTTTCACATCTGCTCTGTCTAAAGGACAGTTCACCTCTGTGAGTTGAATAGAGGCAACACAAAGAACTTACTCAGTATTCTTCTTTCTAGCGTTCTATGAAGAAATCCCGTTTCCAACGAAGGCCCCAAAGAGGTCCAAATATCTGCTTGCAGACTTTACAGACAGAGTGTTTCCAAACTACTCTATGAAAAGAAAGCTTAAACTCCTTGAGTTGAACGCACACATCACAAAGTAGTTTCTGAGAATGATTCTGTCTAGTTTTTATACGAAGATGTTTCCTTTTCTACATTTGGTCTCAAAGCGATTGAAATCTCCAACTGGAAACTGCACAAATAGGGTGTTTCAAATCTGCTCTGTCTAAAGGAAGGTTCAACTCTGTGAGTTGAATACACACACCACAAATAAGTTACTGAGAATTCTTCTGTCGAACATTACTTGAAGAAATCCCGTTTCCAACGAAGGCCTCAAAGAGGTCCAAATATCCACTTGCAGACATTACAAACAGAGTGTTTCCAACCTGCTCCTTCAAAAGAAAGGTTAAACTCTGTGAGCTGAACACACACATCAAAAAGAAGTTTCTGTGAATGATTCTGTCTAGATTTTATAAGAAGATGTTTCCTTTTCTACCGTAGGCCTCAAAGCGCTTGAAATCTCCAGCTGCAAATTCCACAAAAAGGGTGTTTAACATCTGCTCTTCTAAAGGAAAGTTCAACTCTATGAGTTGAATACACACAGCACAAAGAAGTTACTGAGACTTCTTCTGTCTAACATTATATGAAGAAATCCCGTTTCCAACGAAGGCCTCAAAGAGGTCCAAATATCTGCCTGCAGACTTTACAGACAGAGTGTTTCCAAACTGCTCCATCAAAAGAAAGGTTAACCTCCTTGAGTTGAACACACACATCACAAAGTAGTTTCTGTGAATGATTCTGTCTAGTTTTTATACGAAGATGTTTCCTTTTCTACCTTTGGTCTCAAAGCGATTGAAATCTCCACATGGAAACTCCACAAAAAGAGTGTTTCAAATCTGCTCTTTCTGAAGGAAGGTTCATCTCTGTGAGTTGAATACACACACCACAAATAAGTTACTGAGAATTCTTCTGTGTAACATTATATGAGGAAATCCCGTTTCCAACGAAGGCCTCAAAGAGGTCCAAATATCCACTTGCAGACTTTACAAAGACAGTGTCTCCAAACTCCTCCATCAAAAGAAAGGTTATACTCTGTGAATTGAACGCACACATCACAAAGTAGTTTCTGAGAATGATTCTGTCTAGTTTTTATACGAAGATATTTCCTTTTCTACATTTGGCCTAAAAGCGCTTGAAATCTCCACCTGCAAATATCACAAAAAGAGGGTTTCACATCTGCTCTGTCTAAAGGACAGTTCACCTCTGTGAGTTGAATAGAGGCAACACAAAGAACTTACTCAGTATTCTTCTTTCAAGCGTTCTATGAAGAAATCCCGTTTCCAACGAAGACCCCAATGAGGTCCAAATATCTGCTTGCAGACTTTACAGACAGAGTGTTTCCAAACTACTCTATGAAAAGAAAGCTTAAACTCCTTGTGTTGAACGCACACATCACAAAGTAGTTTCTGAGAATGATTCTGTCTAGTTTTTATACGAAGATGTTTCCTTTTCTACATTTGGTCTCAAAGCGATTGAAATCTCCAACTGGAAACTGCACAAATAGGGTGTTTCAAATCTGCTCTGTCTAAAGGAAGGTTCAACTCTGTGAGTTGAATACACACACCACAAATAAGTTACTGAGAATTCTTCTGTCGAACATTACAGGAAGAAATCCCGTTTCCAACGAAGGCCTCAAAGAGGTCCAAATATCCACTTGCAGACATTACAAACAGAGTGTTTCCAAACTGCTCCATCAAAAGAAAGGTTAAACTCTGTGAGCTGAACACACACATCAAAAAGAAGTTTCTGTGAATGATTCTGTCTAGATTTTATAAGATGTTTCCTTTTCTACCGTAGGCCTCAAAGCGCTTGAAATCTCCAGCTGCAAATTCCACAAAAAGGGTGTTTAACATCTGCTCTTCTAAAGGAAAGTTCAACTCTATGCGTTGAATACACACAGCACAAAGAAGTTACTGAGACTTCTCCTATCAAACATTATATGAAGAAATCCCGTTTCCAACGAAGGCCTCAAAGAGGTCCAAATATCTGCTTGCAGACTTTACAGACAGAGTGTTTCCAAACTGCTCCATCAAAAGAAAGGTTAAACTCCTTGAGTTGAACACACACATCACAAAGTAGTTTCTGTGAATGATTCTGTCTAGTTTTTATACGAAGATGTTTCCTTTTCTACCTTTGGTCTCAAAGCGATTGAAATCTCCACATGGAAACTCCACTAAAAGAGTGTTTCAAATCTGCTCTTTCTGAAGGAAGGTTCAACTCTGTGAGTTGAATACACACACCACAAATAAGTTACTGAGAATTCTTCTGTGTAACATTATATGAGGAAATCCCGTTTCCAACGAAGGCCTCAAAGAGGTCCAAATATCCACTTGCAGACTTTACAAAGACAGTGTCTCCAAACTCCTCCATCAAAAGAAAGGTTATACTCTGTGAATTGAACGCACACATCACAAAGTAGTTTCTGAGAATGATTCTGTCTAGTTTTTATACGAAGATATTTCCTTTTCTACATTTGGCCTAAAAGCGCTTGAAATCTCCACCTGCAAATATCACAAAAAGAGGGTTTCACATCTGCTCTGTCTAAAGGACAGTTCACCTCTGTGAGTTGAATAGAGGCAACACAAAGAACTTACTCAGTATTCTTGTTTCTAGCGTTCTATGAAGAAATCCCGTTTCCAACGAAGGCCCCAAAGAGGTCCAAATATCTGCTTGCAGACTTTACAGACAGAGTGTTTCCAAACTACTCTATGAAAAGAAAGCTTAAACTCCTTGAGTTGAACGCACACATCACAAAGTAGTTTCTGAGAATGATTCTGTCTAGTTTTTATACGAAGATGTTTCCTTTTCTACATTTGGTCTCAAAGCGATTGAAATCTCCAACTGGAAACTGCACAAATAGGGTGTTTCAAATCTGCTCTGTCTAAAGGAAGGTTCAACTCTGTGAGTTGAATACACACACCACAAATAAGTTACTGAGAATTCTTCTGTCGAACATTACTTGTAGAAATCCCGTTTCCAAAGAAGGCCTCAAAGAGGTCCAAATATCCACTTGCAGACATTACAAACAGTTTGTTTCCAAACTGCTCCATCAAAAGAAAGGTTAAACTCTGTGAGCTGAACACACACATCAAAAAGAAGTTTCTGTGAATGATTCTGTCTGGATTTTATAAGAAGATGTTTCCTTTTCTACCGTAGGCCTCAAAGCGCTTGAAATCTCCAGCTGCAAATTCCACAAAAAGGGTGTTTAACATCTGCTCTTCTAAAGGAAAGTTCAACTCTATGAGTTGAATACACACAGCACAAAGAAGTTACTGAGACTTCTTCCTATCAAACATTATATGAAGAAATCCCGTTTCCAACGAAGGCCTCAAAGAGGTCCAAATATCTGCTTGCAGACTTTACAGACAGAGTGTTTCCAAACTGCTCCATCAAAAGAAAGGTTAAACTCCTTGAGTTGAACACACACATCACAAAGTACTTTCTGTGAATGATTCTGTCTAGTTTTTATACGAAGATGTTTCCTTTTCTACCTTTGGTCTCAAAGCGATTGAAATCTCCACATGGAAACACCACAAAAAGAGTGTTTCAAATCTGCTCTTTCTGAAGGAAGGTTCAACTCTGTGAGTTGAATACACACACCACAAATAAGTTACTGAGAATTCTTCTGTGTAACATTATATGAGGAAATCCCATTTCCAACGAAGGCCTCAAAGAGGTCCCAATATCCACATGCAGACTTTACAAAGACAGTGTCTCCAAACTCCTCCATCAAAAGAAAGGTTATACTCTGTGAATTGAACGCACACATCACAAAGTAGTTTCTGAGAATGATTCTGTCTAGTTTTTATACGAAGATATTTCCTTTTCTACATTTGGCCTAAAAGCGCTTGAAATCTCCACCTGCAAATATCACAAAAAGAGGGTTTCACATCTGCTCTGTCTAAAGGACAGTTCAACTCTGTGAGTTGAATAGAGGCAACACAAAGAACTTACTCAGTATTCTTCTTTCTAGCGTTCTATGAAGAAATCCCGTTTCCAACGAAGACCCCAAAGAGGTCCAAATATCTGCTTGCAGACTTTACAGACAGAGTGTTTCCAAAGTACTCTATGAAAAGAAAGCTTAAACTCCTTGAGTTGAACGCACACATCACAAAGTAGTTTCTGAGAATGATTCTGTCTAGTTTTTATACGAAGATGTTTCCTTTTCTACATTTGGTCTCAAAGCGATTGAAATCTCCAACTGGAAACTGCACAAATAGGGTGTTTCAAATCTGCTCTGTCTAAAGGAAGGTTCAACTCTGTGAGTTGAATACACACATCACAAATAAGTTACTGAGAATTCTTCTGTCGAACATTACTTGAAGAAATCCCGTTTCCAACGAAGGCCTCAAAGAGGTCCAAATATCCACTTGCAGACATTACAAACAGAGTGTTTCCAAACTGCTCCATCAAAAGAAAGGTTAAACTCTGTGAGCTGAACACACACATCGAAAAGAAGTTTCTGTGAATGATTCTGTCTAGATTTTATAAGAAGATGTTTCCTTTTCTACCGTAGGCCTCAAAGCGCTTGAAATCTCCAGCTGCAAATTCCACAAAAAGGGTGTTTAACATCTGCTCTTCTAAAGGAAAGTTCAACTCTATGAGTTGAATACACACAGCACAAAGAAGTTACTGAGACTTCTCCTATCAAACATTATATGAAGAAATCCCGTTTCCAACGAAGGCCTCAAAGAGGTCCAAATATCTGCTTGCAAACTTTACAGACAGAGTTTTTCCAAACTGCTCCATCAAAAGAAAGGTTAAACTCCTTGAGTTGAACACACACATCACAAAGTAGTTTCTGTGAATGATTCTGTCTAGTTTTTATACGAAGATGTTTCCTTTTCTACCTTTGGTCTCAAAGCGATTGAAATCTCCACATGGAAACTCCACAAAAAGAGTGTTTCAAATCTGCTCTTTCTGAAGGAAGGTTCAACTCTGTGAGTTGAATAAACACACCACAAATAAGTTACTGAGAATTCTTCTGTGTAACATTATATGAGGAAATCCCGTTTCCAACGAAGGCCTCAAAGAGGTCCAAATATCCACTTGCAGACTTTACAAAGACAGTGTCTCCAAACTCCTCCATCAAAAGAAAAGTTATACTCTGTGAATTGAACGCACACATCACAAAGTAGTTTCTGAGAATGATTCTGACTAGTTTTTATATGAAGATATTTCCTTTTCTACAATTGGCCTGAAAGTGCTTGAAATCTCCACCTGCAAATATCACAAAAAGAGGGTTTCACATCTGCTCTGTCTAAAGGACAGTTCACCTCTGTGAGTTGAATAGAGGCAACACAAAGAACTTACTCAGTATTCTTCTTTCTAGCGTTATATGAAGAAATCCCGTTTCCAACGAAGGCCTCAAAGAGGTCCAAATATCTGCTTGCAGACTTTACACACAGAGTGTTTCCAAACTACTCTATGAAAAGAAAGCTTAAACTCCTTGAGTTGAACGCACACATCACAAAATAGTTTCTGAGAATGATTCTGTCTTGTTTTTATACGAAGATATTTCCGTTTCTACGATTGGCCTCAAAGCGATTGAAATCTCCAACTGGAAACTGCACAAATAGGGTGTTTCAAATCTGCTCTGTCTAAAGGAAGGTTCAACTCTGTGAGTTGAATACACACACCACAAATAAGTTACTGAGAATTCTTCTGTCGAACATTACATGAAGAATTCCCGTTTCCAACGAAGGCCTCAAAGAGGTCCAAATATCCACTTGCAGGCATTACAAACAGAGTGTTTCCAAACTGCTCCATCAAAAGAAAGGTTAAACTCTGTGAGCTGAACACACACATCAAAAAGAAGTTTCTGTGAATGATTCTGTCTAGATTTTATAAGAACATATTTCCTTTTCTACCGTAGGCCACAAAGCGCTTGAAATCTCCAGCTGCAAATTCCACAAAAAGGGTGTTTAACATCTGCTCTTCTAAAGGAAAGTTCAACTCTATGAGTTGAATACACACAGCACAAAGAAGTTACTGAGACTTCTCCTATCAAACATTATATGAAGAAATCCCGTTTCCAACGAAGGCCTCAAAGAGGTCCAAATATCCACTTGCAGACATTACAAACAGAGTGTTTCCAAACTGTTCCATCAAAAGAAAGATTAAACTCTGTGAGCTGAACACACACATGAAAAAGAAGTTTCTGTGAATGATTCTGTCTAGATTTTATACGAAGATGTTTCCTTTTCTACCTTTGGTCTCAATGCGATTGAAATCTCCACATGGAAACTCCACAAAAAGTGTGTTTGAAATCTGCTCTTTCTGAAGGAAGGTTCAACTCTGTGAGTTGAATACACACACCACAAATAAGTTACTGAGAATTCTTCTGTGTAACATTATATGAGGAAATCCCGTTTCCAACGAAGGCCTCAAAGAGGTCCAAATATCCACTTGCAGACTTTACAAAGACAGTGTCTCCAAACTCCTCCATCAAAAGAAAGGTTATACTCTGTGAATTGAACGCACACATCACAAAGTAGTTTCTGAGAATGATTCTGTCTAGTTTTTATACGAAGATATTTCCTTTTCTACATTTGGCCTAAAAGCGCTTGAAATCTCCACCTGCAAATATCACAAAAAGAGGGTTTCACATCTGCTCTGTCCAAAGGACAGTTCACCTCTGTGAGTTGAATAGAGGCAACACAAAGAACTTACTCAGTATTCTTCTTTCTAGCGTTCTATGAAGAAATCCCGTTTCCAACGAAGGCCCCAAAGAGGTCCAAATATCTGCTTGCAGACTTTACAGACAGAGTGTTTCCAAACTACTCTATGAAAAGAAAGCTTAAACTCCTTGAGTTGAACGCACACATCACAAAGTAGTTTCTGAGAATGATTCTGTCTAGTTTTTATACGAAGATGTTTCCTTTTCTACATTTGGTCTCAAAGCGATTGAAATCTCCAACTGGAAACTGCACAAATAGGGTGTTTCAAATCTGCTCTGTCTAAAGGAAGGTTCAACTCTGTGAGTTGAATACACACACCACAAATAAGTTACTGAGAATTCTTCTGTCGACCATTACTTGAAGAAATCCCGTTTCCAATGAAGGCCTCAAAAAGGTCCAAATATCCACTTGCAGACATTACAAACAGAGTGTTTCCAAACTGCTCCATCAAAAGAAAGGTTAAACTCTGTGAGCTGAACACACACATCAAAAAGAAGTTTGCTGTGAATGATTCTGTCTAGATTTTATAAGAAGATGTTTCCTGTTCTACCGTAGGCCTCAAAGCGCTTGAAATCTCCAGCTGCAAATTCCACAAAAAGGGTGTTTAACATCTGCTTTTCTAAAGGAAAGTTCAACTCAATGAGTTGAATACACACAGCAGAAAGAAGTTACTGAGACTTCTCCTATCAAACATTATATGAAGAAATCCCGTTTCCAACGAAGGCCTCAAAGAGGTCCAAATATCTGCTTGCAGACTTTACAGACAGAGTGTTTCCAAACTGCTCCATCAAAAGAAAGGTTAAACTCCTTGAGTTGAACACACACATCACAAAGTAGTTTCTGTGAATGATTCTGTCTAGTTGTTATACGAAGATGTTTCCTTTTCTACCTTTGGTCTCAAAGCGATTGAAATCTCCACATGGAAACTCCACAAAAAGAGTGTTTCAAATCTGCTCTTTCTGAAGGAAGGTTCATCTCTGTGAGTTGAATACACACACCACAAATAAGTTACTGAGAATTCTTCTGTGTAACATTATATGAGGAAATCCCGTTTCCAACGAAGGCCTCAAAGAGGTCCAAATATCCACTTGCAGTCTTTACAAAGACAGTGTCTCCAAACTCCTCCATCAAAAGAAAGGTTCTACTCTGTGAATTGAACGCACACATCACAAAGTAGTTTCTGAGAATGATTCTGTCTAGTTTTTATACGAAGATATTTCCTTTTCTACATTTGGCCTAAAAGCGCTTGAAATCTCCACCTGCAAATATCACAAAAAGAGGGTTTCACATCTGCTCTGTCTAAAGGACAGTTCACCTCTGTGAGTTGAATAGAGGCAACACAAAGAACTTACTCAGTATTCTTCTTTCTAGCGTTCTATGAAGAAATCCCGTTTCCAACGAAGGCCCCAAAGAGGTCCAAATATCTGCTTGCAGACTTTACAGACAGAGTGTTTCCAAACTACTCTATGAAAAGAAAGCTTAAACTCCTTGAGTTGAACGCACACATCACAAAGTAGTTTCTGAGAATGATTCTGTCTAGTTTTTATACGAAGATGTTTCCTTTTCTACATTTGGTCTCAAAGCGATTGAAATCTCCAACTGGAAACTGCACAAATAGGGTGTTTCAAATCTGCTCTGTCTAAAGGAAGGTTCAACTCTGTGAGTTGAATACACACACCACAAATAAGTTACTGAGAATTCTTCTGTCGAACATTACTTGAAGAAATCCCGTTTCCAACGAAGGCCTCAAAGAGGTCCAATTATCCACTTGCAGACATTACAAACAGAGTGTTTCCAAACTGCTCCATCAAAAGAAAGGTTAAACTCTGTGAGCTGAACACACACATCGAAAAGAAGTTTCTGTGAATGATTCTGTCTAGATTTTATAAGAAGATGTTTCCTTTTCTACAGTAGGCCTCAAAGCGCTTGAAATCTCCAGCTGCAAATTCCACAAAAAGGGTGTTTAACATCTGCTCTTCTAAAGGAAATTACAACTCTATGAGTTGAATGCACACAGCACAAAGAAGTTACTGAGACTTCTCCTATCAAACATTATATGAAGAAATCCCGTTTCCAACGAAGGCCTCAAAGAGGTCCAAATATCTGCTTGCAGACTTTACAGACAGAGTGTTTCCAAACTGCTCCATCAAAAGAAAGGTTAAACTCCTTGAGTTGAACACACACATCACAAAGTAGTTTCTGTGAATGATTCTGTCTAGTTGTTATACGAAGATGTTTCCTTTTCTACCTTTGGTCTCAAAGCGATTGAAATCTCCACATGGAAACTCCACAAAAAGAGTTTTTCAAATCTGCTCTTTCTGAAGGAAGGTTCATCTCTGTGAGTTGAATACACACACCACAAATAAGTTACTGAGAATTCTTCTGTGTAACATTATATGAGGAAATCCCGTTTCCAACGAAGGCCTCAAAGAGGTCCAAATATCCACTTGCAGACTTTACAAAGACAGTGTCTCCAAACTCCTCCATCAAAAGAAAGGTTATACTCTGTGAATTGAACGCACACATCACAAAGTAGTTTCTGAGAATGATTCTGTCTAGTTTTTATACGAAGATATTTCCTTTTCTACATTTGGCCTAAAAGCGCTTGAAATCTCCACCTGCAAATATCACAAAAAGAGGGTTTCACATCTGCTCTGTCTAAAGGACAGTTCACCTCTGTGAGTTGAATAGAGGCAACACAAAGAACTTACTCAGTATTCTTCTTTCTAGCGTTATATGAAGAAATCCCGTTTCCAACGAAGGCCTCAAAGAGGTCCAAATATCTGCTTGCAGACTTTACAGACAGAGTGTTTCCAAACTACTCTATGAAAAGAAAGCTTAAACTCCTTGAGTTGAACGCACACATCACAAAGTAGTTTCTGAGAATGATTCTGTCTAGTTTTTATACGAAGATGTTTCCTTTTCTACATTTGGTCTCAAAGCGATTGAAATCTCCAACTGGAAACTGCACAAATAGGGTGTTTCAAATCTGCTCTGTCTAAAGGAAGGTTCAACTCTGTGAGTTGAATACACACACCACAAATAAGTTACTGAGAATTCTTCTGTCGAACATTACATGAAGAAATCCCGTTTCCAACGAAGGCCTCAAAGAGGTCCAAATATCCACTTGCAGACATTACAGAGTGTTTCCAAACTGCTCCATCAAAAGAAAGGTTAAACTCTGTGAGCTGAACACACACATCAAAAAGAAGTTTCTGTGAATGATTCTGTCTAGATTTTATAAGAAGATGTTTCCTTTTCTACCGTAGGCCTCAAAGCGCTTGAAATCTCCAGCTGCAAATTCCACAAAAAGGGTGTTTAACATCTGCTCTTCTAAAGCAAAGTTCAACTCTATGAGTTGAATACACACAGCACAAAGAAGTTACTGAGACTTCTCCTATCAAACATCACATGAAGAAATCCCGTTTCCAACGAAGGCCTCAAAGAGGTCCAAATATCTGCTTGCAGACTTTACAGACAGAGTGTTTCCAAACTGCTCCATCAAAAGAAAGGTTAAACTCCTTGAGTTGAACACACACATCACAAAGTAGTTTCTGTGAATGATTCTGTCTAGTTTTTATACGAAGATGTTTCCTTTTCTACCTTTGTTCTCAAAGCGATTGAAATCTCCACATGGAAACTCCACAAAAAGTGTGTTTCAAATCTGCTCTCTCTGAAGGAAGGTTCAACTCTGTGAGTTGAATACACACACCACTAATAAGTTACTGAGAATTCTTCTGTGTAACATTATATGAGGAAATCCCGTTTCCAACGAAGGCCTCAAAGAGGTCCAAATATCCACTTGCAGACTTTACAAAGACAGTGTCTCCAAACTCCTCCATCAAAAGAAAGGTTATACTCTGTGAATTGAACGCACACATCACAAAGTAGTTTCTGAGAATGATTCTGTCTAGTTTTTATACGAAGATATTTCCTTTTCTACATTTGGCCTAAAAGCACTTGAAATCTCCACCTGCAAATATCCCAAAAAGAGGGTTTCACATCTGCTCTGTCTAAAGGACAGTTCTCCTCTGTGAGTAGAATAGAGGCAACACAAAGAACTTAGTATTCTTCTTTCTAGCGTTCTATGAAGAAATCCCGTTTCCAACGAAGGCCTCAAAGAGGTCCAAATATCTGCTTGCAGACTTTACAGACAAAGTGTTTCCAAACTACTCTATGAAAAGAAAGCTTAAACTCCTTGAGTTGAACGCACACATCACAAAGCAGTTTCTGAGAATGATTCTGTCTAGTTTTTATACGAAGATGTTTCCTTTTCTACATTTGGTCTCAAAGCGATTGAAATCTCCAACTGGAAACTGCACAAATAGGGTGTTTCAAATCTGCTCTGTCTAAAGGAAGGTTCAACTCTGTGAGTTGAATACACACACCACAAATAAGTTACTGAGAATTCTTCTGTCGAACATTACATGAAGAAATCCCGTTTCCAACGAAGACCTCAAAGAGGTCCAAATATCCACTTGCAGACATTACAAACAGTGTGTTTCCAAACTGCTCCAACAAAAGAAAGGTTAAACACTGTGAGCTGAACACACACATCAAAAAGAAGTTTCTGTGAATGATTCTGTCTAGATTTTATAAGAAGATGTTTCCTTTTCTACTGTAGGCCTCAAAGCGCTTGAAATCTCCAGCTGCAAATTCCACAAAAAGGGTGTTTAACATCTGCTCTTCTAAAGGAAAGTTCAACTCTATGAGTTGAATACACACAGCACAAAGAAGTTACTGAGACTTCTCCTATCAAACATTATATGAAGAAATCCCGTTTCCAACGAAGGCCTCAAAGAGGTCCAAATATCTGCTTGCAGACTTTACAGACAGAGTGTTTCCAAACTGCTCCATCAAAAGAAAGGTTAAACTCCTTGAGTTGAACACACACATCACAAAGTAGTTTCTGTGAATGATTCTGTCTAGTTTTTATACGAAGATGTTTCCTTTTCTACCTTTGGTCTCAAAGCGATTGAAATCTCCACATGGAAACTCCACAAAAAGAGTGTTTCAAATCTGCTCTTTCTGAAGGAAGGTTCAACTCTGTGAGTTGAATACACACACCACAAATAAGTTACTGAGAATTCTTCTGTGTAACATTATATGAGGAAATCCCGTTTCCAACGAAGGCCTCAAAGAGGTCCAAATATCCACTTGCAGACTTTACAAAGACAGTGTCTCCAAACTCCTCCATCAAAGGAAAGGTTATCCTCTGTGAATTGAACGCACACATCACAAAGTAGTTTCTGAGAATGATTTCTGTGTAGTTTTTATACGAAGATATTTCCTTTTCTACATTTGGCCTAAAAGCGCTTGAAATCTCCACCTGCAAATATCACAAAAAGAGGGTTTCACATCTGCTCTGTCTAAAGGGCAGTTCACCTCTGTGAGTTGAATAGAGGCAGCACAAAGAAGTTACTGAGTATTTTTTTTTCTAGCGTTACATGAAGAAATCCCGTTTCCAACGAAGGCCTCAAAGAGGTCCAAATATCTGCTTGCAGACTTTACAGACAGAGTGTTTCCAAACTACTCTATGAAAAGAAAGCTTAAACTCCTTGAGTTGAACGCACACATCACAAAGTAGTTTCTGAGAATGATTCTGTCTTGTTTTTATACGAAGATATTTCCGTTTCTATGATTGGCCTCCAAGCGATTGAAATCTCCAACTGGAAACTGCACAAATAGGGTGTTTCAAATCTGCTCTGTCTAAAGGAAGGTTCAACTCTGTGAGTTGAATACACACACCACAAATAAGTTACTGAGAATTCTTCTGTCGAACATTACATGAAGAAATCCCGTTTCCAACGAAGGCCTCAAAGAGGTCCAAATATCCACTTGCAGACATTACAAACAGAGTGTTTCCAAACTGCTCCATCAAAAGAAAGTTTAAACCCTGTGAGCTGAACAAACACATCAAAAAGAAGTTTCTGTGAATGATTCTGTCTAGACTTTAGAAGAAGATGTTTCCTTTTCTACTGTAGGCCTCAAAGCGCTTGAAATCTCCAGCTGCAAATTCCACAAAAAGGGAGTTTAACATCTGCTCTTCTAAAGGAAAGTTCAACTCCATGAGTTGAATACACACAGCACAAAGAAGTTACTGAGACTTCTCCTATCAAACATTATATGAAGAAATCCCGTTTCCAACGAAGGCCTCAAAGAGGTCCAAATATCCACTTGCAGACGTGACAAACAGAGTGTTTCCAAACTGCTCCATCAAAAGAAAGGTTAAACTCTGTGAGTTGAACACACACATCACAAAGTAGTTTCTGTGAATGATTCTGTCTAGTTTTCATACGAAGATGTTTCCTTTTCTACGTCTTGTCTCAAAGCCATTGAAATCTCCACATGGAAACTCCACAAAAAGAGGGTTTCAAATCTGTTCTTTCTGAAGGAAGGTTCAACTCTGTGAGTTGAATACACACACCACAAATAAGTTACTGAGAATTCTTCTGTGTAACATTATAGGAGGAAATCCCGTTTCCAACGAAGGCCTCAAAGAGGTCCAAATATCCACTTGCAGTCTTTACAAAGACAGTGTCTCCAAACTCCTCCATCAAAAGAAAGCTTATCCTCTGTGAATTGAACGCACACATCACAAAGTAGTTTCTGAGAATGATTCTGTCTAGTTTTTATACGAAGATATTTCCTTTTCTACATTTGGCCTAAAAGCGCTTGAAATCTCCACCTGCAAATATCACAAAAACAGGATTTCACATCTGCTCTGTCGAAAGGACAGTTCACCTCTGTGAGTTGAATAGAGGCAGCACAAAGAAGTTACTGAGTATTCTTCTTTCTAGCGTTACATGAAGAAATCCCGTTTCCAACGAAGGCCTCAAAGAGGTCCAAATATCTGCTTGCAGACTTTACAGACAGAGTGTTTCCAAACTACTCTATGAAAAGAAAGCTTAAACTCTTTGAGTTGAACGCACACATCACAAAGTAGTTTCTGAGAATGATTCTGTCTTGTTTTTATACGAAGATATTTCCGTTTCTATGATTGGCCTCCAAGCGATTGAAATCTCCAACTGGAAACTGCACAAATAGGGTGTTTCAAATCTGCTCTGTCTAAAGGAAGGTTCAACTCTGTGAGTTGAATACACACACCAAAAATAAGTTACTGAGAATTCTTCTGTCGAACATTACATGAAGAAATCCCGTTTCCAACGAAGGCCTCAAAGAAGTCCAAATATCCACTTGCAGACATTACAAACAGAGTGTTTCCAAACTGCTCCATCAAAAGAAAGGTTAAACTCTGTGAGCTGAACACACACATCAAAAAGAAGTTTCTGTGAATGATTCTGTCTAGACTTTAGAAGAAGATGTTTCCTTTTCTACCGTAGGCCTCAAAGCGCTTGAAATCTCCAGCTGCAAATTCCACAAAAAGGGTGTTTAACATCTGCTCTTCTAAAGGAAAGTTCAACTCCATGAGTTGAATACACACAGCACAAAGAAGTTACTGAGACTTCTCCTATCAAACATTATATGAAGAAATCCCGTTTCCAACGAAGGCCTCAAAGAGGTCCAAATATCCACTTGCAGACGTGACAAACAGAGTGTTTCCAAACTGCTCCATCAAAAGAAAGGTTAAACTCTGTGAGTTGAACACACACATCACAAAGTAGTTTCTGTGAATGATTCTGTCTAGTTTTTATACGAAGATGTTTCCTTTTCTACCTTTGGTCTCAAAGCGATTGAAATCTCCACATGGAAACTCCACAAAAAGTGTGTTTCAAATCTGCTCTTTCTGAAGGAAGGTTCAACTCTGTGAGTTGAATACACACACCACAAATAAGTTACTGAGAATTCTTCTGTGTAAAATTATATGAGGAAATCCCGTTTCCAACGAAGGCCTCAAAGAGGTCCAAATATCCACTTGCAGACTTTACAAAGACAGTGTCTCCAAACACCTCCATCAAAAGAAAGGTTATACTCTGTGAATTGAACGCACACATCACAAAGTAGTTTCTGAGAATGATTCTGTCTAGTTTTTATACGAAGATATTTCCTTTTCTACATTTGGCCTAAAAGCGCTTGAAATCTCCACCTGCAAATATCACAAAAAGAGGGTTTCACATCTGCTCTGTCTAAAGGACAGTTCACCTCTGTGAGTTGAATAGAGGCAACACTAAGAACTTACTCAGTATTCTTCTTTCTAGCGTTCTATGAAGAAATCCCGTTTCCAACGAAGGCCTCAAGGAGGTCCAAATATCTGCTTGCAGACTTTACAGACAGGGTGTTTCCAAACTACTCTATGAAAAGAAAGCTTAAACTCCTTGAGTTGAACGCACACGTCACAAAGTAGTTTATGAGAATGATTCTGTCTAGTTTTTATACGAAGATGTTTCCTTTTCTACATTTGGTCTCAAAGCGATTGAAATCTCCCACTGGAAACTGCACAAATAGGGTGTTTCAAATCTGCTCTGTCTAAAGGAAGGTTCTACTCTGTGAGATGAATACACACACCACAAATAAGTTACTGAGAATTCTCCCTATCAAACATTATATGAAGAAATCCCGTTTCCAACGAAGGCCTCAAAGAGGTCCAAATATCTGCTTGCAGACTTTACAGACAGAGTGTTTCCAAACTGCTCCATCAAAAGAAAGGTTAAACTCCTTGAGTTGAACACACACATCACAAAGTAGTTTCTGTGAATGATACTGTCTAGTTTTTATACGAAGATGTTTCCTTTTCTACCTTTGGTCTCAAAGCGATTGAAATCTCCACATGGAAACTCCACAAAAAGAGTGTTTCAAATCTGCTCTTTCTGAAGGAAGGTTCAACTCTGTGAGTTGAATACACACACCACAAATAAGTTACTGAGAATTCTTCTGTGTAACATTATATGAGGAAATCCCGTTTCCAACGAAGGCCTCAAAGAGGTCCAAATGTCCACTTGCGGACTTTACAAAGACAGTGTCTCCAAACTCCTCCATCAAAAGAAAGGTTATACTCTGTGAATTGAACGCACACATCACAAAGTAGTTTCTGAGAATGATTCTGTCTAGTTTTTATACGAAGATATTTCCTTTTCTACATTTGGCCTAAAAGCGCTTGAAATCTCCACCTGCAAATATCACAAAAAGAGGGTTTCACATCTGCTCTGTCTAAAGGACAGTTCACCTCTGTGATTTGAATGGAGGCAACACAAAGAACTTACTCAGTATTCTTCTTTCTAGCGTTCTATGAAGAAATCCCGTTTCCAACGAAGGCCTCAAAGAGGTCCAAATATCTGCTTGCAGACTTTACAAAGACAGTGTCTCCAAACTCCTCCGTCAAAAGAAAGGTTATACTCTGTGAATTGAACGCACACATCACAAAGTAGTTTCTGAGAATGATTGTGTCTAGTTTTTATACGAAGATATTTCCTTTTCTACATTTGGCCTCAAAGCGCTTGAAATCTCCACCTGCAAATATCACAAAAAGAGGGTTTCACATCTGCTCTGTCTAAAGGACAGTTCACCTCTGTGAGTTGAATAGAGGCAACACAAAGAACTTACTCAGTATTCTTCTTTCTAGCGTTCTATGAAGAAATCCCGTTTCCAACGAAGGCCCCAAAGAGGTCCAAATATCTGCTTGCAGACTTTACAGACAGAGTGTTTCCAAACTACTCTATGAAAAGAAAGCTTAAACTCCTTGAGTTGAACGCACACATCACAAAGTAGTTTCTGAGAATGATTCTGTCTAGTTTTTATACGAAGATGTTTCCTTTTCTACATTTGGTCTCAAAGCGATTGAAATCTCCAACTGGAAACTGCACAAATAGGGTGTTTCAAATCTGCTCTGTCTAAAGGAAGGTTCAACTCTGTGAGTTGAATACACACACCACACATAAGTTACTGAGAATTCTTCTGTCGAACATTACAGGAAGAAATCCCGTTACCAACGAAGGCCTCAAAGAGGTCCAAATATCCACTTGCAGACATTACAAACAGTGTGTTTGCAAACTGCTCCATCAAAAGAAAGGTTAAACTCTGTGAGCTGAACACACACATCAAAAAGAAGTTTCTGTGAATGATTCTGTCTAGATTTTATAAGAAGATGTTTCCTTTTCTACCGTAGGCCTCAAAGCGCTTGAAATCTCCAGCTGCAAATTCCACAAAAAGGGTGTTTAACATCTGGTCTTCTAAAGGAAAGTTCAACTCTATGAGTTGAATACACACAGCACAAAGAAGTTACTGAGACTTCTCCTATCAAACATTATATGAAGAAATCCCGTTTCCAACGAAGGCCTCAAAGAGGTCCAAATATCTGCTTGCAGACTTTACAGACAGAGTGTTTCCAAACTGCTCCATCAAAAGAAAGGTTAAACTCCTTGAGTTGAACACACACATCACAAAGTAGTTTCTGTGAATGATTCTGTCTAGTTTTTATACGAAGATGTTTCCTTTTCTACCTTTGGTCTCAAAGCGATTGAAATCTCCACATGGAAACTCCACAAAAAGAGTGTTTCAAATCTGCTCTTTCTGAAGGAAGGTTCAACTCTGTGAGTTGAATACACACACCACAAATAAGTTACTGAGAATTCTTCTGTGTAACATTATATGAGGAAATCCCGTTTCCAACGAAGGCCTCAAAGAGGTCCAAATATCCACTTGCAGACTTTACAAAGACAGTGTCTCCAAACTCCTCCATCAAAAGAAAGGTTATACTCTGTGAATTGAACGCACACATCACAAAGTAGTTTCTGAGAATGATTCTGTCTAGTTTTTATACGAAGATATTTCCTTTTCTACATTTGGCCTAAAAGCGCTTGAAATCTCCACCTGCAAATATCACAAAAAGCGGGTTTCACATCTGCTCTGTCTAAAGGACAGTTCAGCTCTGTGAGTTGAATAGAGGCAACACAAAGAACTTACTCAGTATTCTTCTTTCTAGCGTTCTATGAAGAAATCCCGTTTCCAACGAAGGCCCCAAAGAGGTCCAAATATCTGCTTGCAGACTTTACAGACAGAGTGTTTCCAAACTACTCTATGAAAAGAAAGCTTAAACTCCTTGAGTTGAACGCACACATCACAAAGTAGTTTCTGAGAATGATTCTGTCTAGTTTTTATACGAAGATGTTTCCTTTTCTACATTTGGTCTCAAAGCGATTGAAATCTCCAACTGGAAACTGCACAAATAGGCTGTTTCAAATCTGCTCTGTCTAAAGGAAGGTTCAACTCTGTGAGTTGAATACACACACCACAAATAAGTTACTGAGAATTCTTCTGTCGAACATTACTTGAAGAAATCCCGTTTCCAACGAAGGCCTCAAAGAGGTCCAAATATCCACTTGCAGACATTACAAACAGAGTGTTTCCAAACTGCTCCATCAAAAGAAAGGTTAAACTCTGTGAGCTGAACACACACATCGAAAAGAAGTTTCTGTGAATGATTCTGTCTAGATTTTATAAGAAGATGTTTCCTTTTCTACCGTAGGCCTCAAAGCGCTTGAAATCTCCAGCTGCAAATTCCACAAAAAGGGTGTTTAACATCTGCTCTTCTAAAGGAAAGTTCAACTCTATGAGTTGAATACACACAGCACAAAGAAGTTACTGAGACTTCTTCTGTCGAACATTACTTGAAGAAATCCCGTTTCCAACGAAGGCCTCAAAGAGGTCCAAATATCTGCTTGCAGACTTTACAGACAGAGTGTTTCCAATCTGCTCCATCAAAAGAAAGGTTAAACTCCTTGAGTTGAACACACACATCACAAAGTAGTTTTTGTGAATGATTCTGTCTAGTTTCTATACTGAAGATGTTTCCTTTTCTACCTTTGGTCTCAAAGCGATTGAAATCTCCACATGGAAACTCCACAAAAAGAGTGTTTCAAATCTGCTCTTTCTGAAGGAAGGTTCAACTCTGTGAGTTGAATACACACACCACAAATAAGTTACTGAGAATTCTTCTGGGTAACATTATATGAGGAAATCCCGTTTCCAACGAAGGCCTCAAAGAGGTCCAAATATCCACTTGCAGACTTTACAAAGACAGTGTCTCCAAACTCCTCCATCAAAAGAAAGGTTATACTCTGTGAATTGAACGCACACATCACAAAGTAGTTTCTGAGAATGATTCTGTCTAGTTTTTATACGAAGATATTTCCTTTTCTACATTTGGCCTAAAAGCGCTTGAAATCTCCACCTGCAAATATCACAAAAAGAGGGTTTCACATCTGCTCTGTGTAAAGGACAGTTCACCTCTGTGAGTTGAATAGAGGCAACACAAAGAACTTACTCAGTATTCTTCTTTCTAGCGTTCTATGAAGAAATCCCGTTTCCAACGAAGGCCCCAAAGAGGTCCAAATATCTGCTTGCAGACTTTACAGACAGAGTGTTTCCAAACTACTCTATGAAAAGAAAGCTTAAACTCCTTGAGTTGAACGCACACATCACAAAGTAGTTTCTGAGAATGATTCTGTCTAGTTTTTATACGAAGATGTTTCCTTTTCTACATTTGGTCTCAAAGCGATTGAAATCTCCAACTGGAAACTGCACAAATAGGGTGTTTCAAATCTGCTCTGTCTAAAGGAAGGTTCAACTCTGTGAGTTGAATACACACACCACAAATAAGTTACTGAGAATTCTTCTGTCGACCATTACTTGAAGAAATCCCGTTTCCAACGAAGGCCTCAAAGAGGTCCAAATATCCACTTGCAGACATTACAAACAGAGTGTTTCCAAACTGCTCCATCAAAAGAAAGGTTAAACTCTGTGAGCTGAACACACACATCGAAAAGAAGTTTCTGTGAATGATTCTGTCTAGATTTTATAAGAAGATGTTTCCTTTTCTACCGTAGGCCTCAAAGCGCTTGAAATCTCCAGCTGCAACTTCCACAAAAAGGGTGTTTAACATCTGCTCTTCTAAAGGAAAGTTCAACTCTATGAGTTGAATACACACAGCACAAAGAAGTTACTGAGACTTCTCCTATCAAACATTATATGAAGAAATCCCGTTTCCAACGAAGGCCTCAAAGAGGTCCAAATATCTGCTTGCAGACTTTACAGACAGAGTGTTTCCAAACTGCTCCATCAAAAGAAAGGTTAAACTCCTTGAGTTGAACACACACATCACAAAGTAGTTTCTGTGAATGATTCTGTCTAGTTGTTATACGAAGATGTTTCCTTTTCTACCTTTGGTCTCAAAGCGATTGAAATCTCCACATGGAAACTCCACAAAAAGAGTGTTTCAAATCTGCTCTTTCTGAAGGAAGGTTCATCTCTGTGAGTTGAATACACACACCACAAATAAGTTACTGAGAATTCTTCTGTGTAACATTATATGAGGAAATCCCGTTTCCAACGAAGGCCTCAAAGAGGTCCAAATATCCACTTGCAGACTTTACAAAGACAGTGTCTCCAAACTCCTCCATCAAAAGAAAGGTTATACTCTGTGAATTGAACGCACACATCACAAAGTAGTTTCTGAGAATGATTCTGTCTAGTTTTTATACGAAGATATTTCCTTTTCTACATTTGGCCTAAAAGCGCTTGAAATCTCCACCTGCAAATATCACAAAAAGAGGGTTTCACATCTGCTCTGTCTAAAGGACAGTTCACCTCTGTGAGTTGAATAGAGGCAACACAAAGAACGTACTCAGTATTCTTCTTTCTAGCGTTCTATGAAGAAATCCCGTTTCCAACGAAGGCCCCAAAGAGGTCCAAATATCTGCTTGCAGACTTTACAGACAGAGTATTTCCAAACTGCTCCATCAAAAGAAAGGTTAAACTCCTGGAGTTGAACACACACATCACAAAGTAGTTTCTGTGAATGATTCTGTCTAGTTTTTATACGAAGATGTTTCCTTTTCTACCTTTGGTCTCAAAGCGATTGAAATCTCCACATGGAAACTCCACAAAAAGAGTGTTTCAAATCTGCTCTTTCTGAAGGAAGGTTCAACTCTGTGAGTTGAATACACACACCACAAATAAGTTACTGAGAATTCTTCTGTGTAACATTATATGAGGAAATCCCGTTTCCAACGAAGGCCTCAAAGAGGTCCAAATATCCACTTGCAGACTTTACAAAGACAGTGTCTCCAAACTCCTCCATCAAAAGAAAGTTTATACTCTGTGAATTGAACGCACACATCACAAAGTAGTTTCTGAGAATGATTCTGTCTAGTTTTTATACGAAGATATTTCCTTTTCTACATTTGGCCTAAAAGCGCTTGAAATCTCCACCTGCAAATATCACAAAAAGAGGGTTTCACATCTGCTCTGTCTAAAGGACAGTTCACCTCTGTGAGTTGAATAGAGGCAACACAAAGAACTTACTCAGTATTCTTCTTTCTAGCGTTCTATGAAGAAATCCCGTTTCCAACGAAGGCCTCAAAGAGGTCAAATATCTGCTTGCAGACTTTACAGACAGAGTGTTTCCAAACTACTCTATGAAAAGAAAGCTTAAACTCCTTCAGTTGAACGCACACATCACAAAGTAGTTTCTGAGAATGATTCTGTCTAGCTTTTATACGAAGATGTTTCCTTTTCTACATTTGGTCTCAAAGCTCTTGAAATCTCCAACTGGAAACTGCACAAATAGGCTGTTTCAAATCTGCTCTGTCTAAAGGAAGGTTCAACTCTGTGAGTTGAATACACACACCACAAATAAGTTACTGAGAATTCTTCTGTCGAACATTACTTGAAGAAATCCTGTTTCCAACGAAGGCCTCAAAGAGGTCCAAATATCCACTTCCAGACATTACAAACAGAGTGTTTCCAAACTGCTCCATCAAAAGAAAGGTTAAACTCTGTGAGCTGAACACACACATCAAAAAGCAGTTTCTGTGAATGATTCTGTCTAGATTTTATAAGAAGATGTTTCCTTTTCTACCGTAGGCCTCAAAGCGCTTGAAATCTCCAGCTGCAAATTCCACAAAAAGGGTGTTTAACATCTGCTCTTCTAAAGGAAAGTTCAACTCTATGAGTTGAATACACACAGCACAAAGAAGTTACTGAGACTTCTTCTTTCTAGCGTTCTATGAAGAAATCCCGTTTCCAACGAAGGCCTCAAAGAGGTCCAAATATCTGCTTGCAGACTTTACAGACAGAGTGTTTTTAAACTGCTCCATCAAAAGAAAGGTTAAACTTCCTTGAGTTGAACACACACATCACAAAGTAGTTTCTGTGAATGATTCTGTCTAGTTTTATACGAACATGTTTCCTTTTCTACCTTTGGTCTCAAAGCGATTGAAATCTCCACATGGAAACTCCACAAAAAGAGTGTTTCAAATCTGCTCTTTCTGAAGGAAGGTTCAACTCTGTGAGTTGAATACACACACCACAAATCAGTTACTGAGAATTCTTCTGTGTAACATTATATGAGGAAATCCCGTTTCCAACGAAGGCCTCAAAGAGGTCCAAATATCCACTTGCAGACTTTACAAAGACAGTGTCTCCAAACTCCTCCATCAAAAGAAAGGTTATACTCTGTGAATTGAACGCACACATCACAAAGTAGTTTCTGAGAATGATTCTGTCTAGTTTTTATACGAAGATATTTCCTTGTCTACATTTGGCCTAAAAGCGCTTGAAATCTCCACCTGCAAATATCACAAACAGAGGGTTTCACATCTGCTCTGTCTAAAGGACAGTTCACCTCTGTGAGTTGAATAGAGGCAACACAAAGAACTCACTCAGTATTCTTCTTTCTAGCGTTATATGATGAAATCCCGTTTCCAACGAAGGCCTCAAAGAGGTCCAAATATCTGCTTGCAGACTTTACAGACAGAGTGTTTCCAAACTACTCTATGAAAAGAAAGCTTAAACTCCGTGAGTTGAACGCACACATCACAAAGTAGTTTCTGAGAATGATTCTGTCTTGTTTTTATACGAAGATATTTCCGTTTCTACGATTGGCCTCAAAGCGATTGAAATCTCCAACTGGAAACTGCACAAATAGGGTGTTTCAAATCTGCTCTGTCTAAAGGAAGGTTCAACTCTGTGAGTTGAATACACACACCACAAATAAGTTACTGAGAATTCTTCTCTCGAACATTACATGAAGAAATCCCGTTTCCAACGAAGGCCGCAAAGAGGTCCAAATATCCACTTGCCGACATGTCAAACACAGTGTTTGCAAACTGCTCCGTCAAAAGAAAGGTTAAACTCTGTGAGATGAACACACACATCAAAAAGAAGTTTCTGTGAATGATTCTGTCTAGATTTTATAAGAAGCTGTTTCCTTTTCTACCATAGGCCTCAAAGCGCTAGAAATCTCCAGCTCCAAATTCCACAAAAAGTGTGTTTAACATCTGCTCTGTCTAAAATAAAGTTCAGCTCTGTGAGTTGAATACACACAGCACAAAGAAGTTACTGAGACTTCTTCTGTCTAACATTATATGAAGAAATCCCTTTTCCAAAGAAGGCCTCAAAGAGGTCCAAATATCCACTTGCAGACTTGTCAAACAGAGTGTTTGCAAACTGCACCATCAAAGGAAAGGTTAAACTCTGTGAGCTGAACACACACATCACAAAGAAGTTTCTGTGAATGATTCTGTCTAGTTTTTATACGAAGATGTTTCCTTTTCTACCTTTGGTCTCAAAGCGATTGAAATCTCCACATGGAAACTCCACAAAAAGAGTGTTTCAAATCTGCTCTTTCTGAAGGAAGGTTCAACTCTGTGAGTTGAATACACACACCACAAATAAGTTACTGAGAATTCTTCTGGGTAACATTATATGAGGAAATCCCGTTTCCAACGAAGGCCTCAAAGAGGTCCAAATATCCACTTGCAGACTTTACAAAGACAGTGTCTCCAAACTCCTCCATCAAAAGAAAGGTTATACTCTGTGAATTGAACGCACACATCACAAAGTAGTTTCTGAGAATGATTCTGTCTAGTTTTTATACGAAGATATTTCCTTTTCTACATTTGGCCTAAAAGTGCTTGAAATCTCCACCTGCAAATATCACAAAAAGAGGGTTTCACATCTGCTCTGTCTAAAGGACAGTTCACCTCTGTGAGTTGAATAGAGGCAACACAAAGAACTTACTCAGTATTCTTCTTTCTAGCGTTCTATGAAGAAATCCCGTTTCCAACGAAGGCCTCAAAGAGGTCAAATATCTGCTTGCAGACTTTACAGACAGAGTGTTTCCAAACTACTCTATGAAAAGAAAGCTTAAACTCCTTGAGTTGAACGCACACATCACAAAGTAGTTTCTGAGAATGATTCTGTCTAGTTTTTATACGAAGATGTTTCCTTTTCTACATTTGGTCTCAAAGCGATTGAAATCTCCAACTGGAAACTGCACAAATAGGCTGTTTCAAATCTGCTCTGTCTAAAGGAAGGTTCAGCTCTGTGAGTTGAATACACACACCACAAATAAGTTACTGAGAATTCTTCTGTCGAACATTACAGGAAGAAATCCCGTTTCCAATGAAGGCCTCAAAGAGGTCCAAATATCCACTTGCGGACATTACAAACAGTGTGTTTCCCAACTGCTCCATCAAAAGAAAGGTTAAACTCTGTGAGCTGAACACACACATCAAAAAGAAGTTTCTGTGAATGATTCTGTCCAGATTTTATAAGAAGATGTTTCCTTTTCTACCGTAGGCCTCAAAGCGCTTGAAATCTCCAGCTGCAAATTCCACAAAAAGGGTGTTTAACATCTGCTCTTCTAAAGGAAAGTTCAACTCTATGAGTTCAATACACACAGCACAAAGAAGTTACTGAGACTTCTCCTATCAAACATTATATGAAGAAATCCCGTTTCCAACGAAGGCCTCAAAGAGGTCCAAATATCTGCTTGCAGACTTTACAGACAGAGTGTTTCCAAACTGCTCCATCAAAAGAAAGGTGAAACTCCTTGAGTTGAACACACACATCACAAAGTAGTTTCTGTGAATGATTCTGTCTAGTTTTTATACGAAGATGTTTCCTTTTCTACCTTTGGTCTCAAAGCGATTGAAATCTCCACATGGAAACTCCACAAAAAGAGTGTTTCAAATCTGCTCTTTCTGAAGGAAGGTTCAACTCTGTGAGTTGAATACACACACCACAAATAAGTTACTGAGAATTCTTCTGTGTAACATTATATGAGGAAATCCCGTTTCCAACGAAGGCCTCAAAGAGGTCCAAATATCCACTTGCAGACTTTTCAAAGACAGTGTCTCCAAACTCCTCCATCAAAAGAAAGGTTACACTCTGTGAATTGAATGCACACATCACAAAGTAGTTTTTGAGAATGATTCTGTCTAGTTTTTATACGAAGATATTTCCTTTTCTACATTTGGCCTAAAAGCGCTTGAAATCTCCACCTGCAAATATCACAAAAAGAGGGTTTCACATCTGCTCTGTCTAAAGGACAGTTCACCTCTGTGAGTTGAATAGAGGCAACACAAAGAACTTACTCAGTATTCTTCTTTCTAGCGTTCTATGAAGAAATCCCGTTTCCAATGAAGGCCCCAAAGACGTCCAAATATCTGCTTGCAGACTTTACAGACAGAGTGTTTCCAAACTACTCTATGAAAAGAAAGCTTAAACTCCTTGAGTTGAACGCACACATCACAAAGTAGTTTCTGAGAATGATTCTGTCTAGTTTTTATACGAAGATGTTTCCTTTTCTACATTTGGTCTCAAAGCGATTGAAATCTCCAACTGGAAACTGCACAAATAGGGTGTTTCAAATCTGCTCTGTCTAAAGGAAGGTTCAACTCTTTGAGTTGAATACACACACCACAAATAAGTTACTGAGAATTCTTCTGTCGAACATTACTTGAAGAAATCCCGTTTCCAACGAAGGCCTCAAAGAGGTCCAATTATCGACTTGCAGACATTACAAACAGAGTGTTTCCAAACTGCTCCATCAAAAGAAAGGTTAAACTCTGTGAGCTGAACACACACATCAAAAAGAAGTTTCTGTGAATGATTCTGTCTAGATTTTATAAGAAGATGTTTCCTTTTCTACTGTAGGCCTCAAAGTGCTTGAAATCTCCAGCTGCAAATTCCACAAAAAGGGTGTTTAACATCTGCTCTTCTAAAGGAAAGTTCAACTCAATGAGTTGAATACACACAGCCCAAAGAAGTTACTGAGACTTCTCCTATCAAACATTATATGAAGAAATCCCGTTTCCAACGAAGGCCTCAAAGAGGTCCAAATATCTGCTTGCAGACTTTACAGACAGAGTGTTTCCAAACTGCTCCATCCAAAGAAAGGTTAAACTCCTTGAGTTGAACACACACATCACAAAGTAGTTTCTGTGAATGATTCTGTCTAGTTTTTGTACGAAGATGTTTCCTTTTCTACCTTTGGTCTCAATGCGATTGAAATCTCCACATGGAAACTCCACAAAAAGAGTGTTTCAAATCTGCTCTTACTGAAGGAAGGTTCAACTCTGTGAGTTGAATACACACACCACAAATAAGTTACTGAGAATTCTTCTGTGTAACATTATATGAGGAAATCCCGTTTCCAACGAAGGCCTCAAAGAGGTCCCAAATATCCACTTGCAGACTTTACAAAGACAGTGTCTCCAAACTCCTCCATCAAAAGAAAGGTTATACTCTGTGAATTGAACGCACACATCACAAAGTAGTTTCTGAGAATGATTCTGTCTAGTTTTTATACGAAGATATTTCCTTTTCTACATTTGGCCTAAAAGCGCTTGAAATCTCCACCTGCAAATATCACAAAAAGAGGGTTTCACATCTGCTCTGTCTAAAGGACAGTTCACCTCTGTGAGTTGAATAGAGGCAACACAAAGAACTTACTCAGTATTCTTCTTTCTAGCGTTGTATGAAGAAATCCCGTTTCCAACGAAGGCCCCAAAGAGGTCCAAATATCTGCTTGCAGACTTTACAGACAGAGTGTTTCCAAACTACTCTATGAAAAGAAAGCTTAAACTCCTTGAGTTGAACGCACACATCACAAAGTAGTTTCTGAGAATGATTCTGTCCAGTTTTTATACGAAGATGTTTCCTTTTCTACATTTGGTCTCAAAGCGATTGAAATCTCCAACTGGAAACTGCACAAATAGGGTGTTTCAAATCTGCTCTGTCTAAAGGAAGGTTCAACCCTGTGAGTTGAATACACACACCACAAATAAGTTACTGAGAATTCTTGTGTCGAACATTACTTGAAGAAATCCCGTTTCCAACGAAGGCCTCAAAGAGGTCCAAATATTCACTTGCAGATATTACAAACAGAGTGTTTCCAAACTGCTCCATCAAAAGAAAGGTTAAACTCTGTGAGCTGAACACACACATCAAAAAGAAGTTTCTGTGAATGATTCTGTCAAGATTTTATAAGATGTTTCCATTTCTACCGTAGGACTCAAAGCGCTTGAAATCTCCAGCTGCAAATTCCACAAAAAGGGTGTTTAACATCTGCTCTTCTAAAGGAAAGTTCAACTCTATGAGTTGAATACACACAGCACAAAGAAGTTACTGAGACTTCTCCTATCAAACATTATATGAAGAAATCCCGTTTCCAACGAAGGCCTCAAAGAGGTCCAAATATCTGCTTACAGACTTTACAAAGACAGTGTCTCCAAACTCCTCCATCAAAAGAAAGGTTATACTCTGTGAATTGAACGCACACATCACAAAGTAGTTTCTGAGAATGATTCTGTCTACTTTTTATACGAAGATATTTCCTTTTCTACATTTGGCCTAAAAGCGCTTGAAATCTCCACCTGCAAATATCACAAAAAGAGGGTTTCACATCTGCTCTGTCTAAAGGACAGTTCACCTCTGTGAGTTGAATAGAGGCAACACAAAGAACTTACTCAGTATTCTTCTTTCTAGCATTCTATGAAGAAATCCCGTTTCCAACGAAGGCCCCAAAGAGGTCCAGATATCTGCTTGCAGACTTTACAGACAGAGTGTTTCCAAACTACTCTATGAAAAGAAAGCTTAAACTCCTTGAGTTGAACGCACACATCACAAAGTAGTTTCGGAGAATGATTCTGTCTAGTTTTTATACGAAGATGTTTCCTTTTCTACATTTGGTCTCAAAGCGATTGAAATCTCCAACTGGAAACTGCACAAATAGGGTGTTTCAAATCTGCTCTGTCTAAAGGAAGGTTCAACTCTGTGAGTTGAATACACACACCACAAATAAGTTACTGAGAATTCTTCTGTCTAACATTATATGAGGAAATCCCTTTTCCAACGAAGGCCTCAAAGAGGTCCAAATATCCACTTGCAGACTTGTCAAACGGAGTGTTTCCAAACTGCACCATCAAAAGAAAGGTTAAACTCTGTGAGCTGAACACACACATCACAAAGTAGTTTCTGTGAATGATTCTGTCTAGATTTTATAAGAAGATGTTTCCTTTTCTACCGTAGGCCTCAAAGCGCTTGAAATCTCCAGCTGCAAATTCCACAAAAAGGGTGTTTCACATCTGCTCTTCTAAAGGAAAGTTCAACCCTATGAGTTCAATACACACAGCACAAAGACGTTACTGAGACTTCTCCTATCAAACATTATATGAAGAAATCCCGTTTCCAACGAAGGCCTCAAAGAGGTCCAAATATCTGCTTGCAGACTTTACAGACAGAGTGTTTCCAAACTGCTCCACCAAAAGAAAGGTTAAACTCCTTGAGTTGAACACACACATCACAAAGTAGTTTCTGTGTATGATTCTGTCTAGTTTTTATACGAAGATGTTTCCTTTTCTACCTTTGGTCTCAAAGCGATTGAAATCTCCACATGGAAACTCCACAAAAAGAGTGTTTCAAATCTGCTCTTTCTGAAGGAAGGTTCAACTCTGTGAGTTGAATACACACACCACAAATAAGTTACTGAGAATTCTTCTGTGTAACATTATATGAGGAAATCCCGTTTCCAACGAAGGCCTCAAAGAGGTCCAAATATCCACTTGCAGACTTTACAAACACAGTGTCTCCAAACTCCTCCATCAAAAGAAAGGTTATACTCTGTGAATTGAACGCACACATCACAAAGTAGTTTCTGAGAATGATTCTGTCTAGTTTTTATACGAAGATATTTCCTTTTCTACATTTGGCCTAAAAGTGCTTGAAATCTCCACCTGCAAATATCACAAAAAGAGGGTTTCACATCTGCTCTGTCTAAAGGACAGTTCACCTCTGTGAGTTGAATAGAGGCAACACAAAGAACTTACTCAGTATTCTTCTTTCTAGCGTTCTATGAAGAAATCCGGTTTCCAACGAAGGCCCCAAAGAGGTCCAAATATCTGCTTGCACACTTTACAGACAGAGTGTTTCCAAACTACTCTATGAAAAGAAAGCTTAAACTCCTTGAGTTGAACGCACACATCACAAAGTAGTTTCTGAGAATGATTCTGTCTAGTTTTTATACGAAGATGTTTCCTTTTCTACATTTGGTCTCAAAGCGATTGAAATCTCCAACTGGAAACTGCACAAATAGGGTGTTTCAAATCTGCTCTGTCTAAAGGAAGGTTCAACTCTGTGAGTTGAATACACACACCACAAATAAGTTACTGAGAATTCTTCTGTCGAACATTACTTGAAGAAATCCCGTTTCCAACGAAGGCCTCAAAGAGGTCCAAATATCCACTTGCAGACATTACAAACAGAGTGTTTCCAAACTGCTCCATCAAAAGAAAGGTTAAACTCTGTGAGCTGAACACACACACCAAAAAGAAGTTTCTGTGAATGATTCTGTCTAGATTTTATAAGAAGATGTTTCCTTTTCTACCGTAGGCCTCAAAGCGCTTGAAATCTCCAGCTGCAAATTCCACAAAAAGGGTGTTTAACATCTGCTCTTCTAAAGGAAAGTTCAACTCTATGAGTTGAATACACACAGCACAAAGAAGTTACTGAGACTTCTCCTATCAAACATTATATGAAGAAATCCCGTTTCCAACGAAGGCCTCAAAGAGGTCCAAATGTCTGCTTGCAGACTTTACAAACAGAGTGTTTCCAAACTGCTCCATCAAAAGAAAGGTTAAACTCCTTGAGTTGAACACACACATCACAAAGTAGTTTCTGTGAATGATTCTGTCTAGTTTTTATACGAAGATGTTTCCTTTTCTACCTTTGGTCTCAAAGCGATTGAAATCTCCACATGGAAACTCCACAAAAAGAGTGTTTCAAATCTGCTCTTTCTGAAGGAAGGTTCAACTCTGTGAGTTGAATACACACACCACAAATAAGTTACTGAGAATTCTTCTGTGTAAAATTATATGAGGAAATCCCTTTTCCAAGGAAGGCCTCAAAGAGGTCCAAATATCCACTTGCAGACTTTACAAAGACAGTGTCTCCAAACTCCTCCATCAAAAGAAAGGTTATACTCTGTGAATTGATCGCACACATCACAAAGTAGTTTCTGAGAATGATTCTGTCTAGTTTTTATACGAAGATATTTCCTTTTCTACATTTGGCCTAAAAGCGCTTGAAATCTCCACCTGCAAATATCACAAAAAGAGGGTTTCACATCTGCTCTGTCTAAAGGACAGTTCACCTCTGTGAGTTGAATAGAGGCAACACAAAGAACTTACTCAGTATTCTTCTTTCTAGCGTTCTATGAAGAAATCCCGTTTCCAACGAAGGCCTCAAAGAGGTCAAATATCTGCTTGCAGACTTTACAGACAGAGTGTTTCCAAACTACTCTATGAAAAGAAAGCTTAAACTCCTTGAGTTGAACGCACACATCACAAAGTAGTTTCTGAGAATGATTCTGTCTAGTTTTTATACGAAGATGTTTCCCTTTCTACATTTGGTCTCAAAGCGATTGAAATCTCCAACTGGAAACTGCACAAATAGGCTGTTTCAAATCTGCTCTGTCTAAATGAAGGTTCAACTCTGTGAGTTGAATACACACACCACAAATAAGTTACTGAGAATTCTTCTGTCGAACATTACTTGAAGAAATCCCGTTTCCAACGAAGGCCTCAAAGAGGTCCAAATATCCACTTGCAGACATTACAAACAGAGTGTTTCCAAAATGCTCCATCAAAAGAAAGGTTAAACTCTGTGAGCTGAACACACACATCAAAAAGAAGTTTCTGTGAATGATTCTGTCTAGATTTTATAAGAAGATGTTTCCTTTTCTACCGTAGGCCACAAAGCGCTTGAAATCTCCAGCTGCAAATTCCAGAAAAAGGGTGTTTAACATCTGCTCTTCTAAGGGAAAGTTCAACTCTATGCGTTGAATACACACCGCACAAAGAAGTTACTGAGACTTCTCCTATCAAACATTATATGAAGAAATCCCGTTTCCAACGAAGGCCTCAAAGAGGTCCAAATATCTGCTTGCAGACTTTAAAGACAGAGTTTTTCCAAACTGCTCCATCAAAAGAAAGGTTAAACTCCTTGAGTTGAACACACACATCACAAAGTAGTTTCTGTGAATGATTCTGTCTAGTTTTTATACGAAGATGTTTCCTTTTCTACCTTTGGTCTCAAAGCGATTGAAATCTCCACATGGAAACTCCACAAAAAGAGTGTTTCAAATCTGCTCTTTCTGAAGGAAGGTTCAACTCTGTGAGTTGAATACACACACCACAAATAAGTTACTGAGAATTCTTCTGTGTAACATTATATGAGGAAATCCCGTTTCCAACGAAGGCCTCAAAGAGGTCCAAATATCCACTTGCAGACTTTACAAAGACAGTGTCTCCAAACTCCTCCATCAAAAGAAAGGTTATACTCTGTGAATTGAACGCACACATCACAAAGTAGTTTCTGAGAATGATTCTGTCTAGTTTTTATACGAAGATATTTCCTTTTCTACATTTGGCCTAAAAGCGCTTGAAATCTCCACCTGCAAATATCACAAAAAGAGGGTTTCACATCTGCTCTGTCTAAAGGACAGTTCACCTCTGTGAGTTGAATAGAGGCAACACAAAGAACTTACTCAGTATTCTTCTTTCTAGCGTTCTATGAAGAAATCCCGTTTCCAACGAAGGCCCCAAAGAGGTCCAAATATCTGCTTGCAGACTTTACAGACAGAGTGTTTCCAAACTACTCTATGAAAAGAAAGCTTAAACTCCTTGAGTTGAACAGCACACATCACAAAGTAGTTTCTGAGAATGATTCTGTCTAGTTTTAATACGAAGATGTTTCCTTTTCTACATTTGGTCTCAAAGCGATTGAAATCTCCAACTGGAAACTGCACAAATAGGGTGTTTCAAATCTGCTCTCTCTAAAGGAAGGTTCAACTCTGTGAGTTGAATACACACACCACAAATAAGTTACTGAGAATTCTTCTGTCGAACATTACTTGAAGAAATCCCGTTTCCAACGAAGGCCTCAAAGAGGTCCAAATATCTGCTTGCAGACTTTACAGACAGAGTGTTTCCAAACTGCTCCATCAAAAGAAAGGTTAAACTCCTTGAGTTGAACACACACATCACAAAGTAGTTTCTGTGAATGATTCTGTCTAGTTTTTATACGAAGATGTTTCCTTTTCTACCTTTGGTCTCAAAGCGATTGAAATCTCCACATGGAAACTCCACAAAAAGAGTGTTTCAAATCTGCTCTTTCTGAAGGAAGGTTCAACTCTGTGAGTTGAATACACACACCACAAATAAGTTACTGAGAATTCTTCTGTGTAACATTATATGAGGAAATCCCGTTTCCAACGAAGGCCTCAAAGAGGTCCAAATATCCACTTGCAGACTTTACAAAGACAGTGTCTCCAAACTCCTCCATCAAAAGAAAGGTTATACTCTGTGAATTGAACGCACACATCAAAGTAGTTTCTGAGAATGATTCTGTCTAGTTTTTATACGAAGATATTTCCTTTTCTACATTTGGCCTAAAAGCGCTTGAAATCTCCACCTGCAAATATCACAAAAAGAGGGTTTCACATCTGCTCTGTCTAAAGGACAGTTCACCTCTGTGAGTTGAATAGAGGCAACACAAAGAACTTACTCAGTATTCTTCTTTCTAGCGTTCTATGAAGAAATCCCGTTTCCAACGAAGGCCTCAAAGAGGTCAAATATCTGCTTGCAGACTTTACAGACAGAGTGTTTCCAAACTACTCTATGAAAAGAAAGCTTAAACTCCTTGAGTTGAACGCACACATCACAAAGTAGTTTCTGAGAATGATTCTGTCTAGTTTTTATACGAAGATGTTTCCTTTTCTACATTTGGTCTCAAAGCGATTGAAATCTCCAACTGGAAACTGCACAAATAGGCTGTTTCAAATCTGCTCTGTATAAAGGAAGGTTCAGCTCTGTGAGTTGAATACACACACCACAAATAAGTTACTGAGAATTCTTCTGTCGAACATTACAGGAAGAAATCCCGTTTCCAACGAAGGCCTCAAAGAGGTCCAAATATCCACTTGCAGACATTACAAACAGTGTGTTTCCCAACTGCTCCATCAAAAGAAAGGTTAAACTCTGTGAGCTGAACACACACATCAAAAAGAAGTTTCTGTGAATGATTCTGTCTAGATTTTATAAGAAGATGTTTCCTTTTCTACCGTAGGCCTCAAAGCGCTTGAAATCTCCAGCTGCAAATTCCACAAAAAGGGTGTTTAACATCTGCTCTTCTAAAGGAAAGTTCAACTCTATGAGTTGAATACACACAGCACAAAGAAGTTACTGAGACTTCTCCTATCAAACATTATATGAAGAAATCCCGTTTCCAACGAAGGCCTCAAAGAGGTCCAAATATCTGCTTGCAGACTTTACAGACAGAGTGTTTCCAAACTGCTCCATCAAAAGGAAGTTTAAACTCCTTGAGTTGAACACACACATCACAAAGTAGTTTCTGTGAATGATTCTGTCTAGTTGTTATACGAAGATGTTTCCTTTTCTACCTTTGGTCTCAAAGCGATTGAAATCTCCACATGGAAACTCCACAAAAGGAGTGTTTCAAATCTGCTCTTTCTGAAGGAAGGTTCATCTCTGTGAGTTGAATACACACACCACAAATAAGTTACTGAGAATTCTTCTGTGTAACATTATATGAGGAAATCCCGTTTCCAACGAAGGCCTCAAAGAGGTCCAAATATCCACTTGCAGACTTTACAAAGACAGTGTCTCCAAACTCCTCCATCAAAAGAAAGGTTATACTCTGTGAATTGAACGCACACATCACAAAGTAGTTTCTGAGAATGATTCTGTCTAGTTTTTATACGAAGATATTTCCTTTTCTACATTTGGCCTAAAAGCGCTTGAAATCTCCACCTGCAAATATCACAAAAAGAGGGTTTCACATCTGCTCTGTCTAAAGGACAGTTCACCTCTGTGAGTTGAATAGAGGCAACACAAAGAACTTACTCAGTATTCTTCTTTCCAGCGTTCTCTGAAGAAATCCCGTTTCCAACGAAGGCCTCAAAGAGGTCCAAATATCTGCTTGCAGACTTTACAGACAGAGTGTTTCCAAACTACTCTATGAAAAGAAAGCTTAAACTCCTTGAGTTGAATGCACACATCACAAAGTAGTTTCTGAGAATGATTCTGTCTAGTTTTTATACGAAGATGTTTCCTTTTCTACATTTGGTCTCAAAGCGATTGAAATCTCCAACTGGAAACTGCACAAATAGGGTGTTTCAAATCTGCTCTGTCTAAAGGAAGGTTCAACTCTGTGAGTTGAATACACACACCACAAATAAGTTACTGAGAATTCTTCTGTCGAACATTACTTGAAGAAATCCCGTTTCCAACGAAGGCCTCAAAGAGGTCCAAATATCCACTTGCAGACATTAGAAAAAGAGTGTTTCCAAACTGCTCCATCAAAAGAAAGGTTAAACTCTGTGAGCTGAACACACACATCAAAAAGAAGTTTCTGTGAATGATTCTGTCAAGATTTTATAAGATGTTTCCATTTCTACCGTAGGACTCAAAGCGCTTGAAATCTCCAGCTGCAAATTCCACAAAAAGGGTGTTTAACATCTGCTCTTCTAAAGGAAAGTTCAACTCTATGAGTTGAATACACACAGCACAAAGAAGTTACTGAGACTTCTCCTATCAAACATTATATGAAGAAATCCCGTTTCCAACGAAGGCCTCAAAGAGGTCCAAATATCTGCTTGCAGACTTTAAAGACAGAGTTTTTCCAAACTGCTCCATCAAAAGAAAGGTTAAACTCCTTGAGTTGAACACACACATCACAAAGTAGTTTCTGTGAATGATTCTGTCTAGTTTTTATACGAAGATGTTTCCTTTTCTACCTTTGGTCTCAAAGCGATTGAAATCTCCACATGGAAACTCCACAAAAAGAGTGTTTCAAATCTGCTCTTTCTGAAGGAAGGTTCAACTCTGTGAGTTGAATACACACACCACAAATAAGTTACTGAGAATTCTTCTGTGTAACATTATATGAGGAAATCCCGTTTCCAACGAAGGCCTCAAAGAGGTCCAAATATCCACTTGCAGACTTTACAAAGACAGTGTCTCCAAACTCCTCCATCAAAAGAAAGGTTATACTCTGTGAATTGAACGCACACATCACAAAGTAGTTTCTGAGAATGATTCTGTCTAGTTTTTATACGAAGATATTTCCTTTTCTACATTAGGCCTAAAAGCCCTTGAAATCTCCACCTGCAAATATCACAAAAAGAGGGTTTCACATCTGCTCTGTCTAAAGGACTGTTCACCTCTGTGAGTTGAATAGAGGCAACACAAAGAACTTACTCAGTATTCGTCTTTCTAGCGTTCTATGAAGAAATCCCGTTTCCAACGAAGGCCCCAAAGAGGTCCAAATATCTGCTTGCAGACTTTACAGACAGAGTGTTTCCAAACTACTCTATGAAAAGAAAGCTTAAACTCCTTGGGTTGAACGCACACATCACAAAGTAGTTTCTGAGAATGATTTCTGTCTAGTTTTTATACGAAGATGTTTCCTTTTCTACATTTGGTCTCAAAACGATTGAAATGTCCAACTGGGAACTGCACAAATAGGGTGTTTCAAATCTGCTCTGTCTAAAGGAAGGTTCAACTCTGTGAGTTGAATACACACTCCACAAATAAGTTACTGAGAATTCTTCTGTCGAACATTACTTGAAGAAATCCCGTTTCCAACGAAGGCCTCAAAGGAGGTCCAAATATCCACTTGCAGACATTACAAACAGAGTGTTTCCAAACTGCTCCATCAAAAGAAAGGTTAAACTCTGTGAGCTGAACACACACATCAAAAAGAAGTTTCTGTGAATGATTCTGTCTAGATTTTATAAGAAGATGTTTCCTTTTCTACCGTAGGCCTCAAAGCGCTTGAAATCTCCAGCTGCAAATTCCACAAAAAGGGTGTTTAACATCTGCTCTTCTAAAGGAAAGTTCAACTCTATGAGTTGAATACACACAGCACAAAGAAGTTACTGAGACTTCTCCTATCAAACATTATATGAAGAAATCCCGTTTCCAACGAAGGCCCCAAAGAGGTCCAAATATCTGCTTGCAGACTTTACAGACAGAGTTTTTCCAAACAGCTCCATCAAAAGAAAGGTTAAACTCCTTGAGTTGAACACACACATCACAAAGTAGTTTCTGTGAATGATTCTGTCTAGTTTTTATACGAAGATGTTTCCTTTTCTACCTTTGGTCTCAAAGCGATTGAAATCTCCACATGGAAACTCCACAAAAAGAGTGTTTCAAATCTGCTCTTTCTGAAGGAAGGTTCAACTCTGTGAGTTGAATACACACACCACAAATAAGTTACTGAGAATTCTTCTGTGTAACATTATATGAGGAAATCCCGTTTCCAACGAAGGCCTCAAAGAGGTCCAAATATCCACTTGCAGACTTTACAAAGACAGTGTCTCCAAACTCCTCCATCAAAAGAAAGGTTATACTCTGTGAATTGAACGCACACATCACAAAGTAGTTTCTGAGAATGATTCTGTCTAGTTTTTATACGAAGATATTTCCTTTTCTACATTTGGCCTAAAAGCGCTTGAAATCTCCACCTGCAAATATCACAAAAAGAGGGTTTCACATCTGCTCTGTCTAAAGGACAGTTCACCTCTGTGAGTTGAATAGAGGCAACACAAAGAACTTACTCAGTATTCTTCTTTCTAGCGTTCTATGAAGAAATCCCGTTTCCAACGAAGGCCTCAAAGAGGTCCAAATATCTGCTTGCAGACTTCACAGACAGAGTGTTTCCAAAGTACTCTATGAAAAGAAAGCTTAAACTCCTTGAGTTGAACGCACACATCACAAAGTAGTTTCTGAGAATGATTCTGTCTAGTTTTTATACGAAGATGTTTCCTTTTCTACATTTGGTCTGAAAGCGATTGAAATCTCCAACTGGAAACTGCACAAATAGGGTGTTTCAAATCTGCTCTTTCTAAAGGAAGGTTCAACTCTGTGAGTTGAATACACACACCACAAATAAGTTACTGAGAATTCTTCTGTCGAACATTACATGAAGAAATCCCGTTTCCAACGAAGGCCTCAAAGAGGTCCAAATATCCACTTGCAGACATTACAAACAGTGTGTTTCCAAACTGCTCCATCAAAAGAAAGGTTAAACTCTGTGAGCTGAACACACATCAAAAAGAAGTTTCTGTGAATGATTCTGTCTAGATTTTATAAGAAGATGTTTCCTTTTCTACCGTAGGCCACAAAGCGCTTGAAATCTCCAGCTGCAAATTCCACAAAAAGGGTGTTTAACATCTGCTCTTCTAAAGGAAAGTTCAACTCTATGAGTTAAATAAACACAGCAGAAAGAAGTTACTGAGACTTCTCCTATCAAACATTATATGAAGAAATCCCGTTTCCAACGAAGGCCTCAAAGAGGTCCAAATATCTGCTTGCAGACTTTACAGACAGAGTGTTTCCAAACTGCTCCATCAAAAGAAAGGTTAAACTCCTTGAGTTGAACACACACATCACAAAGTAGTTTCTGTGAATGATTCTGTCTAGTTTTTATACGAAGATGTTTCCTTTTCTACCTTTGGTCTCAATGCGATTGAAATCTCCACGTGGAAAGTCCACAAAAACAGTGTTTCAAATCTGCTCTTTCTGAAGGAAGGTTCAACTCTGTGAGTTGAATACACACACCACAAATAAGTTACTGAGAATTCTTCTGTGTAACATTATATGAGGAAATCCCGTTTCCAACGAAGGCCTCAAAGAGGTCCAAATATCCACTTGCAGACTTTACAAAGACAGTGTCTCCAAACTCCTCCATCAAAAGAAAGGTTATACTCTGTGAATTGAACGCACACATCACAAAGTAGTTTCTGAGAATGATTCTGTCTAGTTTTTATACGAAGATATTTCCTTTTCTACATTTGGCCTAAAAGCGCTTGAAATCTCCACCTGCAAATATCATAAAAAGAGGGTTTCACATCTGCTCTGTCTAAAGGACAGTTCACCTCTGTGAGTTGAATAGAGGCAACACAAGGAACTTACTCAGTATTCTTCTTTCTAGCGTTCTATGAAGAAATCCCGTTTCCAACGAAGGCCTCAAAGAGGTCAAATATCTGCTTGCAGACTTTACAGACAGAGTGTTTCCAAACTACTCTATGAAAAGAAAGCTTAAACTCCTTGAGTTGAGCGCACACATCACAAAGTAGTTTCTGAGAATGATTCTGTCTAGTTTTTATACGAAGATGTTTCCTTTTCTACATTTGGTCTCAAAGCTCTTGAAATCTCCAACTGGAAACTGCACAAATAGGCTGTTTTAAATCTGCTCTGTCTAAAGGAAGGTTCAACTCTGTGAGTTGAATACACACACCACAAATAAGTTACTGAGAATCCTTCTGTCGAACATTACAGGAAGAAATCCCGTTTCCAACGAAGGCCTCAAAGAGGTCCAAATATCCACTTGCGGACATTACAAACAGTGTGTTTCCCAACTGCTCCATCAAAAGAAAGGTTAAACTCTGTGAGCTGAACACACACATCAAAAAGAAGTTTCTGTGAATGATTCTGTCTAGATTTTATAAGAAGATGTTTCCTTTTCTACCGTAGGCCTCAAAGCGCTTGAAATCTCCAGCTGCAAATTCCACAAAAAGGGTGTTTAACATCTGCTCTTCTAAAGGAAAGTTCAACTCTATGAGTTGAATACACACAGCACAAAGAAGTTACTGAGACTTCTCCTATCAAACATTATATGAAGAAATCCCGTTTCCAACGAAGGCCTCAAAGAGGTCCAAATATCTGCTTGCAGACTTTACAGACAGAGTGTTTCCAAACTGCTCCATCAAAAGAAAGGTTAAACTCCTTGAGTTGAACACACACATCACAAAGTAGTTTCTGTGAATGATTCTGTCTAGTTGTTATACGAAGATGTTTCCTTTTCTACCTTTGGTCTCAAAGCGATTGAAATCTCCACATGGAAACTCCACAAAAAGAGTGTTTCAAATCTGCTCTTTCTGAAGGAAGGTTCATCTCTGTGAGTTGAATACACACACCACAAATAAGTTACTGAGAATTCTTCTGGGTAACATTATATGAGGAAATCCCGTTTCCAACGAAGGCCTCAAAGAGGTCCAAATATCCACTTGCAGACTTTACAAAGACAGTGTCTCCAAACTCCTCCATCAAAAGAAAGGTTATACTCTGTGAATTGAACGCACACATCACAAAGTAGTTTCTGAGAATGATTCTGTCTAGTTTTTATACGAAGATATTTCCTTTTCTACATTTGGCCTAAAAGCGCTTGAAATCTCCACCTGCAAATATCACAAAAAGAGGGTTTCACATCTGCTCTGTCTAAAGGACAGTTCACCTCTGTGAGTTGAATAGAGGCAACACAAAGAACTTACTCAGTATTCTTCTTTCTAGCGTTCTATGAAGAAATCCCGTTTCCAACGAAGGCCTCAAAGAGCTCAAATATCTGCTTGCAGACTTTACAGACAGAGTGTTTCCAAACTACTCTATGAAAAGAAAGCTTAAACTCCTTGAGTTGAACGCACACATCACAAAGTAGTTTCTGAGAATGATTCTGTCTAGTTTTTATACGAAGATGTTTCCTTTTCTACATTTGGTCTCAAAGCTCTTGAAATCTCCAACTGGAAACTGCACAAATAGGCTGTTTCAAATCTGCTCTGTCTAAAGGAAGGTTCAACTCTGTGAGTTGAATACACACACCACAAATAAGTTACTGAGAATTCTTCTGTCGAACATTACTTGAAGAAATCCCGTTTCCAACGAAGGCCTCAAACAGGTCCAAATATCCACTTGCAGACGTTACAAACAGAGTGTTTCCAAACTGCTCCATCAAAAGAAAGGTTAAACTCTGTGAGCTGAACACACACATCAAAAAGAAGTTTCTGTGAATGATTCTGTCTAGATTTTATAAGAAGATGTTTCCTTTTCTACCGTAGGCCTCAAAGCGCTTGAAATCTCCAGCTGCAAATTCCACAAAAAGGGTGTTTAACATCTGCTCTTCTAAAGGAAAGTTCAACTCTATGAGTTGAATACACACAGCACAAAGAAGTTACTGAGACTTCTCCTATCAAACATTATATGAAGAAATCCCGTTTCCAACGAAGGCCTCAAAGAGGTCCAAATATCTGCTTGCAGACTTTACAGACAGAGTGTTTCCAAACTGCTCCATCAAAAGAAAGGTTAAACTCCTTGAGTTGAACACACACATCACAAAGTAGTTTCTGTGAATGATTCTGTCTAGTTGTTATACGAAGATGTTTCCTTTTCTACCTTTGGTCTCAAAGCGATTGAAATCTCCACATGGAAACTCCACAAAAAGAGTGTTTCAAATCTGCTCTTTCTGAAGGAAGGTTCATCTCTGTGAGTTGAATACACACACCACAAATAAGTTACTGAGAATTCTTCTGTGTAACATTATATGAGGAAATCCCGTTTCCAACGAAGGCCTCAAAGAGGTCCAAATATCCACTTGCAGACTTTACAAAGACAGTGTCTCCAAACTCCTCCATCAAAAGAAAGGTTATACTCTGTGAATTGAACGCACACATCACAAAGTAGTTTCTGAGAATGATTCTGTCTAGTTTTTATACGAAGATATTTCCTTTTCTACATTTGGCCTAAAAGCACTTGAAATCTCCACCTGCAAATATCACAAAAAGAGGGTTTCACATCTGCTCTGTCTAAAGGACAGTTCACCTCTGTGAGTTGAATAGAGGCAACACAAAGAACTTACTCAGTATTCTTCTTTCTAGCGTTCTATGAAGAAATCCCGTTTCCAACGAAGGCCTCAAAGAGGTCCAAATATCTGCTTGCAGACGTTACGGACAGAGTGTTTCCAAACTACTCTATGAAAAGAAAGCTTAAACTCCTTGAGTTGAACGCACACATCACAAAGTAGTTTCTGAGAATGATTCTGTCTTGTTTTTATACGAAGATATTTCCGTTTCTACGATTGGCCTCAAAGCGATTGAAATCTCCAAATGGAAACTGCACAAATAGGGTGTTTCAAATCTGCTCTGTCTAAAGGAAGGTTCAACTCTGTGAGTTGAATACAGACACCACAAATAAGTTACTGAGAATTCTTTCTGTCGAACATTACTTGAGGAAATCCCGTTTCCAACGAAGGCCTCAAAGAGGTCCAAATATCCACTTGCAGACATTACAAACAGAGTGTTTCCAAACTGCTCCATCAAAAGAAAGGTTAAACTCTGTGAGCTGAACACACACATCGAAAAGAAGTTTCTGTGAATGATTCTGTCTAGATTTTATAAGAAGATGTTTCCTTTTCTACCGTAGGCCTCAAAGCGCTTGAAATCTCCAGCTGCAAATTCCTCAAAAAGGGTGTTTAACATCTGCTCTTCTAAAGGAAAGTTCAACTCTATGAGTTGAATACACACAGCACAAAGAAGTTACTGAGACTTCTCCTATCAAACATTATATGAAGAAATCCCGTTTCCAACGAAGGCCTCAAAGAGGTCCAAATATCTGCTTGCAGACTTTACAGACAGAGTGTTTCCAAACTGCTCCATCAAAAGAAAGGTTAAACTCCTTGAGTTGAACACACACATCACAAAGTAGTTTCTGTGAATGATTCTGTCTAGTTGTTATACGAAGATGTTTCCTTTTCTACCTTTGGTCTCAAAGCGATTGAAATCTCCACATGGAAACTCCACAAAAAGAGTGTTTCAAATCTGCTCTTTCTGAAGGAAGGTTCATCTCTGTGAGTTGAATACACACACCACAAATAAGTTACTGAGAATTCTTCTGTGTAACATTATATGAGGAAATCCCGTTTCCAACGAAGGCCTCAAAGAGGTCCAAATATCCACTTGCAGACTTTACAAAGACAGTGTCTCCAAACTCCTCCATCAAAAGAAAGGTTATACTCTGTGAATTGAACGCACACATCACAAAGTAGTTTCTGAGAATGATTCTGTCTAGTTTTTATACGAAGATATTTCCTTTTCTACATTTGGCCTAAAAGCGCTTGAAATCTCCACCTGCAAATATCACAAAAAGAGGGTTTCACATCTGCTCTGTCTAAAGGACAGTTCACCTCTGTGAGTTGAATAGAGGCAACACAAAGAACTTACTCAGTATTCTTCTTTCTAGCGTTCTATGAAGAAATCCCGTTTCCAACGAAGGCCCCAAAGAGGTCCAAATATCTGCTTGCAGACTTTACAGACAGAGTGTTTCCAAACTACTCTATGAAAAGAAAGCTTAAACTCCTTGAGTTGAACGCACACATCACAAAGTAGTTTCTGAGAATGATTCTGTCTAGTTTTTATACGAAGATGTTTCCTTTTCTACATTTGGTCTCAAAGCGATTGAAATCTCCAACTGGAAACTGCACAAATAGGGTGTTTCAAATCTGCTCTGTCTAAAGGAAGGTTCAACTCTGTGAGTTGAATACACACACCACAAATAAGTTACTGAGAATTCTTCTGTCGAACATTACTTGAAGAAATCCCGTTTCCAACGAAGGCCTCAAAGAGGTCCAAATATCCACTTGCAGACATTACAAACAGAGTATTTCCAAACTGCTCCATCAAAAGAAAGGTTAAACTCTGTGAGCTGAACACACACATCGAAAAGAAGTTTCTGTGAATGATTCTGTCTAGATTTTATAAGAAGATGTTTCCTTTTCTACCGTAGGCCTCAAAGCGCTTGAAATCTCCAGCTGCAAATTCCACAAAAAGGGTGTTTAACATCTGCTCTTCTAAAGGAAAGTTCAACTCTATGAGTTGAATACACACAGCACAAAGAAGTTACTGAGACTTCTCCTATCAAACATTATATGAAGAAATCCCGTTTCCAACGAAGGCCTCAAAGAGGTCCAAATATCTGCTTGCAGACTTTACAGACAGAGTGTTTCCAAACTGCTCCATCAAAAGGAAGTTTAAACTCCTTGAGTTGAACACACACATCACAAAGTAGTTTCTGTGAATGATTCTGTCTAGTTTTTATACGAAGATGTTTCCTTTTCTACCTTTGGTCTCAAAGCGATTGAAATCTCCACATGGAAACTCCACAAAAAAGAGTGTTTCAAATCTGCTCTTTCTGAAGGAATGTTCAACTCTGTGAGTTGAATACACACACCACAAATAAGTTACTGAGAATTCTTCTGTGTAACATTATATGAGGAAATCCCGTTTCCAACGAAGGCCTCAAAGAGGTCCAAATATCCACTTGCAGACTTTACAAAGACAGTGTCTCCAAACTCCTCCATCAAAAGAAAGGTTATACTATGTGAATTGAACGGACACATCACAAAGTAGTTTCTGAGAATGATTCTGTCTAGTTTTTATACGAAGATATTTCCTTTTCTACATTTGGCCTAAAAGCGCTTGAAATCTCCACCTGCAAATATCACAAAAAGAGGGTTTCACATCTGCTCTGTCTAAAGGACAGTTCACCTCTGTGAGTTGAATAGAGGCAACACAAAGAACTTACTCAGTATTCTTCTTTCTAGCGTTCTATGAAGAAATCCCGTTTCCAACGAAGGCCTCAAAGAGGTCCAAATATCTGCTTGCAGACTTTACAGACAGAGTGTTTCCAAACTACTCTATGAAAAGAAAGCTTAAACTCCTTGAGTTGAACGCACACATCACAAAGTAGTTTCTGAGAATGATTCTGTCTAGTTTTTATACGAAGATGTTTCCTTTTCTACATTTGGTCTCAAAGCGATTGAAATCTCCAACTGGAAACTGCACAAATAGGGTGTTTCAAATCTGCTCTGTCTAAAGGAAGGTTCAACTCTGTGAGTTGAATACACACACCACAAATAAGTTACTGAGAATTCTTCTGTCGAACATTACATGAAGAAATCTCGTTTCCAACGAAGGCCTCAAAGAGGTCCAAATATCCACTTTCAGACATTACAAACAGAGTGTTTCCAAACTGCTCCATCAAAAGAAAGGTTAAACTCTGTGAGCTGAACACACACATCAAAAAGAAGTTTCTGTGAATGATTCTGTCTAGATTTTATAAGAAGATGTTTCCTTTTCTACCGTAGGCCTCAAAGCGCTTGAAATCTCCAGCTGCAAATTCCACAAAAAGGGTGTTTAACATCTGCTCTTCTAAAGGAAAGTTCAACTCTATGAGTTGAATACACACAGCACAAAGAAGTTACTGAGACTTCTCCTATCAAACATTATATGAAGAAATCCCGTTTCCAACGAAGGCCTCAAAGAGGTCCAAATATCTGCTTGCAGACTTTACAGACAGAGTGTTTCCAAACTGCTCCATCAAAAGAAAGGTTAAACTCCTTGAGTTGAACACACACATCACAAAGTAGTTTCTGTGAATGATTCTGTCTAGTTTTTATACGAAGATGTTTCCTTTTCTACCTTTGGTCTCAAAGCGATTGAAATCTCCACATGGAAACTCCACCAAAAGAGTGTTTCAAATCTGCTCTTTCTGAAGGAAGGTTCAACTCTGTGAGTTGAATACACACACCACAAATAAGTTACTGAGAATTCTTCTGTGTAACATTATATGAGGAAATCCCGTTTCCAACGAAGGCCTCAAAGAGGTCCAAATATCCACTTGCAGACTTTACAAAGACAGTGTCTCCAAACTCCTCCATCAAAAGAAAGGTTATACTCTGTGAATTGAACGCACACATCACAAAGTAGTTTCTGAGAATGATTCTGTCTAGTTTTTATACGAAGATATTTCCTTTTCTACATTTGGCCTAAAAGCGCTTGAAATCTCCACCTGCAAATATCACAAAAAGAGGGTTTCACATCTGCTCTGTCTAAAGGACAGTTCACCTCTGTGAGTTGAATAGAGGCAACACAAAGAACTTACTCAGTATTCTTCTTTCTAGCATTCTATGAAGAAATCCCGTTTCCAACGAAGGCCTCAAAGAGGTCCAAATATCTGCTTGCAGACTTTACAGACAGAGTTTTTCCAAACTGCTCCATCAAAAGAAAGGTTAAACTCCTTGAGTTGAACACACACATCACAAAGTAGTTTCTGTGAATGATTCTGTCTAGTTTTTATACGAAGATGTTTCCTTTTCTACCTTTGGTCTCAAAGCGATTGAAATCTCCACATGGAAACTCCACAAAAAGAGTGTTTCAAATCTGCTCTTTCTGAAGGAAGGTTCAACTCTGTGAGTTGAATACACACACCACAAATAAGTTACTGAGAATTCTTCTGGGTAACATTATATGAGGAAATCCCGTTTCCAACGAAGGCCTCAAAGAGGTCCAAATATCCACTTGCAGACTTTACAAAGACAGTGTCTCCAAACTCCTCCATCAAAAGAAAGGTTATACTCTGTGAATTGAACGCACACATCACAAAGTAGTTTCTGAGAATGATTCTGTCTAGTTTTTATACGAAGATATTTCCTTTTCTACATTTGGCCTCAAAGCGCTTGAAATCTCCACCTGCAAATATCACAAAAAGAGGGTTTCACATCTGCTCTGTCTAAAGGACAGTTCACCTCTGTGAGTTGAATAGAGGCAACACAAAGAACTTACTCAGTATTCTTCTTTCTAGCGTTCTATGAAGAAATCCCGTTTCCAACGAAGGCCCCAAAGAGGTCCAAATATCTGCTTGCAGACTTTACAGACAGAGTGTTTCCAAACTACTCTATGAAAAGAAAGCTTAAACTCCTTGAGTTGAACGCACACATCACAAAGTAGTTTCTGAGAATGATTCTGTCTAGTTTTTATACGAAGATGTTTCCTTTTCTACATTTGGTCTCAAAGCGATTGAAATCTCCAACTGGAAACTGCACAAATAGGCTGTTTCAAATCTGCTCTGTCTAAAGGAAGGTTCAACTCTGTGAGTTGAATACACACACCACAAATAAGTTACTGAGAATTCTTCTGTCGAACATTACTTGAAGAAATCCCGTTTCCAACGAAGGCCTCAAAGAGGTCCAAATATCCACTTGGAGACATTACAAACAGAGTGTTTCCAAACTGCTCCATCAAAAGAAAGGTTAAACTCTGTGAGCTGAACACACACATCAAAAAGAAGTTTCTGTGAATGATTCTGTCTAGATTTTATAAGAAGATGTTTCCTTTTCTACGGTAGGCCTCAAAGCGCTTGAAATCTCCAGCTGCAAATTCCACAAAAAGGGTGTTTAACATCTGCTCTTCTAAAGGAAAGTTCAACTCTATGAGTTGAATACACACAGCACAAAGAAGTTACTGAGACTTCTCCTATCAAACATTATATGAAGAAATCCCGTTTCCAACGAAGGCCTCAAAGAGGTCCAAATATCTGCTTGCAGACTTTACAGACAGAGTGTTTCCAAACTGCTCCATCCAAAGAAAGGTTAAACTCCTTGAGTTGAACACACACATCACAAAGTAGTTTCTGTGAATGATTCTGTCTAGTTTTTATACGAAGATGTTTCCTTTTCTACCTTTGGTCTCAAAGCGATTGAAATCTCCACATGGAAACTCCACAAAAAGAGTGTTTCAAATCTGCTCTTTCTGAAGGAAGGTTCATCTCTGTGAGTTGAATACACACACCACAAATAAGTTACTGAGAATTCTTCTGTGTAACATTATATGAGGAAATCCCGTTTCCAACGAAGGCCTCAAAGAGGTCCAAATATCCACTTGCAGACTTTACAAAGACAGTGTCTCCAAACTCCTCCATCAAAAGAAAGCTTATACTCTGTGAATTGAACGCACACATCACAAAGTAGTTTCTGAGAATGATTCTGTCTAGTTTTTATACGAAGATATTTCCTTTTCTACATTTGGCCTAAAAGCGCTTGAAATCTCCACGTGGAAATATCACAAAAAGAGGGTTTCACATCTGCTCTGTCTAAAGGACAGTTCACCTCTGTGAGTTGAATTGAGGCAACACATAGAACTTACTCAATATTCTTCTTTCTAGCGTTATATGAAGAAATCCCGTTTCCAACGAAGGCCTCAAAGAGGTCCAAATATCTGCTTGCAGACTTTACAGACAGAGTGTTTCCAAACTACTCTATGAAAAGAAAGCTTAAACTCCTTGAGTTGAACGCACACATCACAAAGTAGTTTCTGAGAATGATTCTGTCTTGTTTTTATACAAAGTTATTTCTGTTTCTATGATTGGCCTCAAAGCGATTGAAATCTCCAACTGGAAACTGCACAAATAGGGTGTTTCAAATCTGCTCTGTCTAAAGGAAGGTTCAACTCTGTGAGTTGAATACACACACCACAAATAAGTTACTGAGAATTCTTCTGTCGAACATTACATGAAGAAATCCCGTTTCCAACGAAGGCCTCAAAGAGGTCCAAATATCCACTTGCAGACATTACAAACAGAGTGTTTCCAAACTGCTCCATCAAAAGAAAGGTTAAACTCTGTGAGCTGAACACACACATCAAAAAGAAGTTTCTGTGAATGATTCTGTCTAGATTTTATAAGAAGATGTTTCCTTTTCTACCGTAGGCCTCAAAGCGCTTGAAATCTCCAGCTGCAAATTCCACAAAAAGGGTGTTTAACATCTGCTCTTCTAAAGGAAAGTTCAACTCTATGAGTTGAATACACACAGCACAAAGAAGTTACTGAGACTTCTCCTATCAAACATTATATGAAGAAATCCCGTTTCCAACGAAGGCCTCAAAGAGGTCCAAATATCTGCTTGCAGACTTTACAGACAGAGTGTTTCCAAACTGCTCCATCAAAAGAAAGGTTAAACTCCTTGAGTTGAACACACACATCACAAAGTAGTTTCTGTGAATGATTCTGTCTAGTTTCTATACGAAGATGTTTCCTTTTCTACCTTTGGTCTCAAAGCGATTGAAATCTCCACATGGAAACTCCAAAAAAAGAGTGTTTCAAATCTGCTCTTTCTGAAGGAAGGTTCAACTCTGTGAGTTGAATACACACACCACAAATAAGTTACTGAGAATTCTTCTGTGTAACATTATATGAGGAAATCCCGTTTCCAACGAAGGCCTCAAAGAGGTCCAAATATCCACTTGCAGACTTTACAAAGACAGTGTCTCCAAACTCCTCCATCAAAAGAAAGGTTATACTCTGTGAATTGAACGCACACATCACAAAGTAGTTTCTGAGAATGATTCTGTCTAGTTTTTATACGAAGATATTTCCTTTTCTACATTTGGCCTAAAAGCGCTTGAAATCTCCACCTGCAAATATCACAAAAAGAGGGTTTCACATCTGCTCTGTCTAAAGGACAGTTCACCTCTGTGAGTTGAATAGAGGCAACACAAAGGACTTACTCAGTATTCTTCTTTCTAGCGTTCTATGAAGAAATCCCGTTTCCAACGAAGGCCCCAAAGAGGTCCAAATATCTGCTTGCAGACTTTACAGACAGAGTGTTTCCAAACTACTCTATGAAAAGAAAGCTTAAACTCCTTGAGTTGAACGCACACATCACAAAGTAGTTTCTGAGAATGATTCTGTCTAGTTTTTATACGAAGATGTTTCCTTTTCTACATTTGGTCTCAAAGCGATTGAAATCTCCAACTGGAAACTGCACAAATAGGGTGTTTCAAATCTGCTCTGTCTAAAGGAAGGTTCAACTCTGTGAGTTGAATACACACACCACAAATAAGTTACTGAGAATTCTTCTGTCGAACATTAGTTGAAGAAATCCCGTTTCCAACGAAGGCCTCAAAGTGGTCCAAATATCCACTTGCAGACATTACAAACAGTGGGTTTCCAAACTGCTCCATCAAAAGAAAGGTTAAACTCTTTGAGCTGAACACACACATCAAAAAGAAGTTTCTGTGAATGATTCTGTCTAGATTTTATAAGAAGATGTTTCCTTTTCTACCGTAGGCCTCAAAGCGCTTGAAATCTCCAGCTGCAAATTCCACAAAAAGGGTGTTTAACATCTGCTCTTCTAAAGGAAAGTTCAACTCTATGAGTTGAATACACACAGCACAAAGAAGTTACTGAGACTTCTCCTATCAAACATTATATGAAGAAATCCCGTTTCCAACGAAGGCCTCAAAGAGGTCCAAATATCTGCTTGCAGACTTTACAGACAGAGTGTTTCCAAACTGCTCCATCAAAAGAAAGGTTAAACTCCTTGAGTTGAACACACACATCCCAAAGTAGTTTCTGTGAATGATTCTGTCTAGTTTTTATACGAAGATGTTTCCTTTTCTACCTTTGGTCTCAAAACGATTGAAATCTCCACATGGAAACTCCACAAAAAGAGTGTTTCAAATCTGCTCTTTCTGAAGGAAGGTTGAACTCTGTGAGTTGAATACACACACCACAAATAAGTTACTGAGAATTCTTCTGTGTAACATTATATGAGGAAATCCCGTTTCCAACGAAGGCCTCAAAGAGGTCCAAATATCCACTTGCAGACTTTACAAAGACAGTGTCTCCAAACTCCTCCATCAAAAGAAAGGTTATACTCTGTGAATTGAACGCACACATCACAAAGTAGTTTCTGAGAATGATTCTGTCTAGTTTTTATACGAAGATATTTCCTTTTCTACATTTGGCCTAAAAGCGCTTGAAATCTCCACCTGCAAATATCACAAAAAGAGGGTTTCACATCTGCTCTATCTAAAGGAGAGTTCACCTCTGTGAGTTGAATAGAGGCAACACAAAGAACTTACTCAGTATTCTTCTTTCTAGCGTTCTATGAAGAAATCCCGTTTCCAACGAAGGCCTCAAAGAGGTCAAATATCTGCTTGCAGACTTTACAGACAGAGTGTTTCCAAACTACTCTATGAAAAGAAAGCTTAAACTCCTTGAGTTGAACGCACACATCACAAAGTAGTTTCTGAGAATGATTCTGTCTAGTTTTTATACGAAGATGTTTCCTTTTCTACATTTGGTCTCAAAGCGATTGAAATCTCCAACTGGAAACTGCACAAATAGGCTGTTTCAAATCTGCTCTGTCTAAAGGAAGGTTCAACTCTGTGAGTTGAATACACACACCACAAATAAGTTACTGAGAATTCTTCTGTCGAACATTACAGGAAGAAATCCCGTTTCCAACGAAGGCCTCAAAGAGGTCCAAATATCCACTTGCAGACATTACAAACAGTGTGTTTCCCAACTGCTCCATCAAAAGAAAGGTTAAACTCTGTGAGCTGAACACACACATCAAAAAGAAGTTTCTGTGAATGATTCTGTCTAGATTTTATAAGAAGATGTTTCCTTTTCTACCGTAGGCCTCAAAGCGCTTGAAATCTCCAGCTGCAAATTCCACAAAAAGGGTGTTTAACATCTGCTCTTCTAAAGGAAAGTTCAACTCTATGAGTTGAATACACACAGCACAAAGGAGTTACTGAGACTTCTCCTATCAAACATTATATGAAGAAATCCCGTTTGCAACGAAGGCCTCAAAGAGGTCCAAATATCTGCTTGCAGACTTTACAGACAGAGTTTTTCCAAACTGCTCCATCAAAAGAAAGGTTAAACTCCTTGAGTTGAACACACACATCACAAAGTAGTTTCTGTGAATGATTCTGTCTAGTTTTTATACGAAGATGTTTCCTTTTTTACCTTTGGTCTCAATGCGATTGAAATCTCCACATGGAAACTCCACAAAAAGAGTGTTTCAAATCTGCTCTTTCTGAAGGAAGGTTCAACTCTGTGAGTTGAATACACACACCACAAATAAGTTACTGAGAATTCTTCTGTGTAACATTATATGAGGAAATCCCGTCTCCAACGAAGGCCTCAAAGAGGTCCAAATATCCACTTGCAGACTTACAAAGACAGTGTCTCCAAACTCTTCCATCAAAAGAAAGGTTATACTCTGTGAATTGAACGCACACATCACAAAGTAGTTTCTGAGAATGATTCTGTCTAGTTTTTATACGAAGATATTTCCTTTTCTACATTTGGCCTAAAAGCGCTTGAAATCTCCACCTGCAAATATCACAAAAAGAGGGTTTCACATCTGCTCTGTCTAAAGGACAGTTCACCTCTGTGAGTTGAATAGAGGCAACACAAAGAACTTACTCAGTATTCTTCTTTCTAGCGTTCTATGAAGAAATCCCGTTTCCAACGAAGGCCCCAAAGAGGTCCAAATATCTGCTTGCAGACTTTACAGACAGAGTGTTTCCAAACTACTCTATGAAAAGAAAGCTTAAACTCCTTGAGTTGAACGCACACATCACAAAGTAGTTTCTGAGAATGATTCTGTCTAGTTTTTATACGAAGATGTTTCCTTTTCTACATTTGGTCTCAAAGCGATTGAAATCTCCAACTGGAAACTGCACAAATAGGGTGTTTCAAATCTGCTCTGTCTAAAGGAAGGTTCAACTCTGTGAGTTGAATACACACACCACAAATAAGTTACTGAGAATTCTTCTGTCGAACATTACTTGAAGAAATCCCGTTTCCAACGAAGGCCTCAAAGAGGTCCAAATATCCACTTGCAGACATTACAAACAGAGTGTTTCCAAACTGCTCCATCAAAAGAAAGGTTAAACTCTGTGAGCTGAACACACACATCGAAAAGAAGTTTCTGTGAATGATTCTGTCTAGATTTTATAAGAAGATGTTTCCTTTTCTACCGTAGGCCTCAAAGCGCTTGAAATCTCCAACTGCAAATTCCACAAAAAGGGTGTTTAACATCGGCTCTTCTAAAGGAAAGTTCAACTCTATGAGTTGAATACACACAGCACAAAGAAGTTACTGAGACTTCTCCTATCAAACATTATATGAAGAAATCCCGTTTCCAACGAAGGCCTCAAAGAGGTCCAAATATCTGCTTGCAGACTTTACAGACAGAGTGTTTCCAAACTGCTCCATCAAAAGAAAGGTTAAACTCCTTGAGTTGAACACACACATCACAAAGTAGTTTCTGTGAATGATTCTGTCTAGTTTTTATACGAAGATGTTTCCTTTTCTACCTTTGGTCTCAAAGCGATTGAAATCTCCACATGGAAACTCCACAAAAAGAGTGTTTCAAATCTGCTCTTTCTGAAGGAAGGTTCAACTCTGTGAGTTGAATACACACACCACAAATAAGTTACTGAGAATTCTTCTGTGTAACATTATATGAGGAAATCCCGTTTCCAACGAAGGCCTCAAAGAGGTCCAAATATCCACTTGCAGACTTTACAAAGACAGTGTCTCCAAACTCCTCCATCAAAAGAAAGGTTATACTCTGTGAATTGAACGCACACATCACAAAGTAGTTTCTGAGAATGCTTCTGTCTAGTTTTTATACGAAGTTATTTCCTTTTCTACATTTGGCCTAAAAGCGCTTGAAATCTCCACCTGCAAATATCACAAAAAGAGGGTTTCACATCTACTCTGTCTAAAGGACAGTTCACCTCTGTGAGTTGAATAGAGGCAACACAAAGAACTTACTCAGTATTCTTCTTTCTAGCGTTCTATGAAGAAATCCCGTTTCCAACGAAGACCCCAATGAGGTCCAAATATCTGCTTGCAGACTTTACAGACAGAGTGTTTCCAAACTACTCTATGAAAAGAAAGCTTAAACTCCTTGAGTTGAACGCACACATCACAAAGTAGTTTCTGAGAATGATTCTGTCTAGTTTTTATACGAAGATGTTTCCTTTTCTACATTTGGTCTCAAAGCGATTGAAATCTCCAACTGGAAACTGCACAAATAGGGTGTTTCAAATCTGCTCTGTCTAAAGGAAGGTTCAACTCTGTGAGTTGAATACACAAACCACAAACAAGTTACTGAGAATTCTTCTGTCGAACATTACTTGAAGAAATCCCGTTTCCAACGAAGGCCTCAAAGAGGTCCAAATATCCACTTGCAGACATTACAAACAGAGTGTTTCCAAACTGCTCCATCAAAAGAAAGGTTAAACTCTGTGAGCTGAACACACACATCAAAAAGAAGTTTCTGTGAATGATTCTGTCTAGATTTTATAAGAAGATGTTTGCTTTTCTACCGTAGGCCTCAAAGCGCTTGAAATCTCCAGCTGCAAATTCCACAAAAAGGGTGTTTAACATCTGCTCTTCTAAAGGAAAGTTCAACTCTATGCGTTGAATACACACAGCACAAAGAAGTTACTGAGACTTCTCCTATCAAACATTATATGAAGAAATCCCGTTTCCAACGAAGGCCTAAAAGAGGTCCAAATATCTGCTTGCAGAGTTTACAGACAGAGTTTTTCCAAACTGCTCCATCAAAAGAAAGGTTAAACTCCTTGAGTTGAACACACACATCACAAATGCTAGTTTCTGTGAATGATTCTGTCTAGTTTTTATACGAAGATGTTTCCTTTTCTACCTTTGGTCTCAAAGCGATTGAAATCTCCACATGGAAACTCCACAAAAAGAGTGTTTCAAATCTGCTCTTTCTGAAGGAAGGTTCAACTCTGTGAGTTGAATACACACACCACAAATAAGTTACTGAGAATTCTCCCTGTGTAACATTATATGAGGAAATCCCGTTTCCAACAAAGGCCTCAAAGAGGTCCAAATATCCACTTGCAGACTTTACAAAGACAGTGTCTCCAAACTCCTCCATCAAAAGAAAGGTTATACTCTGTGAATTGAACGCACACATCACAAAGTAGTTTCTGAGAATGATTCTGTCTAGTTTTTATACGAAGAATATTTCCTTTTCTACATTTGGCCTAAAAGCGCTTGAAATCTCCACCTGCAAATATCACAAAAAGAGGGTTTCACATCTGCTCTGTCTAAAGGACAGTTCACCTCTGTGAGTTGAATAGAGGCAACACAAAGAACTTACTCAGTATTCTTCTTTCTAGCGTTCTATGAAGAAATCCCGTTTCCAACGAAGGCCTCAAAGAGGTCAAATATCTGCTTGCAGACTTTACAGACAGAGTGTTTCCAAACTACTCTATGAAAAGAAAGCTTAAACTCCTTGAGTTGAACGCACACATCACAAAGTAGTTTCTGAGAATGATTCTGTCTAGTTTTTATACGAAGATGTTTCCTTTTCTACATTTGGTCTCAAAGCGATTGAAATCTCCAACTGGAAACTGCACAAATAGGCTGTTTCAAATCTGCTCTGTCTAAAGGAAGGTTCAGCTCTGTGAGTTGAATACACACACCACAAATAAGTTACTGAGAATTCTTCTGTCGAACATTACAGGAAGAAATCCCGTTTCCAACGAAGGCCTCAAAGAGCTCCAAATATCCACTTGCAGACATTACAAACAGTGTGTTTCCCAACTGCTCCATCAAAAGAAAGGTTAAACTCTGTGAGCTGAACACACACATCAAAAAGAAGTTTCTGTGAATGATTCTGTCTAGATTTTATAAGAAGATGTTTCCTTTTCTACCGTAGGCCTCAAAGCGCTTGAAATCTCCAGCTGCAAATTCCACAAAAAGGGTGTTTAACATCTGCTCTTCTAAAGGAAAGTTCAACTCTATGAGTTGAATACACACAGCACAAAGAAGTTACTGAGACTTCTCCTATCAAACATTATATGAAGAAATCCCGTTTCCAACGAAGGCCTCAAAGAGGTCCAAATATCTGCTTGCAGACTTTACAGACAGAGTGTTTCCAAACTGCTCCATCAAAAGAAAGGTTAAACTCCTTGAGTTGAACACACACATCACAAAGTAGTTTCTGTGAATGATTCTGTCTAGTTTTTATACGAAGATGTTTCCTTTTCTACCTTTGGTCTCAAAGCGATTGAAATCTCCACATGGAAACTCCACAAAAAGAGTGTTTCAAATCTGCTCTTTCTGAAGGAAGGTTCAACTCTGTGAGTTGAATACACACACCACAAATAAGTTACTGAGAATTCTTCTGTGTAACATTATATGAGGAAATCCCGTTTCCAACGAAGGCCTCAAAGAGGTCCAAATATCCACTTGCAGACTTTACAAAGACAGTGTCTCCAAACTCCTCCATCAAAAGAAAGGTTATACTCTGTGAATTGAATGCACACATCACAAAGTAGTTTCTGAGAATGATTCTGTCTAGTTTTTATACGAAGATATTTCCTTTTCTACATTTGACCTAAAAGTGCTTGAAATCTCCACCTGCAAATATCACAAAAAGAGGGTTTCACATCTGCTCTGTCTAAAGGACAGTTCACCTCTGTGAGTTGAATAGAGGCAACACAAAGAAGTTACTGAGGATTCTTCTTTCTAGCATTCTATGAAGAAATCCCGTTTCCAACGAAGGCCCCAAAGAGGTCCAAATATCTGCTTGCAGACTTTACAGACAGAGTTTTTCCAAACTGCTCCATCAAAAGAAAGGTTAAACTCCTTGAGTTGAACACACACATCACAAAGTAGTTTCTGTGAATGATTCTGTCTAGTTTTTATAAGAAGATGTTTCCTTTTCTACCTTTGGTCTCAAAGCGATTGAAATCTCCACATGGAAACTCCTCAAAAAGAGTGTTTCAAATCTGCTCTTTCTGAAGGAAGGTTCAACTCTGTGAGTTGAATACACAAACCACTAATAAGTTACTGAGAATTCTTCTGTGTAACATTATATGAGGAAATCCCGTTTCCAACGAAGGCCTCAAAGAGGTCCAAATATCCACTTGCGGACATTACAAACAGTGTGTTTCCCAACTGCTCCATCAAAAGAAAGGTTAAACTCTGTGAGCTGAACACACACATCAAAAAGAAGTTTCTGTGAATGATTCTGTCTAGATTTTATAAGAAGATGTTTCCTTTTCTACCGTAGGCCTCAAAGCGCTTGAAATCTCCAGCTGCAAATTCCACAAAAAGGGTGTTTAACATCTGCTCTTCTAAAGGAAAGTTCAACTCTATGAGTTGAATACACACAGCACAAAGAAGTTACTGAGACTTCTCCTATCAAACATTATATGAAGAAATCCCGTTTCCAACGAAGGCCTCAAAGAGGTCCAAATGTCTCCTTGCAGACTTTACAGACAGAGTGTTTCCAAACTGCTCCATCAAAAGAAAGGTTAAACTCCTTGAGTTGAACACACACATCACAAAGTAGTTTCTGAGAATGATTCTGTCTAGTTTTTATACGAAGATGTTTCCTTTTCTACATTTGGTCTCAAAGCGATTGAAATCTCCAACTGGAAACTGCACAAATAGGCTGTTTCAAATCTGCTCTGTCTAAAGGAAGGTTCAGCTCTGTGAGTTGAATACACACACCACAAATAAGTTACTGAGAATTCTTCTGTCGAACATTACAGGAAGAAATCCCGTTTCCAACGAAGGCCTCAAAGAGCTCCAAATATCCACTTGCAGACATTACAAACAGTGTGTTTCCCAACTGCTCCATCAAAAGAAAGGTTAAACTCTGTGAGCTGAACACACACATCAAAAAGAAGTTTCTGTGAATGATTCTGTCTAGATTTTATAAGAAGATGTTTCCTTTTCTACCGTAGGCCTCAAAGCGCTTGAAATCTCCAGCTGCAAATTCCACAAAAAGGGTGTTTAACATCTGCTCTTCTAAAGGAAAGTTCAACTCTATGAGTTGAATACACACAGCACAAAGAAGTTACTGAGACTTCTCCTATCAAACATTATATGAAGAAATCCCGTTTCCAACGAAGGCCTCAAAGAGGTCCAAATATCTGCTTGCAGACTTTACAGACAGAGTATTTCCAAACTGCTCCATCAAAAGAAAGGTTAAACTCCTTGAGTTGAACACACACATCACAAAGTAGTTTCTGTGAATGATTCTGTCTAGTTTTTATACGAAGATGTTTCCTTTTCTACCTTTGGTCTCAAAGCGATTGAAATCTCCACATGGAAACTCCACAAAAAGAGTGTTTCAAATCTGCTCTTTCTGAAGGAAGGTTCAACTCTGTGAGTTGAATACACACACCACAAATAAGTTACTGAGAATTCTTCTGTGTAACATTATATGAGGAAATCCCGTTTCCAACGAAGGCCTCAAAGAGGTCCAAATATCCACTTGCAGACTTTACAAAGACAGTGTCTCCAAACTCCTCCATCAAAAGAAAGGTTATACTCTGTGAATTGAACGCACACATCACAAAGTAGTTTCTGAGAATGATTCTGTCTAGTTTTTATACGAAGATATTTCCTTTTCTACATTTGGCCTAAAAGCGCTTGAAATCTCCACGTGCAAATATCACAAAAAGAGGGTTTCACATCTGCTCTGTCTAAAGGACAGTTCATCTCTGTGAGTTGAATAGAGGCAACACAAAGAACTTACTCAGTATTCTTCTTTCTACCGTTCTATGAAGAAATCCCGTTTCCAACGAAGGCCTCAAAGAGGTCCAAATATCTGCTTGCAGACTTTACAGACAGAGTGTTTCCAAACTACTCTATGAAAAGAAAGCTTAAACTCCTTGAGTTGAACGCACACATCACAAAGTAGTTTCTGAGAATGATTCTGTCTAGTTTTTATACGAAGATGTTTCCTTTTCTACATTTGGTCTCAAAGCGATTGAAATCTCCAACTGGAAACTGCACAAATAGGGTGTTTCAAATCTGCTCTGTCTAAAGGAAGGTTCAACTCTGTGAGTTGAATACACACACCACAAATAAGTTACTGAGAATTCTTCTGTCGAACATTACATGAAGAAATCCCGTTTCCAACGAAGGCCTCAAAGAGGTCCAAATATCCACTTGCAGACATTACAAACAGAGTGTTTCCAAACTGCTCCATCAAAAGAAAGGTTAAACTCTGTGAGCTGAACACACACATCAAAAAGAAGTTTCTGTGAATGATTCTGTCTAGATTTTATAAGAAGATGTTTCCTTTTCTACCGTAGGCCTCAAAGCGCTTGAAATCTCCAGCTGCAAATTCCACAAAAAGGGTGTTTAACATCTGCTCTTCTAAAGGAAAGTTCAACTCTATGAGTTGAATACACACAGCACAAAGAAGTTACTGAGACTTCTCCTATCAAACATTATATGAAGAAATCCCGTTTCCAACGAAGGCCTCAAAGAGGTCCAAATATCTGCTTGCAGACTTTACAGACAGAGTATTTCCAAACTGCTCCATCAAAAGAAAGGTTAAACTCCTTGAGTTGAACACACACATCACAAAGTAGTTTCTGTGAATGATTCTGTCTAGTTTTTATACGAAGATGTTTCCTTTTCTACCTTTGGTCTCAAAGCGATTGAAATCTCCACATGGAAACTCCACAAAAAGAGTGTTTCAAATCTGCTCTTTCTGAAGGAAGGTTCAACTCTGTGAGTTGAATACACACACCACAAATAAGTTACTGAGAATTCTTCTGTGTAACATTATATGAGGAAATCCCGTTTCCAACGAAGGCCTCAAAGAGGTCCAAATATCCACTTGCAGACTTTACAAAGACAGTGTCTCCAAACTCCTCCATCAAAAGAAAGGTTATACTCTGTGAATTGAACGCACACATCACAAAGTAGTTTCTGAGAATGATTCTGTCTAGTTTTTATACGAAGATATTTCCTTTTCTACATTTGGCCTAAAAGCGCTTGAAATCTCCACCTGCAAATATCACAAAAAGAGGGTTTCACATCTGCTCTGTCTAAAGGACAGTTCACCTCTGTGAGTTGAATAGAGGCAACACAAAGAACTTACTCAGTATTCTTCTTTCTAGCGTTCTATGAAGAAATCCCGTTTCCAACGAAGGCCCCAAAGAGGTCCAAATATCTGCTTGCAGACTTTACAGACAGAGTGTTTCCAAACTGCTCCATCAACAGAAAGGTTAAACTCTGTGAGCTGAACACACACATCAAAAAGAAGTTTCTGTGAATGATTCTGTCTAGATTTTATAAAAAGATGTTTCCTTTTCTACATTTGGCCTCAAAGCGCTTGAAATCTCCAGCTGCAAATTCCACAAAAAGGGTGTTTAACATCTGCTCTTCTAAAGGAAAGTTCAACTCTATGCGTTGAATACACACAGCACAAAGAAGTTACTGAGACTTCTCCTATCAAACATTATATGAAGAAATCCCGTTTCCAACGAAGGCCTCAAAGAGGTCCAAATATCTGCTTGCAGACTTTACAGACAGAGTTTTTCCAAACTGCTCCATCAAAAGAAAGGTTAAACTCCTTGAGTTGAACACACACATCACAAAGTAGTTTCTGTGAATGATTCTGTCTAGTTGTTATACGAAGATGTTTCCTTTTCTACCTTTGGTCTCAAAGCGATTGAAATCTCCACATGGAAACTCCACAAAAAGAGTGTTTCAAATCTGCTCTTTCTGAAGGAAAGTTCATCTCTGTGAGTTGAATACACACACCACAAATAAGTTACTGAGAATTCTTCTGGGTAACATTATATGAGGAAATCCCGTTTCCAACGAAGGCCTCAAAGAGGTCCAAATATCCACTTGCAGACTTTACAAAGACAGTGTCTCCAAACTCCTCCATCAAAAGAAAGGTTATACTCTGTGAATTGAACGCACACATCACAAAGTAGTTTCTGAGAATGATTCTGTCTAGTTTTTATACGAAGATATTTCCTTTTCTACATTTGGCCTAAAAGCGATTGAAATCTCCACCTGCAAATATCACAAAAAGAGGGTTTCACATCTGCTCTGTCTAAAGGACAGTTCACCTCTGTGAGTTGAATAGAGGCAACACAAAGAACTTACTCAGTATTCTTCTTTCCAGCGTTCTATGAAGAAATCCCTTTTCCAACGAAGGCCTGAAATAGGTCCAAATATCTGCTTGCAGACTTTACAGACAGAGTGTTTCCAAACTACTCTATGAAAAGAAAGCTTAAACTCCTTGAGTTGAACGCACACATCACAAAGTAGTTTCTGAGAATGATTCTGTCTAGTTTTTATACGAAGATGTTTCCTTTTCTACATTTGGTCTCAAAGCGATTGAAATCTCCAACTGGAAACTGCACAAATAGGGTGTTTCAAATCTGCTCTGTCTAAAGGAAGGTTCAACTCTGTGAGTTGAATACACACACCACAAATAAGTTACTGAGAATTCTTCGGTCGAACATTACATGAAGAAATCCCGTTTCCAACGAAGGCCTCAAAGAGGTCCAAATATCCACTTGCAGACATTACAAACAGTGTGTTTCCAAACTGCTCCATCAAAAGAAAGGTTAAACTCTGTGAGCTGAACACACACATCAAAAAGAAGTTTCTGTGAATGATTCTGTCTAGATTTTATAAGAAGATGTTTCCTTTTCTACCGTAGGCCTCAAAGCGCTTGAAATCTCCAGCTGCAAATTCCACAAAAAGGGTGTTTAACATCTGCTCTACTAAAGGAAAGTTCAACTCTATGAGTTGAATACACACAGCAGAAAGAAGTTACTGAGACTTCTCCTATCAAACATTATATGAAAAAATCCCATTTCCAACGAAGGCCTCAAAGAGGTCCAAATATCTGCTTGCAGACTTTACAGACAGAGTGTTTCCAAACTGCTCCATCAAAAGAAAGGTTAACCTCCTGAGTTGAACACACACATCACAAAGTAGTTTCTGTGAATGATTCTGTCTAGTTTTTATACGAAGATGTTTCCTTTTCTACCTTTGGTCTCAAAGCGATTGAAATCTCCACATGGAAACTCCACAAAAAGAGTGTTTCAAATCTGCTCTTTCTGAAGGAAGGTTCATCTTTGTGAGTTGAATACACACACCACAAATAAGTTACTGAGAATTCTTCTGTGTAACATTATATGAGGAAATCCCGTTTCCAACGAAGGCCTCAAAGAGGTCCAAATATCCACTTGCAGACTTTACAAAGACAGTGTCTCCAAACTCCTCCATCAAAAGAAAGGTTATACTCTGTGAATTGAACGCACACATCACAAAGTAGTTTCTGAGAATGATTCTGTCTAGTTCTTATACGAAGATATTTCCTTTTCTACATTTGGCCTAAAAGCGCTTGAAATCTCCACCTGCAAATATCACAAAAAGAGGGTTTCACATCTGCTCTGTCTAAAGGACAGTTCACCTTTGTGAGTTGAATAGAGGCAACACAAAGAAGTTACTCAGTATACTTCTTTCTAGCGTTCTATGAAGAAATCCCGTTTCCAACGAAGGCCTCAAAGAGGTCAAAGATCTGCTTGCAGACTTTACAGACAGAGTGTTTCCAAACTACTCTATGAAAAGAAAGCGTAAACTCCTTGAGTTGAACGCACACATCACAAAGTAGTTTCTGAGAATGATTCTGTCTAGTTTTTATACGAAGATGTTTCCTTTTCTACATTTGGTCTCAAAGCGATTGAAATCTCCAACTGGAAACTGCACAAATAGGGTGTTTCAAATCTGCTCTGTCTAAAGGAAGGTTCAACTCTGTGAGTTGAATACACACACCACAAATAAGTTACTGAGAATTCTTCTGTCGAACATTACTTGAAGAAATCCCGTTTCCAACGAAGGCCTCAAAGAGGTCCAAATATCCACTTGCAGACGTTACAAACAGAGTGTTTCCAAACTGCTCCATCAAAAGAAAGGTTAAACTCTGTGAGCTGAACACACACATCAAAAAGAAGTTTCTGTGAATGATTCTGTCTAGAATTTTATAAGAAGATGTTTCCTTTTCTACCGTAGGCCTCAAAGCGCTTGAAATCTCCAGCTGCAAATTCCACAAAAAGGGTGTTTAACATCTGCTCTTCTAAAGGAAAGTTCAACTCTATGAGTTGAATACACACAGCACAAAGAAGTTACTGAGACTTCTCCTATCAAACATTATATGAAGAAATCCCGTTTCCAACGAAGGCCTCAAAGAGGTCCAAATATCTGCTTGCAGACTTTACAGACAGAGTGTTTCCAAACTGCTCCATCAAAAGAAAGGTTAAACTCCTTGAGTTGAACACACACATCACAAAGTAGTTTCTGTGAATGATTCTGTCTAGTTTTTACAAGAAGATGTTTCCTTTTCTACCTTTGGTCTCAAAGCGATTGAAATCTCCACATGGAAACTCCACAAAAAGAGTGTTTCAAATCTGCTCTTTCTGAAGGAAGGTTCAACTCTGTGAGTTGAATACACACACCACAAATAAGTTACTGAGAATTCTCCCTGTGTAACATTATATGAGGAAATCCCGTTTCCAACAAAGGCCTCAAAGAGGTCCAAATATCCACTTGCAGACTTTACAAAGACAGTGTCTCCAAACTCCTCCATCAAAAGAAAGGTTATACTCTGTGAATTGAACGCACACATCACAAAGTAGTTTCTGAGAATGATTCTGTCTAGTTTTTATACGAAGTATATTTCCTTTTCTACATTTGGCCTAAAAGCGCTTGAAATCTCCACCTGCAAATATCACAAAAAGAGGGTTTCACATCTGCTCTGTCTAAAGGACAGTTCACCTCTGTGAGTTGAATAGAGGGAACACAAAGAACTTACTCAGTATTCTTCTTTCTAGCGTTATATGAAGAAATCCCGTTTCCAACGAAGGCCCTAAAGAGGTCCAAATATCTGCTTGCAGACTTTACAGACAGAGTGTTTCCAAACTACTCTATGAAAAGAAAGCTTAAACTCCTTGAGTTGAACGCACACATCACAAAGTAGTTTCTGAGAATGATTCTGTCTAGTTTTTATACGAAGATGTTTCCTTTTCTACATTTGGTCTCAAAGCGATTGAAATCTCCAACTGGAAACTGCACAAATAGGGTGTTTCAAATCTGCTCTGTCTAAAGGAAGGTTCAACTCTGTGAGTTGAATACACACACCACAAATAAGTTACTGAGAATTCTTCTGTCGAACATTAGTTGAAGAAATCCCGTTTCCAACGAAGGCCTCAAAGAGGTCCAAATATCCACTTGCAGACATTAGAAAAAGAGTGTTTCCAAACTGCTCCATCAAAAGAAAGGTTAAACTCTGTGAGCTGAACACACACATCAAAAAGAAGTTTCTGTGAATGATTCTGTCAAGATTTTATAAGATGTTTCCATTTCTACCGTAGGACTCAAAGCGCTTGAAATCTCCAGCTGCAAATTCCACAAAAAGGGTGTTTAACATCTGCTCTTCTAAAGGAAAGTTCAACTCTATGAGTTGAATACACACAGCACAAAGAAGTTACTGAGACTTCTCCTATCAAACATTATATGAAGAAATCCCGTTTCCAACGAAGGCCTCAAAGAGGTCCAAATATCTGCTTGCAGACTTTACAGACAGAGTTTTTCCAAACTGCTCCATCAAAAGAAAGGTTAAACTCCTTGAGTTGAACACACACATCACAAAGTAGTTTCTGTGAATGATTCTGTCTAGTTTTTATACGAAGATGTTTCCTTTTCTACCTTTGGTCTCAAAGCGATTGAAATCTCCACATGGAAACTCCACAAAAAGAGTGTTTCAAATCTGCTCTTTCTGAAGGAAGGTTCAACTCTGTGAGTTGAATACACACACCACAAATAAGTTACTGAGAATTCTTCTGTGTAACATTATATGAGGAAATCCCGTTTCCAACGAAGGCCTCAAAGAGGTCCAAATATCCACTTGCAGACTTTACAAAGACAGTGTCTCCAAACTCCTCCATCAAAAGAAAGGTTATACTCTGTGAATTGAACGCACACATCACAAAGTAGTTTCTGAGAATGATTCTGTCTAGTTTTTATACGAAGATATTTCCTTTTCTACATTTGGCCTAAAAGCGCTTGAAATCTCCACCTGCAAATATCACAAAAAGAGGGTTTCACATCTGCTCTGTCTAAAGGACAGTTCACCTCTGTGAGTTGAATAGAGGCAACACAAAGAACTTACTCAGTATTCTTCTTTCTAGCGTTCTATGAAGAAATCCCGTTTCCAACGAAGGCCCCAAAGAGGTCCAAATATCTGCTTGCAGACTTTACAGACAGAGTGTTTCCAAACTACTCTATGAAAAGAAAGCTTAAACTCCTTGAGTTGAACGCACACATCACAAAGTAGTTTCTGAGAATGATTCTGTCTAGTTTTTATACGAAGATGTTTCCTTTTCTACGTTTGGTCTCAAAGCGATTGAAATCTCCAACTGGAAACTGCACAAATAGGCTGTTTCAAATCTGCTCTGTCTAAAGGAAGGTTCAACTCTGTGAGTTGAATACACACACCACAAATAAGTTACTGAGAATTCTTCTGTCGAACATTACTTGAAGAAATCCCGTTTCCAACGAAGGCCTCAAAGAGGTCCAAATATCCACTTGCAGACATTACAAACAGATTGTTTCCAACCTGCTCCATCAAAAGAAAGGTTAAACTCTGTGAGCTGAACACATACATCAAAAAGAAGTTTCTGTGAATGATTCTGTCTAGATTTTATAAGAAGATATTTCCTTTTCTACCGTAGGCCTCAAAGCGCTTGAAATCTCCAGCTGCAAATTCCACAAAAAGGGTGTTTAACATCTGCTCTTCTAAAGGAAAGTTCAACTCTATGAGTTGAATACACACAGCACAAAGAAGTTACTGAGACTTCTCCTATCAAACATTATATGAAGAAATCCCGTTTCCAACGAAGGCCTCAAAGAGGTCCAAATATCTGCTTGCAGACTTTACAGACAGAGTGTTTCCAAACTGCTCCATCAAAAGAAAGGTTAAACTCCTTGAGTTGAACACACACATCACAAAGTAGTTTCTGTGAATGATTCTGTCCAGTTTTTATACGAAGATGTTTCCTTTTCTACCTTTGGTCTCAAAGCTATTGAAATCTCCACATGGAAACTCCACAAAAAGAGTGTTTCAAATCTGCTCTTTCTGAAGGAAGGTTCATCTCTGTGAGTTGAATACACACACCACAAATAAGTTACTGAGAATTCTTCTGTGTAACATTATATGAGGAAATCCCGTTTCCAACGAAGGCCTCAAAGAGATCCAAATATCCACTTGCAGACTTTACAAAGACAGTGTCTCCAAACTCCTCCATCAAAAGAAAGGTTATACTCCGTGAATTGAACGCACACATCACAAAGTAGTTTCTGAGAATGATTCTGTCTAGTTTTTATACGAAGATATTTCCTTTTCTACATTTGGCCTAAAAGCGCTTGAAATCTCCACCTGCAAATATCACAAAAAGAGGGTTTCACATCTGCTCTGTCTAAAGGACAGTTCACCTCTGTGAGTTGAATAGAGGCAACACAAAGAACTTACTCAGTATTCTTCTTTCTAGCGTTCTATGAAGAAATCCCGTTTCCAACGAAGGCCCCAAAGAGGTCCAAATATCTGCTTGCAGACTTTACAGACAGAGTGTTTCCAAACTACTCTATGAAAAGAAAGCTTGAACTCCTTGAGTTGAACGCACACATCACAAAGTAGTTTCTGAGAATGATTCTGTCTAGTTTTTATACGAAGTATGTTTCCTTTTCTACATTTGGTCTCAAAGCGATTGAAATCTCCAACTGGAAACTGCACAAATAGGCTGTTTCAAATCTGCTCTGTCTAAAGGAAGGTTCAACTCTGTGAGTTGAATACACACACCACAAATAAGTTACTGAGAATTCTTCTGTCGAACATTACAGGAAGAATTCCCGTTTCCAACGAAGGCCTCAAAGAGGTCCAAATATCCACTTGCGGACATTACAAACAGTGTGTTTCCCAACTGCTCCATCAAAAGAAAGGTTAAACTCTGTGAGCTGAACACACACATCAAAAAGAAGTTTCTGTGAATGATTCTGTCTAGATTTTATAAGAAGATGTTTCCTTTTCTACCGTAGGCCTCAAAGCGCTTGAAATCTCCAGCTGCAAATTCCACAAAAAGGGTGTTTAACATCTGCTCTTCTAAAGGAAAGTTCAACTCTATGAGTTGAATACACACAGCACAAAGAAGTTACTGAGACTTCTCCTATCAAACATTATATGAAGAAATCCCGTTTCCAACGAAGGCCTCAAAGAGGTCCAAATGTCTGCTTGCAGACTTTACAGACAGAGTGTTTCCAAACTGCTCCATCAAAAGAAAGGTTAAACTCCTTGAGTTGAACACACACATCACAAAGTAGTTTCTGTGAATGATTCTGTCTAGTTTTTATACGAAGATGTTTCCTTTTCTACCTTTGGTCTCAAAGCGATTGAAATCTCCACATGGAAACTCCACAAAAAGAGTGTTTCAAATCTGCTCTTTCTGAAGGAAGGTTCAACTCTGTGAGTTGAATACACACACCACAAATAAGTTACTGAGAATTCTTCTGTGTAACATTATATGAGGAAATCCCGTTTCCAACGAAGGCCTCAAAGAGGTCCAAATATCCACTTGCAGACTTTACAAAGACAGTGTCTCCAAACTCCTCCATCAAAAGAAAGGTTATACTCTGTGAATTGAACGCACACATCACAAAGTAGTTTCTGAGAATGATTCTGTCTAGTTTTTATACGAAGATATTTCCTTTTCTACATTTGGCCTAAAAGCGCTTGAAATCTCCACCTGCAAATATCACAAAAAGAGGGTTTCACATCTGCTCTGTCTAAAGGACAGTTCACCTCTGTGAGTTGAATAGAGGCAACACAAAGAACTTACTCAGTATTCTTCTTTCTAGCGTTCTATGAAGAAATCCCGTTTCCAACGAAGGCCTCAAAGAGGTCCAAATATCTGCTTGCAGACTTTACAGACAGAGTGTTTCCAAACTACTCTATGAAAAGAAAGCTTAAACTCCTTGAGTTGAACGCACACATCACAAAGTAGTTTCTGAGAATGATTCTGTCTAGTTTTTATACGAAGATGTTTCCTTTTCTACATTTGGTCTCAAAGCGATTGAAATCTCCAACTGGAAACTGCACAAATAGGGAGTTTCAAATCTGATCTGTCTAAAGGAAGGGTCAACTCTGTGAGTTGAATACACACACCACAAATAAGTTACTGAGAATTCTTCTGTCGAACATTACATGAAGAAATCCCGTTTCCAACGAAGGCCTCAAAGAGGTCCAAATATCCACTTGCAGACATTACAGAGTGTTTCCAAACTGCTCCATCAAAAGAAAGGTTAAACTCTGTGAGCTGAACACACACATCAAAAAGAAGTTTCTGTGAATGATTCTGTCTAGATTTTATAAGAAGATGTTTCCTTTTCTACCGTAGGCCTCAAAGCGCTTGAAATCTCCAGCTGCAAATTCCACAAAAAGGGTGTTTAACATCTGCTCTTCTAAAGGAAAGTTCAACTCTATGAGTTGAATACACACAGCACAAAGAAGTTACTGAGACTTCTCCTATCAAACATTATATGAAGAAATCCCGTTTCCAACGAAGGCCTCAAAGAGGTCCAAATATCCACTTGCAGACGTGACAAACAGAGTGTTTCCAAACTGCTCCATCAAAAGAAAGGTTAAACTCTGTGAGTTGAACACACACATCACAAAGTAGTTTCTGTGAATGATTCTGTCTAGTTTTTATACGAAGATGTTTCCTTTTCTACCTTTGGTCTCAAAGCGATTGAAATCTCCACATGGAAACTCCACAAAAAGAGTGTTTCAAATCTGCTCTTTCTGAAGGAAGGTTCAACTCTGTGAATTGAATACACACACCACAAATAAGTTACTGAGAATTCTTCTGTGTAACATTATGTGAGGAAATCCCGTTTCCAACGAAGGCCTGAAACAGGTCCAAATATCCACTTGCAGACTTTACAAAGACAGTGTCTCCAAACTCCTCCATCAAAAGAAAGGTTATACTGTGTGAATTGAACGCACACATCACAAAGTAGTTTCTGAGAAAGATTCTGTCTAGTTTTTATACGAAGATATTTCCTTTTCTACATTTGGCCTAAAAGCGCTTGAAATCTCCACCTGCAAATATCACAAAAAGAGGGTTTCACATCTGCTCTGTCTGAAGGACAGTTCACCTCTGTGAGTTGAATAGAGGCAACACAAAGAACTTACTCAGTATTCTTCTTTCTAGCGTTCTATGAAGAAATCCCGTTTCCAACGAAGGCCTCAAAGAGGTCCAAATATCTGCTTGCAGACTTTACAGACAGAGTGTTTCCAAACTACTCTATGAAAAGAAAGCTTAAACTCCTTGAGTTGAACGCACACATCACAAAGTAGTTTCTGAGAATGATTCTGTCTAGTTTTTATACGAAGATGTTTCCTTTTCTACATTTGGTCTCAAAGCGATTGAAATCTCCAACTGGAAACTGCACAAATAGGGTGTTTCAAATCTGCTCTGTCTAAAGGAAGGTTCAACTCTGTGAGTTGAATACACACACCACAAATAAGTTACTGAGAATTCTTCTGTCGAACATTACTTGAAGAAATCCCGTTTCCAACGAAGGCCTCAAAGAGGTCCAAATATCCACTTGCAGATATTACAAACAGAGTGTTTCCAAACTGCTCCATCAAAAGAAAGGTTAAACTCTGTGAGCTGAACACACACATCAAAAAGAAGTTTCTGTGAATGATTCTGTCTAGATTTTATAAGAAGATGTTTCCTTTTCTACTGTAGGCCTCAAAGCGCTTGAAATCTCCAGCTGCAAATTCCACAAAAAGGGTGTTTAACATCTGCTCTTCTAAAAGAAAGTTCAACTCTATGAGTTGAATACTCACAGCACAAAGAAGTTACTGAGACTTCTCCTATCAAACATTATATGAAGAAATCCCGTTTCCAACGAAGGCCTCAAAGAGGTCCAAATATCTGCTTGCAGACTTTACAGACAGAGTTTTTCCAAACTGCTCCATCAAAAGAAAGGTTAAACTCCTTGAGTTGAACACACACATCACAAAGTAGTTTCTGTGAATGATTCTGTCTAGTTTTTATACGAAGATGTTTCCTTTTCTACCTTTGGTCTCAAAGCGATTGAAATCTCCACATGGAAACTCCACAAAAAGAGTGTTTCAAATCTGCTCTTTCTGAAGGAAGGTTCAACTCTGTGAGTTGAATACACACACCACAAATAAGTTACTGAGAATTCTTCTGTGTAACATTATATGAGGAAATCCCGTTTCCAATGAAGGCCTCAAAGAGGTCCAAATATCCACTTGCAGACTTTACAAAGACAGTGTCTCCAAACTCCTCCATCAAAAGAAAGGTTATACTCTGTGAATTGAACGCACACATCACAAAGTAGTTTCTGAGAACGATTCTGTCTAGTTTTTATACGAAGATATTTCCTTTTCTACATTTGGCCTAAAAGCGCTTGAAATCTCCACCTGCAAATATCACAAAAAGAGGGTTTCACATCTGCTCTGTCTAAAGGACAGTTCACCTCTGTGAGTTGAATAGAGGCAACACAAAGAACGTACTCAGTATTCTTCTTTCTAGCGTTCTATGAAGAAATCCCGTTTCCAACGAAGGCCTCAAAGAGGTCCAAATATCTGCTTGCAGACTTTACAGACAGAGTGTTTCCAAACTACTCTATGAAAAGAAAGCTTAAACTCCTTGAGTTGAACGCACACATCACAAAGTAGTTTCTGAGAATGATTCTGTCTTGTTTTTATACGAAGATATTTCCGTTTCTATGATTGGCCTCAAAGCCATTGAAATCTCCAACAGGAAGCTGCACAAACAGGGTGTTTCAACTCTGCTCTGTCTAAAGGAAGTTTCAACTCTGTGAGTTGAATACACACACCACAAATAAGTTACTGAGAATTCTTCTGTCGAACATTACAGGAAGAAATCCCGTTTCCAACGAAGGCCTCAAAGAGGTCCAAATATCCACTTGCAGACATTACAAACAGAGTGTTTCCAAACTGCTCCATCAAAAGAAAGGTTAAACTCTGTGAGCTGAACACACACATCAAAAAGAAGTTTCTGTGAATGATTCTGTCTAGATTTTATAAGAAGATGTTTCCTTTTCTACCGTAGGCCTCAAAGCGCTTGAAATCTCCAGCTGCAAATTCCACAAAAAGGGTGTTTAACATCTGCTCTTCTAAAGGAAAGTTCAACTCTATGAGTTGAATACACACAGCACAAAGAAGTTACTGAGACTTCTCCTATCAAACATTATATGAAGAAATCCCGTTTCCAACGAAGGCCTCAAAGAGGTCCAAATATCTGCTTGCAGACTTTACAGACAGAGTGTTTCCAAACTGCTCCATCAAAAGAAAGGTTAAACTCCTTGAGTTGAACACACACATCACAAAGTAGTTTCTGTGAATGATTCTGTCTAGTTTTTATACGAAGATGTTTCCTTTTCTACCTTTGGTCTGAAAGCGATTGAAATCTCCACATGGAAACTCCACAAAAAGAGTGTTTCAAATCTGCTCTTTCTGAAGGAAGGTTCAACTCTGTGAGTTGAATACACACACCACAAATAAGTTACTGAGAATTCTTCTGTGTAACATTATATGAGGAAATCCCGTTTCCAACGAAGGCCTCAAAGAGGTCCAAATATCCACTTGCAGACTTTACAAAGACAGTGTCTCCAAACTCCTCCATCAAAAGAAAGGTTATACTCTGTGAATTGAACGCACACATCACAAAGTAGTTTCTGAGAATGATTCTGTCTAGTTTTTATACGAAGATATTTCCTTTTCTACATTTGGCCTAAAAGCGCTTGAAATCTCCACCTGCAAATATCACAAAAAGAGGGTTTCACATCTGCTCTGTCTAAAGGACAGTTCACCTCTGTGAGTTGAATAGAGGCAACACAAAGAACTTACTCAGTATTCTTCTTTCTAGCGTTCTATGAAGAAATCCCGTTTCCAACGAAGGCCCCAAAGAGGTCCAAATATCTGCTTGCAGACTTTACAGACAGAGTGTTTCCAAACTACTCTATGAAAAGAAAGCTTAAACTCCTTGAGTTGAACGCACACATCACAAAGTAGTTTCGGAGAATGATTCTGTCTAGTTTTTATACGAAGATGTTTCCTTTTCTACATTTGGTCTCAAAGCGATTGAAATCTCCAACTGGAAACTGCACAAATAGGGTGTTTCAAATCTGCTCTGTCTAAAGGAAGGTTCAACTCTGTGAGTTGAATACACACACCACAAATAAGTTACTGAGAATTCTTCTGTCGAACATTACATGAAGAAATCCCGTTTCCAACGAAGGCCTCAAAGAGGTCCAAATATCCACTTGCAGACATTACAAACAGAGTGTTTCCAAACTGCTCCATCAAAAGAAAGGTTAAACTCTGTGAGCTGAACACACTCATCAAAAAGAAGTTTCTGTGAATGATTCTGTCTAGATTTTATAAGAAGATGTTTCCTTTTCTACCGTAGGCCTCAAAGCGCTTGAAATCTCCAGCTGCAAATTCCACAAAAAGGGTGTTTAACATCTGCTCTTCTAAAGGAAAGTTCAACTCTATGACTTGAATACACACAGCACAAAGAAGTTACTGAGACTTCTCCTATCAAACATTATATGAAGAAATCCCGTTTCCAACGAAGGCCTCAAAGAGGTCCAAATATCTGCTTGCAGACTTTACAGACAGAGTATTTCCAAACTGCTCCATCAAAAGAAAGGTTAAACTCCTTGAGTTGAACACACACATCACAAAGTAGTTTCTGTGAATGATTCTGTCTAGTTTTTATACGAAGATGTTTCCTTTTCTACCTTTGGTCTCAATGCGATTGAAATCTCCACATGGAAACTCCACAAAAAGAGTGTTTCAAATCTGCTCTTTCTGAAGGAAGGTTCAACTCTGTGAGTTGAATACACACACCACAAATAAGTTACTGAGAATTCTTCTGTGTAACATTATATGAGGAAATCCCGTTTCCAACGAAGGCCTCAAAGAGGTCCAAATATCCACTTGCAGACTTTACAAAGACAGTGTCTCCAAACTCCTCCATCAAAAGAAAGGTTATACTCTGTGAATTGAACACACACATCACAAAGTAGTTTCTGAGAATGATTCTGTCTAGTTTTTATACGAAGATATTTCCTTTTCTACATTTGGCCTAAAAGCGCTTGAAATCTCCACCTGCAAATATCACAAAAAGAGGGTTTCACATCTGCTCTGTCTAAAGGACAGTTCACCTCTGTGAGTTGAATAGAGGCAACACAAAGAACTTACTCAGTATTCTTCTTTCTAGCGTTCTATGAAGAAATCCCGTTTCCAACGAAGGCCTCAAAGAGGTCAAATATCTGCTTGCAGACTTTACAGACAGAGTGTTTCCAAACTACTCTATGAAAAGAAAGCTTAAACTCCTTGAGTTGAACGCACACATCACAAAGTAGTTTCTGAGAATGATTCTGTCTAGTTTTTATACGAAGATGTTTCCTTTTCTACATTTGGTCTCAAAGCGATTGAAATCTCCAACTGGAAACTGCACAAATAGGGTGTTTCAAATCTGCTCTGTCTAAAGGAAGGTTCAACTCTGTGAGTTGAATACACACACCACAAATAAGTTACTGAGAATTCTTCTGTCGAACATTACAGGAAGAAATCCCGTTTCCAACGAAGGCCTCAAAGAGGTCCAAATATCCACTTGCAGACATTACAAACAGTGTGTTTCCCAACTGCTCCATCAAAAGAAAGGTTAAACTCTGTGAGCTGAACACACACATCAAAAAGAAGTTTCTGTGAATGATTCTGTCTAGATTTTATAAGAAGATGTTTCCTTTTCTACCGTAGGCCTCAAAGCGCTTGAAATCTCCAGCTGCAAATTCCACAAAAAGGGTGTTTAACATCTGCTCTTCTAAAGGAAAGTTCAACTCTATGAGTTGAATACACACAGCACAAAGAAGTTACTGAGACTTCTCCTATCAAACATTATATGAAGAAATCCCGTTTCCAACGAAGGCCTCAAAGAGGTCCAAATATCTGCTTGCAGACTTTACAGAGAGTGTTTCCAAACTGCTCCATCAAAAGAAAGGTTAAACTCCTTGAGTTGAACACACACATCACAAAGTAGTTTCTGTGAATGATTCTGTCTAGTTTTTATACGAAGATGTTTCCTTTTCTAGCTTTGGTCTCAAAGCGATTGAAATCTCCACATGGAAACTCCACAAAAAGAGTGCTTCAAATCTGCTGTTTCTGAAGGAAGGTTCAACTCTGTGAGTTGAATACACGCACCACAAATAAGTTACTGGGAATTCTTCTGTGTAAAATTATATGAGGAAATCCCGTTTCCAACGAAGGCCTCAAAGAGGTCCAAATATCCACTTGCAGACTTTACAAAGACAGTGTCTCCAAACTCCTCCATCAAAAGAAAGGTTATACTCTGTGAATTGAACGCACACATCACAAAGTAGTTTCTGAGAATGATTCTGTCTAGTTTTTATACGAAGATATTTCCTTTTCTACATTTGGCCTAAAAGCGCTTGAAATCTCCACCTGCAAATATCACAAAAAGAGGGTTTCACATCTGCTCTGTCTAAAGGACAGTTCACCTCTGTGAGTTGAATAGAGGCAACACAAAGAACTTACTCAGTATTCTTCTTTCTAGCGTTATATGAAGAAATCCCGTTTCCAACGAAGGCCTCAAATAGGTCCAAATATCTGCTTGCAGACATTACAGACAGAGTGTTTCCAAACTACTCTATGAAAAGAAAGCTTAAACTCCGTGAGTTGAACGCACACATCACAAAGTAGCTTCTGAGAATGATTCTGTCTTGTTTTTATACGAAGATATTTCCGTTTCTACGATTGGCTTCAAAGCGATTGAAATCTGCAACTGGAAACTGCACAAACAGGGTGTTTCAAATCTGCTCTGTCTAAAGGAAGGTTCAAATCTGTGAGTTGAATACACACACCACAAATAAGTTACTGAGAATTCTTCTGTCGAACATTACATGAAGAAATCCCGTTTCCCACGAAGGCCTCAAAGAGGTCCAAATATCCACTTGCAGACATTACAAACAGTGTGTTTCCAAATGTGCTCCATCAAAAGAAAGGTTAAACTCTGTGAGCTGAACACACACATCAAAAGAGAAGTTTCTGTGAATGATTCTGTCTAGATTTTATAAGAAGATGTTTCCTTTTCTACCGTAGGCCTCAAAGCGCTTGAAATCTCCAGCTGCAAATTCCACAAAAAGGGTGTTTAACATCTGCTCTTCTAAAGGAAAGTTCAACTCTATGAGTTGAATACACACAGCACAAAGAAGTTACTGAGACTTCTCCTATCAAACATTATATGAAGAAATCCCGTTTCCAACGAAGGCCTCAAAGAGGTCCAAATATCTGCTTGCAGACTTTACAGACAGAGTGTTTCCAAACTGCTCCATCAAAAGAAAGGTTAAACTCCTTGAGTTGAACACACACATCACAAAGTAGTTTCTGTGAATGATTCTGTCTAGTTGTTATACGAAGATGTTTCCTTTTCTACCTTTGGTCTCAAAGCGATTGAAATCTCCACATGGAAACTCCACAAAAAGAGTGTTTCAAATCTGCTCTTTCTGAAGGAAGGTTCATCTCTGTGAGTTGAATACACACACCACAAATAAGTTAGTGAGAATTCTTCTGTGTAACATTATATGAGGAAATCCCGTTTCCAACGAAGGCCTCAAAGAGATCCAAATATCCACTTGCAGACTTTACAAAGACAGTGTCTCCAAACTCCTCCCATCAAAAGAAAGGTTATACTCTGTGAATTGAACGCACACATCACAAAGTAGTTTCTGAGAATGATTCTGTCTAGTTTTCATACGAAGATATTTCCTTTTCTACATTTGGCCTAAAAGCGCTTGAAATCTCCACCTGCAAATATCACAAAAAGTGGGTTTCACATCTGCTCTGTCTAAAGGACAGTTCACCTCTGTGAGTTGAATAGAGGCAACACAAAGAACTTACTCAGTATTCTTCTTTCTTGCATTCTATGAAGAAATCCCGTTTCCAACGAAGGCCCCAAAGAGGTCCAAATATCTGCTTGCAGACTTTACAGACAGAGTGTTTCCAAACTGCTCCATCAAAAGAAAGCGTAAACTCCTTGAGTTGAACGCACACATCACAAAGTAGTTTCTGAGAATGATTCTGTCTAGTTTTTATACGAAGATGTTTCCCTTTCTACATTTGGTCTCAAAGCGATTGAAATCTCCAACTGGAAACTGCACAAATAGGCTGTTTCAAATCTGCTCTGTCTAAAGGAAGGTTCAACTCTGTGAGTTGAATACACACACCACAAATAAGTTACTGAGAATTCTTCTGTCGAACATTACAGGAAGAAATCCCGTTTCCAACGAAGGCCTCAAAGAGGTCCAAATATCCACTTGCAGACATTACAAACAGTGTGTTTCCCAACTGCTCCATCAAAAGAAAGGTTAAACTCTGTGAGCTGAACACACACATCAAAAAGAAGTTTCTGTGAATGATTCTGTCTAGATTTTATAAGAAGATGTTTCCTTTTCTACCGTAGGCCTCAAAGCGCTTGAAATCTCCAGCTGCAAATTCCACAAAAAGGGTGTTTAACATCTGCTCTTCTAAAGGAAAGTTCAACTCTGTGAGTTGAATACACACAGCACAAAGAAGTTACTGAGACTTCTCCTATCAAACATTATATGAAGAAATCCCGTTTCCAACGAAGGCCTCAAAGAGGTCCAAATATCTGCTTGCAGACTTTACAGACAGAGTATTTCCAAACTGCTCCATCAAAAGAAAGGTTAAACTCCTTGAGTTGAACACACACATCACAAAGTAGTTTCTGTGAATGATTCTGTCTAGTTTTTATACGAAGATGTTTCCTTTTCTACCTTTGGTCTCAAAGCGATTGAAATCTCCACATGGAAACTCCACAAAAAGAGTGTTTCAAATCTGCTCTTTCTGAAGGAAGGTTCAACTCTGTGAGTTGAATACACACACCACAAATAAGTTACTGAGAATTCTTCTGTGTAACATTATATGAGGAAATCCCGTTTCCAACGAAGGCCTCAAAGAGGTCCAAATATCCACTTGCAGACTTTACAAAGACAGTGTCTCCAAACTCCTCCATCAAAAGAAAGGTTATACTCTGTGAATTGAACGCACACATCACAAAGTAGTTTCTGAGAATGATTCTGTCTAGTTTTTATACGAAGATATTTCCTTTTCTACATTTGGCCTAAAAGCGCTTGAAATCTCCACCTGCAAATATCACAAAAAGAGGGTTTCACATCTGCTCTGTCTAAAGGACAGTTCACCTCTGTGAGTTGAATAGAGGCAACACAAAGAACTTACTCAGTATTCTTCTTTCTAGCGTTCTATGAAGAAATCCCGTTTCCAACGAAGACCCCAATGAGGTCCAAATATCTGCTTGCAGACTTTACAGACAGAGTGTTTCCAAACTACTCTATGAAAAGAAAGCTTAAACTCCTTGAGTTGAACGCACACATCACAAAGTAGTTTCTGAGAATGATTCTGTCTAGTTTTTATACGAAGATGTTTCCTTTTCTACATTTGGTCTCAAAGCGATTGAAATCTCCAACTGGAAACTGCACAAATAGGGTGTTTCAAATCTGCTCTGTCTAAAGGAAGGTTCAACTCTGTGAGTTGAATACACAAACCACAAACAAGTTACTGAGAATTCTTCTGTCGAACATTACAGGAAGAAATCCCGTTTCCAACGAAGGCCTCAAAGAGGTCCAAATATCCACTTGCAGACATTACAAACAGTGTGTTTCCCAACTGCTCCATCAAAAGAAAGGTTAAACTCTGTTAGCTGAACACACACATCAAAAAGAAGTTTCTGTGAATGATTCTGTCTAGATTTTATAAGAAGATGTTTCCTTTTCTACCGGAGGCCTCAAAGCGCTTGAAATCTCCAGCTGCAAATTCCACAAAAAGGGTGTTTAACATCTGCTCTTCTAAAGGAAAGTTCAACTCTATGAGTTGAATACACACAGCACAAAGAAGTTACTGAGACTTCTCCTATCAAACATTATATGAAGAAATCCCGTTTCCAACGAAGGCCTCAAAGAGGTCCAAATATCTGCTTGCAGACTTTACAGACAGAGTGTTTCCAAACTGCTCCATCAAAAGAAAGGTTAAACTCCTTGAGTTGAACACACACATCACAAAGTAGTTTCTGTGAATGATTCTGTCTAGTTGTTATACGAAGATGTTTCCTTTTCTACCTTTGGTCTCAAAGCGATTGAAATCTCCACATGGAAACTCCACAAAAAGAGTGTTTCAAATCTGCTCTTTCTGAAGGAAGGTTCATCTCTGTGAGTTGAATACACACACCACAAATAAGTTACTGAGAATTCTTCTGTGTAACATTATATGAGGAAATCCCGTTTCCAACGAAGGCCTCAAAGAGGTCCAAATATCCACTTGCAGACTTTACAAAGACAGTGTCTCCAAACTCCTCCATCAAAAGAAAGGTTATACTCTGTGAATTGAACGCACACATCACAAAGTAGTTTCTGAGAATGATTCTGTCTAGTTTTTATACGAAGATATTTCCTTTTCTACATTTGGCCTAAAAGCGCTTGAAATCTCCACCTGCAAATATCACAAAAAGAGGGTTTCACATCTGCTCTGTCTAAAGGACAGTTCACCTCTGTGAGTTGAATAGAGGCAACACAAAGAACTTACTCAGTATTCTTCTTTCTAGCGTTCTATGAAGAAATCCCGTTTCCAACGAAGGCCCCAATGAGGTCCAAATATCTGCTTGCAGACTTTACAGACAGAGTGTTTCCAAACTACTCTATGAAAAGAAAGCTTAAACTCCTTGAGTTGAACGCACACATCACAAAGTAGTTTCTGAGAATGATTCTGTCTAGTTTTTATACGAAGATGTTTCCTTTTCTACATTTGGTCTCAAAGCGATTGAAATCTCCAACTGGAAACTGCACAAATAGGGTGTTTCAAATCTGCTCTGTCTAAAGGAAGGTTCAACTCTGTGAGTTGAATACACACACCACAAATAAGTTACTGAGAATTCTTCTGTCGAACATTACTTGAAGAAATCCCGTTTCCAACGAAGGCCTCAAAGAGGTCCAAATATCCACTTGCAGACATTACAAACAGAGTGTTTCCAAACTGCTCCATCAAAAGAAAGGTTAAACTCTGTGAGCTGAACACACACATCAAAAAGAAGTTTCTGTGAATGATTCTGTCTAGATTTTATAAGAAGATGTTTCCTTTTCTACCGTAGGCCTCAAAGCGCTTGAAATCTCCAGCTGCAAATTCCACAAAAAGGGTGTTTAACATCTGCTCTTCTAAAGGAAAGTTCAACTCTATGAGTTGAATACACACAGCACAAAGAAGTTACTGAGACTTCTCCTATCAAACATTATATGAAGAAATCCCGTTTCCAACGAAGGCCTCAAAGAGGTCCAAATATCTGCTTGCAGACTTTACAGACAGAGTGTTTCCAAACTGCTCCATCAAAAGAAAGGTTAAACTCCTTGAGTTGAACACACACATCACAAAGTAGTTTCTGTGAATGATTCTGTCTAGTTTTTATACGAAGATGTTTCCTTTTCTACCTTTGGTCTCAAAGCGATTGAAATCTCCACATGGAAACTCCACAAAAAGAGTGTTTCAAATCTGCTCTTTCTGAAGGAAGGTTCAACTCTGTGAGTTGAATACACACACCACAAATAAGTTACTGAGAATTCTTCTGGGTAACATTATATGAGGAAATCCCGTTTCCAACGAAGGCCTCAAAGAGGTCCAAATATCCACTTGCAGACTTTACAAAGACAGTGTCTCCAAACTCCTCCATCAAAAGAAAGGTTATACTCTGTGAATTGAACGCACACATCACAAAGTAGTTTCTGAGAATGATTCTGTCTAGTTTTTATACGAAGATATTTCCTTTTCTACATTTGGCCTAAAAGCGCTTGAAATCTCCACCTGCAAATATCACAAAAAGAGGGTTTCACATCTGCTCTGTCTAAAGGACAGTTCACCTCTGTGAGTTGAATAGAGGCAACACAAAGAACTTACTCAGTATTCTTCTTTCTAGCATTCTATGAAGAAATCCCGTTTCCAACGAAGGCCTCAAAGAGGTCAAATATCTGCTTGCAGACTTTACAGACAGAGTGTTTCCAAACTACTCTATGAAAAGAAAGCTTAAACTCCTTGAGTTGAACGCACACATCACAAAGTAGTTTCTGAGAATGATTCTGTCTAGTTTTTATACGAAGATGTTTCCTTTTCTACATTTGGTCTCAAAGCGATTGAAATCTCCAACTGGAAACTGCACAAATAGGCTGTTTCAAATCTGCTCTGTCTAAAGGAAGGTTCAGCTCTGTGAGTTGAATACACACACCACAAATAAGTTACTGAGAATTCTTCTGTCGAACATTACAGGAAGAATTCCCGTTTCCAACGAAGGCCTCAAAGAGGTCCAAATATCCACTTGCGGACATTACAAACAGTGTGTTTCCCAACTGCTCCATCAAAAGAAAGGTTAAACTCTGTGAGCTGAACACACACATCAAAAAGACGTTTCTGTGAATGATTCTGTCTAGATTTTATAAGAAGATGTTTCCTTTTCTACCGTAGGCCTCAAAGCGCTTGAAATCTCCAGCTGCAAATTCCACAAAAATGGTGTTTAACATCTGCCCTTCTAAAGGAAAGTTCAACTCTACGAGTTGAATACACACAGCACAAAGAAGTTACTGAGACTTCTCCTATCAAACATTATATGAAGAAATCCCGTTTCCAACGAAGGCCTCAAAGAGGTCCAAATATCTGCTTGCAGACTTTACAGACAGAGTGTTTCCAAACTGCTCCATCAAAAGAAAGGTTAAACTCCTTGAGTTGAACACACACATCACAAAGTAGTTTCTGTGAATGATTCTGTCTAGTTTTTATACGAAGATGTTTCCTTTTCTACCTTTGGTCTCTAAGCGATTGAAATCTCCACATGGAAACTCCACAAAAAGAGTGTTTCAAATCTGCTCTTTCTGAAGGAAGGTTCAACTCTGTGAGTTGAATACACACACCACAAATAAGTTACTGAGAATTCTTCTGTGTAACATTATATGAGGAAATCCCGTTTCCAACGAAGGCCTCAAAGAGGTCCAAATATCCACTTGCAGACTTTACAAAGACAGTGTCTCCAAACTCCTCCATCAAAAGAAAGGTTATACTCTGTGAATTGAACGCACACATCACAAAGTAGTTTCTGAGAATGATTCTGTCTAGTTTTTACACGAAGATATTTCCTTTTCTACATTTGGCCTAAAAGCGCTTGAAATCTCCACCTGCAAATATCACAAAAAGAGGGTTTCAGATCTGCTCTGTCAAAAGGACAGTTCACCTCTGTGAGTTGAATAGAGGCAACACAAAGAACTTACTCAGTATTCTTCTTTCTAGCGTTCTATGAAGAAATCCCGTTTCCAACGAAGGCCTCAAGGAGGTCCAAATATCTGCTTGCAGACTTTACAGAGTGTTTCCAAACTACTCTATGAAAAGAAAGCTTAAACTCCTTGAGTTGAACGCACACATCACAAAGTAGTTTCTGAGAATGATTCTGTCTAATTTTTATACGAAGATGTTTCCTTTTCTACATTTGGTCTCAAAGCGATTGAAATCTCCAACTGGAAACTGCACAAATAGGGTGTTTCAAATCTGCTCTGTCTAAAGGAAGGTTCAACCCTGTGAGTTGAATACACACACCACATATAAGTTACTGAAAATTCTTCTGTCGAACATTACATGAAGAAATCCCGTTTCCAACGAAGGCCTCAAAGAGGTCCAAATATCCACTTGCAGACATTACAGAGTGTTTCCAAACTGCTCCATCAAAAGAAAGGTTAAACTCTGTGAGCTGAACACACACATCAAAAAGAAGTTTCTGTGAATGATTCTGCCTAGATTTTATAAGATGTTTCCTTTTCTACCGTAGGCCTCAAAGCGCTTGAAATCTCCAGCTGCAAATTCCACAAAAAGGGTGTTTAACATCTGCTCTTCTAAAGGAAAGTTCAACTCTATGAGTTGAATACACACAGCACAAAGAAGTTACTGAGATTTCTCCTATCAAACATTATATGAAGAAATCCCGTTTCCAACGAAGGCCTCAAAGAGGTCCAAATATCTACTTGCAGACTTTACAGACAGAGTGTTTCCAAACTGCTCCATCAAAAGAAAGGTTAAACTCCTTGAGTTGAACACACACATCACAAAGTAGTTTCTGTGAATGATTCTGTCTAGTTTTTATACGAAGATGTTTCCTTTTCTACCTTTGGTCTCAAAGCGACTGAAATCTCCACATGGAAACTCCACAAAAAGAGTGTTTCAAATCTGCTCTTTCTGAAGGAAGTTTCAACTCTGTGAGTTGAATACACACACCACAAATAAGTTACTGAGAATTCTTCTGTGTAACATTATATGAGGAAATCCCGTTTCCAACAAAGGCCTCAAAGAGGTCCAAATATCCACTTGCAGACTTTACAAAGACAGTGTCTCCAAACTCCTCCATCAAAAGAAAGGTTATACTCTGTGAATTGAACGCACACATCACAAAGTAGTTTCTGAGAACGATTCTGTCTAGTTTTTATACGAAGATATTTCCTTTTCTACATTTGGCCTCAAAGCGCTTGAAATCTCCACCTGCAAATATCACAAAAAGAGGGTTTCACATCTGCTCTGTCTAAAGGACAGTTCACCTCTGTGAGTTGAATAGAGGCAACACAAAGAACTTACTCAGTATTCTTCTTTCTAGCGTTCTATGAAGAAATCCCGTTTCCAACGAAGGCCCCAAAGAGGTCCAAATATCTGCTTGCAGACTTTACAGACAGAGTGTTTCCAAACTACTCTATGAAAAGAAAGCTTAAACTCCTTGAGTTGAACGCACACATCACAAAGTAGTTTCTGAGAATGATTCTGTCTAGTTTTTATACGAAGATGTTTCCTTTTCTACATTTGGTCTCAAAGCGATTGAAATCTCCAACTGGAAACTGCACAAATAGGGTGTTTCAAATCTGCTCTGTCTAAAGGAAGGTTCAACTCTGTGAGTTGAATACACACACCACAAATAAGTTACTGAGAATTCTTCTGTCGAACATTACATGAAGAAATCCCGTTTCCAAGGAAGGCCTCAAAGAGGTCCAAATATCCACTTGCAGACATTATAAACAGAGGGTTTGCAAACTGCTCCATCAAAAGAAAGGTTAAACTCGGTGAGCTGAACACACACATGAAAAAGAAGCTTCTGTGAATGATTCTGTCTAGATTTTATAAGAAGATGTTTCCTTTTCTACCGTAGGCCTCAAAGCGCTTGAAATCTCCAGCTGCAAATTCCACAAAAAGGGTGTTTAACATCTGCTCTTCTAAAGGAAAGTTCAACTCTATGAGTTGAATACACACAGCACAAAGAAGTTACTGAGACTTCTCCTATCAAACATTATATGAAGAAATCCCGTTTCCAACGAAGGCCTCAAAGAGGTCCAAATATCTGCTTGCAGACTTTACAGACAGAGTGTTTCCAAACTGCTCCATCAAAAGAAAGGTTAAACTCCTTGAGTTGAACACACACATCACAAAGTAGTTTCTGTGAATGATTCTGTCTAGTTTTTATACGAAGATGTTTCCTTTTCTACCTTTGGTCTCAAAGTGATTGAAATCTCCACATGGAAACTCCACAAAAAGAGTGTTTCAAATCTGCTCTTTCTGAAGGAAGGTTCAAATCTGTGAGTTGAATACACACACCACAAATAAGTTACTGAGAATTCTTCTGGGTAACATTATATGAGGAAATCCCGTTTCCAACGAAGGCCTCAAAGAGGTCCAAATATCCACTTGCAGACTTTACAAAGACAGTGTCTCCAAACTCCTCCATCAAAAGAAAGGTTATACTCTGTGAATTGAACGCACACATCACAAAGTAGTTTCTGAGAATGATTCTGTCTAGTTTTTATACGAAGATATTTCCTTTTCTACATTTGGCCTAAAAGCGCTTGAAATCTCCACCTGCAAATATCACAAAAAGAGGGTTTCACATCTGCTCTGTCTAAAGGACAGTTCACCTCTGTGAGTTGAATAGAGGCAACACAAAGAACTTACTCAGTATTCTTCTTTCTAGCGTTCTATGAAGAAATCCCGTTTCCAACGAAGGCCCCTAAGAGGTCCAAATATCTGCTTGCAGACTTTACAGACAGAGTGTTTCCAAACTACTGTATGAAGAGAAAGCTTAAACTCCTTGAGTTGAAGGCACACATCACAAAGTAGTTTCTGAGAATGATTCTGTCTAGTTTTTATACGAAGATGTTTCCTTTTCTACATTTGGTCTCAAAGCGATTGAAATCTGCAACTGGGAACTGCACAAATAGGGTGTTTCAAATCTGCTCTGTCTAAAGGAAGGTTCAACTCTGTGAGTTGAATACACACACCACAAATAAGTTACTGAGAATTCTTCTGTCGAACATTACTTGAAGAAATCCCGTTTCCAACGAAGGCCTCAAAGAGGTCCAAATATCCACTTGCAGACATTACAAACAGAGTGTTTCCAAACTGCTCCATCAAAGGAAAGGTTAAACTCTGTGAGCTGAACACACACATCAAAAAGAAGTTTCTGTGAATGATTCTGTCTAGATTTTATAAGAAGATGTTTCCTTTTCTACCGTAGGCCTCAAAGCGCTTGAAATCTCCAGCTGCAAATTCCACAAAAAGGGTGTTTAACATCTGCTCTTCTAAAGGAAAGTTCAACTCTATGAGTTGAATACACACAGCACAAAGAAGTTACTGAGACTTCTCCTATCAAACATTATATGAAGAAATCCCGTTTCCAACGAAGGCCTCAAAGAGGTCCAAATATCTGCTTGCAGACTTTACAGACAGAGTGTTTCCAAACTGCTCCATCAAAAGAAAGGTTAAACTCCTTGAGTTGAACACACACATCACAAAGTAGTTTCTGTGAATGATTCTGTCTAGTTGTTATACGAAGATGTTTCCTTTTCTACCTTTGGTCTCAAAGCGATTGAAATCTCCACATGGAAACTCCACAAAAAGAGTGTTTCAAATCTGCTCTTTCTGAAGGAAGGTTCATCTCTGTGAGTTGAATACACACACCACAAATAAGTTACTGAGAATTCTTCTGGGTAACATTATATGAGGAAATCCCGTTTCCAACGAAGGCCTCAAAGAGGTCCAAATATCCACTTGCAGACTTTACAAAGACAGTGTCTCCAAACTCCTCCATCAAAAGAAAGGTTATACTCTGTGAATTGAACGCACACATCACAAAGTAGTTTCTGAGAATGATTCTGTCTAGTTTTTATACGAAGATATTTCCTTTTCTACATTTGGCCTAAAAGCGCTTGAAATCTCCACGTGCAAATATCACAAAAAGAGGGTTTCACATCTGCTCTGTCTAAAGGACAGTTCATCTCTGTGAGTTGAATAGAGGCAACACAAAGAACTTACTCAGTATTCTTCTTTCTACCGTTCTATGAAGAAATCCCGTTTCCAACGAAGGCCTCAAAGAGGTCCAAATATCTGCTTGCAGACTTTACAGACAGAGTGTTTCCAAACTACTCTATGAAAAGAAAGCTTAAACTCCTTGAGTTGAACGCACACATCACAAAGTAGTTTCTGAGAATGATTCTGTCTAGTTTTTATACGAAGATGTTTCCTTTTCTACATTTGGTCTCAAAGCGATTGAAATCTCCAACTGGAAACTGCACAAATAGGGTGTTTCAAATCTGCTCTGTCTAAAGGAAGGTTCAACTCTGTGAGTTGAATACACACACCACAAATAAGTTACTGAGAATTCTTCTGTCGAACATTACTTGAAGAAATCCCGTTTCCAACGAAGGCCTCAAAGAGGTCCAAATATCCACTTGCAGACATTACAAACAGAGTGTTTCCAAACTGCTCCATCAAAAGAAAGGTTAAACTCTGTGAGCTGAACACACACATCGAAAAGAAGTTTCTGTGAATGATTCTGTCTAGATTTTATAAGAAGATGTTTCCTTTTCTACCGTAGGCCTCAAAGCGCTTGAAATCTCCAGCTGCAAATTCCACAAAAAGGGTGTTTAACATCTGCTCTTCTAAAGGAAAGTTCAACTCTATGAGTTGAATACACACAGCACAAAGAAGTTACTGAGACTTCTCCTATCAAGCATTATATGAAGAAATCCCGTTTCCAACGAAAGCCTCAAAGAGGTCCAAATATCTGCTTGCAGACTGTACAGACAGAGTGTTTCCAAACTGCTCCATCAAAAGAAAGGTTAAACTCCTTGAGTTGAACACACACATCACAAAGTAGTTTCTGTGAATGATTCTGTCTAGTTGTTATACGAAGATGTTTCCTTTTCTACCTTTGGTCTCAAAGCGATTGAAATCTCCACATGGAAACTCCACAAAAAGAGTGTTTCAAATCTGCTCTTTCTGAAGGAAGGTTCATCTCTGTGAGTTGAATACACACACCACAAATAAGTTACTGAGAATTCTTCTGTGTAACATTATATGAGGAAATCCCGTTTCCAACGAAGGCCTCAAAGAGGTCCAAATATCCACTTGCAGACTTTACAAAGACAGTGTCTCCAAACTCCTCCATCAAAAGAAAGGTTATACTCTGTGAATTGAACGCACACATCACAAAGTAGTTTCTGAGAATGATTCTGTCTAGTTTTTATACGAAGATATTTCCTTTTCTACATTTGGCCTAAAAGCGCTTGAAATCTCCACCTGCAAATATCACAAAAAGAGGGTTTCACATCTGCTCTGTCTGAAGGACAGTTCACCTCTGTGAGTTGAATAGAGGCAACACAAAGAACTTACTCAGTATTCTTCTTTCTAGCGTTCTATGAAGAAATCCCGTTTCCAACGAAGGCCCCAAAGAGGTCCAAATATCTGCTTGCAGACTTTACAGACAGAGTGTTTCCAAACTACTCTATGAAAAGAAAGCTTAAACTCCTTGAGTTGAACGCACACATCACAAAGTAGTTTCTGAGAATGATTCTGTCTAGTTTTTATACGAAGATGTTTCCTTTTCTACATTTGGTCTCAAAGTGATTGAAATCTCCAACTGGAAACTCCACAAAAAGAGTGTTTCAAATCTGCTCTGTCTAAAGGAAGGCTCAACTCTGTGAGTTGAATACACACACCACAAATAAGTTACTGAGAATTCTTCTGTCGAACATTACTTGAAGAAATCCCGTTTCCAACGAAGGCCTCAAAGAGGTCCAAATATCCACTTGCAGACATTACAAACAGAGTGTTTCCAAACTGCTCCATCAAAAGAAAGGTTAAACTCTGTGAGCTGAACACACACATCAAAAAGAAGTTTCTGTGAATGATTCTGTCTAGATTTTATAAGAAGATGTTTCCTTTTCTACCGTAGGCCTCAAAGCGCTTGAAATCTCCAGCTGCAAATTCCACAAAAAGGGTGTTTAACATCTGCTCTTCTAAAGGAAAGTTCAACTCTATGAGTTGAATACACACAGCATAAAGAAGTTACTGAGACTTCTCCTATCAAACATTATATGAAGAAATCCCGTTTCCAACGAAGGCCTCAAAGAGGTCCAAATATCTGCTTGCAGACTTTACAGACAGAGTGTTTCCAAACTGCTCCATCAAAAGAAAGGTTAACCTCCTGAGTTGAACACACACATCACAAAGTAGTTTCTGTGAATGATTCTGTCTAGTTTTTATACGAAGATGTTTCCTTTTCTACCTTTGGTCTCAAAGCGATTGAAATCTCCACATGGAAACTCCACAAAAAGAGTGTTTCAAATCTGCTCTTTCTGAAGGAAGGTTCATCTCTGTGAGTTGAATACACACACCACAAATAAGTTACTGAGAATTCTTCTGTGTAACATTATATGAGGAAATCCCGTTTCCAACGAAGGCCTCAAAGAGGTCCAAATATCCACTTGCAGACTTACAAAGACAGTGTCTCCAAACTCCTCCATCAAAAGAAAGGTTATACTCTGTGAATTGAACGCACACATCACAAAGTAGTTTCTGAGAATGATTCTGTCTAGTTTTTATACGAAGATATTTCCTTTTCTACATTTGGCCTAAAAGCGCTTGAAATCTCCACCTGCAAATATCACAAAAAGAGGGTTTCACATCTGCTCTGTCTAAAGGACAGTTCACCTCTGTGAGTTGAATAGAAGCAACACAAAGAACTTACTCAGTATTCTTCTTTCTAGCGTTCTATGAAGAAATCCCGTTTCCAACGAAGGCCCCAAAGAGGTCCAAATATCTGCTTGCAGACTTTACAGACAGAGTGTTTCCAAACTACTCTATGAAAAGAAAGCTTAAACTCCTTGAGTTGAACGCACACATCACAAAGTAGTTTCGGAGAATGATTCTGTCTAGTTTTTATACGAAGATGTTTCCTTTTCTACATTTGGTCTCAAAGCGATTGAAATCTCCAACTGGAAACTGCACAAATAGGGTGTTTCAAATCTGCTCTGTCTAAAGGAAGGTTCAACTCTGTGAGTTGAATACACACACCACAAATAAGTTACTGAGAATTCTTCTGTCGAACATTACTTGAAGAAATCCCGTTTCCAACGAAGGCCTCAAAGAGGTCCAAATATCCACTTGCAGACATTACAAACAGAGTGTTTCCAAACTGCTCCATCAAAAGAAAGGTTAAACTCTGTGAGCTGAACACACACATCGAAAAGAAGTTTCTGTGAATGATTCTGTCTAGATTTTATAAGAAGATGTTTCCTTTTCTACCGTAAGCCTCAAAGCGCTTGAAATCTCCAGCTGCAAATTCCACAAAAAGGGTGTTTAACATCTGCTCTTCTAAAGGAAAGTTCAACTCTATGAGTTGAATACACACAGCACAAAGAAGTTACTGAGACTTCTCCTATCAAACATTATATGAAGAAATCCCGTTTCCAACGAAGGCCTCAAAGAGGTCCAAATATCTGCTTGCAGACTTTACAGACAGAGTGTTTCCAAACTGCTCCATCAAAAGAAAGGTTAAACTCCTTGAGTTGAACACACACATCACAAAGTAGTTTCTGTGAATGATTCTGTCTAGTTGTTATACGAAGATGTTTCCTTTTCTACCTTTGGTCTCAAAGCGATTGAAATCTCCACATGGAAACTCCACAAAAAGAGTGTTTCAAATCTGCTCTTTCTGAAGGAAGGTTCATCTCTGTGAGTTGAATACACACACCACAAATAAGTTACTGAGAATTCTTCTGTGTAACATTATATGAGGAAATCCCGTTTCCAACGAAGGCCTCAAAGAGGTCCAAATATCCACTTGCAGACTTTACAAAGACAGTGTCTCCAAACTCCTCCATCAAAAGAAAGGTTATACTCTGTGAATTGAACGCACACATCACAAAGTAGTTTCTGAGAATGATTCTGTCTAGTTTTTATACGAAGATATTTCCTTTTCTACATTTGGCCTAAAAGCGCTTGAAATCTCCACCTGCAAATATCACAAAAAGAGGGTTTCACATCTGCTCTGTCTAAAGGACAGTTCACCTCTGTGAGTTGAATAGAGGCAACACAAAGAACTTACTCAGTATTCTTCTTTCTAGCATTCTATGAAGTAATCCCGTTTCCAACGAAGGCCCCAAAGAGGTCCAAATATCTGCTTGCAGACTTTACAAAGACAGTGTCTCCAAACTCCTCCGTCAAAAGAAAGGTTATACTCTGTGAATTGAACGCACACATCACAAAGTAGTTTCTGAGAATGATTCTGTCTAGTTTTTATACGAAGATGTTTCCTTTTCTACATTTGGTCTCAAAGCGATTGAAATCTCCAACTGGAAACTGCACAAATAGGGTGTTTCAAATCTGCTCTGTCTAAAGGAAGGTTCAACTCTGTGAGTTGAATACACACACCACAAATAAGTTACTGAGAATTCTTCTGTCGACCATTACTTGATGAAATCCCGTTTCCAACGAAGGCCTCAAAGAGGTCCAAATATCCACTTGCAGACATTACAAACAGAGTGTTTCCAAACTGCTCCATCAAAAGAAAGGTTAAACTCTGTGAGCTGAACACACACATCGAAAAGAAGTTTCTGTGAATGATTCTGTCTAGATTTTATAAGAAGATGTTTCCTTTTCTACCGTAGGCCTCAAAGCGCTTGAAATCTCCAGCTGCAAATTCCACAAAAAGGGTGTTTAACATCTGCTCTTCTAAAGGAAAGTTCAACTCTATGAGTTGAATACACACAGCACAAAGAAGTTACTGAGACTTCTCCTATCAAACATTATATGAAGAAATCCCGTTTCCAACGAAGGCCTCAAAGAGGTCCAAATATCTGCTTGCAGACTTTACAGACAGAGTGTTTCCAAACTGCTCCATCAAAAGAAAGGTTAAACTCCTTGAGTTGAACACACACATCACAAAGTAGTTTCTGTGAATGATTCTGTCTAGTTTTTATACGAAGATGTTTCCTTTTCTACCTTTGGTCTCAAAGCGATTGAAATCTCCACATGGAAACTCCACAAAAAGAGTGTTTCAAATCTGCTCTTTCTGAAGGAAGGTTCAACTCTGTGAGTTGAATACACACACCACAAATAAGTTACTGAGAATTCTTCTGTGTAACATTATATGAGGAAATCCCGTTTCCAACGAAGGCCTCAAAGAGGACCAAATATCCACTTGCAGACTTTACAAAGACAGTGTCTCCAAACTCCTCCATCAAAAGAAAGGTTATACTCTGTGAATTGAACGCACACATCACAAAGTAGTTTCTGAGAATGATTCTGTCTAGTTTTTATACGAAGATATTTCCTTTTCTACATTTGGCCTAAAAGCGCTTGAAATCTCCACCTGCAAATATCCCAAAAAGAGGGTTTCACATCTGCTCTGTCTAAAGGACAGTTCACCTCTGTGAGTTGAATAGAGGCAACACAAAGAACTTACTCAGTATTCTTCTTTCTAGCGTTCTATGAAGAAATCCCGTTTCCAACGAAGGCCCCAAAGAGGTCCAAATATCTGCTTGCAGACTTTACAGACAGAGTGTTTCCAAACTACTCTATGAAAAGAAAGCTTAAACTCCTTGAGTTGAACGCACACATCACAAAGTAGTTTCTGAGAATGATTCTGTCTAGTTTTTATACGAAGATGTTTCCTTTTCTACATTTGGTCTCAAAGCGATTGAAATCTCCAACTGGAAACTGCACAAATAGGGTGTTTCAAATCTGCTCTGTCTAAAGGAAGGTTCAACTCTGTGAGTTGAATACACACACCACAAATAAGTTACTGAGAATTCTTCTGTCGAACATTACTTGAAGAAATCCTGTTTCCAACGAAGGCCTCAAAGAGGTCCAAATATCCACTTGCAGACATTACAAACAGAGTGTTTCCAAACTGCTCCATCAAAAGAAAGGTTAAACTCTGTGAGCTGAACACACACATCAAAAAGAAGTTTCTGTGAATGATTCTGTCTAGATTTTATAAGAAGATGTTTCCTTTTCTACCGTAGGCCTCAAAGCGCTTGAAATCTCCAGCTGCAAATTCCACAAAAAGGGTGTTTAACATCTGCTCTTCTAAAGGAAAGTTCAACTCTATGAGTTGAATACACACAGCACAAAGAAGTTACTGAGACTTCTCCTATCAAACATTATATGAAGAAATCCCGTTTCCAACGAAGGCCTCAAAGAGGTCCAAATATCTGCTTGCAGACTTTACAGACAGAGTGTTTCCAAACTGCTCCATCAAAAGAAAGGTTAAACTCCTTGAGTTGAACACACACATCACAAAGTAGTTTCTGTGAATGATTCTGTCTAGTTTTTATACGAAGATGTTTCCTTTTCTACCTTTGGTCTCAAAGCGATTGAAATCTCCACATGGAAACTCCACAAAAAGAGTGTTTCAAATCTGCTCTTTCTGAAGGAAGGTTCAACTCTGTGAGTTGAATACACACACCACAAATAAGTTACTGAGAATTCTTCTGTGTAACATTATATGAGGAAATCCCGTTTCCAACGAAGGCCTCAAAGAGGTCCAAATATCCACTTGCAGACTTTACAAAGACAGTGTCTCCAAACTCCTCCATCAAAAGAAAGGTTATACTCTGTGAATTGAACGCACACATCACAAAGTAGTTTCTGAGAATGATTCTGTCTAGTTTTTATACGAAGATATTTCCTTTTCTACATTTGGCCTAAAAGCGCTTGAAATCTCCACCTGCAAATATCACAAAAAGAGGGTTTCACATCTGCTCTGTCTAAAGGACAGTTCACCTCTGTGAGTTGAATAGAGGCAACACAAAGAACTTACTCAGTATTCTTCTTTCTAGCGTTCTATGAAGAAATCCCGTTTCCAACGAAGGCCCCAAAGAGGTCCAAATATCTGCTTGCAGACTTTACAGACAGAGTGTTTCCAAACTACTCTATGAAAAGAAAGCTTAAACTCCTTGAGTTGAACGCACACATCACAAAGTAGTTTCTGAGAATGATTCTGTCTAGTTTTTATACGAAGATGTTTCCTTTTCTACATTTGGTCTCAAAGCGATTGAAATCTCCAACTGGAAACTGCACAAATAGGGTGTTTCAAATCTGCTCTGTCTAAAGGAAGGTTCAACTCTGTGAGTTGAATACACACACCACAAATAAGTTACTGAGAATTCTTCTGTCGAACATTACATGAAGAAATCCCGTTTCCAACGAAGGCCTCAAAGACGTCCAAATATCCACTTGCAGACATTACAAACAGAGTGTTTCCAAACTGCTCCATCAAAAGAAAGGTTAAACTCTGTGAGCTGAACACACACATCAAAAAGAAGTTTCTGTGAATGATTCTGTCTAGATTTTATAAGAAGATGTTTCCTTTTCTACCGTAGGCCTCAAAGCGCTTGAAATCTCCAGCTGCAAATTCCACAAAAAGGGTGTTTAACATCTGCTCTTCTAAAGGAAAGTTCAACTCTATGAGTTGAATACACACAGCACAAAGAAGTTACTGAGACTTCTTCTGTCTAACATTATATGAAGAAATCCCGTTTCCAACGAAGGCCTCAAAGAGGTCCAAATATCTGCCTGCAGACTTTACAGACAGAGTGTTTCCAAACTGCTCCATCAAAAGAAAGGTTAAACTCCTTGAGTTGAACACACACATCACAAAGTAGTTTCTGTGAATGATTCTGTCTAGTTTTTATACGAAGATGTTTCCTTTTCTACATTTGGTCTCAAAGCGATTGAAATCTCCACATGGAAACTGCACAAATAGGGTGTTTCAAATCTGCTCTGTCTAAAGGAAGGTTCAACTCTGTGAGTTGAATACACACACCACAAATAAGTTACTGAGAATTCTTCTGTGTAACATTATATGAGGAAATCCCGTTTCCAACGAAGGCCTCAAAGAGGTCCAAATATCCACTTGCAGACTTTACAAAGACAGTGTCTCCAAACTCCTCCATCAAAAGAAAGGTTATACTCTGTGAATTGAACGCACACATCACAAAGTAGTTTCTGAGAATGATTCTGTCTAGTTTTTATACGAAGATATTTCCTTTTCTACATTTGGCCTAAAAGCGCTTGAAATCTCCACCTGCAAATATCACAAAAAGAGGGTTTCACATCTGCTCTGTCTAAAGGACAGTTCACCTCTGTGAGTTGAATAGAGGCAACACAAAGAACTTACTCAGTATTCTTCTTTCTAGCGTTCTATGAAGAAATCCCGTTTCCAACGAAGGCCCCAAAGAGGTCCAAATATCTGCTTGCAGACTTTACAGACAGAGTGTTTCCAAACTACTCTATGAAAAGAAAGCTTAAACTCCTTGAGTTGAACGCACACATCACAAAGTAGTTTCTGAGAATGATTCTGTCTAGTTTTTATACGAAGATGTTTCCTTTTCTACATTTGGTCTCAAAGCGATTGAAATCTCCAACTGGAAACTGCACAAATAGGGTGTTTCAAATCTGCTCTGTCTAAAGGAAGGTTCAACTCTGTGAGTTGAATACACACACCACAAATAAGTTACTGAGAATTCTTCTGTGGAACATTACTTGAAGAAATCCCGTTTCCAACGAAGGCCTCAAAGAGGTCCAAATATCCACTTGCAGACATTACAAACAGAGTGTTTCCAAACTGCTCCATCAAAAGAAAGGTTAAACTCTGTGAGCTGAACACACACATCAAAAAGAAGTTTCTGTGAATGATTCTGTCTAGATTTTATAAGAAGATGTTTCCTTTTCTACCGTAGGCCTCAAAGCGCTTGAAATCTCCAGCTGCAAATTCCACAAAAAGGGTGTTTAACATCTGCTCTTCTAAAGGAAAGTTCAACTCTATGAGTTGAATACACACAGCACAAAGAAGTTACTGAGACTTGTCCTATCAAACATTATATGAAGAAATCCCGTTTCCAACGAAGGCCTCAAAGAGGTCCAAATATCTGCTTGCAGACTTTACAGACAGAGTGTTTCCAAACTGCTCCATCAAAAGAAAGGTTAACCTCCTTGAGTTGAACACACACGTCACAAAGAAGTTTCTGTGAATGATTCTGTCTAGTTTTTATACGAAGATGTTTCCTTTTCTACCTTTGGTCTCAAAGCGATTGAAATCTCCACATGGAAACTCCACAAAAAGAGTGTTTCAAATCTGCTCTTTCTGAAGGAAGGTTCATCTCTGTGAGTTGAATACACACACCACAAATAAGTTACTGAGAATTCTTCTGTGTAACATTATATGAGGAAATCCCGTTTCCAACGAAGGCCTCAAAGAGGTCCAAATATCCACTTGCAGACTTTACAAAGACAGTGTCTCCAAACTCCTCCATCAAAAGAAAGGTTATACTCTGTGAATTGAACGCACACATCACAAAGTAGTTTCTGAGAATGATTCTGTCTAGTTTTTATACGAAGATATTTCCTTTTCTACATTTGGCCTAAAAGCGCTTGAAATCTCCACCTGCAAATATCACAAAAAGAGGGTTTCACATCTGCTCTGCCTAAAGGACAGTTCACCTCTGTGAGTTGAATAGAGGCAACACAAAGAACTTACTCAGTATTCTTCTTTCTAGCGTTCTATGAAGAAATCCCGTTTCCAACGAAGGCCCCAAAGAGGTCCAAATATCTGCTTGCAGACTTTACAGACAGAGTGTTTCCAAACTACTCTATGAAAAGAAAGCTTAAACTCCTTGAGTTGAACGCACACATCACAAAGTAGTTTCGGAGAATGATTCTGTCTAGTTTTTATACGAAGATGTTTCCTTTTCTACATTTGGTCTCAAAGCGATTGAAATCTCCAACTGGAAACTGCACAAATAGGGTGTTTCAAATCTGCTCTGTCTAAAGGAAGGTTCAACTCTGTGAGTTGAATACACACACCACAAAGAAGTTACTGAGAATTCTTCTGTCGAACATTACTTGAAGAAATCCCGTTTCCAACGAAGGCCTCAAAGAGGTCCAAATATCCACTTGCAGACATTACAAACAGAGTGTTTCCAAACTGCTCCATCAAAAGAAAGGTTAAACTCTGTGAGCTGAACACACACATCGAAAAGAAGTTTCTGTGAATGATTCTGTCTAGATTTTATAAGAAGATGTTTCCTTTTCTACCGTAAGCCTCAAAGCGCTTGAAATCTCCAGCTGCAAATTCCACAAAAAGGGTGTTTAACATCTGCTCTTCTAAAGGAAAGTTCAACTCTATGAGTTGAATACACACAGCACAAAGAAGTTACTGAGACTTCTCCTATCAAACATTATATGAAGAAATCCCGTTTCCAACGAAGGCCTCAAAGAGGTCCAAATATCTGCTTGCAGACTTTACAGACAGAGTGTTTCCAAACTGCTCCATCAAAAGAAAGGTTAAACTCCTTGAGTTGAACACACACATCACAAAGTAGTTTCTGTGAATGATTCTGTCTAGTTGTTATACGAAGATGTTTCCTTTTCTACCTTTGGTCTCAAAGCGATTGAAATCTCCACATGGAAACTCCACAAAAAGAGTGTTTCAAATCTGCTCTTTCTGAAGGAAGGTTCATCTCTGTGAGTTGAATACACACACCACAAATAAGTTACTGAGAATTCTTCTGTGTAACATTATATGAGGAAATCCCGTTTCCAACGAAGGCCTCAAAGAGGTCCAAATATCCACTTGCAGACTTTACAAAGACAGTGTCTCCAAACTCCTCCATCAAAAGAAAGGTTATACTCTGTGAATTGAACGCACACATCACAAAGTAGTTTCTGAGAATGATTCTGTCTAGTTTTTATACGAAGATATTTCCTTTTCTACATTTGGCCTAAAAGCGCTTGAAATCTCCACGTGCAAATATCACAAAAAGAGGGTTTCACATCTGCTCTGTCTAAAGGACAGTTCACCTCTGTGAGTTGAATAGAGGCAACACAAAGAACTTACTCAGTATTCTTCTTTCTAGCGTTCTATGAAGAAATCCCGTTTCCAACGAAGGCCCCAAAGAGGTCCAAATATCTGCTTGCAGACTTTACAGACAGAGTGTTTCCAAACTACTCTATGAAAAGAAAGCTTAAACTCCTTGAGTTGAACGCACACATCACAAAGTAGTTTCTGAGAATGATTCTGTCTAGTTTTTATACGAAGATGTTTCCTTTTCTACATTTGGTCTCAAAGCGATTGAAATCTCCAACTGGAAACTGCACAAATAGGGTGTTTCAAATCTGCTCTGTCTAAAGGAAGGTTCAACTCTGTGAGTTGAATACACAAACCACAAATAAGTTACTGAGAATTCTTCTGTCGACCATTACTTGATGAAATCCCGTTTCCAACGAAGGCCTCAAAGAGGTCCAAATATCCACTTGCAGACATTACAAACAGAGTGTTTCCAAACTGCTCCATCAAAAGAAAGGTTAAACTCTGTGAGCTGAACACACACATCGAAAAGAAGTTTCTGTGAATGATTCTGTCTAGATTTTATAAGAAGATGTTTCCTTTTCTACCGTAGGCCTCAAAGCGCTTGAAATCTCCAGCTGCAAATTCCACAAAAAGGGTGTTTAACATCTGCTCTTCTAAAGGAAAGTTCAACTCTATGAGTTGAATACACACAGCACAAAGAAGTTACTGAGACTTCTCCTATCAAACATTATATGAAGAAATCCCGTTTCCAACGAAGGCCTCAAAGAGGTCCAAATATCTGCTTGCAGACTTTACAGACAGAGTGTTTCCAAACTGCTCCATCAAAAGAAAGGTTAAACTCCTTGAGTTGAACACACACATCACAAAGTAGTTTCTGTGAATGATTCTGTCTAGTTGTTATACGAAGATGTTTCCTTTTCTACCTTTGGTCTCAAAGCGATTGAAATCTCCACATGGAAACTCCACAAAAAGAGTGTTTCAAATCTGCTCTTTCTGAAGGAAGGTTCATCTCTGTGAGTTGAATACACACACCACAAATAAGTTAGTGAGAATTCTTGTGTGTAACATTATATGAGGAAATCCCGTTTCCAACGAAGGCCTCAAAGAGGTCCAAATATCCACTTGCAGACTTTACAAAGACAGTGTCTCCAAACTCCTCCATCAAAAGAAAGGTTATACTCTGTGAATTGAACGCACACATCACAAAGTAGTTTCTGAGAATGATTCTGTCTAGTTTTTATACGAAGATATTTCCTTTTCTACATTTGGCCTAAAAGCGCTTGAAATCTCCACCTGCAAATATCACAAAAAGAGGGTTTCACATCTGCTCTGTCTAAAGGACAGTTCACCTCTGTGAGTTGAATAGAGGCAACACAAAGAACTTACTCAGTATTCTTCTTTCTAGCGTTCTATGAAGAAATCCCGTTTCCAACGAAGGCCCCAAAGAGGTCCAAATATCTGCTTGCAGACTTTACAGACAGAGTGTTTCCAAACTACTCTATGAAAAGAAAGCTTAAACTCCTTGAGTTGAACGCACACATCACAAAGTAGTTTCTGAGAATGATTCTGTCTAGTTTTTATACGAAGATGTTTCCTTTTCTACATTTGGTCTCAAAGCGATTGAAATCTCCAACTGGAAACTGCACAAATAGGGTGTTTCAAATCTGCTCTGTCTAAAGGAAGGTTCAACTCTGTGAGTTGAATACACACACCACAAATAAGTTACTGAGAATTCTTCTGTCGACCATTACTTGAAGAAATCCCGTTTCCAACGAAGGCCTCAAAGAGGTCCAAATATCCACTTGCAGACATTACAAACAGAGTGTTTCCAAACTGCTCCATCAAAAGAAAGGTTAAACTCTGTGAGCTGAACACACACATCAAAAAGAAGTTTCTGTGAATGATTCTGTCTAGATTTTATAAGAAGATGTTTCCTTTTCTACCGTAGGCCTCAAAGCGCTTGAAATCTCCAGCTGCAAATTCCACAAAAAGGGTGTTTAACATCTGCTCTTCTAAAGGAAAGTTCAACTCTATGAGTTGAATACACACAGCACAAAGAAGTTACTGAGACTTCTCCTATCAAACATTATATGAAGAAATCCCGTTTCCAACGAAGGCCTCAAAGAGGTCCAAATATCTGCTTGCAGACTTTACAGACAGAGTATTTCCAAACTGCTCCATCAAAAGAAAGGTTAAACTCCTTGAGTTGAACACACACATCACAAAGTAGTTTCTGTGAATGATTCTGTCTAGTTTTTATACGAAGATGTTTCCTTTTCTACCTTTGGTCTCAAAGCGATTGAAATCTCCACATGGAAACTCCACAAAAAGAGTGTTTCAAATCTGCTCTTTCTGAAGGAAGGTTCAACTCTGTGAGTTGAATACACACACCACAAATAAGTTACTGAGAATTCTTCTGGGTAACATTATATGAGGAAATCCCGTTTCCAACGAAGGCCTCAAAGAGGTCCAAATATCCACTTGCAGACTTTACAAAGACAGTGTCTCCAAACTCCTCCATCAAAAGAAAGGTTATACTCTGTGAATTGAACGCACACATCACAAAGTAGTTTCTGAGAATGATTCTGTCTAGTTTTTATACGAAGATATTTCCTTTTCTACATTTGGCCTAAAAGCGCTTGAAATCTCCACCTGCAAATATCACAAAAAGAGGGTTTCACATCTGCTCTGTCTAAAGGACAGTTCACCTCTGTGAGTTGAATAGAGGCAACACAAAGAACTTACTCATTATTCTTCTTTCTAGCGTTCTATGAAGAAATCCCGTTTCCAACGAAGGCCTCAAAGAGGTCCAAATATCTGCTTGCAGACTTTACAGACAGAGTGTTTCCAAACTACTCTATGAAAAGAAAGCTTAAACTCCTTGAGTTGAACGCACACATCACAAAGTAGTTTCTGAGAATGATTCTGTCTAGTTTTTATACGAAGATGTTTCCTTTTCTACATTTGGTCTCGAAGCGATTGAAATCTCCAACTGGAAACTGCACAAATAGGGTGTTTCAAATCTGCTCTGTCTAAAGGAAGGTTCAACTCTGTGAGTTGAATACACACACCACAAATAAGTTACTGAGAATTCTTCTGTCGAACATTACTTGAAGAAATCCCGTTTCCAACGAAGGCCTCAAAGAGGTCCAACTATCCACTTGCAGACATTACAAACAGAATGTTTCCAAACTGCTCCATCAAAAGAAAGGTTAAACTCTGTGAGCTGAACACACACATCAAAAAGAAGTTTCTGTGAATGATTCTGTCTAGATTTTATAAGAAGATGTTTCCTTTTCTACCGTAGGCCTCAAAGCGCTTGAAATCTCCAGCTGCAAATTCCACAAAAAGGGTGTTTAACATCTGCTCTTCTAAAGGAAAGTTCAACTCTATGAGTTGAATACACACAGCACAAAGAAGTTACTGAGACTTCTCCTATCAAACATTATATGAAGAAATCCCGTTTCCAACGAAGGCCTCAAAGAGGTCCAAATATCTGCTTGCAGACTTTACAGACAGAGTGTTTCCAAACTGCTCCATCAAAAGAAAGGTTAAACTCCTTGAGTTGAACACACACATCACAAAGTAGTTTCTGTGAATGATTCTGTCTAGTTGTTATACGAAGATGTTTCCTTTTCTACCTTTGGTCTCAAAGCGATTGAAATCTCCACATGGAAACTCCACAAAAAGAGTGTTTCAAATCTGCTCTTTCTGAAGGAAGGTTCATCTCTGTGAGTTGAATACACACACCACAAATAAGTTACTGAGAATTCTTCTGTGTAACATTATATGAGGAAATCCCGTTTCCAACGAAGGCCTCAAAGAGGTCCAAATATCCACTTGCAGACTTTACAAAGACAGTGTCTCCAAACTCGTCCATCAAAAGAAAGGTTATACTCTGTGAATTGAATGCACACATCACAAAGTACTTTCTGAGAATGATTCTGTCTAGTTTTTATACGAAGATATTTCCTTTTCTACATTTGGCCTAAAAGCGCTTGAAATCTCCACCTGCAAATATCACAAAAAGAGGGTTTCACATCTGCTCTGTCTAAAGGACAGTTCACCTCTGTGAGTTGAATAGAGGCAACACAAAGAACTTACTCACTATTCTTCTTTCTAGCGTTCTATGAAGAAATCCCGTTTCCAACGAAGGCCTCAAAGAGGTCCAAATATCTGCTTGCAGACTTTACAGACAGAGTGTTTCCAAACTACTCTATGAAAAGAAAGCTTAAACTCCTTGAGTTGAACGCACACATCACAAAGTAGTTTCTGAGAATGATTCTGTCTAGTTTTTATACGAAGATATTTCCTTTTCTACATTTGTCTCAAAGCGATTGAAATCTCCAACTGGAAACTGCACAAATAGGGTGTTTCAAATCTGCTCTGTCTAAAGGAAGGTTCAACTCTGTGAGTTGAATACACACACCACAAATAAGTTACTGAGAATTCTTCTGTCGAACATTACTTGAAGAAATCCCGTTTCCAACGAAGACCTCAAAGAGGTCCAAATATCCACTTGCAGACATTACAAACAGAGTGTTTCCAAACTGCTCCATCAAAAGAAAGGTTAAACTCTGTGAGCTGAACACACACATCAAAAAGAAGTTTCTGTGAATGATTCTGTCTAGATTTTATAAGAAGATGTTTCCTTTTCTACCGTAGGCCACAAAGCGCTTGAAATCTCCAGCTGCAAATTCCACAAAAAGGGTGTTTAACATCTGCTCTTCTAAAGGAAAGTTAAACTCTATGCGTTGAATACACACAGCACAAAGAAGTTACTGAGACTTCTCCTATCAAACATTATATGAAGAAATCCCGTTTCCAACGAAGGCCTCAAAGAGGTCCAAATATCTGATTGCAGACTTTACAGACAGAGTGTTTCCAAACTGCTCCATCAAAAGAAAGGTTAACCTCCTTGAGTTGAACACACACATCACAAAGTAGTTTCTGTGAATGATTCTGTCTAGTTTTTATACGAAGATGTTTCCTTTTCTACCTTTGGTCTCAAAGCGATTGAAATCTCCACATGGAAACTCCACAAAAAGAGTGTTTCAAATCTGCTCTTTCTGAAGGAAGGTTCATCTCTGTGAGTTGAATACACACACCACAAATAAGTTACTGAGAATTCTTCTGTGTAACATTATATGAGGAAATCCCGTTTCCAACGAAGGCCTCAAAGAGGTCCAAATATCCACTTGCAGACTTTACAAAGACAGTGTCTCCAAACTCCTCCATCAAAAGAAAGGTTATACTCTGTGAATTGAACGCACACATCACAAAGTAGTTTCTGAGAATGATTCTGTCTAGTTTTTATACGAAGATATTTCCTTTTCTACATTTGGCCTAAAAGCGCTTGAAATCTCCACCTGCAAATATCACAAAAAGAGGGTTTCACATCTGCTCTGTCTAAAGGACAGTTCACCTCTGTGAGTTGAATAGAGGCAACACAAAGAACTTACTCAGTATTCTTCTTTCTAGCGTTCTATGAAGAAATCCCGTTTCCAACGAAGGCCCCAAAGAGGTCCACATATCTGCTTGCAGACTTTACAGACAGAGTGTTTCCAAACTACTCTATGAAAAGAAAGCTTAAACTCCTTGAGTTGAACGCACACATCACAAAGTAGTTTCTGAGAATGATTCTGTCTAGTTTTTATACGAAGATGTTTCCTTTTCTACATTTGGTCTCAAAGCGATTGAAATCTCCAACTGGAAACTGCACAAATAGGGTGTTTCAAATCTGCTCTGTCTAAAGGAAGGTTCAACTCTGTGAGTTGAATACACACACCACAAATAAGTTACTGAGAATTCTTCTGTCGAACATTACTTGAAGAAATCCCGTTTCCAACGAAGGCCTCAAAGAGGTCCAAATATCCACTTGCAGACATTACAAACAGAGTGTTTCCAAACTGCTCCATCAACAGAAAGGTTAAACTCTGTGAGCTGAACACACACATCAAAAAGAAGTTTCTGTGAATGATTCTGTCTAGATTTTATAAGAAGATGTTTCCTTTTCTACCGTAGGCCTCAAAGCGCTTGAAATCTCCAGCTGCAAATTCCACAAAAAGGGTGTTTAACATCTGCTCTTCTAAAGGAAAGTTCAACTCTATGAGTTGAATACACACAGCACAAAGAAGTTACTGAGACTTCTCCTATCAAACATTATATGAAGAAATCCCGTTTCCAACGAAGGCCTCAAAGAGGTCCAAATATCTGCTTGCAGACTTTACAGACAGAGTGTTTCCAAACTGCTCCATCAAAAGAAAGGTTAAACTCCTTGAGTTGAACACACACATCACAAAGTAGTTTCTGTGAATGATTCTGTCTAGTTTTTATACGAAGATGTTTCCTTTTCTACCTTTGGTCTCAATGCGATTGAAATCTCCACATGGAAACTCCACAAAGAGAGTGTTTCAAATCTGCTCTTTCTGAAGGAAGGTTCATCTCTGTGAGTTGAATACACACACCACAAATAAGTTACTGAGAATTCTTCTGTGTAACATTATATGAGAAAATCCCGTTTCCAACGAAGGCCTCAAAGAGGTCCAAATATCCACGTGCAGACTTTACAACGACAGTGTCTCCAAACTCCTCCATCAAAAGAAAGGTTATACTCTGTGAATTGAACGCACACATCACAAAGTAGTTTCTGAGAATGATTCTGTCTAGTTTTTATACGAAGATATTTCCTTTTCTACATTTGGCCTCAAAGCGCTTGAAATCTCCACCTGCAAATATCACAAAAAGAGGGTTTCACATCTGCTCTGTCTAAAGGACAGTTCACCTCTGTGAGTTGAATAGAGGCAACACAAAGAACTTACTCAGTATTCTTCTTTCTATCGTTCTATGAAGAAATCCCGTTTCCAACGAAGGCCCCAAAGAGGTCCAAATATCTGCTTGCAGACTTTACAGACAGAGTGTTTCCAAACTACTCTATGAAAAGAAAGCTTAAACTCCTTGAGTTGAACGCACAGATCACAAAGTAGTTTCTGAGAATGATTCTGTCTAGTTTTTATACGAAGATGTTTCCTTTTCTACATTTGGTCTCAAAGCGTTTGAAATCTCCAACTGGAAACTGCACAAATAGGGTGTTTCAAATCTGCTCTGTCTAAAGGAAGGTTCAACTCTGTGAGTTGAATACACACACCACAATAAGTTACTGAGAATTCTTCTGTCGAACATTACAGGAAGAAATCCCGTTTCCAACGAAGGCCTCAAAGAGGTCCAAATATCCACTTGCAGACATTACAAACAGTGTGTTTCCCAACTGCTCCATCAAAAGAAAGGTTAAACTCTGTGAGCTGAACACACACATCAAAAAGAAGTTTCTGTGAATGATTCTGTCTAGATTTTATAAGAAGATGTTTCCTTTTCTACCGTAGGCCTCAAAGCGCTTGAAATCTCCAGCTGCAAATTCCACAAAAAGGGTGTTTAACATCTGCTCTTCTAAAGGAAAGTTCAACTCTATGAGTTGAATACACACAGCACAAAGAAGTTACTGAGACTTCTCCTATCAAACATTATATGAAGAAATCCCGTTTCCAACGAGGGCCTCAAAGAGGTCCAAATATCTGCTTGCAGACTTTACAGACAGAGTGTTTCCAAACTGCTCCATCAAAAGAAAGGTTAAACTCCTTGAGTTGAACACACACATCACAAAGTAGTTTCTGTGAATGATTCTGTCTAGTTTTTATACGAAGATGTTTCCTTTTCTACCTTTGGTCTCAAAGCGATTGAAATCTCCACATGGAAACTCCACAAAAAGAGTGTTTCAAATCTGCTCTTTCTGAAGGAAGGTTCAACTCTGTGAGTTGAATACACACACCACAAATAAGTTACTGAGAATTCTTCTGTGTAACATTATATGAGGAAATCCCGTTTCCAACGAAGGCCTCAAAGAGGTCCAAATATCCACTTGCAGACTTTACAAAGACAGTGTCTCCAAACTCCTCCATCAAAAGAAAGGTTATACTCTGTGAATTGAACGCACACATCACAAAGTAGTTTCTGAGAATGATTCTGTCTAGTTTTTATACGAAGATATTTCCTTTTCTACATTTGGCCTAAAAGCGCTTGAAATCTCCACCTGCAAATATCACAAAAAGAGGGTTTCACATCTGCTCTGTCTAAAGGACAGTTCACCTCTGTGAGTTGAATAGAGGCAACACAAAGAACTTACTCAGTATTCTTCTTTCTTGCGTTCTATGAAGAAATCCCGTTTCCAACGAAGGCCCCAAAGAGGTCCAAATATCTGCTTGCACACTTTACAGACAGAGTGTTTCCAAACTACTCTATGAAAAGAAAGCTTAAACTCCTTGAGTTGAACGCACACATCACAAAGTAGTTTCTGAGAATGATTCTGTCCAGTTTTTATACGAAGATGTTTCCTTTTCTACATTTGGTCTCAAAGCGATTGAAATCTCCAACTGGAAACTGCACAAATAGGGTGTTTCAAATCTGCTCTGTCTAAAGGAAGGTTCAACTCTGTGAGTTGAATACACACACCACAAATAAGTTACTGAGAATTCTTGTGTCGAACATTACTTGAAGAAATCCCGTTTCCAACGAAGGCCTCAAAGAGGTCCAAATATTCACTTGCAGATATTACAAACAGAGTGTTTCCAAACTGCTCCATCAAAAGAAAGGTTAAACTCTGTGAGCTGAACACACACATCAAAAAGAAGTTTCTGTGAATGATTCTGTCAAGATTTTATAAGATGTTTCCATTTCTACCGTAGGACTCAAAGCGCTTGAAATCTCCAGCTGCAAATTCCACAAAAAGGGTGTTTAACATCTGCTCTTCTAAAGGAAAGTTCAACTCTATGAGTTGAATACACACAGCACAAAGAAGTTACTGAGACTTCTCCTATCAAACATTATATGAAGAAATCCCGTTTCCAACGAAGGCCTCAAAGAGGTCCAAATATCTGCTTGCAGACTTTAAAGACAGAGTTTTTCCAAACTGCTCCATCAAAAGAAAGGTTAAACTCCTTGAGTTGAACACACACATCACAAAGTAGTTTCTGTGAATGATTCTGTCTAGTTTCTATACGAAGATGTTTCCTTTTCTACCTTTGGTCTCAAAGCGATTGAAATCTCCACATGGAAACTCCACAAAAAGAGTGTTTCAAATCTGCTCTTTCTGAAGGAAGGTTCAACTCTGTGAGTTGAATACACACACCACAAATAAGTTACTGAGAATTCTTCTGTGTAACATTATATGAGGAAATCCCGTTTCCAACGAAGGCCTCAAAGCAGGTCCAAATATCCACTTGCAGACTTTACAAAGACAGTGTCTCCAAACTCCTCCATCAAAAGAAAGGTTATACTCTGTGAATTGAACGCACACATCCCAAAGTAGTTTCTGAGAATGATTCTGTCTAGTTTTTATACGAAGATATTTCCTTTTCTACATTTGGCCTAAAAGCGCTTGAAATCTCCACCTGCAAATATCACAAAAAGAGGGTTTCACATCTGCTCTGTCTAAAGGACAGTTCACCTCTGTGAGTTGAGTAGAGGCAACACAAAGAACTTACTCAGTATTCTTCTTTCTAGCGTTCTATGAAGAAATCACGTTTCCAACGAAGGCCCCAATGAGGTCCAAATATCTGCTTGCAGACTTTACAGACAGAGTGTTTCCAAACTACTCTATGAAAAGAAAGCTTAAACTTCTTGAGTTGAACGCACACATCACAAAGTAGTTTCTGAGAATGATTCTGTCTAGTTTTTATACGAAGATGTTTCCTTTTCTACATTTGGTCTCAAAGCGATTGAAATCTCCAACTGGAAACTGCACAAATAGGGTGTTTCAAATCTGCTCTGTCTAAAGGAAGGTTCAACTCTTTGAGTTGAATACACACACCACAAATAAGTTACTGAGAATTCTTCTGTCGAACATTACTTGAAGAAATCCCGTTTCCAACGAAAGCCTCAAAGAGGTCCAAATATCGACTTGCAGACATTACAAACAGAGTGTTTCCAAACTGCTCCATCAAAAGAAAGGTTAAACTCTGTGAGCTGAACACACACATCAAAAAGAAGTTTCTGTGAATGATTCTGTCTAGATTTTATAAGAAGATGTTTCCTTTTCTACCGTAGGCCTCAAAGCGCTTGAAATCTCCAGCTGCAAATTCCACAAAAAGGGTGTTTAACATCTGCTCTTCTAAAGGAAAGTTCAACTCAATGAGTTGAATACACACAGCCCAAAGAAGTTACTGAGACTTCTCCTATCAAACATTATATGAAGAAATCCCGTTTCCAACGAAGGCCTCAAAGAGGTCCAAATATCTGCTTGCAGACTTTACAAAGACAGTGTCTCCAAACTCCTCCATCAAAAGAAAGGTTATACTCTGTGAATTGAACGCACACATCACAAAGTAGTTTCTGAGAATGATTCTGTCTAGTTTTTATACGAAGATATTTCCTTTTCTACATTTGGCCTAAAAGCGCTTGAAGTCTCCACCTGCAAATATCACAAAAAGAGGGTTTCACATCTGCTCTGTCTAAAGGACAGTTCACCTTTGTGAGTTGAATAGAGGCAACACAAAGAACTTACTCAGTATTCTTCTTTCTAGCGTTCTATGAAGAAATCCCGTTTCCAACGAAGGCCCCAAAGAGGTCCAAATATCTGCTTGCAGACTTTACAGACACAGTGTTTCCAAACTACTCTATGAAAAGAAAGCTTAAACTCCTTGAGTTGAACGCACACATCACAAAGTAGTTTCTGAGAATGATTCTGTCTAGTTTTTATACGAAGATGTTTCCTTTTCTACATTTGGTCTCAAAGCGATTGAAATCTCCAACTGGAAACTGCACAAATAGGGTGTTTCAAATCTGCTCTGTCTAAAGGAAGGTTCAACTCTGTGAGTTGAATACACACACCACAAATAAGTTACTGAGAATTCTTCTGTCGAACATTACAGGAAGAAATCCCGTTTCCAACGAAGGCCTCAAAGAGGTCCAAATATCCACTTGCAGACATTACAAACAGTGTGTTTCCCAACTGCTCCATCAAAAGAAAGGTTAAACTCTGTGAGCTGAACACACACATCAAAAAGAAGTTTCCTGTGAATGATTCTGTCTAGCATTTTATAAGAAGATGTTTCCTTTTCTACCGTAGGCCTCAAAGCGCTTGAAATCTCCATCTGCAAATTCCACAAAAAGGGTGTTTAACATCTGCTCTTCTAAAGGAAAGTTCAACTCTATGAGTTGAATACACACAGCACAAAGAAGTTACTGAGACTTCTCCTATCAAACATTATATGAAGAAATCCCGTTTCCAACGAAGGCCTCAAAGAGGTCCAAATATCTGCTTGCAGACTTTACAGACAGAGTGTTTCCAAACTGCTCCATCAAAAGAAAGGTTAAACTCCTTGAGTTGAACACACACATCACAAAGTAGTTTCTGTGAATGATTCTGTCTAGTTGTTATACGAAGATGTTTCCTTTTCTACCTTTGGTCTCAAAGCGATTGAAATCTCCACATGGAAACTCCACAAAAAGAGTGTTTCAAATCTGCTCTTTCTGAAGGAAGGTTCATCTCTGTGAGTTGAATACACACACCACAAATAAGTTACTGAGAATTCTTCTGTGTAACATTATATGAGGAAATCCCGTTTCCAACGAAGGCCTCAAAGAGGTCCAAATATCCACTTGCAGACTTTACAAAGACAGTGTCTCCAAACTCCTCCATCAAAAGAAAGGTTATACTCTGTGAATTGAACGCACACATCACAAAGTAGTTTCTGAGAATGATTCTGTCTAGTTTTTATACGAAGATATTTCCTTTTCTACATTTGGCCTAAAAGCCCTTGAAATCTCCACCTGCAAATATCACAAAAAGAGGGTTTCACATCTGCTCTGTCTAAAGGACAGTTCACCTCTGTGAGTTGAATAGAGGCAACACAAAGAACTTACTCAGTATTCTTCTTTCTAGCGTTCTATGAAGAAATCCCGTTTCCAACGAAGGCCTCAAAGAGGTCCAAATATCTGCTTGCAGACTTTACAGACAGAGTGTTTCCAAACTACTCTATGAAAAGAAAGCTTAAACTCCTTGAGTTGAACGCACACATCACAAAGTAGTTTCTGAGAATGATTCTGTCTAGTTTTTATACGAAGATGTTTCGTTTTCTACATTTGGTCTCAAAGCGATTGAAATCTCCAACTGGAAACTGCACAAATAGGGTGTTTCAAATCTGCTCTGTCTAAAGGAAGGTTCAACTCTGTGAGTTGAATACACACACCACAAATAAGTTACTGAGAATTCTTCTGTCGAACATTACAGGAAGAAATCCCGTTTTCAACGAAGGCCTCAAAGAGGTCCAAATATCCACTTGCAGACATTACAAACAGAGTGTTTTCAAACTGCTCCATCAAAAGAAAGGTTAAACTCTGTGAGCTGAACACACACATCAAAAAGAAGTTTCTGTGAATGATTCTGTCTAGATTTTATAAGAAGATGTTTCCTTTTCTACCGTAGGCCTCAAAGCGCTTGAAATCTCCAGCTGCAAATTCCACAAAAAGGGTGTTTAACATCTGCTCTTCTAAAGGAAAGTTCAACTCTATGAGTTGAATACACACAGCACAAAGAAGTTACTGAGACTTCTCCTATCAAACATTATATGAAGAAATCCCGTTTCCAACGAAGGCCTCAAAGAGGTCCAAATATCTGCTTGCAGACTTTACAGACAGAGTTTTTCCAAACTGCTCCATCAAAAGAAAGGTTAAACTCTTTGAGTTGAACACACACATCACAAAGTAGTTTCTGTGAGTGATTCTGTCTAGTTTTTATACGAAGATGTTTCCTTTTCTACCTTTGGTCTCAAAGCGATTGAAATCTCCACATGGAAACTCCACAAAAAGAGTGTTTCAAATCTGCTCTTTCTGAAGGAAGGTTCACCTCTGTGAGTTGAATAAACACACCACAAATAAGTTACTGAGAATTCTTCTGGGTAACATTATATGAGGAAATCCCGTTTCCAACGAAGGCCTCAAAGAGGTCCAAATATCCACTTGCAGACTTTACAAAGACAGTGTCTCCAAACTCCTCCATCAAAAGAAAGGTTATACTCTGTGAATTGAACGCACACATCACAAAGTAGTTTCTGAGAATGATTCTGTCTAGTTTTTATACGAAGATATTTCCTTTTCTACATTTGGCCTAAAAGTGCTTGAAATCTCCACCTGCAAATATCACAAAAAGAGGGTTTCACATCTGCTCTGTCTAAAGGACAGTTCACCTCTGTGAGTTGAATAGAGGCAACACAAAGAACTTACTCAGTATTCTTCTTTCTAGCGCTCTATGAAGAAATCCCGTTTCCAACGAATGCCTCAAAGAGGTCCAAATATCTGCTTGCAGACTTCAGAGACAGAGTGTTTCCAAAGTACTCTATGAAAAGAAAGCTTAAACTCCTTGAGTTGAACGCACACATCACAAAGTAGTTTCTGAGAATGATTCTGTCTAGTTTTTATACGAAGATGTTTCCTTTTCTACATTTGGTCTCAAAGCGATTGAAATCTCCAACTGGAAACTGCACAAATAGGGTGTTTCAAATCTGCTCTTTCTAAAGGAAGGTTCAACTCTGTGAGTTGAATACACACACCCACAAATAAGTTACTGAGAATTCTTCTGTCGAACATTACTTGAAGAAATCCCGTTTCCAACGAAGGCCTCAAAGAGGTCCAAATATCCACTTGCAGACATTACAAACAGTGTGTTTCCAAACTGCTCCATCAAAAGAAAGGTTAAACTCTGTGAGCTGAACACACATCAAAAAGAAGTTTCTGTGAATGATTCTGTCTAGATTTTATAAGAAGATGTTTCCTTTTCTACTGTAGGCCACAAAGCGCTTGAAATCTCCAGCTGCAAATTCCACAAAAAGGGTGTTTAACATCTGCTCTTCTAAAGGAAAGTTCAACTCTATGCGTTGAATACACACAGCACAAAGAAGTTACTGAGACTTCTCCTATCAAACATTATATGAAGAAATCCCGTTTCCAACGAAGGCCTCAAAGAGGTCCAAATATCTGCTTGCAGACTTTACAGACAGAGTGTTTCCAAACTGCTCCATCAAAAGAAAGGTTAAATTCCTTGAGTTGAACACACACATCACAAAGTAGTTTCTGTGAATGATTCTGTCTAGTTTTTATACGAAGATGTTTCCTTTTCTACCTTTGGTCTCAATGCGATTGAAATCTCCACATGGAAACTCCACAAAAAGAGTGTTTCAAATCTGCTCTTTCTGAAGGAAGGTTCAACTCTGTGAGTTGAATACACACACCACTAATAAGTTACTGAGAATTCTTCTGTGTAACATTATATGAGGAAATCCCGTTTCCAACGAAGGCCTCAAAGAGGTCCAAATATCCACGTGCAGACTTTAAAAAGACAGTGTCTCCAAACTCCTCCATCAAAGAAAGGTTATACTCTGTGAATTGAACGCACACATCACAAAGTAGTTTCTGAGAATGATTCTGTCTAGTTTTTATACGAAGATATTTCCTTTTCTACATTTGGCCTAAAAGCACTTGAAATCTCCACCTGCAAATATCCCAAAAAGAGGGTTTCACATCTGCTCTGTCTAAAGGACAGTTCACCTCTGTGAGTAGAATAGAGGCAACACAAAGAACTTAGTATTCTTCTTTCTAGCGTTCTATGAAGAAATCCCGTTTCCAACGAAGGCCTCAAAGAGGTTCAAATATCTGCTTGCAGACTTTACAGACAGAGTGTTTCCAAACTACTCTATGAAAAGAAAGCTTAAACTCCTTGAGTTGAACGCACACATCACAAAGTAGTTTCTGAGAATGATTCTGTCTAGTTTTTATACGAAGATGTTTCCTTTTCTACATTTGGTCTCAAAGCGATTGAAATCTCCAACTGGAAACTGCACAAATAGGGTGTTTCAAATCTGCTCTGTCTAAAGGAAGGTTCAACTCTGTGAGTTGAATACACACACCACAAATAAGTTACTGAGAATTCTTCTGTCGAACATTACTGGAAGAAATCCCGTTTCCAACGAAGGCCTCAAAGAGGTCCAAATATCCACTTGGAGACATTACAAACAGAGTGTTTCCAAACTGCTACATCAAAAGAAAGGTTAAACTCTGTGAGCTGAACACACACATCAAAAAGAAGTTTCTGTGAATGATTCTGTCTAGATTTTCTAAGAAGATGTTTCCTTTTCTACCGTAGGCCTCAAAGCGCTTGAAATCTCCAGCTGCAAATTCCACAAAAAGGGTGTTTAACATCTGCTCTTCTAAAGGAAAGTTCAACTCAATGAGTTGAATACACACAGCACAAAGAAGTTACTGAGACTTCTCCTATCAAACATTATATGAAGAAATCCCGTTTCCAACGAAGGCCTCAAAGAGGTCCAAATATCTGCTTGCAGACTTTAAAGACAGAGTTTTTCCAAACTGCTCCATCAAAAGAAAGGTTAAACTCCTTGAGTTGAACACACACATCACAAAGTAGTTTCTGTGAATGATTCTGTCTAGTTTTTATACGAAGATGTTTCCTTTTCTACCTTTGGTCTCAAAGCGATTGAAATCTCCACATGGAAACTCCACAAAAAGAGTGTTTCAAATCTGCTCTTTCTGAAGGAAGGTTCAACTCTGTGAGTTGAATACACACACCACAAATAAGTTACTGAGAATTCTTCTGTGTAATATTATATGAGGAAATCCCGTTTCCAACGAAGGCCTCAAAGAGGTCCAAATATCCACTTGCAGACTTTACAAAGACAGTGTCTCCAAACTCCTCCATCAAAAGAAAGGTTATACTCTGTGAATTGAACACACACATCACAAAGTAGTTTCTGAGAATGATTCTGTCTAGTTTTTATACGAAGATATTTCCTTTTCTACATTTGGCCTAAAAGCGCTTGAAATCTCCACGTGCAAATATCACAAAAAGAGGGTTTCACACCTGCTCTGTTTAAAGGACAGTTCACCTCTGTGAGTTGAATAGAGGCAACACAAAGAACTTCCTCAGTATTCTTCTTTCTAGCGTTCTATGAAGAAATCCCGTTTCCAACGAAGGCCTCAAAGAGGTCCAAATATCTGCTTGCAGACTTTACAGACAGAGTGTTTCGAAACTACTCTATGAAAAGAAAGCTTAAACTCCTTGAGTTGAACGCACACATCACAAAGTAGTTTCTGAGAATGATTCTGTCTAGTTTTTATACGAAGATGTTTCCATTTCTACATTTGTCTCAAAGCGATTGAAATCTCCAACTGGAAACTGCACAAATAGGGTGTTTCAAATCTGCTCTGTCTAAAGGAAGGTTCAACTCTGTGAGTTCAATACACACACCACAAATAAGTTACTGAGAATTCTTCTGTCGAACATTACATGAAGAAATCCCGTTTCCAACGAAGGCCTCAAAGAGGTCCAAATATCCACTTGCAGAGATTACAAACAGTGTGTTTCCAAACTGCTCCATCAAAAGAAAGGTTAAACTCTGTGAGCTGAACACACACATCAAAAAGAAGTTTCTGTGAATGATTCTGTCTAGATTTTATAAGAAGATGTTTCCTTTTCTACCGTAGGCCTCAAAGCGCTTGAAATCTCCAGCTGCAAATTCCACAAAAAGGGTGTTTAACATCTGCTCTTCTAAAGGAAAGTTCAACTCTATGAGTTGAATACACACAGCACAAAGAAGTTACTGAGACTTCTCCTATCAAACATTATATGAAGAAATCCCGTTTCCAACGAAGGCCTCAAAGAGGTCCAAATATCTGCTTGCAGACTTTACAGACAGAGTTTTTCCAAACTGCTCCATCAAAAGAAAGGTTAAACTCCTTGAGTTGAACACACACATCACAAAGTAGTTTCTGTGAATGATTCTGTCTAGTTTTTATACGAAGATGTTTCCTTTTCTACCTTTGGTCTCAAAGCGATTGAAATCTCCACATGGAAACTCCACAAAAAGAGTGTTTCATATCTGCTCTTTCTGAAGGAAGGTTCAACCCTGTGAGCTGAATACACACACCACAAATAAGTTACTGAGAATTCTTCTGTGTAACATTATATGAGGAAATCCCGTTTCCAACGAAGGCCTCAAAGAGGTCCAAATATCCACTTGCAGACTTTACAAAGACAGTGTCTCCAAACTCCTCCATCAAAAGAAAGGTTATACTCTGTGAATTGAACGCACACATCACAAAGTAGTTTCTGAGAATGATTCTGTCTAGTTTTTATACGAAGATATTTCCTTTTCTACATTTGGCCTAAAAGCGCTTGAAATCTCCACCTGCAAATATCACAAAAAGAGGGTTTCACATCTGCTCTGTCTAAAGGACAGTTCACCTCTGTGAGTTGAATAGAGGCAACACAAAGAACTTACTCAGTATTCTTCTTTCTAGCGTTCTATGAAGAAATCCCGTTTCCAACGAAGGCCTCAAAGAGGTCAAATATCTGCTTGCAGACTTTACAGACAGAGTGTTTCCAAACTACTCTATGAAAAGAAAGCTTAAACTCCTTGAGTTGAACGCACACATCACAAAGTAGTTTCTGAGAATGATTCTGTCTAGTTTTTATACGAAGATGTTTCCTTTTCTACATTTGGTCTCAAAGCTCTTGAAATCTCCAACTGGAAACTGCACAAATAGGCTGTTTCAAATCTGCTCTGTCTAAAGGAAGGTTCAACTCTGTGAGTTGAATACACACACCACAAATAAGTTACTGAGAATTCTTCTGTCGAACATTACTTGAAGAAATCCCGTTTCCAACGAAGGCCTCAAAGAGGTCCAAATATCCACTTGCAGACGTTACAAACAGAGTGTTTCCAAACTGCTCCATCAAAAGAAAGGTTAAACTCTGTGAGCTGAACACACACATCAAAAAGAAGTTTCTGTGAATGATTCTGTCTAGATTTTATAAGAAGATGTTTCCTTTTCTACCGTAGGCCTCAAAGCGCTTGAAATCTCCAGCTGCAAATTCCACAAAAAGGGTGTTTAACATCTGCTCTTCTAAAGGAAAGTTCAACTCTATGAGTTGAATACACACAGCACAAAGAAGTTACTGAGACTTCTCTTATCAAACATTATATGAAGAAATCCCGTTTCCAACGAAGGCCTCAAAGAGGTCCAAATATCTGCTTGCAGACGTTACAGACAGAGTGTTTCAAAACTGCTCCATCAAAAGAAAGGTTAACCTCCTTGAGTTGAACACACACATCACAAAGTAGTTTCTGTGAATGATTCTGTCTAGTTTTTATACGAAGATGTTTCCTTTTCTACCTTTGGTCTCAAAGCGATTGAAATCTCCACATGGAAACTCCACAAAAAGAGTGTTTCAAATCTGCTCTTTCTGAAGGAAGGTTCATCTCTGTGAGTTGAATACACACACCACAAATAAGTTACTGAGAATTCTTCTGTGTAACATTATATGAGGAAATCCCGTTTCCAACGAAGGCCTCAAAGAGGTCCAAATATCCACTTGCAGACTTTACAAAGACAGTGTCTCCAAACTCCTCCATCAAAAGAAAGGTTATACTCTGTGAATTGAACGCACACATCACAAAGTAGTTTCTGAGAATGATTCTGTCTAGTTTTTATACGAAGATATTTCCTTTTCTACATTTGGCCTAAAAGCGCTTGAAATCTCCACCTGCAAATATCACAAAAAGAGGGTTTCACATCTGCTCTGTCTAAAGGACAGTTCACCTCTGTGAGTTGAATAGAGGCAACACAAAGAACTTACTCAGTATTCTTCTTTCTAGCGTTCTATGAAGAAATCCCGTTTCCAACGAAGGCCTCAAAGAGGTCCAAATATCTGCTTGCAGACTTTACAGACAGAGTGTTTCCAAACTACTCTATGAAAAGAAAGCTTAAACTCCTTTAGTTGAACGCACACATCACAAAGTAGTTTCTGAGAATGATTCTGTCTAGTTTTTATACGAAGATGTTTCCTTTTCTACTTTTGGTCTCAAAGCGATTGAAATCTCCAACTGGAAACTGCACAAATAGGGTGTTTGAAATCTGCTCTGTCTAAAGGAAGGTTCAACTCTGTGAGTTGAATACACACACCACAAATAAGTTACTGAGAATTCTTCTGTCGAACATTACTTGAAGAAATCCCGTTTGCAACGAAGGCCTCAAAGAGGTCCAAATATCCACTTGCAGACATTACAACAGAGTGTTTCCAAACTGCTCCATCAAAAGAAAGGTTAAACTCTGTGAGCTGAACACACACATCAAAAAGAAGTTTCTGTGAATGATTCTGTCTAGATTTTATAAGAAGATGTTTCCTTTTCTACCGTAGGCCTCAAAGCGCTTGAAATCTCCAGCTGCAAATTCCACAAAAAGGGTGTTTAACATCTGCTCTTCTAAAGGAAAGTTCAACTCTATGAGTTGAATACACACAGCACAAAGAAGTTACTGAGACTTCTCCTATCAAACATTATATGAAGAAATCCCGTTTCCAACGAAGGCCTCAAAGAGGTCCAAATATCTGCTTGCAGACTTTACAGACAGAGTATTTCCAAACTGCTCCATCAAAAGAAAGGTTAAACTCCTTGAGTTGAACACACACATCACAAAGTAGTTTCTGTGAATGATTCTGTCTAGTTTTTATACGAAGATGTTTCCTTTTCTACCTTTGGTCTCAAAGCGATTGAAATCTCCACATGGAAACTCCACAAAAAGAGTGTTTCAAATCTGCTTTTTCTGAAGGAAGGTTCAACTCTGTGAGTTGAATACACACACCACAAATAAGTTACTGAGAATTCTTCTGTGTAACATTATATGAGGAAATCCCGTTTCCAACGAAGGCCTCAAAGAGGTCCAAATATCCACTTGCAGACTTTACAAAGACAGTGTCTCCAAACTCCTCCATCAAAAGAAAGGTTATACTCTGTGAATTGAACGCACACATCACAAAGTAGTTTCTGAGAATGATTCTGTCTAGTTTTTATACGAAGATATTTCCTTTTCTACATTTGGCCTAAAAGCGCTTGAAATCTCCACCTGCAAATATCACAAAAAGAGGGTTTCACATCTGCTCTATCTAAAGGAGAGTTCACCTCTGTGAGTTGAATAGAGGCAACACAAAGAACTTACTCAGTATTCTTCTTTCTAGCGTTCTATGAAGAAATCCCGTTTCCAACGAAGGCCTCAAAGAGGTCAAATATCTGCTTGCAGACTTTACAGACAGAGTGTTTCCAAACTACTCTATGAAAAGAAAGCTTAAACTCCTTGAGTTGAACGCACACATCACAAAGTAGTTTCTGAGAATGATTCTGTCTAGTTTTTATACGAAGATGTTTCCTTTTCTACATTTGGTCCCAAAGCGATTGAAATCTCCAACTGGAAACTGCACAAATAGGGTGTTTCAAATCTGCTCTGTCTAAAGGAAGGTTCAACTCTGTGAGTTGAATACACACACCACAAATAAGTTACTGAGAATTCTTCTGTCGAACATTACAGGAAGAAATCCCGTTTCCAACGAAGGCCTCAAAGAGGTCCAAATATCCACTTGCAGACATTACAAACAGTGTGTTTCCCAACTGCTCCATCAAAAGAAAGGTTAAACTCTGTGAGCTGAACACACACATCAAAAAGAAGTTTCTGTGAATGATTCTGTCTAGATTTTATAAGAAGATGTTTCCTTTTCTACCATAGGCCTCAAAGCGCTTGAAATCTCCAGCTGCAAATTCCACAAAAAGGGTGTTTAACATCTGCTCTTCTAAAGGAAAGTTCAACTCTATGAGTTGAATACACACAGCACAAAGAAGTTACTGAGACTTCTCCTATCAAACATTATATGAAGAAATCCCGTTTCCAACGAAGGCCTCAAAGAGGTCCAAATATCTGCTTGCAGACTTTACAGACAGAGTGTTTCCAAACTGCTCCATCAAAAGAAAGGTTAAACTCCTTGAGTTGAACACACACATCACAAAGTAGTTTCTGTGAATGATTCTGTCTAGTTTTTATACGAAGATGTTTCCTTTTCTACATTTGGTCTCAAAGCGATTGAAATCTCCACATGGAAACTCCACAAAAAGAGTGTTTCAAATCTGCTCTTTCTGAAGGAAGGTTCAACTCTGTGAGTTGAATACACACGCCACAAATAAGTTACTGAGAATTCTTCTGTGTAACATTATATGAGGAAATCCCGTTTCCAACGAAGGCCTCAAAGAGGTCCAAATATCCACTTGCAGACTTTACAAAGACAGTGTCTCCAAACTCCTCCATCAAAAGAAAGGTTATACTCTGTGAATTGAACGCACACATCACAAAGTAGTTTCTGAGAATGATTCTGTCTAGTTTTTATACGAAGATATTTCCTTTTCTACATTTGGCCTAAAAGCGCTTGAAATCTCCACCTGCAAATATCACAAAAAGAGGGTTTCACATCTGCTCTGTCTAAAGGACAGTTCACCTCTGTGAGTTGAATAGAGGCAACACAAAGAACTTACCCAGTATTCTTCTTTCTACCGTTCTATGAAGAAATCCCGTTTCCAACGAAGGCCTCAAAGAGGTCCAAATATCTGCTTGCAGACTTTACAGACAGAGTGTTTCCAAACTACTCTATGAAAAGAAAGCTTAAACTCCTTGAGTTGAACGCACACATCACAAAGTAGTTTCTGAGAATGATTCTGTCTAGTTTTTATACGAAGATGTTTCCTTTTCTACATTTGGTCTCAAAGCGATTGAAATCTCCAACTGGAAACTGCACAAATAGGCTGTTTCAAATCTGCTCTGTCTAAAGGAAGGTTCAACTCTGTGAGTTGAATACACACACCACAAATAAGTTACTGAGAATTCTTCCGTCGAACATTACTTGAAGAAATCCCGTTTCCAACGAAGGCCTCAAAGAGGTCCAAATATCCACTTGCAGACATTACAAACAGAGTGTTTCCAAAACTGCTCCATCAAAAGAAAGGTTAAACTCTGTGAGCTGAACACACACATCAAAAAGAAGTTTCTGTGAATGATTCTGTCTAGATTTTATAAGAAGATGTTTCCTTTTCTACCGTAGGCCTCAAAGCGCTTGAAATCTCCAGCTGCAAATTCCACAAAAAGGGTGTTTAACATCTGCTCTTCTAAAGGAAAGTTCAACTCTATGAGTTGAATACACACAGCACAAAGAAGTTACTGAGACTTCTCCTATCAAACATTATATGAAGAAATCCCGTTTCCAACGAAGGCCTCAAAGAGGTCCAAATATCTACTTGCAGACTTTACAGACAGAGTGTTTCCAAACTGCTCCATCAAAAGAAAGGTTAAACTCCTTGAGTTGAACACACACATCACAAAGTAGTTTCTGTGAATGATTCTGTCTAGTTGTTATACGAAGATGTTTCCTTTTCTACCTTTGGTCTCAAAGCGATTGAAATCTCCACATGGAAACTCCACAAAAAGAGTGTTTCAAATCTGCTCTTTCTGAAGGAAGGTTCATCTCTGTGAGTTGAATACACACACCACAAATAAGTTACTGAGAATTCTTCTGGGTAACATTATATGAGGAAATCCCGTTTCCAACGAAGGCCTCAAAGAGGTCCAAATATCCACTTGCAGACTTTACAAAGACAGTGTCTCCAAACTCCTCCATCAAAAGAAAGGTTATACTCTGTGAATTGAACGCACACATCACAAAGTAGTTTCTGAGAATGATTCTGTCTAGTTTTTATACGAAGATATTTCCTTTTATACATTTGGCCTAAAAGCGCTTGAAATCTCCACCTGCAAATATCACAAAAAGAGGGTTTCACATCTGCTCTGTCTAAAGGACAGTTCACCTCTGTGAGTTGAATAGAGGCAACACAAAGAACTTACTCAGTATTCTTCTTTCTAGCATTCTATGAAGAAATCCCGTTTCCAACGAAGGCCTCAAAGAGGTCCAAATATCTGCTTGCAGACTTTACAGACAGAGTTTTTCCAAACTGCTCCATCAAAACAAAGGTTAAACTCCTTGAGTTGAACACACACATCACAAAGTAGTTTCTGTGAATGATTCTGTCTAGTTTTTATACGAAGATGTTTCCTTTTCTACCTTTGGTCTCAAAGCGATTGAAATCTCCACATGGAAACTCCACCAAAAGAGTGTTTCAAATCTGCTCTTTCTGAAGGAAGGTTCAACTCTGTGAGTTGAATACAGACACCACAAATAAGTTACTGAGAATTGTTCTGTGTAACATTATATGAGGAAATCCCGTTTCCAACGAAGGCCTCAAAGAGGTCCAAATATCCACTTGCAGACTTTACAAAGACAGTGTCTCCAAACTCCTCCATCAAAAGAAAGGTTATACTCTGTGAATTGAACGCACACATCACAAAGTAGTTTCTGAGAATGATTCTGTCTAGTTTTTATACGAAGATATTTCCTTTTCTACATTTGGCCTAAAAGCGCTTGAAATCTCCACCTGCAAATATCACAAAAAGAGGGTTTCACATCTGCTCTGTCTAAAGGACAGTTCACCTCTGTGAGTTGAATAGAGGCAACACAAAGAACTTACTCAGTATTCTTCTTTCTAGCGTTCTATGAAGAAATCCCGTTTCCAACGAAGGCCCCAAAGAGGTCCAAATATCTGCTTGCAGACTTTACAGACAGAGTGTTTCCAAACTACTCTATGAAAAGAAAGCTTAAACTCCTTGAGTTGAACGCACACATCACAAAGTAGTTTCGGAGAATGATTCTGTCTAGTTTTTATACGAAGATGTTTCCTTTTCTACATTTGGTCTCAAAGCGATTGAAATCTCCAACTGGAAACTGCACAAATAGGCTGTTTCAAATCTGCTCTGTCTAAAGGAAGGTTCAACTCTGTGAGTTGAATACACACACCACAAATAAGTTACTGAGAATTCTTCTGTCGAACATTACTTGAAGAAATCCCGTTTCCAACGAAGGCCTCAAAGAGGTCCAAATATCCACTTGCAGACATTAAAAACAGAGTGTTTCCAAACTGCTCCATCAAAAGAAAGGTTAAACTCTGTGAGCTGAACACACACATCAAAAAGAAGTTTCTGTGAATGATTCTGTCTAGATTTTATAAGAAGATGTTTCCTTTTCTACCGTAGGCCTCAAAGCGCTTGAAATCTCCAGCTGCAAATTCCACAAAAAGGGTGTTTAACATCTGCTCTTCTAAAGGAAAGTTCAACTCTATGAGTTGAATACACACAGCACAAAGAAGTTACTGAGACTTCTCCTATCAAACATTATATGAAGAAATCCCGTTTCCAACGAAGGCCTCAAAGAGGTCCAAATATCTACTTGCAGACTTTACAGACAGAGTGTTTCCAAACTGCTCCATCAAAAGAAAGGTTAAACTCCTTGAGTTGAACACACACATCACAAAGTAGTTTCTGTGAATGATTCTGTCTAGTTTTTATACGAAGATGTTTCCTTTTCTACCTTTGGTCTCAAAGCGATTGAAATCTCCACATGGAAACTCCACAAAAAGAGTGTTTCAAATCTGCTCTTTCTGAAGGAAGGTTCATCTCTGTGAGTTGAATACACACACCACAAATAAGTTACTGAGAATTCTTCTGTGTAACATTATATGAGGAAATCCCGTTTCCAACGAAGGCCTCAAAGAGGTCCAAATATCCACTTGCAGACTTTACAAAGACAGTGTCTCCAAACTCCTCCATCAAAAGAAAGGTTATACTCTGTGAATTGAACGCACACATCACAAAGTAGTTTCTGAGAATGATTCTGTCTAGTTTTTATACGAAGATATTTCCTTTTCTACATTTGGCCTAAAAGCGCTTGAAATCTCCACCTGCAAATATCACAAAAAGAGGGTTTCACATCTGCTCTGTCTGAAGGACAGTTCACCTCTGTGAGTTGAATAGAGGCAACACAAAGAACTTACTCAGTATTCTTCTTTCTAGCGTTCTATGAAGAAATCCCGTTTCCAACGAAGGCCTCAAAGAGGTCCAAATATCTGCTTGCAGACTTTACAGACAGAGTGTTTCCAAACTACTCTATGAAAAGAAAGCTTAAACTCCTTGAGTTGAACGCACACATCACAAAGTAGTTTCTGAGAATGATTCTGTCTAGTTTTTATACGAAGATGTTTCCTTTTCTACATTTGGTCTCAAAGCGATTGAAATCTCCAACTGGAAATTGCACAAATAGGGTGTTTCAAATCTGCTCTGTCTAAAGGAAGGTTCAACTCTGTGAGTTGAATACACACACCACAAATAAGTTACTGAGAATTCTTCTGTCGAACATTACTTGAAGAAATCCCGTTTCCAACGAAGGCCTCAAAGAGGTCCAAATATCCACTTGCAGACATTACAAACAGAGTGTTTCCAAACTGCTCCATCAAAAGAAAGGTTAAACTCTGTGAGCTGAACCCACACATCAAAAAGAAGTTTCTGTGAATGATTCTGTCTAGATTTTATAAGAAGATGTTTCCTTTTCTACCGTAGGCCTCAAAGCGCTTGAAATCTCCAGCTGCAAATTCCACAAAAAGGGTGTTTAACATCTGCTCTTCTAAAGGAAAGTTCAACTCTATGCGTTGAATACACACAGCACAAAGAAGTTACTGAGACTTCTCCTATCAAACATTATATGAAGAAATCCCGTTTCCAACGAAGGCCTCAAAGAGGTCCAAATATCTGCTTGCAGACTTTACAGACAGAGTTTTTCCAAACTGCTCCATCAAAAGAAAGGTTAAACTCCTTGAGTTGAACACACACATCACAAAGTAGTTTCTGTGAATGATTCTGTCTAGTTTTTATACGAAGATGTTTCCTTTTCTACCTTTGGTCTCAAAGCGATTGAAATCTCCACATGGAAACTCCACAAAAAGAGTGTTTCAAATCTGCTCTTTCTGAAGGAAGGTTCAACTCTGTGAGTTGAATACACACACCACAAATAAGTTACTGAGAATTCTTCTGTGTAACATTATATGAGGAAATCCCGTTTCCAACGAAGGCCTCAAAGAGGTCCAAATATCCACTTGCAGACTTTACAAAGACAGTGTCTCCAAACTCCTCCATCAAAAGAAAGGTTATACTCTGTGAATTGAACGCACACATCACAAAGTAGTTTCTGAGAATGATTCTGTCTAGTTTTTATACGAAGATATTTCCTTTTCTACATTTGGCCTAAAAGCGCTTGAAATCTCCACCTGCAAATATCACAAAAAGAGGGTTTCACATCTGCTCTGTCTAAAGGACAGTTCACCTCTGTGAGTTGAATAGAGGCAACACAAAGAACTTACTCAGTATTCTTCTTTCTAGCGTTCTATGAAGAAATCCCGTTTCCAACGAAGGCCTCAAAGAGGTCAAATATCTGCTTGCAGACTTTACAGACAGAGTGTTTCCAAACTACTCTATGAAAAGAAAGCTTAAACTCCTTGAGTTGAACGCACACATCACAAAGTAGTTTCTGAGAATGATTCTGTCTAGTTTTTATACGAAGATGTTTCCTTTTCTACATTTGGTCTCAAAGCGATTGAAATCTCCAACTGGAAACTGCACAAATAGGGTGTTTCAAATCTGCTCTGTCTAAAGGAAGGTTCAACTCTGTGAGTTGAATACACACACCACAAATAAGTTACTGAGAATTCTTCTGTCGAACATTACAGGAAGAAATCCCGTTTCCAACGAAGGCCTCAAAGAGGTCCAAATATCCACTTGCAGACATTACAAACAGTGTGTTTCCCAACTGCTCCATCAAAAGAAAGGTTAAACTCTGTGAGCTGAACACACACATCAAAAAGAAGTTTCTGTGAATGATTCTGTCTAGATTTTATAAGAAGATGTTTCCTTTTCTACCGTAGGCCTCAAGGCGCTTGAAATCTCCAGCTGCAAATTCCACAAAAAGGGTGTTTAACATCTACTCTTCTAAAGGAAAGTTCAACTCTATGCGTTGAATACACACAGCACAAAGAAGTTACTGAGACTTCTCCTATCAAACATTATATGAAGAAATCCCGTTTCCAACGAAGGCCTCAAAGAGGTCCAAATATCTGCTTGCAGACTTTACAGACAGAGTGTTTCCAAACTGCTCCATCAAAAGAAAGGTCAAACTCCTTGAGTTGAACACACACATCACAAAGTAGTTTTTGTGAATGATTCTGTCTAGTTTTTATACGAAGATGTTTCCTTTTCTACCTTTGGTCTCAAAGCGATTGAAATCTCCACATGGAAACTCCACAAAAAGAGTGTTTCAAATCTGCTCTTTCTGAAGGAAGGTTCAACTCTGTGAGTTGAATACACACACCACAAATAAGTTACTGAGAATTCTTCTGTGTAACATTATATGAGGAAATCCCGTTTCCAACGAAGGCCTCAAAGAGGTCCAAATATCCACTTGCAGACTTTACAAAGACAGAGTCTCCAAACTCCTCCATCAAAAGAAAGGTTATACTCTGTGAATTGAACGCACACATCACAAAGTAGTTTCTGAGAATGATTCTGTCTAGTTTTTATACGAAGATATTTCCTTTTCTACATTTGGCCTAAAAGCGCTTGAAATCTCCACCTGCAAATATCACAAAAAGAGGGTTTCACATCTGCTCTGTCTAAAGGACAGTTCACCTCTGTGAGTTGAATAGAGGCAACACAAGGAACTTACTCAGTATTCTTCTTTCTAGCATTCTATGAAGAAATCCCGTTTCCAACGAAGGCCCCAAAGAGATCCAAATATCTGCTTGCAGACTTTACAGACAGAGTTTTTCCAAACTGCTCCATCAAAAGAAAGGTTAAACTCCTTGAGTTGAACACACACATCACAAAGTAGTTTCTGTGAATGATTCTGTCTAGTTTTTATAAGAAGATGTTTCCTTTTCTACCTTTGGTCTCAAAGCGATTGAAATCTCCACATGGAAACTCCTCAAAAAGAGTGTTTCAAATCTGCTCTTTCTGAAGGAAGGTTCAACTCTGTGAGTTGAATACACACACCACAAATAAGTTACTGAGAATTCTTCTGTGTAACATTATATGAGGAAATCCCGTTTCCATCGAAGGCCTCAAAGAGGTCCAAATATCCACTTGCAGACTTTACAAAGACAGTGTCTCCAAACTCCTCCATCAAAAGAAAGGTTATACTCTGTGAATTGAACGCACACATCACAAAGTAGTTTCTGAGAATGATTCTGTCTAGTTTTTATACGAAGATATTTCCTTTTCTACATTTGGCCTAAAAGCGCTTGAAATCTCCACCTGCAAATATCACAAAAAGAGGGTTTCACATCTGCTCTGTCTAAAGGACAGTTCACCTCTGTGAGTTGAATAGAGGCAACACAAAGAACTTACTCAGTATTCTTCTTTCTAGCATTCTATGAAGAAATCCCGTTTCCAACGAAGGCCCCAAAGAGGTCCAAATATCTGCTTGCAGACTTTACAGACAGAGTTTTTCCAAACTGCTCCATCAAAAGAAAGGTTAAACTCCTTGAGTTGAACACACACATCACAAAGTAGTTTCCTGTGAATGATTCTCTGTCTAGTTTTTATAAGAAGATGTTTCCTTTTCTACCTTTGGTCTCAAAGCGATTGAAATCTCCACATGGAAACTCCACAAAAAGAGTGTTTCAAATCTGCTCTTTCTGAAGGAAGGTTCAACTCTGTGAGTTGAATGCACACACCACAAATAAGTTACTGAGAATTCTTCTGTGTAACATTATATGAGGAAATCCCGTTTCCAACGAAGGCCTCAAAGAGGTCCAAATATCCACTTGCAGACTTTACAAAGACAGTGTCTCCAAACTCCTCCATCAAAAGAAAGGTTATACTGTGTGAATTGAACGCACACATCACAAAGTAGTTTCTGAGAATGATTCTGTCTAGTTTTTATACGAAGATATTTCCTTTTCTACATTTGGCCTAAAAGCGCTTGAAATCTCCACCTGCAAATATCACAAAAAGAGGGTTTCACATCTGCTCTGTCTAAAGGACAGTTCACCTCTGTGAGTTGAATAGAGGCAACACAAAGAACTTACTCAGTATTCTTCTTTCTAGCGTTCTATGAAGAAATCCCGTTTCCAACGAAGGCCCCAAAGAGGTCCAAATATCTGCTTGCAGAGTTTACAGACAGAGTGTTTCCAAACTACTCTATGAAAAGAAAGCTTAAACTCCTTGAGTTGAACGCACACATCACAAAGTAGTTTCTGAGAATGATTCTGTCTAGTTTTTATACGAAGATGTTTCCTTTTCTACATTTGGTCTCAAAGCGATTGAAATCTCCAACTGGAAACTGCACAAATAGGGTGTTTCAAATCTGCTCTGTCTAAAGGAAGGTTCAACTCTGTGAGTTGAATACACACACCACAAATAAGTTACTGAGAATTCTTCTGTCGAACATTACTTGAAGAAATCCCGTTTCCAACGAAGGCCTCAAAGAGGTCCAAATATCCACTTGCAGACATTACAAACAGAGTGTTTCCAAACTGCTCCATCAAAAGAAAGGTTAAACTCTGTGAGCTGAACACACACATCGAAAAGAAGTTTCTGTGAATGATTCTGTCTAGATTTTATAAGAAGATGTTTCCTTTTCTACCGTAGGCCTCAAAGCGCTTGAAATCTCCAGCTGCAAATTCCACAAAAAGGGTGTTTAACATCTGCTCTTCTAAAGGAAAGTTCAACTCTATGAGTTGAATACACACAGCACAAAGAAGTTACTGAGACTTCTCCTATCAAACATTATATGAAGAAATCCCGTTTCCAACGAAGGCCTCAAAGAGGTCCAAATATCCACTTGCAGAAGTGACAAACAGAGTGTTTCCAAACTGCTGCATCAAAAGAAAGTTTAAACTTCTGTGAGTTGAACACACACATCACAAAGTAGTTTCCGTGAATTATTCTGTCTAGTTTTTATACGAAGATGTTTCCTTTTCTACCTTTGGTCTCAAAGCGATTGAAATCTCCACATGGAAACTCCACAAAAAGAGGGTTTCAAATCTGATCTTTCTGAAGGAAGGTTCAACTCTGTGAGTTGAATACACACACCACAAATAAGTTACTGAGAATTCTTCTGTGTAACATTATATGAGGAAATCCCGTTTCCAACGAAGGCCTCAAAGAGGTCCAAATATCCACTTGCAGACTTTACAAAGACAGTGTCTCCAAACTCCTCCATCAAAAGAAAGGTTATACTCTGTGAATTGAACGCACACATCACAAAGTAGTTTCTGAGAATGATTCTGTCTAGTTTTTATACGAAGATATTTCCTTTTCTACATTTGGCCTAAAAGCGCTTGAAATCTCCACCTGCAAATATCACAAAAAGAGGGTTTCACATCTGCTCTGTCTAAAGGACAGTTCACCTCTGTGAGTTGAATAGAGGCAACACAAAGAACTTACTCAGTATTCTTCTTTCTAGCGTTCTATGAAGAAATCCCGTTTCCAACGAAGGCCTCAAAGAGGTCAAATATCTGCTTGCAGACTTTACAGACAGAGTGTTTCCAAACTACTCTATGAAAAGAAAGCTTAAACTCCTTGAGTTGAACGCACACATCACAAAGTAGTTTCTGAGAATGATTCTGTCTAGTTTTTATACGAAGATGTTTCCCTTTCTACATTTGGTCTCAAAGCGATTGAAATCTCCAACTGGAAACTGCACAAATAGGCTGTTTCAAATCTGCTCTGTCTAAAGGAAGGTTCAACTCTGTGAGTTGAATACACACACCACAAATAAGTTACTGAGAATTCTTCTGTCGAACATTACAGGAAGAAATCCCGTTTCCAACGAAGGCCTCAAAGAGGTCCAAATATCCACTTGCAGACATTACAAACAGTGTGTTTCCCAACTGCTCCATCAAAAGAAAGGTTAAACTCTGTGAGCTGAACACACACATCAAAAAGAAGTTTCTGTGAATGATTCTGTCTAGATTTTATAAGAAGATGTTTCCTTTTCTACCGTAGGCCTCAAAGCGCTTGAAATCTCCAGCTGCAAATTCCACAAAAAGGGTGTTTAACATCTGCTCTTCTAAAGGAAAGTTCAACTCTATGAGTTGAATACACACAGCACAAAGAAGTTACTGAGACTTCTCCTATCAAACATTAGATGAAGAAATCCCGTTTCCAACGAAGGCCTCAAAGAGGTACAAATATCTGCTTGCAGACTTTACAGACAGAGTTTTTCCAAACTGCTCCATCAAAAGAAAGGTTAAACTCCTTGAGTTGAACACACACATCACAAAGTATTTTCTGTGAATGATTCTGTCTAGTTTTTATACGAAGAATGTTTCCTTTTCTACCTTTGGTCTCAAAGCGATTGAAATCTCCACATGGAAACTCCACAAAAAGAGTGTTTCAAATCTGCTCTTTCTGAAGGAAGTTTCAACTCTGTGAGTTGAATACACACACCACAAATAAGTTACTGAGAATTCTTCTGGGTAACATTATATGAGGAAATCCCGTTTCCAACGAAGGCCTCAAAGAGGTCCAAATATCCACTTGCAGACTTTACAAAGACAGTGTCTCCAAACTCCTCCATCAAAAGAAAGGTTATACTCTGTGAATTGAACGCACACATCACAAAGTAGTTTCTGAGAATGATTCTGTCTAGTTTTTATACGAAGATATTTCCTTTTCTACATTTGGCCTAAAAGTGCTTGAAATCTCCACCTGCAAATATCACAAAAAGAGGGTTTCACATCTGCTCTGTCTAAAGGACAGTTCACCTCTGTGAGTTGAATAGAGGCAACACAAAGAACTTACTCAGTATTCTTCTTTCTAGCATTCTATGAAGAAATCCCGTTTCCAACGAAGGCCTCAAAGAGGTCAAATATCTGCTTGCAGACTTTACAGACAGAGTGTTTCCAAACTACTCTATGAAAAGAAAGCTTAAACTCCTTGAGTTGAACGCACACATCACAAAGTAGTTTCTGAGAATGATTCTGTCTAGTTTTTATACGAAGATGTTTCCTTTTCTACATTTGGTCTGAAAGCGATTGAAATCTCCAACTGGAAACTGCACAAATAGGCGGTTTCAAATCTGCTCTGTCTAAAGGAAGGTTCAGCTCTGTGAGTTGAATACACACACCACAAATAAGTTACTGAGAATTCTTCTGTCGAACATTACAGGAAGAATTCCCGTTTCCAACGAAGGCCTCAAAGAGGTCCAAATATCCACTTGCGGACATTACAAACAGTGTGTTTCCCAACTGCTCCATCAAAAGAAAGGTTAAACTCTGTGAGCTGAACACACACATCAAAAAGAAGTTTCTGTGAATGATTCTGTCTAGATTTTATAAGAAGATGTTTCCTTTTCTACCGTAGGCCTCAAAGCGCTTGAAATCTCCAGCTGCAAATTCCACAAAAAGGGTGTTTAACATCTGCCCTTCTAAAGGAAAGTTCAACTCTACGAGTTGAATACACACAGCACAAAGAAGTTACTGAGACTTCTCCTATCAAACATTATATGAAGAAATCCCGTTTCCAACGAAGGCCTCAAAGAGGTCCAAATATCTGCTTGCAGACTTTACAGACAGAGTGTTTCCAAACTGCTCCATCAAAAGAAAGGTTAAACTCCTTGAGTTGAACACACACATCACAAAGTAGTTTCTGTGAATGATTCTGTCTAGTTTTTATACGAAGATATTTCCTTTTCTACCTTTGGTCTCAAAGCGATTGAAATCTCCACATGGAAACTCCACAAAAAGAGTGTTTCAAATCTGCTCTTTCTGAAGGAAGGTTCAACTCTGTGAGTTGAATACACACACCACAATTAAGTTACTGAGAATTCTTCTGTGTAACATTATATGAGGAAATCCCGTTTCCAACGAAGGCCTCAAAGAGGTCCAAATATCCACTTGCAGACTTTACAAAGACAGTGTCTCCAAACTCCTCCATCAAAAGAAAGGTTATACTCTGTGAATTGAACGCACACATCACAAAGTAGTTTCTGAGAATGATTCTGTCTAGTTTTTATACGAAGATATTTCCTTTTCTACATTTGGCCTAAAAGTGCTTGAAATCTCCACCTGCAAATATCACAAAAAGAGGGTTTCACATCTGCTCTGTCTAAAGGACAGTTCACCTCTGTGAGTTGAATAGAGGCAACACAAAGAACTTACTCAGTATTCTTCTTTCTAGCGTTCTATGAAGAAATCCCGTTTCCAACGAAGGCCTCAAAGAGGTCCAAATATCTGCTTGCAGACTTTACAGACAGAGTGTTTCCAAACTACTCTATGAAAAGAAAGCTTAAATCCTTGAGTTGAACGCACACATCACAAAATAGTTTCTGAGAATGATTCTGTCTTGTTTTTATACCAAGATCTTTCCGTTTCTATGATTGGCCTCAAAGCGATTGAAATCTCCAACTGGAAACTGCACAAATAGGGTGTTTCAAATCTGCTCTGTCTAAAGGAAGGTTCAACTCTGTGAGTTGAATACACACACAACAAATAAGTTACTGAGAATTCTTCTGTTGAACATTACATGAAGAAATCCCGTTTCCAACGAAGGCCTCAAAGAGGTCCAAATATCCACTTGCAGACATTACAAACAGAGTGTTTCCAAACTGCTCCATCAAAGGAAAGGTTAAACTCTGTGAGCTGAACACACACATCAAAAAGAAGTTTCTGTGAATGATTCTGTCTAGATTTTATAAGAAGATGTTTCCTTTTCTACCGTAGGCCTCAAAGCGCTTGAAATCTCCAGCTGCAAATTCCACAAAAAGGGTGTTTAACATCTGCTCTTCTAAAGGAAAGTTCAACTCTATGAGTTGAATACACACAGCACAAAGAAGTTACTGAGACTTCTCCTATCAAACATTATATGAAGAAATCCCGTTTCCAACGAAGGCCTCAAAGAGGTCCAAATATCTGCTTGCAGACTTTACAGACAGAGTGTTTCCAAACTGCTCCATCAAAAGAAAGGTTAAACTCCTTGAGTTGAACACACACATCACAAAGTAGTTTCTGTGAATGATTCTGTCTAGTTGTTATACGAAGATGTTTCCTTTTCTACCTTTGGTCTCAAAGCGATTGAAATCTCCACATGGAAACTCCACAAAAAGAGTGTTTCAAATCTGCTCTTTCTGAAGGAAGGTTCATCTCTGTGAGTTGAATACACACACCACAAATAAGTTACTGAGAATTCTTCTGTGTAACATTATATGAGGAAATCCCGTTTCCAACGAAGGCCTCAAAGAGGTCCAAATATCCACTTGCAGACTTTACAAAGACAGTGTCTCCAAACTCCTCCATCAAAAGAAAGGTTATACTCTGTGAATTGAACGCACACATCACAAAGTAGTTTCTGAGAATGATTCTGTCTAGTTTTTATACGAAGATATTTCCTTTTCTACATTTGGCCTAAAAGCGCTTGAAATCTCCACCTGCAAATATCACAAAAAGAGGGTTTCACATCTGCTCTGTCTAAAGGACAGTTCACCTCTGTGAGTTGAATAGAGGCAACACAAAGAACTTACTCAGTATTCTTCTTTCTAGCGTTCTATGAAGAAATCCCGTTTCCAACGAAGGCCTCAAAGAGCTCAAATATCTGCTTGCAGACTTTACAGACAGAGTGTTTCCAAACTACTCTATGAAAAGAAAGCTTAAACTCCTTGAGTTGAACGCACACATCACAAAGTAGTTTCTGAGAATGATTCTGTCTAGTTTTTATACGAAGATGTTTCCTTTTCTACATTTGGTCTCAAAGCTCTTGAAATCTCCAACTGGAAACTGCACAAATAGGCTGTTTCAAATCTGCTCTGTCTAAAGGAAGGTTCAACTCTGTGAGTTGAATACACACACCACAAATAAGTTACTGAGAATTCTTCTGTCGAACATTACTTGAAGAAATCCCGTTTCCAACGAAGGCCTCAAAGAGGTCCAAATATCCACTTGCAGACGTTACAAACAGAGTGTTTCCAAACTGCTCCATCAAAAGAAAGGTTAAACTCTGTGAGCTGAACACACACATCAAAAAGAAGTTTCTGTGAATGATTCTGTCTAGATTTTATAAGAAGATGTTTCCTTTTCTACCGTAGGCCTCAAAGCGCTTGAAATCTCCAGCTGCAAATTCCACAAAAAGGGTGTTTAACATCTGCTCTTCTAAAGGAAAGTTCAACTCTATGAGTTGAATACACACAGCACAAAGAAGTTACTGAGACTTCTCCTATCAAACATTATATGAAGAAATCCCATTTCCAACGAAGGCCTCAAAGAGGTCCAAATATCTGCTTGCAGACTTTACAGACAGAGTGTTTCCAAACTGCTCCATCAAAAGAAAGGTTAAACTCCTTGAGTTGAACACACACATCACAAAGTAGTTTCTGTGAATGATTCTGTCTAGTTTTTATACGAAGATGTTTCCTTTTCTACCTTTGGTCTCAAAGCGATTGAAATCTCCACATGGAAACTCCACAAAAAGAGTGTTTCAAATCTGCTCTTTCTGAAGGAAGGTTCAACTCTGTGAGTTGAATACACACACCACAAATAAGTTACTGAGAATTCTTCTGTGTAACATTATATGAGGAAATCCCGTTTCCAACGAAGGCCTCAAAGAGGTCCAAATATCCACTTGCAGACTTTACAAAGACAGTGTCTCCAAACTCCTCCATCAAAAGAAAGGTTATACTCTGTGAATTGAACGCACACATCACAAAGTAGTTTCTGAGAATGATTCTGTCTAGTTTTTATAAGAAGATATTTCCTTTTCTACATTTGGCCTAAAAGCGCTTGAAATCTCCACCTGCAAATATCACAAAAAGAGGGTTTCACATCTGCTCTGTCTAAAGGACAGTTCACCTCTGTGAGTTGAATAGAGGCAACACAAAGAACTTACTCAGTATTCTTCTTTCTAGCGTTCTATGAAGAAATCCCGTTTCCAATGAAGACCCCAATGAGGTCCAAATATCTGCTTGCAGACTTTACAGACAGAGTGTTTCCAAACTACTCTATGAAAAGAAATCTTAAACTCCTTGAGTTGAACGCACACATCACCAAGTAGTTTCTGAGAATGATGCTGTCTAGTTTTTGTACGAAGATGTTTCCTTTTCTACATTTGGTCTCAAAGCCATTGAAATCTCCAACTGGAAACTGCACAAATAGGGTGTTTCAAATCTGCTCTGTCTAAAGGAAGGTTCAACTCTGTGAGTTGAATACACACACCATAAATAAGTTACTGAGAATTCTCCTATCAAACATTATATGAAGAAATCCCGTTTCCAAAGAAGGCCTCAAAGAGGTCCAAATATCCACTTGCAGACGTGACAAACAGAGTGTTTCCAAACTGCTCCATCAAAGGAAAGGTTAAACTCTGTGACCTGAACACACACATCAAAAAGAAGTTTCTGTGAATGATTCTGTCTAGATTTTATAAGAAGATGTTTCCTTTTCTACCGTAGGCCTCAAAGCGCTTGAAATCTCCAGCTGCAAATTCCACAAAAAGGGTGTTTAACATCTGCTCTTCTAAAGGAAAGTTCAACTCTATGAGTTGAATACACACAGCACAAAGAAGTTACTGAGACTTCTCCTATCAAACATTATATGAAGAAATCCCGTTTCCAACGAAGGCCTCAAAGAGGTCCAAATATCTGCTTGCAGACTTTACAGACAGAGTGTTTCCAAAGTGCTCCATCAAAAGAAAGGTTAAACTCCTTGAGTTGAACACACACATCACAAAGTAGTTTGCTGTGAATGATCTGTCTAGTTTTTATACGAAGATGTTTCCTTTTCTACCTTTGGTCTCAAAGCGATTGAAATCTCCACATGGAAACTCCACAAAAAGAGTGTTTCAAATCTGCTCTTTCTGAAGGAAGGTTCAACTCTGTGAGTTGAATACACACACCACAAATAAGTTACTGAGAATTCTTCTGTGTAACATTATATGAGGAAATCCCGTTTCCAACGAAGGCCTCAAAGAGGTCCAAATATCTAATTGCAGACTTTACAAAGACAGTGTCTCCAAACTCCTCCATCAAAAGAAAGGTTATACTCTGTGAATTGAACGCACACATCACAAAGTAGTTTCTGAGAATGATTCTGTCTAGTTTTTATACGAAGATATTTCCTTTTCTACATTTGGCCTAAAAGTGCTTGAAATCTCCACCTGCAAATATCACAAAAAGAGGGTTTCACATCTGCTCTGTCTAAAGGACAGTTCACCTCTGTGAGTTGAATAGAGGCAACACAAAGAACTTACTCAGTATTCTTCTTTCTTGCGTTCTATGAAGAAATCCCGTTTCCAACGAAGGCCCCAAAGAGGTCCAAATATCTGCTTGCACACTTTACAGACAGAGTGTTTCCAAACTACTCTATGAAAAGAAAGCTTAAACTCCTTGAGTTGAACGCAGACATCACAAAGTAGTTTTTGAGAATGATTCTGTCTAGTTTTTATACGAAGATGTTTCCTTTTCTACATTTGGTCTCAAAGCGATTGAAATCTCCAACTGGAAACTGCACAAATAGGGTGTTTCAAATCTGCTCTGTCTAAAGGTAGGTTCAACTCTGTGTGTTGAATACACACACCACAAATAAGTTACTGAGAATTCTTCTGTCGAACATTACTTGAAGAAATCCCGTTTCCAACGAAGGCCTCAAAGAGGTCCAAATATCCACTTGCAGACATTACAAACAGAGTGTTTCCAAACTGCTCCATCAAAAGAAAGGTTAAACTCTGTGAGCTGAACACACACATCAAAAAGAAGTTTCTGTGAATGATTCTGTCTAGATTTTATAAGAAGATGTTTGCTTTTCTACCGTAGGCCACAAAGCGCTTGAAATCTCCAGCTGCAAATTCCACAAAAAGGGTGTTTAACATCTGCTCTTCTAAAGGAAAGTTCAACACTATGCGTTGAATACACACAGCACAAAGAAGTTACTGAGACTTCTCCTATCAAACATTATATGAAGAAATCCCGTTTCCAACGAAGGCCTCAAAGAGGTCCAAATATCTGCTTGCAGACTTTACAGACAGAGTTTTTCCAAACTGCTCCATCAAAAGAAAGGTTAAACTCCTTGAGTTGAACACACACATCACAATGTAGTTTCTGTGAATGATTCTGTCTAGTTTTTATACGAAGATGTTTCCTTTTCTACCTTTGGTCTCAAAGCGATTGAAATCTCCACATGGAAACTCCACAAAAAGAGTGTTTCAAATCTGCTCTTTCTGAAGGAAGGTTCAACTCTGTGAGTTGAATACACACACCACAAATAAGTTACTGAGAATTCTTCTGTGTAACATTATATGAGGAAATCCCGTTTCCAACGAAGGCCTCAAAGAGGTCCAAATATCCACACGCAGACTTTACAAAGACAGTGTCTCCAAACTCCTCCATCAAAAGAAAGGTTATACTCTGTGAATTGTACGCACACATCACAAAGTAGTTTCTGAGAATGATTCTGTCTAGTTTTTATACGAAGATATTTCCTTTTCTACATTTGGCCTAAAAGCGCTTGAAATCTCCACCTGCAAATATCACAAAAAGAGGGTTTCACATCTGCTCTGTCTAAAGGACAGTTCACCTCTGTGAGTTGAATAGAGGCAACACAAAGAACTTACTCAGTATTCTTCTTTCTAGCGTTCTATGTAGAAATCCCGTTTCCAACGAAGGCCTCAAAGAGGTCAAATATCTGCTTGCAGACTTTACAGACAGAGTGTTTCCAAACTACTCTATGAAAAGAAAGCTTAAACTCCTTGAGTTGAACGCACACATCACAAAGTAGTTTCTGAGAATGATTCTGTCTAGCTTTTATACGAAGATGTTTCCCTTTCTACAATTGGTCTCAAAGCGATTGAAATCTCCAACTGGAAACTGCACAAATAGGCTGTTTCAAATCTGCTCTGTCTAAAAGAGGGTTGAACTCTGTGAGTTGAATACACACACCACAAATAAGTTACTGAGAATTCTTCTGTCGAACATTACAGGAAGAAATCCCGTTTCCAACGAAGGCGTCAAAGAGGTCCAAATATCCACTTGCAGACATTACAAACAGTGTGTTTCCCAACTGCTCCATCAAAAGAAAGGTTAAACTCTGTGAGCTGAACACACACATCAAAAAGAAGTTTCTGTGAATGATTCTGTCTAGATTTTATAAGAAGATGTTTCCTTTTCTACCGTAGGCCTCAAAGCGCTTGAAATCTCCAGCTGCAAATTCCACAAAAAGGGTGTTTAACATCTGCTCTTCTAAAGGAAAGTTCAACTCTATGAGTTGAATACACACAGCACAAAGAAGTTACTGAGACTTCTCCTATCAAACATTATATGAAGAAATCCCGTTTCCAACGAAGGCCTCAAAGAGGTCCAAATATCTGCTTGCAGACTTTACAGACAGAGTGTTTCCAAACTGCTCCATCAAAAGAAAGGTTAAACTCCTTGAGTTGAACACACACATCACAAAGTAGTTTCTGTGAATGATTCTGTCTAGTTTTTATACGAAGATGTTTCCTTTTCTACCTTTGGTCTCAATGCGATTGAAATCTCCACATGGAAACTCCACAAAAAGAGTGTTTCAAATCTGCTCTTTCTGAAGGAAGGTTCAACTCTGTGAGTTGAATACACACACCACAAATAAGTTACTGAGAATTCTTCTGTGTAACATTATATGAGGAAATCCCGTTTCCAACGAAGGCCTCAAAGAGGTCCAAATATCCACTTGCAGACTTTACAAAGACAGTGTCTCCAAACTCCTCCATCAAAAGAAAAGTGATACTCTGTGAATTGAACGCACACATCACAAAGTAGTTTCTGAGAATGATTCTGTCTAGTTTTTATACGAAGATATTTCCTTTTCTACATTTGGCCTAAAAGGGCTTGAAATCTCCACCTGCAAATATCACAAAAAGAGGGTTTCACATCTGCTCTGTCTAAAGGACAGTTCACCTCTGTGAGTTGAATAGAGGCAACACAAAGAACTTACTCAGTATTCTTCTTTCTAGCGTTATATGAAGAAATCCCGTTTCCAACGAAGGCCTCAAAGAGGTCCAAATATCTGCTTGCAGACTTTACAGACAGAGTGTTTCCAAGCTACTCTATGAAAAGAAAGCTTAAACTCCTTGAGTTGAACGCACACATCACAAAGTAGTTTCTGAGAATGATTCTGTCTTGTTTTTATACGAAGATATTTCCGTTTCTACGATTGGCCTCAAAGCGATTGAAATCCCCAACTGGAAACTGCACAAACAGGGTGTTTCAAATCTGCTCTGTCTAAAGGAAGGTTCAACTCTGTGAGTTGAATACACACACCACAAATAAGTTACTGAGAATTCTTCTGTCGAACATTTCATGAAGAAATCCCGTTTCCAACGAAGGCCTCAAAGAGGTCCAAATATCCACTTGCCGACATGGCAAACACAGTGTTTGCAAACTGCTCCGTGAAAAGAAAGGTTAAACCCTGTGAGATGAACACACACATCAAAAAGAAGTTTCTGTGAATGATTCTGTCTAGATTTTATAAGAAGATGTTTCCTTTTCTACCATAGGCCTCAAAGCGCTAGAAATCTCCAGCTGCAAATTCCACAAAAAGTGTGTTTAACATCTGCTCTGTCTAAAGTAAAGTTCAGCTCTGTGAGTTGAATACACACAGCACAAAGAAGTTACTGAGACTTCTTCTGTCGAACATTAGAGGAAGAAATCCCGTTTCCAACGAAGGCCTCAAAGAGGTCCAAATATCCACTTGCAGACATTACAAACAGTGTGTTTCCCAACTGCTCCATCAAAAGAAAGGTTAAACTCTGTGAGCTGAACACACACATCAAAAAGTAGTTTGCTGTGAATGATTCTGTCTAGTTTTTATACGAAGATGTTTCCTTTTCTACCTTTGGTCTCAAAGCGATTGAAATCTCCACATGGAAACTCCACAAAAAGAGTGTTTCAAATCTGCTCTTTCTGAAGGAAGGTTCAACTCTGTGAGTTGAATACACAAACCACAAATAAGTTACTGAGAATTCTTCTGTGTAACATTATATGAGGAAATCCCGTTTCCAACGAAGGCCTCAAAGAGGTCCAAATATCCACTTGCAGACTTTACAAAGACAGTGTCTCCAAACTCCTCCATCAAAAGAAAGGTTATACTCTGTAAATTGAACGCACACATCACAAAGTAGTTTCTGAGAATGATTGTGTCTAGTTTTTATACGAAGATATTTCCTTTTCTACATTTGGCCTAAAAGCGCTTGAAATCTCCACCTGCAAATATCAGAAAAAGAGGGTTTCACATCTGCTCTGTCTAAAGGACAGTTCACCTCTGTGAGTTGAATAGAGGCAACACAAAGTACTTACTCAGTATTCTTCTTTCTAGCGTTCTATGAAGAAATCCCGTTTCCAACGAAGGCCTCAAAGAGGTCCAAATATCTGCTTGCAGACTTTACAGAGTGTTTCCAAACTACTCTATGAAAAGAAAGCTTAAACTCCTTGAGTTGAACGCACACATCACAAAGTAGTTTCTGAGAATGATTCTGTCTAGTTTTTATACGAAGCATGTTTCCTTTTCTACATTTGGTCTCAAAGCGATTGAAATCTCCAACTGGAAACTGCACAAATAGGGTGTTTCAAATCTGCTCTGTCTAAAGGAAGGTTCAACTCTGTGAGTTGAATACACACACCACAAATAAGTTACTGAGAATTCTTCTGTCAAACGTTACATGAAGAAATCCCGTTTCCAACGAAGGCCTCAAAGAGGTCCAAATATCCACTTGCAGACATTACAAACAGAGTGTTTCCAAACTGCTCCATCAAAAGAAAGGTTAATCTCTGTGAGCTGAACACACACATCAAAAAGAAGTTTCTGTGAATGATTCTGTCTAGATTTTATAAGAAGATGTTTCCTTTTCTACCATAGGCCTCAAAGCGCTAGAAATCTCCAGCTGCAAATTCCACAAAAAGTGTGTTTAACATCTGCTCTGTCTAAAGTAAAGTTCAGCTCTGTGAGTTGAATACACACAGCACAAAGAAGTTACTGAGACTTCTTCTGTCTAACATTATATGAAGAAATCCCGTTTCCAACGAAGGCCTCAAAGAGGTCCAAATATCCACTTGCAGACTTGTCAAACAGAGTGTTTCCAAACTGCACCATCAAAAGAAAGGTTAAACTCTGTGAGCTGAACACACACATCACAAAGTAGTTTCTGTGAATGATTCTGTCTAGTTTTTATAGGAAGATGTCTCCTTTTCTACCTTTGGTCTCAAAGCCATTGAAATCTCCACATGGAAACTCCACAAAAAGAGTGTTTCAAATCTGCTCTTTCTGAAGGAAGGTTCAACTCTGTGAGTTGAATACACACACCACAAATAAGTTACTGAGAATTCTTCTGTGTAACATTATATGAGGAAATCCCGTTTCCAACGAAGGCCTCAAAGAGGTCCAAATATCCACTTGCAGACTTTACAAAGACAGTGTCTCCAAACTCCTCCATCAAAAGAAAGGTTATACTCTGTGAATTGAACGCACACATCACAAAGTAGTTTCTGAGAATGATTCTGTCTAGTTTTTATACGAAGATGTTTCCTTTTCTACCTTCGGTCTCAAAGCGATTGAAATCTCCACCTGCAAATATCACAAAAAGAGGGTTTCACATCTGCTCTGTCTAAAGGACAGTTCACCTCTGTGAGTTGAATAGAGGCAACACAAAGAACTTACTCAGTATTCTTCTTTCTAGCGTTATATGAAGAAATCCCGTTTCCAACGAAGGCCTCAAAGAGGTCCAAATATCTGCTTGCAGACTTTACAGACAGAGTGTTTCCAAACTACTCTATGAAAAGAAAGCTTAAACTCCTTGAGTTGAACGCACACATCACAAAGTAGTTTCTGAGAATGATTCTGTCTTGTTTTTATACGAAGATATTTCCGTTTCTACGATTGGCCTCAAAGCGATTGAAATCTCCAACTGGAAACTGCACAAATAGGGTGTTTCAAATCTGCTCTGTCTAAAGGAAGGTTCAACTCTGTGAGTTGAATACACACACCACAAATAAGTTACTGAGAATTCTTCTGTCGAACATTACATGAAGAAATCCCGTTTCCAACGAACGCCTCAACGAGGTCCAAATATCCACTTGCAGGCATTACAAACAGAGTGTTTCCAAACTGCTCCATCAAAAGAAAGGTTAAACTCTGTGAGCTGAACACACACATCAAAAAGAAGTTTCTGTGAATGATTCTGTCTAGATTTTATAAGAAGATGTTTCCTTTTCTACAGTAGGCCTCAAAGCGCTTGAAATCTCCAGCTGCAAATTCCACAAAAAGGGTGTTTAACATCTGCTCTTCTAAAGGAAAGTTCAACTCTGTGAGTTGAATACACACAGCACAAAGAAGTTACTGAGACTTCTCCTATCAAACATTATATGAAGAAATCCCGTTTCCAACGAAGGCCTCAAAGAGGTCCAAATATCTACTTGCAGACTTTACAGACAGAGTGTTTCCAAACTGCTCCATCAAAAGAAAGGTTAAACTCCTTGAGTTGAACACACACATCACAAAGTAGTTTCTGTGAATGATTCTGTCCAGTTTTTATACGAAGATGTTTCCTTTTCTACCTTTGGTCTCAATGCGATTGAAATGTCCACATGGAAACTCCACAAAAAGAGTGTTTCAAATCTGCTCTTTCTGAAGGAAGGTTCAACTCTGTGAGTTGAATACACACACCACAAATAAGTTACTGAGAATTCTTCTGTGTAACATTATATGAGGAAATCCCGTTTCCAACGAAGGCCTCAAAGAGGTCCAAATATCCACTTGCAGACTTTACAAAGACAGTGTCTCCAAACTCCTCCATCAAAAGAAAGGTTATACTCTGTGAATTGAACGCATACATCACAAAGTAGTTTCTGAGAATGATTCTGTCTAGTTTTTATACGAAGATATTTCCTTTTCTACATTTGGCCTAAAAGCGCTTGAAATCTCCACCTGCAAATATCACAAAAAGAGGGTTTCACATCTGCTCTGTCTAAAGGACATTTCACCTCTGTGAGTTGAATAGAGGCAACACAAAGAACTTATTCAGTATTCTTCTTTCTAGCGTTCTATGAAGAAATCCCGTTTCCAACGAAGGCCCCAAAGAGGTCCAAATATCTGCTTGCAGACTTTACAGACAGAGTGTTTCCAAACTACTCTATGAAAAGAAAGCTTAAACTCCTTGAGTTGAACGCACACATCACAAAGTAGTTTCTGAGAATGATTCTGTCTAGTTTTTATACGAAGATGTTTCCTTTTCTACATTTGGTCTCAAAGCGATTGAAATCTCCAACTGGAAACTGCACAAATAGGGTGTTTCAAATCTGCTCTGTCTAAAGGAAGGTTCAACTCTGTGAGTTGAATACACACACCACAAATAAGTTACTGAGAATTCTTCTGTCGAAAATTACTTGAAGAAATCCCGTATCCAACGAAGGCCTCAAAGAGGTCCAAATATCCACTTGCAGACATTACAAACAGAGTGTTTCCAAACTGCTCCATCAAAAGAAAGGTTAAACTCTGTGAGCTGAACACACACATCAAAAAGAAGTTTCTGTGAATGATTCTGTCTAGATTTTATAAGAAGATGTTTCCTTTTCTACCGTAGGCCTCAAAGCGCTTGAAATCTCCAGCTGCAAATTCCACAAAAAGGGTGTTTAACATCTGCTCTTCTAAAGGAAAGTTCAACTCTATGAGTTGAATGCACACAGCACCAAGAAGTTACTGAGACTTCTCCTATCAAACATTATATGAAGAAATCCCGTTTCCAACGAAGGCCTCAAAGAGGTCCAAATATCTGCTTGCAGACTTTACAGACAGAGTGTTTCCAAACTGCTCCATCAAAAGAAAGGTTAAACTCCTTGAGTTGAACACACACATCACAAAGTAGTTTCTGTGAATTATTCTGTCTAGTTGTTATACGAAGGATGTTTCCTTTTCTACCTTTGGTCTCAAAGCGATTGAAATCTCCACATGGAAACTCCACAAAAAGAGTGTTTCAAATCTGCTCTTTCTGAAGGAAGGTTCATCTCTGTGAGTTGAATACACACACCACAAATAAGTTAGTGAGAATTCTTCTGTGTAACATTATATGAGGAAATCCCGTTTCCAACGAAGGCCTCAAAGAGGTCCAAATATCCACTTGCAGACTTTACAAAGACAGTGTCTCCAAACTCCTCCATCAAAAGAAAGGTTATACTCTGTGAATTGAACGCACACATCACAAAGTAGTTTCTGAGAATGATTCTGTCTAGTTTTTATACGAAGATATTTCCTTTTCTACATTTGGCCTAAAAGCGCTTGAAATCTCCACCTGCAAATATCACAAAAAGAGGGTTTCACATCTGCTCTGTCTAAAGGACAGTTCACCTCTGTGAGTTGAATAGAGGCAACACAAAGAACTTACTCAGTATTCTTCTTTCTAGCGTTCTATGAAGAAATCCCGTTTCCAACGAAGGCCCCAAAGAGGTCCAAATATCTGCTTGCAGACTTTACAGACAGAGTGTTTCCAAACTACTCTATGAAAAGAAAGCTTAAACTCCTTGAGTTGAACGCACACATCACAAAGTAGTTTCTGAGAATGATTCTGTCTAGTTTTTATACGAAGATGTTTCCTTTTCTACATTTGGTCTCAAAGCGATTGAAATCTCCAACTGGAAACTGCACAAATAGGGGGTTTCAAATCTGCTCTGTCTAAAGGAAGGTTCAACTCTGTGAGTTGAATACACACACCACAAATAAGTTACTGAGAATTCTTCTGTCGAACATTACTTGAAGAAATCCCGTTTCCAACGAAGGCCTCAAAGAGGTCCAAATATCCACTTGCAGACATTACAAACAGAGTGTTTCCAAACTGCTCCATCAAAAGAAAGTTTAAACTCTGTGAGCTGAACACACACATCAAAAAGAAGTTTCTGTGAATGATTCTGTCTAGATTTTGTAAGAAGATGTTTCCTTTTCTACCGTAGGCCTCAATGCGCTTGAAATCTCCACCTGCAAATTCCACAAAAAGGATGTTTTACATCTGCTCTTCTAAAGGAAAGTTCAACTCTATGCGTTGAATACACACAGGACAAAGAAGTTACTGAGACTTCTCCTATCAAACATTATATGAAGAAATCCCGTTTCCAACGAAGGCCTCGAAGAGGTCCAAATATCTGCTTGCAGACTTTACAGACAGAGTTTTTCCAAACTGCTCCATCAAAAGAAAGGTTAAACTCCTTGAGTTGAACACACACATCACAAAGTAGTTTCTGTGAATGATTCTGTCTAGTTTTTATACGAAGATGTTTCCTTTTCTACCTTTGGTCTCAATGCGATTGAAATCTCCACATGGAAACTCCACAAAAAGAGTGTTTCAAATCTGCTCTTTCTGAAGGAAGGTTCAACTCTGTGAGTTGAATACACACACCACAAATAAGTTACTGAGAATTCTTCTGTGTAACATTATATGAGGAAATCCCGTTTCCAACGAAGGCCTCAAAGAGGTCCAAATATCCACTTGCAGACTTTACAAAGACAGTGTCTCCAAACTCCTCCATCAAAGAAAGGTTATACTCTGTGAATTGAACGCACACATCACAAAGTAGTTTCTGAGAATGATTCTGTCTAGTTTTTATACGAAGATATTTCCTTTTCTACATTTGGCCTAAAAGCGCTTGAAATCTCCACGTGCAAATATCACAAAAAGAGGGTTTCACATCTGCTCTGTCTAAAGGACAGTTCACCTCTGTGAGTTGAATAGAGGCAACACAAAGAACTTACTCAGTATTCTTCTTTCTAGCGTTCTATGAAGAAATCCCGTTTCCAACGAAGGCCCCAAAGAGGTCCAAATATCTGCTTGCAGACTTTACAGACAGAGTGTTTCCAAACTACTCTATGAAAAGAAAGCTTAAACTCCTTGAGTTGAACGCACACATCACAAAGTAGTTTCTGAGAATGATTCTGTCTAGTTTTTATACGAAGTATGTTTCCTTTTCTACATTTGGTCTCAAAGCGATTGAAATCTCCAACTGGAAACTGCACAAATAGGCTGTTTCAAATCTGCTCTGTCTAAAGGAAGGTTCAGCTCTGTGTGTTGAATACACACACCACAAATAAGTTACTGAGAATTCTTCTGTCGAACATTACAGGAAGAAATCCCGTTTCCAACGAAGGCCTCAAAGAGGTCCAAATATCCACTTGCGGACGTTACAAACAGTGTGTTTCCCAACTGCTCCATCAAAAGAAAGGTTAAACTCTGTGAGCTGAACACACACATCAAAAAGAAGTTTCTGTGAATGATTCTGTCTAGATTTTATAAGAAGATGTTCCTTTTCTACCGTAGGCCTCAAAGCGCTTGAAATCTCCAGCTGTCAAATTCCACAAAAAGGGTGTTTAACATCTGCTCTTCTAAAGGAAAGTTCAACTCTATGAGTTGAATACACACAGCACAAAGAAGTTACTGAGACTTCTCCTATCAAACATTATATGAAGAAATCCCGTTTCCAACGAAGGCCTCAAAGAGGTCCAAATATCTGCTTGCAGACTTTACAGACAGAGTGTTTCCAAACTGCTCCATCAAAAGAAAGGTTAAACTCCTTGAGTTGAACACACACATCACAAAGTAGTTTCTGTGAATGATTCTGTCTAGTTGTTATACGAAGATGTTTCCTTTTCTACCTTTGGTCTCAAAGCGATTGAAATCTCCACATGGAAACTCCACAAAAAGAGTGTTTCAAATCTGCTCTTTCTGAAGGAAGGTTCATCTCTGTGAGTTGAATACACACACCACAAATAAGTTACTGAGAATTCTTCTGTGTAACATTATATGAGGAAATCCCGTTTCCAACGAAGGCCTCAAAGAGGTCCAAATATCCACTTGCAGACTTTACAAAGACAGTGTCTCCAAGCTCCTCCATAAAATGAAAGGTTATACTCTGTGAATTGAACGCACACATCACAAAGTAGTTTCTGAGAATGATTCTGTCTAGTTTTTATACGAAGATATTTCCTTTTCTACATTTGGCCTAAAAGCGCTTGAAATCTCCACCTGCAAATATCACAAAAAGAGGGTTTCACATCTGCTCTGTCTAAAGGACAGTTCACCTCTGTGAGTTGAATAGAGGCAACACAAAGAACTTACTCAGTATTCTTCTTTCTAGCGTTCTATGAAGAAATCCCGTTTCCAACGAAGGCCCCAAAGAGGTCCAAATATCTGCTTGCAGACTTTACAGACAGAGTGTTTCCAAACTACTCTATGAAAAGAAAGCTTAAACTCCTTGAGTTGAACGCACACATCACAAAGTAGTTTCTGAGAATGATTCTGTCTAGTTTTTATACGAAGATGTTTCCTTTTCTACATTTGGTCTCAAAGCGATTGAAATCTCCAACTGGAAACTGCACAAATAGGGTGTTTCAAATCTGCTCTGTCTAAAGGAAGGTTCAACTCTGTGAGTTGAATACACACACCACAAATAACTTACTGAGAATTCTTCTGTCGACCATTACTTGAAGAAATCCCGTTTCCAACGAAGGCCTCAAAGAGGTCCAAATATCCACTTGCAGACATTACAAACAGAGTGTTTCCAAACTGCTCCATCAAAAGAAAGGTTAAACTCTGTGAGCTGAACACACACATCAAAAAGAAGTTTCTGTGAATGATTCTGTCTAGATTTTATAAGAAGATGTTTCCTTTTCTACCGTAGGCCTCAAAGCGCTTGAAATCTCCAGCTGCAAATTCCACAAAAAGGGTGTTTAACATCTGCTCTTCTAAAGGAAAGTTCAACTCTATGAGTTGAATACACACAGCACAAAGAAGTTACTGAGACTTCTCCTATCAAACATTATATGAAGAAATCCCGTTTCCAACGAAGGCCTCAAAGAGGTCCAAATATCCACTTGCAGACGTGACAAACAGAGTGTTTCCAAACTGCTCCATCAAAAGAAAGGTTAAACTCTGTGAGTTGAACACACACATCACAAAGTAGTTTCTGTGAATGATTCTGTCTAGTTTTTATACGAAGATGTTTCCTTTTCTACCTTTGGTCTCAAAGCCATTGAAATCTCCACATGGAAACTCCACAAAAAGAGTGTTTCAAATCTGCTCTTTCTGAAGGAAGGTTCAACTCTGTGAGTTGAATACACACACCACAAATAAGTTACTGAGAATTCTTCTGTGTAACATTATAGGAGGAAATCCCGTTTCCAACGAAGGCCTCAAAAAGGTCCAAATATCCACTTGCAGACTTTACAAAGACAGTGTCTCCAAATTCCTCCATCCAAAGAAAGCTTATCCTTTGTGAATTGAACGCACACATCACAAAGTAGTTTCTGAGAATGATTCTGTCTAGTTTTTATACGAAGATATTTCCTTTTCTACATTTGGCCTAAAAGCGCTTGAAATCTCCACCTGCAAATATCACAAAAAGAGGGTTTCACATCTGCTCTGTCTAAAGGACAGTTCACCTCTGTGAGTTGAATAGAGGCAGCACAAAGAAGTTACTGAGTATTCTTCTTTCTAGCGTTACATGAAGAAATCCCGTTTCCAACGAAGGCCTCAAAGAGGTCCAAATATCTGCTTGCAGACTTTACAGACAGAGTGTTTCCAAACTACTCTATGAAAAGAAAGCTTAAACTCCCTTGAGTTGAACGCACACATCACAAAGTAGTTTCTGAGAATGATTCTGTCTTGTTTTTATACGAAGATATTTCCGTTTCTATGATTGGCCTCCAAGCGATTGAAATCTCCAACTGGAAACTGCACAAATAGGGTGTTTCAAATCTGCTGTGTCTAAAGGAAGGTTCCACTCTGTGAGTTGAATACACACACCACAAATAAGTTACGGAGAATTCTTCTGTCGAACATTACATGAAGAAATCCGGTTTCCAACGAAGGCCTCAAAGAGGTCCAAATATCCACTTGCAGACATTACAAACAGAGTGTTTCCAAACTGCTCCATCAATAGAAAGGTTAAACTCTGTGAGCTGAACACCCACATCAAAAAGAAGTTTCTGTGAATTATTCTGTCTAGATTTTAGAAGAAGATGTTTCCTTTTTTACTGTAGGCCTCAAAGCTCTTGAATTCTCCAGCTGCAAATTCCACAAAAAGGGTGTTTAGCATCTGCTCTTCTAAAGGAAAGTTCAACTCCATGAGTTGAATACACACAGCACAAAGAAGTTACTGAGACTTCTCCTTTCAAACATTATATGAAGAAATCCCGTTTCCAACGAAGGCCTCAAAGAGGTCCAAATATCCACTTGCAGACGTGACAAACAGAGTGTTTCCAAACTGCTCCATCCAAAGAAAGGTTAAACTCTGTGAGTTGAACACACACATCACAAAATAGTTTCTGTGAATGATTCTGTCTACTTTCTATACGAAGATGTTTCCTTTTCCACCTATGGTCTCAAAGCCATTGAAATCTCCACATGGAAACTCCACAAAAAGAGTGTTTCAAATCTGCTCTTTCTGAAGGAAGGTTCAACTCTGTGAGTTGAATACACACACCACAAATAAGTTACTGAGAATTCTTCTGTGTAACATTATATGAGGAAATCCCGTTTCCAACGAAGGCCTCAAAGAGGTCCAAATATCCACTTGCAGACTTTACAAAGACAGTGTCTCCAAACTCCTCCATCAAAGAAAGGTTATACTCTGTGAATTGAACGCACACATCACAAAGTAGTTTCTGAGAATGATTCTGTCTAGTTTTTATACGAAGATATTTCCTTTTCTACGTTTGGCCTAAAAGCACTTGAAATCTCCAACTGCAAATATCCCAAAAAGAGGGTTTCACATCTGCTCTGTCTAAAGGACAGTTCACCTCTGTGAGTAGAATAGAGGCAACACAAAGAACTTAGTATTCTTCTTTCTAGCGTTCTATGAAGAAATCCCGTTTCCAACGAAGGCCTCAAAGAGGTCCAAATATCTGCTTGCAGACTTTACAGACAAAGTGTTTCCAAACTACTCTATGAAAAGAAAGCTTAAACTCCTTGAGTTGAACGCACACATCACAAAGCAGTTTCTGAGAATGATTCTGTCTAGTTTTTATACGAAGATGTTTCCTTTTCTACATTTGGTCTCAAAGCGATTGAAATCTCCAACTGGAAACTGCACAAATAGGGTGTTTCAAATCTGCTCTGTCTAAAGGAAGGTTCAACTCTGTGAGTTGAATACACACACCACAAATAAGTTACTGAGAATTCTTCTGTCGACCATTACTTGAAGAAATCCCGTTTCCAACGAAGGCCTCAAAGAGGTCCAAATATCCACTTGCAGACATTACAAACAGAGTGTTTCCAAACTGCTCCATCAAAAGAAAGGTTAAACTCTGTGAGCTGAACACACACACCAAAAAGAAGTTTCTGTGAATGATTCTGTCTAGATTTTATAAGAAGATGTTTCCTTTTCTACCGTAGGCCTCAAAGCGCTTGAAATCTCCAGCTGCAAATTCCACAAAAAGGGTGTTTAACATCTGCTCTTCTAAAGGAAAGTTCAACTCTATGAGTTGAATACACACAGCACAAAGAAGTTACTGAGACTTCTCCTATCAAACATTATATGAAGAAATCCCGTTTCCAACGAAGGCCTCAAAGAGGTCCAAATATCTGCTTGCAGACTTTACAGACAGAGTGTTTCCAAACTGCTCCATCAAAAGAAAGGTTAAACTCCTTGAGTTGAACACACACATCACAAAGTAGTTTCTGTGAATGATTCTGTCTAGTTGTTATACGAAGATGTTTCCTTTTCTACCTTTGGTCTCAAAGCGATTGAAATCTCCACATGGAAACTCCACAAAAAGAGTGTTTCAAATCTGCTCTTTCTGAAGGAAGGTTCATCTCTGTGAGTTGAATACACACACCACAAATAAGTTACTGAGAATTCTTCTGTGTAACATTATATGAGGAAATCCCGTTTCCAACGAAGGCCTCAAAGAGGTCCAAATATCCACTTGCAGACTTTACAAAGACAGTGTCTCCAAACTCCTCCATCAAAAGAAAGGTTATACTCTGTGAATTGAACGCACACATCACAAAGTAGTTTCTGAGAATGATTCTGTCTAGTTTTTATACGAAGATATTTCCTTTTCTACATTTGGCCTAAAAGCGCTTGAAATCTCCACCTGCAAATATCCCAAAAAGAGGGTTTCACATCTGCTCTGTCTAAAGGACAGTTCACCTCTGTGAGTTGAATAGAGGCAACACAAAGAACTTACTCAGTATTCTTCTTTCTAGCGTTCTATGAAGAAATCCCGTTTCCAACGAAGGCCCCAAAGAGGTCCAAATATCTGCTTGCAGACTTTACAGACAGAGTGTTTCCAAACTACTCTATGAAAAGAAAGCTTAAACTCCTTGAGTTGAACGCACACATCACAAAGTAGTTTCGGAGAATGATTCTGTCTAGTTTTTATACGAAGATGTTTCCTTTTCTACATTTGGTCTCAAAGCGATTGAAATCTCCAACTGGAAACTGCACAAATAGGCTGTTTCAAATCTGCTCTGTCTAAAGGAAGGTTCAACTCTGTGAGTTGAATACACACACCACAAAGAAGTTACTGAGAATTCTTCTGTCGAACATTACTTGAAAGAAATCCCGTTTCCAACGAAGGCCTCAAAGAGGTCCAAATATCCACTTGCAGACATTACAAACAGAGTGTTTCCAAACTGCTCCATCAAAAGAAAGGTTAAACTCTGTGAGCTGAACACACACATCAAAAAGAAGTTTCTGTGAATGATTCTGTCTAGCATTTTATAAGAAGATGTTTCCTTTTCTACCGTAGGCCTCAAAGCGCTTGAAATCTCCAGCTGCAAATTCCACAAAAAGGGTGTTTAACATCTGCTCTTCTAAAGGAAAGTTCAACTCTATGACTTGAATACACACAGCACAAAGAAGTTACTGAGACTTCTCCTATCAAACATTATATGAAGAAATCCCGTTTCCAACGAAGGCCTCAAAGAGGTCCAAATATCCACTTGCAGACATTACAAACAGAGTGTTTCCAAACTGTTCCATCAAAAGAAAGATTAAACTCTGTGAGCTGAACACACACATGAAAAAGAAGTTTCTGTGAATGATTCTGTCTAGATTTTATATGAAGATGTTTCCTTTTCTACCTTTGGTCTCAATGCGATTGAAATCTCCACATGGAAACTCCACAAAAAGTGTGTTTGAAATCTGCTCTTTCTGAAGGAAGGTTCAACTCTGTGAGTTGAATAAACACACCACAAATAAGTTACTGAGAATTCTTCTGTGTAACATTATATGAGGAAATCCCGTTTCCAACGAAGGCCTCAAAGAGGTCCAAATATCCACTTGCAGACTTTACAAAGACAGTGTCTCCAAACTCCTCCATCAAAAGAAAGGTTATACTCTGTGAATTGAACGCACACATCACAAAGTAGTTTCTGAGAATGATTCTGTCTAGTTTTTATACGAAGATATTTCCTTTTCTACATTTGGCCTAAAAGCGCTTGAAATCTCCACCTGCAAATATCACAAAAAGAGGGTTTCACATCTGCTCTGTCTAAAGGACAGTTCACCTCTGTGAGTTGAATAGAGGCAACACAAAGAACTTACTCAGTATTCTTCTTTCTAGCGTTCTATGAAGAAATCCCGTTTCCAACGAAGGCCCCAAAGAGGTCCAAATATCTGCTTGCAGACTTTACAGACAGAGTGTTTCCAAACTACTCTATGAAAAGAAAGCTTAAACTCCTTGAGTTGAACGCACACATCACAAAGTAGTTTCTGAGAATGATTCTGTCTAGTTTTTATACGAAGATGTTTCCTTTTCTACATTTGGTCTCAAAGCGATTGAAATCTCCAACTGGAAACTGCACAAATAGGGTGTTTCAAATCTGCTCTGTCTAAAGGAAGGTTCAACTCTGTGAGTTGAATACACACACCACAAATAAGTTACTGAGAATTCTTCTGTCGAACATTACTTGAAGAAATCCCGTTTCCAACGAAGGCCTCAAAGAGGTCCAAATATTCACTTGCAGATATTACAAACAGAGTGTTTCCAAACTGCTCCATCAAAAGAAATGTTAAACTCTGTGAGCTGAACACACACATCAAAAACAAGTTTCTGTGAATGATTCTGTCTAGATTTTATAAGAAGATGTTTCCTTTTCTACCGTAGGACTCAAAGCGCTTGAAATCTCCAGCTGCAAATTCCACAAAAAGGGTGTTTAACATCTGCTCTTCTAAAGGAAAGTTCAACTCTATGAGTTGAATACACACAGCACAAAGAAGTTACTGAGACTTCTCCTATCAAACATTATATGAAGAAATCCCGTTTCCAACGAAGGCCTCAAAGAGGTCCAAATATCTGCTTGCAGACTTTACAGACAGAGTTTTTCCAAACTGCTCCATCAAAAGAAAGGTTAAACTCCTTGAGTTGAACACACACATCACAATGTAGTTTCTGTGAATGATTCTGTCTAGTTTTTATACGAAGATGTTTCCTTTTCTACCTTTGCTCTCAATGCGATTGAAATCTCCACATGGAAACTCCACAAAAAGAGTGTTTCAAATCTGCTCTTTCTGAAGGAAGGTTCATCTCTGTGAGTTGAATACACACACCACAAATAAGTTACTGAGAATTCTTCTGTGTAACATTATATGAGGAAATCCCGTTTCCAACGAAGGCCTCAAAGAGGTCCAAATATCCACTTGCAGACTTTACAAAGACAGTGTCTCCAAACTCCTCCATCAAAAGAAAGGTTATACTCTGTGAATTGAACACACACGTCACAAAGTAGTTTCTGAGAATGATTCTGTCTAGTTTTTATACGAAGATATTTCCTTTTCTACATTTGGCCTAAAAGCGCTTGAAATCTCCACCTGCAAATATCACAAAAAGAGGGTTTCACATCTGCTCTGCCTAAAGGACATTTCACCTCTGTGAGTTGAATAGAGGCAACACAAAGAACTTACTCAGTATTCTTCTTTCTAGCGTTCTATGAAGAAATCCCGTTTCCAACGAAGGCCCCAAAGAGGTCCAAATATCTGCTTGCAGACTTTACAGACAGAGTGTTTCCAAACTACTCTATGAAAAGAAAGCTTAAACTCCTTGAGTTGAACGCACACATCACAAAGTAGTTTCGGAGAATGATTCTGTCTAGTTTTTATACGAAGATGTTTCCTTTTCTACATTTGGTCTCAAAGCGATTGAAATCTCCAACTGGAAACTGCACAAATAGGCTGTTTCAAATCTGCTCTGTCTAAAGGAAGGTTCAACTCTGTGAGTTGAATACACACACCACAAATAAGTTACTGAGAATTCTTCTGTCGTACATTACATGAAGAAATCCCGTTTCCAACGAAGGCCTCAAAGAGGTCCAAGTATCCACTTGCAGACATTACAAACAGAGTGTTTCCAAACTGCTCCATCAAAAGAAAGGTTAAACTCGGTGAGCTGAACACACACATCAAAAAGAAGTTTCTGTGAATGATTCTGTCTAGATTTTATAAGAAGATGTTTCCTTTTCTACCGTAGGCCTCAAAGCGCTTGAAATCTCCAGCTGCAAATTCCACAAAAAGGGTGTTTAACATCTGCTCTTCTAAAGGAAAGTTCAACTCTATGAGTTGAATACACACAGCACAAAGAAGTTACTGAGACTTCTCCTATCAAACATTATATGAAGAAATCCCGTTTCCAACGAAGGCCTCAAAGAGGTCCAAATATCTGCTTGCAGACTTTAAAGACAGAGTTTTTCCAAACTGCTCCATCAAAAGAAAGGTTAAACTCCTTGAGTTGAACACACACATCACAAAGTAGTTTCTGTGAATGATTCTGTCTAGTTTTTATACGAAGATGTTTCCTTTTCTACCTTTGGTCTCAAAGCGATTGAAATCTCCACATGGAAACTCCACAAAAAGAGTGTTTCAAATCTGCTCTTTCTGAAGGAAGGTTCAACTCTGTGAGTTGAATACACACACCACAAATAAGTTACTGAGAATTCTCCCTGTGTAACATTATATGAGGAAATCCCGTTTCCAACAAAGGCCTCAAAGAGGTCCAAATATCCACTTGCAGACTTTACAAAGACAGTGTCTCCAAACTCCTCCATCAAAAGAAAGGTTATACTCTGTGAATTGAACGCACACATCACAAAGTAGTTTCTGAGAATGATTCTGTCTAGTTTTTATACGAAGATATTTCCTTTTCTACATTTGGCCTAAAAGCGCTTGAAATCTCCACCTGCAAATATCACAAAAAGAGGGTTTCACATCTGCTCTGTCTAAAGGACAGTTCACCTCTGTGAGTTGAATAGAGGCAACACAAAGAACTTACTCAGTATTCTTCTTTCTAGCATTCTATGAAGAAATCCCGTTTCCAACGAAGGCCCCAAAGAGGTCCAAATATCTGCTTGCAGACTTTACAGACAGAGTTTTTCCAAACTGCTCCATCAAAAGAAAGGTTAAACTCCTTGAGTTGAACACACACATCACAAAGTAGTTTCTGTGAATGATTCTGTCTAGTTTTTATAAGAAGATGTTTCCTTTTCTACCTTTGGTCTCAAAGCGATTGAAATCTCCACATGGAAACTCCTCAAAAAGAGTGTTTCAAATCTGCTCTTTCTGAAGGAAGGTTCAACTCTGTGAGTTGAATACACACACCACAAATAAGTTACTGAGAATTCTTCTGTGTAACATTATATGAGGAAATCCCGTTTCCAACGAAGGCCTCAAAGAGGTCCAAATATCCACTTGCGGACATTACAAACAGTGTGTTTCCCAACTGCTCCATCAAAAGAAAGGTTAAACTCTGTGAGCTGAACACACACATCAAAAAGAAGTTTCTGTGAATGATTCTGTCTAGATTTTATAAGAAGATGTTTCCTTTTCTACCGTAGGCCTCAAAGCGCTTGAAATCTCCAGCTGCAAATTCCACAAAAAGGGTGTTTAACATCTGCTCTTCTAAAGGAAAGTTCAACTCTATGAGTTGAATACACACAGCACAAAGAAGTTACTGAGACTTCTCCTATCAAACATTATATGAAGAAATCCCGTTTCCAACGAAGGCCTCAAAGAGGTCCAAATATCTGCTTGCAGACTTTACAGACAGAGTGTTTCCAAACTGCTCCATCAAAAGAAAGGTTAAACTCCTTGAGTTGAACACACACATCACAAAGTAGTTTCTGTGAATGATTCTGTCTAGTTTTTATACGAAGATGTTTCCTTTTCTACCTTTGGTCTCAAAGCGATTGAAATCTCCACATGGAAACTCCACAAAAAGAGTGTTTCAAATCTGCTCTTTCTGAAGGAAGGTTCAACTCTGTGAGTTGAATACACACACCACAAATAAGTTACTGAGAATTCTTCTGTGTAACATTATATGAGGAAATCCCGTTTCCAACGAAGGCCTCAAAGAGGTCCAAATATCCACTTGCAGACTTTACAAAGACAGTGTCTCCAAACTCCTCCATCAAAAGAAAGGTTATACTCTGTGAATTGAACGCACACATCACAAAGTAGTTTCTGAGAATGATTCTGTCTAATTTTTATACGAAGTATATTTCCTTTTCTACATTTGGCCTAAAAGCGCTTGAAATCTCCACCTGCAAATATCAGAAAAAGAGGGTTTCACATCTGCTCTGTCTAAAGGACAGTTCACCTCTGTGAGTTGAATAGAGGCAACACAAAGAACTTACTCAGTATTCTTCTTTCTAGCGTTCTATGAAGAAATCCCGTTTCCAACGAAGGCCCCAAAGAGGTCCAAATATCTGCTTGCAGACTTTACAGACAGAGTGTTTCCAAACTACTCTATGAAAAGAAAGCTTAAACTCCTTGAGTTGAACGCACACATCACAAAGTAGTTTCTGAGAATGATTCTGTCTAGTTTTTATACGAAGATGTTTCCTTTTCTACATTTGGTCTCAAAGCGATTGAAATCTCCAACTGGAAACTGCACAAATAGGGTGTTTCAAATCTGCTCTGTCTAAAGGAAGGTTCAACTCTGTGAGTTGAATACACACACCACAAATAAGTTACTGAGAATTCTTCTGTCGAACATTACTTGAAGAAATCCCGTTTCCAACGAAGGCCTCAAAGAGGTCCAAATATCCACTTGCAGACATTACAAACAGAGTGTTTCCAAACTGCTCCATCAAAAGAAAGGTTAAACTCTGTGAGCTGAACACACACATCGAAAAGAAGTTTCTGTGAATGATTCTGTCTAGATTTTATAAGAAGATGTTTCCTTTTCTACCGTAGGCCTCAAAGCGCTTGAAATCTCCAGCTGCAAATTCCACAAAAAGGGTGTTTAACATCTGCTCTTCTAAAGGAAAGTTCAACTCTATGAGTTGAATACACACAGCACAAAGAAGTTACTGAGACTTCTCCTATCAAACATTATATGAAGAAATCCCGTTTCCAACGAAGGCCTCAAAGAGGTCCAAATATCTGCTTGCAGACTTTACAGACAGAGTGTTTCCAAACTGCTCCATCAAAAGAAAGGTTAAACTCCTTGAGTTGAACACACACATCACAAAGTAGTTTCTGTGAATGATTCTGTCTAGTTTTTATACGAAGATGTTTCCTTTTCTACCTTTGGTCTCAAAGCGATTGAAATCTCCACATGGAAACTCCACAAAAAGAGTGTTTCAAATCTGCTCTTTCTGAAGGAAGGTTCAACTCTGTGAGTTGAATACACACACCACAAATAAGTTACTGAGAATTCTTCTGTGTAACATTATATGAGGAAATCCCGTTTCCAACGAAGGCCTCAAAGAGGTCCAAATATCCACTTGCAGACTTTACAAAGACAGTGTCTCCAAACTCCTCCATCAAAAGAAAGGTTATACTCTGTGAATTGAACGCATACATCACAAAGTAGTTTCTGAGAATGATTCTGTCTAGTTTTTATACGAAGATATTTCCTTTTCTACATTTGGCCTCAAAGCGCTTGAAATCTCCACCTGCAAATATCACAAAAAGAGGGTTTCACATCTGCTCTGTCTAAAGGACAGTTCACCTCTGTGAGTTGAATAGAGGCAACACAAAGAACTTACTCAGTATTCTTCTTTCTAGCATTCTATGAAGAAATCCCGTTTCCAACGAAGGCCTCAAAGAGGTCCAAATATCTGCTTGCAGACTTTACAGACAGAGTTTTTCCAAACTGCTCCATCAAAAGAAAGGTTAAACTCCTTGAGTTGAACACACACATCACAAAGTAGTTTCTGTGAATGATTCTGTCTAGTTTTTATACGAAGATGTTTCCTTTTCTACCTTTGGTCTCAAAGCGATTGAAATCTCCACATGGAAACTCCACAAAAAGAGTGTTTCAAATCTGCTCTTTCTGAAGGAAGGTTCAACTCTGTGAGTTGAATACACACACCACAAATAAGTTACTGAGAATTCTTCTGTGTAACATTATATGAGGAAATCCCGTTTCCAACGAAGGCCTCAAAGAGGTCCAAATATCCACTTGCAGACTTTACAAAGACAGTGTCTCCAAACTCCTCCATCAAAAGAAAGGTTATACTCTGTGAATTGAACGCACACATCACAAAGTAGTTTCTGAGAATGATTCTGTCTAGTTTTTATACGAAGATATTTCCTTTTCTACATTTGGCCTAAAAGCGCTTGAAATCTCCACCTGCAAATATCACAAAAAGAGGGTTTCACATCTGCTCTGTCTAAAGGACAGTTCACCTCTGTGAGTTGAATAGAGGCAACACAAAGAACTTACTCAGTATTCTTCTTTCTAGCGTTCTATGAAGAAATCCCGTTTCCAACGAAGGCCTCAAAGAGGTCAAATATCTGCTTGCAGACTTTACAGACAGAGTGTTTCCAAACTACTCTATGAAAAGAAAGCTTAAACTCCTTGAGTTGAACGCACACATCACAAAGTAGTTTCTGAGAATGATTCTGTCTAGTTTTTATACGAAGATGTTTCCTTTTCTACATTTGGTCTCAAAGCTCTTGAAATCTCCAACTGGAAACTGCACAAATAGGCTGTTTCAAATCTGCTCTGTCTAAAGGAAGGTTCAGCTCTGTGAGTTGAATACACACACCACAAATAAGTTACTGAGAATTCTTCTGTCGAACATTACTTGAAGAAATCCCGTTTCCAACGAAGGCCTCAAAGAGGTCCAAATATCCACTTGCAGACGTTACAAACAGAGTGTTTCCAAACTGCTCCATCAAAAGAAAGGTTAAACTCTGTGAGCTGAACACACACATCAAAAAGAAGTTTCTGTGAATGATTCTGTCTAGATTTTATAAGAAGATGTTTCCTTTTCTACCGTAGGCCTCAAAGCGCTTGAAATCTCCAGCTGCAAATTCCACACAAAGGGTGTTTAACATCTGCTCTTCTAAAGGAAAGTTCAACTCTATGAGTTGAATACACACAGCACAAAGAAGTTACTGAGACTTCTCCTATCAAACATTATATGAAGAAATCCCATTTCCAACGAAGGCCTCAAAGAGGTCCAAATATCTGCTTGCAGACTTTACAGACAGAGTGTTTCCAAACTGCTCCATCAAAAGAAAGGTTAAACTCCTTGAGTTGAACACACACATCACAAAGTAGTTTCTGTGAATGATTCTGTCTAGTTTTTATACGAAGATATTTCCGTTTCTACCTTTGGTCTCAAAGCGATTGAAATCTCCACATGGAAACTCCACAAAAAGAGTGTTTCAAATCTGCTCTTTCTGAAGGAAGGTTCAACTCTGTGAGTTGAATACACACACCACTAATAAGTTACTGAGAATTCTTCTGTGTAGCATTATATGAGGAAATCCCGTTTCCAACGAAGGCCTCAAAGAGGTCCAAAAATCCACTTGCAGACTTTACAAAGACAGTGTGTCCAAACTCCTCCATCAAAAGAAAGCTTATACTCTGTGAATTGAACGCACACATCACAAAGTAGTTTCTGAGAATGATTCTGTCTAGTTTTTATACGAAGATATTTCCTTTTCTACATTTGGCCTAAAAGCGCTTGAAATCTCCACCTGCAAATATCACAAAAAGAGGGTTTCACATCTGCTCTGTCTAAAGGACAGTTCACCTCTGTGAGTTGAATAGAGGCAACACAAAGAACTTACTCAGTATTCTTCTTTCTAGCGTTCTATGAAGAAATCCCGTTTCCAACGAAGGCCTCAAAGAGGTCAAATATCTGCTTGCAGACTTTACAGACAGAGTGTTTCCAAACTACTCTATGAAAAGAAAGCTTAAACTCCTTGAGTTGAACGCACACATCACAAAGTAGTTTCTGAGAATGATTCTGTCTAGTTTTTATACGAAGATGTTTCCTTTTCTACATTTGGTCTCAAAGCGATTGAAATCTCCAACTGGAAACTGCACAAATAGGCTGTTTCAAATCTGCTCTGTCTAAAGGAAGGTTCAGCTCTGTGTGTTGAATACACACACCACAAATAAGTTACTGAGAATTCTTCTGTCGAACATTACTTGAAGAAATCCCGTTTCCAACGAAGGCCTCAAAGAGGTCCAAATATCCACTTGCGGACATTACAAACAGTGTGTTTCCCAACTGCTCCATCAAAAGAAAGGTTAAACTCTGTGAGCTGAACACACACATCAAAAAGAAGTTTCTGTGAATGATTCTGTCTAGATTTTATAAGAAGATGTTTCCTTTTCTACCGTAGGCCTCAAAGCGCTTGAAATCTCCAGCTGCAAATTCCACAAAAAGGGTGTTTAACATCTGCTCTTCTAAAGGAAAGTTCAACTCTATGAGTTGAATACACACAGCACAAAGAAGTTACTGAGACTTCTCCTATCAAACATTATATGAAGAAATCCCGTTTCCAACGAAGGCCTCAAAGAGGTCCAAATATCTGCTTGCAGACTTTATAGACAGAGTGTTTCCAAACTGCTCCATCAAAAGAAAGGTTAAACTCCTTGAGTTGAACACACACATCACAAAGTAGTTTCTGTGAATGTTTCTGTCTAGTTTTTATACGAAGATGTTTCCTTTTCTACCTTTGGTCTCAAAGCGATTGAAATCTCCACATGGAAACTCCACAAAAAGAGTGTTTCAAATCTGCTCTTTCTGAAGGAAGGTTCAACTCTGTGAGTTGAATACACACACCACAAATAAGTTACTGAGAATTCTTCTGTGTAACTTTATATGAGGAAATCCCGTTTCCAACGAAGGCCTCAAAGAGGTCCAAATATCCACTTGCAGACTTTACAAAGACAGTGTCTCCAAACTCCTCCATCAAAAGAAAGGTTATACTCTGTGAATTGAACGCACACATCACAAAGTAGTTTCTGAGAATGATTCTGTCTAGTTTTTATACGAAGATATTTCCTTTTCTACATTTGGCCTAAAAGCGCTTGAAATCTCCACCTGCAAATATCACAAAAAGAGGGTTTCACATCTGCTCTGTCTAAAGGACAGTTCACCTCTGTGAGTTGAATAGAGGCAACACAAAGAACTTACTCAGTATTCTTCTTTCTAGCGTTCTATGAAGAAATCCCGTTTCCAACGAAGGCCTCAAAGAGGTCAAATATCTGCTTGCAGACTTTACAGACAGAGTGTTTCCAAACTACTCTATGAAAAGAAAGCTTAAACTCCTTGAGTTGAACGCACACATCACAAAGTAGTTTCTGAGAATGATTCTGTCTAGTTTTTATACGAAGATGTTTCCCTTTCTACATTTGGTCTCAAAGCGATTGAAATCTCCAACTGGAAACTGCACAAATAGGCTGTTTCAAATCTGCTCTGTCTAAATGAAGGTTCAACTCTGTGAGTTGAATACACACACCACAAATAAGTTACTGAGAATTCTTCTGTCGAACATTACATGAAGAAATCCCGTTTCCAACGAAGGCCTCAAAGAGGTCCATATATCCAGTTGCCGACAATGCAAACACAGTTTTTCCAACCTGCTCCGTCAAAAGAAAGGTTAAACTCTGTGAGATGAACACACACATCAAAAGGAAGTTTCTGTGAATGATTCTGTCTAGATTTTATAAGAAGATGTTTCCTTTTCTACCATAGGCCTCAAAGCGCTAGAAATCTCCAGCTGCAAATTCCACAAAAAGTGTGTTTAACATCCGCTCTGTCTAAAGTAAAGTTCAGCTCTGTGAGTTGAATACACACAGCACAAAGAAGTTACTGAGACTTCTTCTGTCTAACATTATATGAAGAAATCCCGTTTCCAACGAAGGCCTAAAAGAGGTCCAAATATCCACTTGCAGACTTGTCAAACAGAGTGTTTCCAAACTGCACCATCAAAAGAAAGGTTAAACTCTGTGAGCTGAACACACACATCACAAAGTAGTTTCTGTGAATGATTCTGTCTAGTTTTTATACGAAGATGTTTCCTTTTCTACATTTGGTCTCAAAGCGATTGAAATCTCCACATGGAAACTCCACAAAAAGAGTGTTTCAAATCTGCTCTTTCTGAAGGAAGGTTCAACTCTGTGAGTTGAATACACACACCACAAATAAGTTACTGAGAATTCTTCTGTGTAACATTATATGAGGAAATCCCGTTTCCAACGAAGGCCTCAAAGAGGTCCAAATATCCACTTGCAGACTTTACAAAGACAGTGTCTCCAAACTCCTCCATCAAAAGAAAGGTTATACTCTGTGAATTGAACGCACACATCACAAAGTAGTTTCTGAGAATGATTCTGTCTAGTTTTTATACGAAGATATTTCCTTTTCTACATTTGGCCTAAAAGCGCTTGAAATCTCCACGTGCAAATATCACAAAAAGAGGGTTTCACACCTGCTCTGTCTAAAGGACAGTTCACCTCTGTGAGTTGAATAGAGGCAACACAAAGAACTTACTCAGTATTCTTCTTTCTAGCGTTCTATGAAGAAATCCCGTTTCCAACGAAGGCCTCAAAGAGGTCCAAATATCTGCTTGCAGACTTTACAGACAGAGTGTTTCCAAACTACTCTATGAAAAGAAAGCTTAAACTCCTTGAGTTGAACGCACACATCACAAAGTAGTTTCTGAGAATGATTCTGTCTAGTTTTTATACGAAGATGTTTCCTTTTCTACATTGGGTCTCAAAGCGATTGAAATCTCCAACTGGAAACTGCACAAATAGGGAGTTTCAAATCTGATCTGTCTAAAGGAAGGGTCAACTCTGTGAGTTGAATACACACACCACAAATAAGTTACTGAGAATTCTTCTGTCGAACATTACTTGAAAGAAATCCCGTTTCCAACGAAGGCCTCAAAGAGGTCCAAATATCCACTTGCAGACATTACAAACAGAGTGTTTCCAAACTGCTCCATCAAAAGAAAGGTTAAACTCTGTGAGCTGAACACACACATCAAAAAGAAGTTTCTGTGAATGATTCTGTCTAGATTTTATAAGAAGATGTTTCCTTTTCTACCGTAGGCCTCATAGTGCTTGAAATCTCCAGCTGCAAATTCCACAAAAAGGGTGTTTAACACCTGATCTTCTAAAGGAAAGTTCAACTCAATGAGTTGAATACACACAGCACAAAGAAGTTACTGAGACCTCTCCTATCAAACATTATATGAAGAAATCCCGTTTCCAACGAAGGCCTCAAAGAGGTCCAAATATCTGTTTGCAGACTTTGCAGACAGAGTGTTTCCAAACTGCTCCATCAAAAGAAAGGTTAACCTCCTTGAGTTGAACACACACATCACAAAGTAGTTTCTGAGAATGATTCTGTCTAGTTTTTATACGAAGATGTTTCCTTTTCTACCTTTGGTCTCAAAGCGATTGAAATCTCCACATGGAAACTCCACAAAAAGAGTGTTTCAAATCTGCTCTGTCTAAAGGAAGGTTCAACTCTGTGAGTTGAATACACACACCACAAATAAGTTACTGAGAATTCTTCTGTGTAACATTATATGAGGAAATCCCGTTTCCAACGAAGGCCTCAAAGAGGTCCAAATATCCACTTGCAGACTTTACAAAGACAGTGTCTCCAAACTCCTCCATCAAAAGAAAGGTTATACTCTGTGAATTGAACGCACACATCACAAAGTAGTTTCTGAGAATGATTCTGTCTAGTTTTTATACGAAGATATTTCCTTTTCTACATTTGGCCTAAAAGCGCTTGAAATCTCCACCTGCAAATATCACAAAAAGAGGGTTTCACATCTGCTCTGTCTAAAGGACAGTTCACCTCTGTGAGTTGAATAGAGGCAACACAAAGAACTTACTCAGTATTCTTCTTTCTAGCGTTCTATGAAGAAATCCCGTTTCCAACGAAGGCCCCAAAGAGGTCAAATATCTGCTTGCAGACTTTACAGACAGAGTGTTTCCAAACTACTCTATGAAAAGAAAGCTTAAACTCCTTGAGTTGAACGCACACATCTCAAAGTAGTTTCTGAGAATGATTCTGTCTAGTTTTTATACGAAGATGTTTCCTTTTCTACATTTGGTCTCAAAGCGATTGAAATCTCCAACTGGAAACTGCACAAATAGGGTGTTTCAAATCTGCTCTGTCTAAAGGAAGGTTCAACTCTGTGAGTTGAATACACACACCACAAATAAGTTACTGAGAATTCTTCTGTCGAACATTACATGAAGAAATCCCGTTTCCAACGAAGGCCTCAAAGAGGTCCAAATATCCACTTGCAGACATTACAAACAGAGTGTTTCCAAACTGCTCCATCAAAAGAAAGGTTAAACTCTGTGAGCTGAACACACACATCAAAAAGAAGTTTCTGTGAATGATTCTGTCTAGATTTTATAAGAACATATTTCCTTTTCTACCGTAGGCCACAAAGCGCTTGAAATCTCCAGCTGCAAATTCCACAAAAAGGGTGTTTAACATCTGCTCTTCTAAAGGAAAGTTCAACTCTATGAGTTGAATACACACAGCACAAAGAAGTTACTGAGACTTCTCCTATCAAACATTATATGAAGAAATCCCGTTTCCAACGAAGGCCTCAAAGAGGTCCAAATATCCACTTGCAGACATTACAAACAGAGTGTTTCCAAACTGTTCCATCAAAAGAAAGATTAAACTCTGTGAGCTGAACACACACATGAAAAAGAAGTTTCTGTGAATGATTCTGTCTAGATTTTATACGAAGATGTTTCCTTTTCTACCTTTGGTCTCAATGCGATTGAAATCTCCACATGGAAACTCCACAAAAAGTGTGTTTGAAATCTGCTCTTTCTGAAGGAAGGTTCAACTCTGTGAGTTGAATAAACACACCACAAATAAGTTACTGAGAATTCTTCTGTGTAACATTATATGAGGAAATCCCGTTTCCAACGAAGGCCTCAAAGAGGTCCAAATATCCACTTGCAGACTTTACAAAGACAGTGTCTCCAAACTCCTCCATCAAAAGAAAGGTTATACTCTGTGAATTGAACGCACACATCACAAAGCAGTTTCTGAGAATGATTCTGTCTAGTTTTTATACGAAGATATTTCCTTTTCTACATTTGGCCTAAAAGCGCTTGAAATCTCCACCTGCAAATATCACAAAAAGAGGGTTTCACATCTGCTCTGTCTAAAGGACAGTTCACCTCTGTGAGTTGAATAGAGGCAACACAAAGAACTTACTCAGTATTCTTCTTTCTAGCGTTCTATGAAGAAATCCCGTTTCCAACGAAGGCCCCAAAGAGGTCCAAATATCTGCTTGCAGACTTTACAGACAGAGTGTTTCCAAACTACTCTATGAAAAGAAAGCTTAAACTCCTTGAGTTGAACGCACACATCACAAAGTAGTTTCGGAGAATGATTCTGTCTAGTTTTTATACGAAGATGTTTCCTTTTCTACATTTGGTCTCAAAGCGATTGAAATCTCCAACTGGAAACTGCACAAATAGGGAGTTTCAAATCTGCTCTGTCTAAAGGAAGGTTCAACTCTGTGAGTTGAATACACACACCACAAATAAGTTACTGAGAATTCTTCTGTCGAACATTACTTGAAGAAATCCCGTTTCCAACGAAGGCCTCAAAGAGGTCCAAATATCCACTTGCAGACATTACAAACAGAGTGTTTCCAAACTGCTCCATCAAAAGAAAGGTTAAACTCTGTGAGCTGAACACACACATCGAAAAGAAGTTTCTGTGAATGATTCTGTCTAGATTTTATAAGAAGATGTTTCCTTTTCTACCATAGGTCTCAAAGCGCTTGAAATCTCCAGCTGCAAATTCCACAAAAAGGGTGTTTAACATCTGCTCTTCTAAAGGAAAGTTCAACTCTATGAGTTGAATACACACAGCACAAAGAAGTTACTGAGACTTCTCCTATCAAACATTATATGAAGAAATCCCGTTTCCAACGAAGGCCTCAAAGAGGTCCAAATATCTGCTTGCAGACTTTACAGACAGAGTGTTTCCAAACTGCTCCATCAAAAGAAAGGTTAAACTCCTTGAGTTGAACACACACATCACAAAGTAGTTTCTGTGAATGATTCTGTCTAGTTGCTATACGAAGATGTTTCCTTTTCTACCTTTGGTCTCAAAGCGATTGAAATCTCCACATGGAAACTCCACAAAAAGAGTGTTTCAAATCTGCTCTTTCTGAAGGAAGGTTCATCTCTGTGAGTTGAATACACACACCACAAATAAGTTACTGAGAATTCTTCTGTGTAACATTATATGAGGAAATCCCGTTTCCAACGAAGGCTTCAAAGAGGTCCAAATATCCACTTGCAGACTTTACAAAGACAGTGTCTCCAAACTCCTCCATCAAAAGAAAGGTTATACTCTGTGAATTGAACGCACACATCACAAAGTAGTTTCTGAGAATGATTCTGTCTAGTTTTTATACGAAGATATTTCCTTTTCTACATTTGGCCTAAAAGCGCTTGAAATCTCCACCTGCAAATATCACAAAAAGAGGGTTTCACATCTGCTCTGTCTAAAGGACAGTTCACCTCTGTGAGTTGAATAGAGGCAACACAAAGAACTTACTCAGTATTCTTCTTTCTAGCGTTACATGAAGAAATCCCGTTTCCAACGAAGGCCTCAAAGAGGTCTAAATATCTGCTTGCAGACTTTACAGACAGAGTGTTTCCAAACTACTCTATGAAAAGAAAGCTTAAACTCCTTGAGTTGAACGCACACATCACAAAGTAGTTTCTGAGAATGATTCTGTCTAGTTTTTATACGAAGATGTTTCCTTTTCTACATTTGGTCTCAAAGCGATTGAAATCTCCAACTGGAAACTGCACAAATAGGGTGTTTCAAATCTGCTCTGTCTAAAGGAAGGTTCAACTCTGTGAGTTGAATACACACACCACAAATAAGTTACTGAGAATTCTTCTGTCGACCATTACTTGAAGAAATCCCGTTTCCAACGAAGGCCTCAAAGAGGTCCAAATATCCACTTGCAGACATTACAAACAGAGTGTTTCCAAACTGCTCCATCAAAAGAAAGGTTAAACTCTGTGAGCTGAACACACACATCGAAAAGAAGTTTCTGTGAATGATTCTGTCTAGATTTTATAAGAAGATGTTTCCTTTTCTACCGTAGGCCTCAAAGCGCTTGAAATCTCCAGCTGCAAATTCCACAAAAAGGGTGTTTAACATCTGCTCTTCTAAAGGAAAGTTCAACTCTATGAGTTGAATACACACAGCACAAAGAAGTTACTGAGACTTCTCCTATCAAACATTATATGAAGAAATCCCGTTTCCAACGAAGGCCTCAAAGAGGTCCAAATATCCACTTGCAGACGTGACAAACAGAGTGTTTCCAAACTGCTCCATCAAAAGAAAGGTTAAACTCTGTGAGTTGAACACACACATCACAAAGTAGTTTCTGTGAATGATTCTGTCTAGTTTTTATACGAAGATGTTTCCTTTTCTACCTTTGGTCTCAATGCGATTGAAATCTCCACATGGAAACTCCACAAAAAGAGTGTTTCAAATCTGCTCTTTCTGAAGGAAGGTTCAACTCTGTGAGTTGAATACACACACCACAAATAAGTTACTGAGAATTCTTCTGTGTAACATTATATGAGGAAATCCCGTTTCCAACGAAGGCCTCAAAGAGGTCCAAATATCCACGTGCAGACTTTACAAAGACAGTGTCTCCAAACTCCTCCATCAAAAGAAAGGTTATACTCTGTGAATTGAACGCACACATCACAAAGTAGTTTCTGAGAATGATTCTGTCTAGTTTTTATACGAAGATATTTCCTTTTCTACATTTGGCCTAAAAGCGCTTGAAATCTCCACCTGCAAATATCACAAAAAGAGGTTTTCACATCTGCTCTGTCTAAAAGACAGTTCACCTCTGTGAGTTGAATAGAGGCAACACAAAGAACTTACTCAGTATTCTTCTTTCTAGCGTTCTATGAAGAAATCCCGTTTCCAACGAAGGCCTCAAAGAGGTCCAAATATCTGCTTGCAGACTTCACAGACAGAGTGTTTCCAAACTACTCTATGAAAAGAAAGCTTAAACTCCTTGTGTTGAACGCATACATCACAAAGTAGTTTCTGAGAATGATTCTGTCTAGTTTTTATACGAAGATGTTTCCTTTTCTACATTTGGTCTCAAAGCGATTGAAATCTCTAACTGGAAACTGCACAAATAGGGTGTTTCAAATCTGCTCTTTCTGAAGGAAGGTTCAACTCTGTGAGTTGAATACACACACCACAAATAAGTTACTGAGAATTCTTCTGTTGAACATTACATGAAGAAATCCCGTTTCCAACGAAGGCCTCAAAGAGGTCCAAACCTCCACTTGCAGACATTACAAACAGTGTGTTTCCAAACTGCTCCATCAAAAGAAAGGTTAAACTCTGTGAGCTGAACACACACATCGAAAAGAAGTTTCTGTGAATGATTCTGTCTAGATTTTATAAGAAGATGTTTCCTTTTCTACCGTAGGCCTCAAAGCGCTTGAAATCTCCAGCTGCAAATTCCACAAAAAGGGTGTTTAACATCTGCTCTTCTAAAGGAAAGTTCAACTCTATGAGTTGAATACACACAGCACAAAGAAGTTACTGAGACTTCTCCTATCAAACATTATATGAAGAAATCCCGTTTCCAACGAAGGCCTCAAAGAGGTCCAAATATCTGCTTGCAGACTTTACAGACAGAGTGTTTCCAAACTGCTCCATCAAAAGAAAGGTTAAACTCCTTGAGTTGAACACACACATCACAAAGTAGTTTCTGTGAATGTTTCTGTCTAGTTTTTATACGAAGATGTTTCCTTTTCTACCTTTGGTCTCAAAGCGATTGAAATCTCCACATGGAAACTCCACAAAAAGAGTGTTTCAAATCTGCTCTTTCTGAAGGAAGGTTCAACTCTGTGAGTTGAATACACACACCACAAATAAGTTACTGAGAATTCTTCTGTGTAACATTATATGAGGAAATCCCCTTTCCAACGAAGTCCTCAAAGAGGTCCAAATATCCACTTGCAGACTTTACAAAGACAGTGTCTCCAAACTCCTCCATCAAAAGAAAGCTTATACTCTGTGAATTGAACGCACACATCACAAAGTAGTTTCTGAGAATGATTCTGTCTAGTTTTTATACGAAGATATTTCCTTTTCTACATTTGGCCTAAAAGCGCTTGAAATCTCCACCTGCAAATATCACAAAAAGAGGGTTTCACATCTGCTCTGTCTAAAGGACAGTTCACCTCTGTGAGTTGAATAGAGGCAACACAAAGAACGTACTCAGTATTCTTCTTTCTAGCGTTCTATGAAGAAATCCCGTTTCCAACGAAGGCCCCAAAGAGGTCCAAATATATGCTTGCAGACTTTACAGACAGAGTGTTTCCAAACTACTCTATGAAAAGAAAGCTTAAACTCCTTGAGTTGAACGCACACATCACAAAGTAGTTTCTGAGAATGATTCTGTCTAGTTTTTATACGAAGATGTTTCCTTTTCTACATTTGGTCTCAAAGCGATTGAAATCTCCAACTGGAAACTGCACAAATAGGGTGTTTCAAATCTGCTCTGTCTAAAGGAAGGTTCAACTCTGTGAGTTGAATACACACACCACAAATAAGTTACTGAGAATTCTTCTGTCGAACATTACTTGAAGAAATCCCGTTTCCAACGAAGGCCTCAAAGAGGTCCAAATATCCACTTGCAGACATTACAAACAGAGTGTTTCCAAACTGCTCCATCAAAAGAAAGGTTAAACTCTGTGAGCTGAACACACACATCGAAAAGAAGTTTCTGTGAATGATTCTGTCTAGATTTTATAAGAAGATGTTTCCTTTTCTACCGTAGGCCTCAAAGCGCTTGAAATCTCCAGCTGCAAATTCCACAAAAAGGGTGTTTAACATCTGCTCTTCTAAAGGAAAGTTCAACTCTATGAGTTGAATACACACAGCACAAAGAAGTTACTGAGACTTCTCCTATCAAACATTATATGAAGAAATCCCGTTTCCAACGAAGGCCTCAAAGAGGTCCAAATATCTGCTTGCAGACTTTACAGACAGAGTGTTTCCAAACTGCTCCATCAAAAGAAAGGTTAAACTCCTTGAGTTGAACACACACATCACAAAGTAGTTTCTGTGAATGATTCTGTCTAGTTTTTATACGAAGATGTTTCCTTTTCTACCTTTGGTCTCAAAGTGATTGAAATCTCCACATGGAAACTCCACAAAAAGAGTGTTTCAAATCTGCTCTTTCTGAAGGAAGGTTCAAATCTGTGAGTTGAATACACACACCACAAATAAGTTACTGAGAATTCTTCTGTGTAACATTATATGAGGAAATCCCGTTTCCAACGAAGGCCTCAAAGAGGTCCAAATATCCACTTGCAGACTTTACAAAGACAGTGTCTCCAAACTCCTCCGTCAAAAGAAAGGTTATACTCTGTGAATTGAATGCACACATCACAAAGTAGTTTCTGAGAATGATTCTGTCTAGTTTTTATACGAAGATATTTCCTTTTCTACATTTGGCCTAAAAGCGCTTGAAATCTCCACCTGCAAATATCACAAAAAGAGGGTTTCACATCTGCTCTGTCTAAAGGACAGTTCACCTCTGTGAGTTGAATAGAGGCAACACAAAGAACTTACTCAGTATTCTTCTTTCTAGCGTTCTATGAAGAAATCCCGTTTCCAACGAAGGCCCCAAAGAGGTCCAAATATCTGCTTGCAGACTTTACAGACAGAGTGTTTCCAAACTACTCTATGAAAAGAAAGCTTAAACTCCTTGAGTTGAACGCACACATCACAAAGTAGTTTCTGAGAATGATTCTGTCTAGTTTTTATACGAAGATGTTTCCTTTTCTACGTTTGGTCTCAAAGCGATTGAAATCTCCAACTGGAAACTGCACAAATAGGCTGTTTCAAATCTGCTCTGTCTAAAGGAAGGTTCAACTCTGTGAGTTGAATACACACACCACAAATAAGTTACTGAGAATTCTTCTGTCGAACATTACTTGAAGAAATCCCGTTTCCAACGAAGGCCTCAAAGAGGTCCAAATATCCACTTGCAGACATTACAAACAGATTGTTTCCAACCTGCTCCATCAAAAGAAAGGTTAAACTCTGTGAGCTGAACACACACATCAAAAAGAAGTTTCTGTGAATGATTCTGACTAGATTTTATAAGAAGATATTTCCTTTTCTACCGTAGGCCTCAAAGCGCTTGAAATCTCCAGCTGCAAATTCCACAAAAAGGGTGTTTAACATCTGCTCTTCTAAAGGAAAGTTCAACTCTATGAGTTGAATACACACAGCATAAAGAAGTTACTGAGACTTCTCCTATCAAACATTATATGAAGAAATCCCGTTTCCAACGAAGGCCTCAAAGAGGTCCAAATATCTGCTTGCAGACTTTACAGACAGAGTGTTTCCAAACTGCTCCATCAAAAGAAAGGTTAACCTCCTGAGTTGAACACACACATCACAAAGTAGTTTCTGTGAATGATTCTGTCTAGTTTTTATACGAAGATGTTTCCTTTTCTACCTTTGGTCTCAAAGCGATTGAAATCTCCACATGGAAACTCCACAAAAAGAGTGTTTCAAATCTGCTCTTTCTGAAGGAAGGTTCATCTCTGTGAGTTGAATACACACACCACAAATAAGTTACTGAGAATTCTTCTGTGTAACATTATATGAGGAAATCCCGTTTCCAACGAAGGCCTCAAAGAGATCCAAATATCCACTTGCAGACTTTACAAAGACAGTGTCTCCAAACTCCTCCATCAAAAGAAAGGTTATACTCTGTGAATTGAACGCACACATCACAAAGTAGTTTCTGAGAATGATTCTGTCTAGTTTTTATACGAAGATATTTCCTTTTCTACATTTGGCCTAAAAGCGCTTGAAATCTCCACCTGCAAATATCACAAAAAGAGGGTTTCACATCTGCTCTGTCTAAAGGACAGTTCACCTCTGTGAGTTGAATAGAGGCAACACAAAGAACTTACTCAGTATTCTTCTTTCTAGCGTTCTATGAAGAAATCCCGTTTCCAACGAAGGCCCCAAAGAGGTCCAAATATCTGCTTGCAGACTTTACAGACAGAGTGTTTCCAAACTACTCTATGAAAAGAAAGCTTAAACTCCTTGAGTTGAACGCACACATCACAAAGTAGTTTCTGAGAATGATTCTGTCTAGTTTTTATACGAAGATGTTTCCTTTTCTACATTTGATCTCAAAGCGATTGAAATCTCCAACTGGAAACTGCACAAATAGGGTGTTTCAAATCTGCTCTGTCTAAAGGAAGGTTCAACTCTGTGAGTTGAATACACACACCACAAATAACTTACTGAGAATTCTTCTGTCGAACATTACAGGAAGAAATCCCGTTTCCAACGAAGGCCTCAAAGAGGTCCAAATATCCACTTGCAGACATTACAAACAGTGTGTTTCCAAACTGCTCCATCAAAAGATAGGTTAAACTCTGTGAGCTGAACACACACATCAAAAAGAAGTTTCTGTGAATGATTCTGTCTAGATTTTATAAGAAGATGTTTCCTTTTCTACCGTAGGCCTCAAAGCGCTTGAAATCTCCAGCTGCAAATTCCACAAAAAGGGTGTTTAACATCTGCTCTTCTAAAGGAAAGTTCAACTCTATGAGTTGAATACACACAGCACAAAGAAGTTACTGAGACTTCTCCTATCAAACATTATATGACGAAATCCCATTTCCAACGAAGGCCTCAAAGAGGTCCAAATATCTGCTTGCAGACTTTACAGACAGAGTGTTTCCAAACTGCTCCATCAAAAGAAAGGTTAAACTCCTTGAGTTGAACACACACATCACAAAGTAGTTTCCGTGAATGATTCTGTCTAGTTTTTATACGAAGATGTTTCCTTTTCTACATTTGGTCTCAAAGCGATTGAAATCTCCAACTGGAAACTGCACAAATAGGGTGTTTCAAATCTGCTCTGTCTAAAGGAAGGTTCAACTCTGTGAGTTGAATACACACACCACAAATAAGTTACTGAGAATTCTTCTGTGTAACATTATATGAGGAAATCCCGTTTCCAACGAAGGCCTCAAAGAGGTCCAAATATCCACTTGCAGACATTACAAACAGAGTGTTTCCAAACTGCTCCATCAAAAGAAAGGTTATACTCTGTGAATTGAACGCACACATCACAAAGTAGTTTCTGAGAATGATTCTGTCTAGTTTTTATACGAAGATATTTCCTTTTCTACATTTGGCCTAAAAGCGCTTGAAATCTCCACCTGCAAATATCACAAAAAGAGGGTTTCACATCTGCTCTGTCTAAAGGACAGTTCACCTCTGTGAGTTGAATAGAGGCAACACAAAGAACTTACTCAGTATTCTTCTTTCTAGCGTTCTATGAAGAAATCCCGTTTCCAACGAAGGCCCCAAAGAGGTCCAAATATCTGCTTGCAGACTTTACAGACAGAGTGTTTCCAAACTACTCTATGAAAAGAAAGCTTAAACTCCTTGAGTTGAACGCACACATCACAAAGTAGTTTCTGAGAATGATTCTGTCTAGTTTTTATACGAAGATGTTTCCTTTTCTACATTTGGTCTCAAAGCGATTGAAATCTCCACCTGGAAACTGCACAAATAGGGTGTATCAAATCTGCTCTGTCTAAAGAAGGTTCAACTCTGTGAGTTGAATACACACACCACAAATAAGTTACTGAGAATTCTTCTGTCGAACATTACTTGAAGAAATCCCGTTTCCAACGAAGGCCTCAAAGAGGTCCAAATATCTGCTTGCAGACTTTACAGACAGAGTTTTTCCAAACTGCTCCATCAAAAGAAAGGTTAAACTCCTTGAGTTGAACACACACATCACAAAGTAGTTTCTGTGAATGATTCTGTCTAGTTTTTATAAGAAGATGTTTCCTTTTCTACCTTTGGTCTCAAAGCGATTGAAATCTCCACATGGAAACTCCACAAAAAGAGTGTTTCAAATCTGCTCTTTACTGAAGGAAGGTTCAACTCTGTGAGTTGAATACACACACCACAAATAAGTTACTGAGAATTCTTCTTTCTAGCGTTCTATGAAGAAATCCCGTTTCCAACGAAGGCATCAAAGAGGTCCAAATATCTGCTTGCAGACTTTACAGACAGAGTGTTTCCAAACTACTCTATGAAAAGAAAGCTTAAACTCCTTGAGTTGAACGCACACAACACAAAGTAGTTTCTGAGAATGATTCTGTCTAGTTTTTATACGAAGATGTTTCCTTTTCTACATTTGGTCTCAAAGCGATTGAAATCTCCAACTGGAAACTGCACAAATAGGGTGTTTCAAATCTGCTCTGTCTAAAGGAAGGTTCAACTCTGTGAGTTGAATACACACACCACAAATAAGTTACTGAGAATTCTTCTGTCGAACATTACTTGAAGAAATCCCGTTTCCAAAGAAGGCCTCAAAGAGGTCAAAATATCCACTTGCAGACATTACAAACAGAGTGTTTCAAAACTGCTCCATCAAAAGAAAGGTTAAACTCTGTGAGCTGAACACACACATCGAAAAGAAGTTTCTGTGAATGATTCTGTCTAGATTTTATAAGAAGATGTTTCCTTTTCTACCGTAGGCCTCAAAGCGCTTGAAATCTCCAGCTGCAAATTCTACAAAAATGGTGTTTAACATCTGCTCTTCTAAAGGAAAGTTCAACTCTATGCGTTGAATAAACACAGCAGAAAGAAGTTACTGAGACTTCTCCTATCAAACATTATATGAAGAAATCCCGTTTCCAACGAAGGCCCCAAAGAGGTCCAAATATCTGCTTGCAGACTTTACAGACAGAGTTTTTCCAAACAGCTCCATCAAAAGAAAGGTTAAACTCCTTGAGTTGAACACACACATCACAAAGTAGTTTCTGTGAATGATTCTGTCTAGTTTTTATACGAAGATGTTTCCTTTTCTACCTTTGGTCTCAAAGCGATTGAAATCTCCACATGGAAACTCCACAAAAAGAGTGTTTCAAATCTGCTCTTTCTGAAGGAAGGTTCAACTCTGTGAGTTGAATACACACACCACAAATAAGTTACTGAGAATCTTCTGTGTAACATTATATGAGGAAATCCCGTTTCCAACGAAGGCCTCAAAGAGGTCCAAATATCCACTTGCAGACTTTACAAAGACAGTGTCTCCAAACTCCTCCATCAAAAGAAAGGTTATACTCTGTGAATTGAACGCACACATCACAAAGTAGTTTCTGAGAACGATTCTGTCTAGTTTTCATACGAAGATATTTCCTTTTCTACATTTGGCCTAAAAGCGCTTGAAATCTCCACCTGCAAATATCACAAAAAGAGGGTTTCACATCTGCTCTGTCTAAAGGACAGTTCACCTCTGTGAGTTGAATAGAGGCAACACAAAGAACTTACTCAGTATTCTTCTTTCTAGCGTTCTATGAAGAAATCCCGTTTCCAACGAAGGCCTCAAAGAGGTCCAAATATCTGCTTGCACACTTTACAGACAGAGTGTTTCCAAACTACTCTATGAAAAGAAAGCTTAAACTCCTTGAGTTGAACGCACACATCACAAAGTAGTTTCTGAGAATGATTCTGTCTAGTTTTTATACGAAGATGTTTCCTTTTCTACATTTGGTCTCAAAGCGATTGAAATCTCCAACTGGAAACTGCACAAATAGGGTGTTTCAAATCTGCTCTGTCTAAAGGAAGGTTCAACTCTGTGAGTTGAATACACACACCACAAATAAGTTACTGAGAATTCTTCTGTCGAACATTACTTGAAGAAATACCGTTTCCAAAGAAGGCCTCAAAGAGGTCAAAATATCCACTTGCAGACATTACAAACAGAGTGTTTCAAAACTGCTCCATCAAAAGAAAGGTTAAACTCTGTGAGCTGAACACACACATGAAAAAGAAGTTTCTGTGAATGATTCTGTCTAGATTTTATAAGAAGATGTTTCCTTTTCTACCGTAGGCCTCAAAGCGCTTGAAATCTCCAGCTGCAAATTCTACAAAAAGGGTATTTAACATCTGCTCTTCTAAAGGAAAGTTCAACTCTATGCGTTGAATAAACACAGCAGAAAGAAGTTACTGAGACTTCTCCTATCAAACATTATATGAAGAAATCCCGTTTCCAACGAAGGCCCCAAAGAGGTCCAAATATCTGCTTGCAGACTTTACAGACAGAGTTTTTCCAAACAGCTCCATCAAAAGAAAGGTTAAACTCCTTGAGTTGAACACACACATCACAAAGTAGTTTCTGTGAATGATTCTGTCTAGTTTTTATAAGAAGATGTTTCCTTTTCTACCTTTGGTCTCAAAGCGATTGAAATCTCCACATGGAAACTCCACAAAAAGAGTGTTTCAAATCTGCTCTTTCTGAAGGAAGGTTCATCTCTGTGAGTTGAATACACACACCACAAATAAGTTACTGAGAATTCTTCTGTGTAACATTATATGAGGAAATCCCGTTTCCAACGAAGGCCTCAAAGAGGTCCAAATATCCACTTGCAGACCTTACAAAGACAGTGTCTCCAAACTCCTCCATCAAAAGAAAGGTTATACTCTGTGAATTGAACGCACACATCACAAAGTAGTTTCTGAGAATGATTCTGTCTAGTTTTTATACGAAGATATTTCCTTTTCTACATTTGGCCTAAAAGTGCTTGAAATCTCCACCTGCAAATATCACAAAAAGAGGGTTTCACATCTGCTCTGTCTAAAGGACAGTTCACCTCTGTGAGTTGAATAGAGGCAACACAAAGAACTTACTCAGTATTCTTCTTTCTAGCGTTCTATGAAGAAATCCCGTTTCCAACGAAGGCCCCAAAGAGGTCCAAATATCTGCTTGCAGACTTTACAGACAGAGTGTTTCCAAACTACTCTATGAAAAGAAAGCTTAAACTCCTTGAGTTGAACGCACACATCACAAAGTAGTTTCTGAGAATGATTCTGTCTAGTTTTTATACGAAGATGTTTCCTTTTCTACATTTGGTCTCAAAGCGATTGAAATCTCCAACTGGAAACTGCACAAATAGGGTGTTTCAAATCTGCTCTGTCTAAAGGAAGGTTCAACTCTGTGAGTTGAATACACACACCACAAATAAGTTACTGAGAATTCTTCTGTCGAACATTACATGAAGAAATCCCGTTTCCAACGAAGGCCTCAAAGAGGTCCAAATATCCACTTGCAGACATTACAAACAGAGTGTTTCCAAACTGCTCCATCAAAAGAAAGGTTAAACTCTGTGAGCTGAACACACACATCAAAAAGAAGTTTCTGTGAATGATTCTGTCTAGATTTTATAAGAAGATGTTTCCTTTTCTACCGTAGGCCTCAAAGCGCTTGAAATCTCCAGCTGCAAATTCCACAAAAAGGGTGTTTAACATCTGCTCTTCTAAAGGAAAGTTCAACTCTATGAGTTGAATACACACAGCACAAAGAAGTTACTGAGACTTCTCCTATCAAACATTATATGAAGAAATCCCGTTTCCAACGAAGGCCTCAAAGAGGTCCAAATATCTGCTTGCACGCTTTACAGACAGAGTGTTTCCAAACTGCTCCATCAAAAGAAAGGTTAAACTCCTTGAGTTGAACACACACATCACAAAGTAGTTTCTGTGAATGATTCTGTCTAGTTTTTATACGAAGATGTTTCCTTTTCTACCTTTGGTCTCAAAGCGATTGAAATCTCCACATGGAAACTCCACAAAAAGAGTGTTTCAAATCTGCTCTTTCTGAAGGAAGGTTCAACTCTGTGAGTTGAATACACACACCACAAATAAGTTACTGAGAATTCTTCTGTGTAACATTATATGAGGAAATCCCGTTTCCAACGAAGGCCTCAAAGAGGTCCAAATATCCACTTGCAGACTTTACAAAGACAGTGACTCCAAACTCCTCCATCAAAAGAAAGGTTATACTCTGTGAATTGAACGCACACATCACAAAGTAGTTTCTGAGAATGATTCTGTCTAGTTTTTATACGAAGATATTTCCTTTTCTACATTTGGCCTAAAAGCGCTTGAAATCTCCACCTGCAAATATCACAAAAAGAGGGTTTCACATCTGCTCTGTCTAAAGGACAGTTCACCTCTGTGAGTTGAATAGAGGCAACACAAAGAACTTACTCAGTATTCTTCTTTCTAGCGTTCTATGAAGAAATCCCGTTTCCAACGAAGGCCTCAAAGAGGTCAAATATCTGCTTGCAGACTTTACAGACAGAGTGTTTCCAAACTACTCTATGAAAAGAAAGCTTAAACTCCTTGAGTTGAACGCACACATCACAAAGTAGTTTCTGAGAATGATTCTGTCTAGTTTTTATACGAAGATGTTTCCTTTTCTACATTTGGTCTCAAAGCTCTTGAAATCTCCAACTGGAAACTGCACAAATAGGCTGTTTCAAATCTGCTCTGTCTAAAGGAAGGTTCAACTCTGTGAGTTGAATACACACACCACAAATAAGTTACTGAGAATTCTTCTGTCGAACATTACTTGAAGAAATCCCGTTTCCAACGAAGGCCTCAAACAGGTCCAAATATCCACTTGCAGACGTTACAAACAGAGTGTTTCCAAACTGCTCCATCAAAAGAAAGGTTAAACTCTGTGAGCTGAACACACACATCAAAAAGAAGTTTCTGTGAATGATTCTGTCTAGATTTTATAAGAAGATGTTTCCTTTTCTACCGTAGGCCTCAAAGCGCTTGAAATCTCCAGCTGCAAATTCCACAAAAAGGGTGTTTAACATCTGCTCTTCTAAAGGAAAGTTCAACTCTATGAGTTGAATACACACAGCACAAAGAAGTTACTGAGACTTCTCCTATCAAACATTAGATGAAGAAATCCCGTTTCCAACGAAGGCCTCAAAGAGGTACAAATATCTGCTTGCAGACTTTACAGACAGAGTTTTTCCAAACTGCTCCATCAAAAGAAAGGTTAAACTCCTTGAGTTGAACACACACATCACAAAGTAGTTTCTGTGAATGATTCTGTCTAGTTTTTCTACAAAGATGTTTCCTTTTCTACCTTTGGTCTCAAAGCGATTGAAATCTCCACATGGAAACTCCACAAAAAGAGTGTTTCAAATCTGCTCTTTCTGAAGGAAGGTTCAACTCTGTGAGTTGAATACACACACCACAAATAAGTTACTGAGAATTCTTCTGTGTAACATTATATGAGGAAATCCCGTTTCCAACGAAGGCCTCAAAGAGGTGCAAATATCCACTTGCAGACTTTACAAAGACAGTGTCTCCAAACTCCTCCATCAAAAGAAAGGTTATACTCTGTGAATTGAACGCACACATCACAAAGTAGTTTCTGAGAATGATTCTGTCTAGTTTTTATACGAAGATATTTCCTTTTCTACATTTGGCCTAAAAGCGCTTGAAATCTCCACCTGCAAATATCACAAAAAGAGGGTTTCACATCTGCTCTGTCTAAAGGACAGTTCACCTCTGTGAGTTGAATAGAGGCAACACCAAGAACTTACTCACTATTCTTCTTTCTAGCGTTCTATGAAGAAATCCCGTTTCCAACGAAGGCCTCAAAGAGGTCCAAATATCTGCTTGCAGACTTTACAGACAGAGTGTTTCCAAACTACTCTATGAAAAGAAAGCTTAAACTCCTTGAGTTGAACGCACACATCACAAAGTAGTTTCTGAGAATGATTCTGTCTAGTTTTTATACGAAGATGTTTCCTTTTCTACATTTGGTCTCAAAGCGATTGAAATCTCCAACTGGAAACTGCACAAATAGGGTGTTTCAAATCTGCTCTGTCTAAAGGAAGGTTCAACTCTGTGAGTTGAATACACACACCACAAATAAGTTACTGAGAATTCTTCTGTCGAACATTACTTGAAGAAATCCCGTTTCCAACGAAGGCCTCAAAGAGGTCCAAATATCCACTTGCAGACATTACAAACAGAGTGTTTCCAAACTGCTCCATCAAAAGAAAGGTTAAACTCTGTGAGCTGAACACACACATCGAAAAGAAGTTTCTGTGAATGATTCTGTCTAGATTTTATAAGAAGATGTTTCCTTTTCTACCGTAGGCCTCAAAGCGCTTGAAATCTCCAGCTGCAAATTCCACAAAAAGGGTGTTTAACATCTGCTCTTCTAAAGGAAAGTTCAACTCTATGAGTTGAATACACACAGCACAAAGAAGTTACTGAGACTTCTCCTATCAAACATTATATGAAGAAATCCCGTTTCCAACGAAGGCCTCAAAGAGGTCCAAATATCTGCTTGCAGACTTTACAGACAGAGTGTTTCCAAACTGCTCCATCAAAAGAAAGGTTAAACTCCTTGAGTTGAACACACACATCACAAAGTAGTTTCTGTGAATGATTCTGTCTAGTTTTTATACGAAGATGTTTCCTTTTCTACCTTTGGTCTCAAAGCGATTGAAATCTCCACATGGAAACTCCACAAAAAGAGTGTTTCAAATCTGCTCTTTCTGAAGGAAGGTTCAACTCTGTGAGTTGAATACACACACCACAAATAAGTTACTGAGAATTCTTCTGTGTAACATTATATGAGGAAATCCCGTTTCCAACGAAGGCCTCAAAGAGGTCCAAATATCCACTTGCAGACTTTACAAAGACAGTGTCTCCAAACTCCTCCATCAAAAGAAAGGTTATACTCTGTGAATTGAACGCACACATCACAAAGTAGTTTCTGAGAATGATTCTGTCTAGTTTTTATACGAAGATATTTCCTTTTCTACATTTGGCCTAAAAGCGCTTGAAATCTCCACCTGCAAATATCACAAAAAGAGGGTTTCACATCTGCTCTGTCTAAAGGACAGGTTCACCTCTGTGAGTTGAATAGAGGCAACACAAAGAACTTACTCAGTATTCTTCTTTCTAGCGTTCTATGAAGAAATCCCGTTTCCAACGAAGGCCTCAAAGAGGTCCAAATATCTGCTTGCAGACTTTACAGACAGAGTGTTTCCAAACTACTCTATGAAAAGAAACCTTAAACTCCTTGAGTTGAACGCACACATCACAAAGTAGTTTCTGAGAATGATTCTGTCTAGTTTTTATACGAAGATGTTTCCTTTTCTACATTTGGTCTCAAAGCGATTGAAATCTCCAACTGGAAACTGCACAAATAGGGTGTTTCAAATCTGCTCTGTCTAAAGGAAGGTTCGACTCTGTGAGTTGAATACACACACAACAAATAAGTTACTGAGAATTCTTCTGTCGAACATTACATGAAGAAATCCCGTTTCCAACGAAGGCCTCAAACAGGTCCAAATATCCACTTGCAGACATTACAAACAGAGTGTTTCCAAACTGCTCCATCAAAAGAAAGGTTAAACTTTGTGAGCTGAACACACACATCAAAAAGAAGTTTCTGTGAATGATTCTGTCTAGATTTTCTAAGAAGATGTTTCCTTTTCTACCGTAGGCCTCAAAGCGCTTGAAATCTCCAGCTGCAAATTCCACAAAAAGGGTGTTTAACATCTGCTCTTCTAAAGGAAAGTTCAACTCTATGAGTTGAATACACACAGCACAAAGAAGTTGCTGAGAATTCTCCTATCAAACATTATATGAAGAAATCCCGTTTCCAACGAAGGCCTCAAAGAGGTCCAAATATCTGCTTACAGACTTTACAGACAGAGTTTTTCCAAACTGCTCCATCAAAAGAAAGGTTAAACTCCTTGAGTTGAACACACACATCACAAAATAGTTTCTGTGAATGATTCTGTCTAGTTTTTATACGAAGATGTTTCCTTTTCTACCTTTGTTCTCAATGCGATTGAAATCTCCACATGGAAACTCCACAAAAAGAGTGTTTCAAATCTGCTCTTTCTGAAGGAAGGTTCAACTCTGTGAGTTGAATACACACACCACAAATAAGTTACTGAGAATTCTTCTGTGTAACATTATATGAGGAAATCCCGTTTCCAACGAAGGCCTCAAAGAGGTCCAAATATCCACTTGCAGACTTACAAAGACAGTGTCTCCAAACTCCTCCATCAAAAGAAAGGTTATACTCTGTGAATTGAACGCACACATCACAAAGTAGTTTCTGAGAATGATTCTGTCTAGTTTTTATACGAAGATATTTCCTTTTCTACATTTGGCCTAAAAGCGCTTGAAATCTCCACCTGCAAATATCACAAAAAGAGGGTTTCACATCTGCTCTGTCTAAAGGACAGTTCACCTCTGTGAGTTGAATAGAGGCAACACAAAGAACTTACTCAGTATTCTTCTTTCTAGCGTTCTATGAAGAAATCCCGTTTCCAACGAAGGCCCCTAAGAGGTCCAAATATCTGTTTGCAGACTTTACAGACAGAGTGTTTCCAAACTACTCTATGAAAAGAAAGCTTAAACTCCTTGAGTTGAACGCACACATCACAAAGTAGTTTCTGAGAATGATTCTGTCTAGTTTTTATACGAAGATGTTTCCTTTTCTACATTTGGTCTCAAAGCAATTGAAATCTCCAAATGGAAACTGCACAAATAGGGTGTTTCAAATCTGCTCTGTCTAAAGGAAGGTTCAACTCTGTGAGTTGAATACACACACCACAAATAAGTTACTGAGAATTCTTCTGTCGAACATTACTTGAAGAAATCCCGTTTCCAACGAAGGCCTCAAAGAGGTCCAAATATCCACTTGCAGACATTACAAACAGAGTGTTTCCAAACTGCTCCATCAAAAGAAAGGTTATACTCTGTGAGCTGAACAGACACATCAAAAAGAAGTTTCTGTGAATGATTCTGTCTAGATTTTATAAGAAGATGTTTCCTTTTCTACCATAGGCCTCAAAGCGCTTGAAATCTCCAGCTGCAAATTCCACAAAAGGGGTGTTTATCATCTGCTCTTCTAAAGGAAAGTTCAACTCTATGAGTTGAATACACACAGCACAAAGAAGTTACTGAGACTTCTCCTATCACACATTATATGAAGAAATACCGTTTCCAACGAAGGCCTCAAAGAGGTCCAAATATCTGCTTGCAGACTTTACAGACAGAGTGTTTCCAAACTGCTCCATCAAAAGAAAGGTTAACCTCCTTGAGTTGAACACACACATCACAAAGTAGTTTCTGTGAATGATTCTGTCTAGTTTTTATACGAAGATGTTTCCTTTTCTACCTTTGGTCTCAAAGCGATTGAAATCTCCACATGGAAACTCCACAAAAAAGAGTGTTTCAAATCTGCTCTTTCTGAAGGAAGGTTCAACTCTGTGAGTTGAATACACACACCACAAATAAGTTACTGAGAATTCTTCTGTGTAACATTATATGAGGAAATCCCGTTTCCAACGAAGGCCTCAAAGAGGTCCAAATATCCAATTGCAGTCTTTACAAAGACAGTGTCTCCAAACTCCTCCATCAAAAGAAAGGTTATACTCTGTGAATTGAATGCACACATCACAAAGTAGTTTCTGAGAATGATTCTGTCTAGTTTTTATACGAAGATATTTCCTTTTCTACATTTGGCCTAAAAGCGCTTGAAATCTCCACCTGCAAATATCACAAAAAGAGGGTTTCACATCTGCTCTGTCTAAAGGACAGTTCACCTCTGTGAGTTGAATAGAGGCAACACAAAGAACTTACTCAGTATTCTTCTTTCTACCGTTCTATGAAGAAATCCCGTTTCCAACGAAGGCCTCAAAGAGGTCCAAATATCTGCTTGCAGACTTTACAGACAGAGTGTTTCCAAACTACTCTATGAAAAGAAAGCTTAAACTCCTTGAGTTGAACGCACACATCACAAAGTAGTTTCTGAGAATGATTCTGTCTAGTTTTTATACGAAGATGTTTCCTTTTCTACATTTGGTCTCAAAGCGATTGAAATCTCCAACTGGAAACTGCACAAATAGGGTGTTTCAAATCTGCTCTGTCTAAAGGAAGGTTCAACTCTTTGAGTTGAATACACACACCACAAATAAGTTACTGAGAATTCTTCTGTCGAACATTACAGGAAGAAATCCCGTTTCCAGCGAAGGCCTCAAAGAGGTCCAAATATCCACTTGCAGACATTACAAACAGAGTGTTTCCAAACTGCTCCATCAAAAGAAAGGTTAAACTCTGTGAGCTGAACACACACATCAAAAAGAAGTTTCTGTGAATGATTCTGTCTAGATTTTATAAGAAGATGTTTCCTTTTCTACCGTAGGCCTCAAAGCGCTTGAAATCTCCAGCTGCAAATTCCACAAAAAGGGTGTTTAACATCTGCTCTTCTAAAGGAAAGTTCAACTCTATGAGTTGAATACACACAGCACAAAGAAGTTACTGAGACTTCTTCTGTCTAACATTATATGAAGAAATCCCGTTTCCAACGAAGGCCTCAAAGAGGTCCAAATATCTGCTTGCAGACTTTACAGACAGAGTGTTTCCAAACTGCTCCATCAAAAGAAAGGTTAAACTCCTTGAGTTGAACACACACATCACAAAGTAGTTTCTGTGAATGATTCTGTCTAGTTTTTATACGAAGATGTTTCCTTTTCTACCTTTGGTCTCAAAGCGATTGAAATCTCCACATGGAAACTCCACAAAAAGAGTGTTTCAAATCTGCTCTTTCTGAAGGAAGGTTCATCTCTGTGAGTTGAATACACACACCACAAATAAGTTACTGAGAATTCTTCTGTGTAACATTATATGAGGAAATCCCGTTTCCAACGAAGGCCTCAAAGAGATCCAAATATCCACTTGCAGACATTACAAAGACAGTGTCTCCAAACTCCTCCATCAAAAGAAAGGTTATACTCTGTGAATTGAACGCACACATCACAAAGTAGTTTCTGAGAATGATTCTGTCTAGTTTTTATACGAAGATATTTCCTTTTCTACATTTGGCCTAAAAGCGCTTGAAATCTCCACCTGCAAATATCACAAAAAGAGGGTTTCACATCTGCTCTGTTTAAAGGACAGTTCACCTCTGTGAGTTGAATAGAGGCAACACAAAGAACTTACTCAGTATTCTTCTTTCTAGCGTTCTACGAAGAAATCCCGTTTCCAACGAAGGCCCCAAAGAGGTCCAAATATCTGCTTGCAGACTTTACAGACAGAGTGTTTCCAAACTACTCTATGAAAAGAAAGCTTAAACTCCTTGAGTTGAACGCACACATCACAAAGTAGTTTCTGAGAATGATTCTGTCTAGTTTTTATACGAAGATGTTTCCTTTTCTACATTTGGTCTCAAAGCGATTGAAATCTCCAACTGGAAACTGCACAAATAGCGTGTTTCAAATCTGCTCTGTCTAAAGGAAGGTTCAACTCTGTGAGTTGAATACACACACCACAAATAAGTTACTGAGAATTCTTCTGTCGACCATTACTTGATGAAATCCCGTTTCCAACGAAGGCCTCAAAGAGGTCCAAATATCCACTTGCAGACATTACAAACAGAGTGTTTCCAAACTGCTCCATCAAAAGAAAGGTTAAACTCTGTGAGCTGAACACACACATCGAAAAGAAGTTTCTGTGAATGATTCTGTCTAGATTTTATAAGAAGATGTTTCCTTTTCTACCGTAGGCCTCAAAGCGCTTGAAATCTCCAGCTGCAAATTCCACAAAAAGGGTGTTTAACATCTGCTCTTCTAAAGGAAAGTTCAACTCTATGAGTTGAATACACACAGCACAAAGAAGTTACTGAGACTTCTCCTATCAAACATTATATGAAAAAATCCCATTTCCAACGAAGGCCTCAAAGAGGTCCAAATATCTGCTTGCAGACTTTACAGACAGAGTGTTTCCAAACTGCTCCATCAAAAGAAAGGTTAAACTCCTTGAGTTGAACACACACATCACAAAGTAGTTTCTGTGAATGATTCTGTCTAGTTTTTATACGAAGATGTTTCCTTTTCTACCTTTGGTCTCAATGCGATTGAAATCTCCACATGGAAACTCCACAAAAAGAGTGTTTCAAATCTGCTCTTTCTGAAGGAAGGTTCATCTCTGTGAGTTGAATACACACACCACAAATAAGTTACTGAGAATTCTTCTGTGTAACATTATATGAGGAAATCCCGTTTCCAACGAAGGCCTCAAAGAGGTCCAAATATCCACTTGCAGACTTTACAAAGACAGTGTCTCCAAACTCCTCCATCAAAAGAAAGGTTATACTCTGTGAATTGAACGCACACGTCACAAAGTAGTTTCTGAGAATGATTCTGTCTAGTTTTTATACGAAGATATTTCCTTTTCTACATTTGGCCTAAAAGCGCTTGAAATCTCCACCTGCAAATATCACAAAAAGAGGGTTTCACATCTGCTCTGCCTAAAGGACAGTTCACCTCTGTGAGTTGAATAGAGGCAACACAAAGAACTTACTCAGTATTCTTCTTTCTAGCGTTCTATGAAGAAATCCCGTTTCCAACGAAGGCCTCAAAGAGATCCAAATATCCACTTGCAGACTTTACAAACACAGTGTCTCCAAACTCCTCCATCAAAAGAAAGGTTATACTCTGTAAATTGAACGCACACATCACAAAGTAGTTTCTGAGAATGATTCTGTCTAGTTTTTATACGAAGATGTTTCCTTTTCTACATTTGGTCTCAAAGCGATTGAAATCTCCAACTGGAAACTGCACAAATAGGCTGTTTCAAATCTGCTCTGTCTAAAGGAAGGTTCAACTCTGTGAGTTGAATACACACACCACAAATAAGTTACTGAGAATTCTTCTGTCGAACATTACAGGAAGAAATCCCGTTTCCAACGAAGGCCTCAAAGAGGTCCAAATATCCACTTGCAGACGTTACAAACAGAGTGTTTCCAAACTGCTCCATCAAAAGAAAGGTTAAACTCTGTGAGCTGAACACACACATCAAAAAGAAGTTTCTGTGAATGATTCTGTCTAGATTTTATAAGAAGATGTTTCCTTTTCTACCGTAGGCCTCAAAGCGCTTGAAATCTCCAGCTGCAAATTCCACAAAAAGGGTGTTTAACATCTGCTCTTCTAAAGGAAAGTTCAACTCTATGAGTTGAATACACACAGCACAAAGAAGTTACTGAGACTTCTCCTATCAAACATTATATGAAGAAATCCCGTTTCCAACGAAGGCCTCAAAGAGGTCCAAATATCCACTTGCAGACGTGACAAACAGAGTGTTTCCAAACTGCTCCATCAAAAGAAAGGTTAAACTTCTGTGAGTTGAACACACACATCACAAAGTAGTTTCTGTGAATGATTCTGTCTAGTTGTTATACGAAGTATGTTTCCTTTTCTACCTTTGGTCTCAAAGCGATTGAAATCTCCACATGGAAACTCCACAAAAAGAGTGTTTCAAATCTGCTCTTTCTGAAGGAAGGTTCATCTCTCTGAGTTGAATACACACACCACAAATAAGTTACTGAGAATTCTTCTGGGTAACATTATATGAGGAAATCCCGTTTCCAACGAAGGCCTCAAAGAGGTCCAAATATCCACTTGCAGACTTTACAAAGACAGTGTCTCCAAACTCCTCCATCAAAAGAAAGGTTATACTCTGTGAATTGAACGCACACATCACAAAGTAGTTTCTGAGAATGATTCTGTCTAGTTTTTATACGAAGATATTTCCTTTTCTACATTTGGCCTAAAAGCGCTTGAAATCTCCACCTGCAAATATCACAAAAAGAGGGTTTCACATCTGCTCTGTCTAAAGGACAGTTCACCTCTGTGAGTTGAATAGAGGCAACACAAAGAACTTACTCAGTATTCTTCTTTCTAGCGTTCTATGAAGAAATCCCGTTTCCAACGAAGGCCCCAAAGAGGTCCAAATATCTGCTTGCAGACTTTACAGACAGAGTGTTTCCAAACTACTCTATGAAAAGAAAGCTTAAACTCCTTGAGTTGAACGCACACATCACAAAGTAGTTTCTGAGAATGATTCTGTCTAGTTTTTATACGAAGATGTTTCCTTTTCTACATTTGGTCTCAAAGCGATTGAAATCTCCAACTGGAAACTGCACAAATAGGGTGTTTCAAATCTGCTCTGTCTAAAGGAAGGTTCAACTCTGTGAGTTGAATACACACACCACAAATAAGTTACTGAGAATTCTTCTGTCGAACATTACATGAAGAAATCCCGTTTCCAACGAAGGCCTCAAAGAGGTCCAAATATCCACTTGCAGACATTACAGAGTGTTTCCCAACTGCTCCATCAAAAGAAAGGTTAAAGTCTGTGAGCTGAACACACACATCAAAAAGAAGTTTCTGTGAATGATTCTGTCTAGATTTTATAAGAAGATGTTTCCTTTTCTACCGTAGGCCTCAAAGCGCTTGAAATCTCCAGCTGCAAATTCCACAAAAAGCGTGTTTAACATCTGCTCTTCTAAAGGAAAGTTCAACTCTATGAGTTGAATACACACAGCACAAAGAAGTTACCGAGATTTCTCCTATCAAACATTATATGAAGAAATCCCGTTTCCAATGAAGGCCTCAAAGAGGTCCAAATATCTTCTTGCAGACTTTACAGACAGAGTTTTTCCAAACTGCTCCATCAAAAGAAAGGTTAAACTCCTTGAGTTGAACACACACATCACAAAGTAGTTTCTGTGAATGATTCTGTCTAGTTTTTATACGAAGATGTATCCTTTTCCACCTTTGGTCTCAAAGCGATTGAAATCTCCACATGGAAACTCCACAAAAAGAGTTTTTCAAATCTGCTCTTTCTGAAGGAAGGTTCAACTCCGTGAGTTGAATACACACACCACAAATAAGTTACTGAGAATTCTTCTGGGTAACATTATATGAGGAAATCCCGTTTCCAACGAAGGCCTCAAAGAGGTCCAAATATCCACTTGCAGACTTTACAAAGACAGTGTCTCCAAACTCCTCCATCAAAAGAAAGGTTATACTCTGTGAATTGAACGCACACATCACAAAGTAGTTTCTGAGAATGATTCTGTCTAGTTTTTATATGAAGATATTTCCTTTTCTACATTTGGCCTAAAAGCGCTTGAAATCTCCACCTGCAAATATCACAAAAACAGGGTTTCACATCTGCTCTGTCTAAAGGACAGTTCACCTCTGTGAGTTGAATAGAGGCAACACAAAGAACTTACTCAGTATTCTTCTTTCTAACGTTCTATGAAGAAATCCCGTTTCCAACGAAGGCCTCAAAGAGGTCCAAATATCTGCTTGCAGACTTTACAGACAGAGTGTTTCCAAACTACTCTATGAAAAGAAAGCTTAAACTCCTTGAGTTGAACGCACACATCACAAAGTAGTTTCTGAGAATGATTCTGTCTAGTTTTTATACGAAGATGTTTCCTTTTCTACATTTGGTCTCAAAGCGATTGAAATCTCCAACTGGAAACTGCACAAATAGGGTGTTTCAAATCTGCTCTGTCTAAAGGAAGGTTCAACTCTGTGAGTTGAATACACACACCACAAATAAGTTACTGAGAATTCTTCTGTCGAACATTACTTGAAGAAATCCCGTTTCCAACGAAGGCCTCAAAGAGGTCCAAATATCCACTTGCAGACTTTACAAAGACAGTGTCTCCAAACTCCTCCATCAAAAGAAAGGTTATACTCTGTGAATTGAACGCACACATCACAAAGTAGTTTCTGAGAATGATTCTGTCTAGTTTTTATACGAAGATATTTCCTTTTCTACATTTGGCCTAAAAGCGCTTGAAACCTCCACCTGCAAATATCACAAAAACAGGGTTTCACATCTGCTCTGTCTAAAGGACAGTTCACCTCTGTGAGTTGAATAGAGGCAACACAAAGAACTTACTCAGTATTCTTCTTTCTAGCGTTCTATGAAGAAATCCGGTTTCCAACGAAGGCCTCAAAGAGGTCCAAATATCTGCTTGCAGACTTTACAGACAGAGTGTTTCCAAACTACTCTATGAAAAGAAAGATTAAACTCCTTGAGTTGAACGCACACATCACAAAGTAGTTTCTGAGAGTGATTCTGTCTAGTTTTTATACGAAGATGTTTCCTTTTCTACATTTGGTCTCAAAGCGATTGAAATCTCCAACTGGAAACTGCACAAATAGGGAGTTTCAAATCTGTTCTGTCTAAAGGAATGGTCAACTCTGTGAGTTGAATACACACACCACAAATAAGTTACTGAGAATTCTTCTGTCGAACATTACATGAAGAAATCCCGTTTCCAGCGAAGGCCTCAAGGGGTCCAAATATCCACTTGCAGACATTACAAACACAGTTTTTCCAAACTGCTCCATCAAAAGAAAGGTTAAACACTGTGAGCTGAACACACACATCAAAGAGAAGTTTCTGTGAATGATTCTGTCTAGATTTTATAAGAAGATGTTTCCTTTTCTACCGTAGGCCTCAAAGCGCTTGAAATCTCCAGCTGCAAATTCCACAAAAAGGGTGTTTAACATCTGCTCTTCTAAAGGAAAGTTCAACTCTATGAGTTGAATACACACAGCACAAAGAAGTTACTGAGACTTCTCCTATCAAACATTATATGAAGAAATCCCGTTTCCAACGAAGGCCTCAAAGAGGTCCAAATATCTGCTTGCAGACTTTACAGACAGAGTGTTTCCAAACTGCTCCATCAAAAGAAAGGTTAAACTCCTTGAGTTGAACACACACATCACAAAGTAGTTTCTGTGAATGATTCTGTCTAGTTGTTATACGAAGATGTTTCCTTTTCTACCTTTGGTCTCAAAGCGATTGAAATCTCCACATGGAAACTCCACAAAAAGAGTGTTTCAAATCTGCTCTTTCTGAAGGAAGGTTCATCTCTGTGAGTTGAATACACACACCACAAATAAGTTACTGAGAATTCTTCTGTGTAACATTATATGAGGAAATCCCGTTTCCAACGAAGGCCTCAAAGAGGTCCAAATATCCACTTGCAGACTTTGCAAAGACAGTGTCTCCAAACTCCTCCATCAAAAGAAAGGTTATACTCTGTGAATTGAACGCACACATCACAAAGTAGTTTCTGAGAATGATTCTGTCTAGTTTTTATACGAAGATATTTCCTTTTCTACATTTGGCCTAAAAGCGCTTGAAATCTCCACGTGCAAATATCACAAAAAGAGGGTTTCACATCTGCTCTGTCTAAAGGACAGTTCACCTACTGTGAGTTGAATAGAGGCAACACAAAGAACTTACTCAGTATTCTTCTATCAAACATTATATGAAGAAATCCCGTTTCCAACGAAGGCCTCAAAGAGGTCCAAATATCTGCTTGCAGACTTTACAGACAGTGTGTTTCCAAACTGCTCCATCAAAAGAAAGGTTAAACTCCTTGAGTTGAACACACACATCACAAAGTAGTTTCTGAGAATGATTCTGTCTAGTTTTTATACGAAGATGTTTCCTTTTCTACCTTTGGTCTCAAAGCGATTGAAATCTCCACATGGAAACTCCACAAAAAGAGTGTTTCAAATCTGCTCTTTCTGAAGGAAGGTTCAACTCTGTGAGTTGAATACACACACCACAAATAAGTTACTGAGAATTCTTCTGTGTAACATTATATGAGGAAATCCCGTTTCCAACGAAGGCCTCAAAGAGGTCCAAATATCCACTTGCAGACTTTACAAAGACAGTGTCTCCAAACTCCTCCATCAAAAGAAAGGTTATACTCTGTGAATTGAACGCACACATCACAAAGTAGTTTCTGAGAATGATTCTGTCTAGTTTTTATACGAAGATATTTCCTTTTCTACATTTGGCCTAAAAGCGCTTGAAATCTCCACCTGCAAATATCACAAAAAGAGGGTTTCACATCTGATCTGTCTAAAGGACAGTTCACCTCTGTGAGTTGAATAGAGGCAACACAAAGAACTTACTCAGTATTCTTCTTTCTAGCGTTCTCTGAAGAAATCCCGTTTCCAACGAAGGCCCCAAAGAGGTCCAAATATCTGCTTGCAGACTTTACAGACAGAGTGTTTCCAAACTACTCTATGAAAAGAAAGCTTAAACTCCTTGAGTTGAACGCACACATCACAAAGTAGTTTCTGAGAATGATTCTGTCTAGTTTTTATACGAAGATGTTTCCTTTTCTACATTTGGTCTCAAAGCGATTGAAATCTCCAACTGGAAACTGCACAAATAGGGTGTTTCAAATCTGCTCTGTCTAAAGGAAGGTTCAACTCTGTGAGTTGAATACACACACCACAAATAAGTTACTGAGAATTCTTCCGTCGACCATTACTTGAAGAAATCCCGTTTCCAACGAAGGCCTCAAAGAGGTCCAAATATCCACTTGCAGACATTACAAACAGAGTGTTTCCAAACTGCTCCATCAAAAGAAAGGTTAAACTCTGTGAGCTGAACACACACATCAAAAAGAAGTTTCTGTGAATGATTCTGTCTAGATTTTATAAGAAGATGTTTCCTTTTCTACCGTAGGCCTCAAAGCGCTTGAAATCTCCAGCTGCAAATTCCACAAAAAGGGTGTTTAACATCTGCTCTTCTAAAGGAAAGTTCAACTCTATGAGTTGAATACACACAGCACAAAGAAGTTACTGAGACTTCTCCTATCAAACATTATATGAAGAAATCCCGTTTCCAACGAAGGCCTCAAAGAGGTCCAAATATCTGCTTGCAGACTTTACAGACAGAGTGTTTCCAAACTGCTCCATCAAAAGAAAGGTTAAACTCCTTGAGTTGAACACACACATAACAAAGTAGTTTCTGTGAATGATTCTGTCTAGTTTTTATACGAAGATGTTTCCTTTTCTACATTTGGTCTCAAAGCGATTGAAATCTCCACATGGAAACTCCACAAAAAGAGTGTTTGAAATCTGCTCTTTCTGAAGGAAGGTTCAACTCTGTGAGTTGAATACACACACCACAAATAAGTTACTGAGAATTCTTCTGTGTAACATTATATGAGGAAATCCCGTTTCCATCGAAGGCCTCAAATAGATCCAAATATCCACTTGCAGACTTTACAAAGACAGTGTCTCCAAACTCCTCCATCAAAAGAAAGGTTATACTCTGTGAATTGAACGCACACATCACAAAGTAGTTTCTGAGAATGATTCTGTCTAGTTTTTATATGAAGATATTTCCTTTTCTACATTTGGCCTAAAAGCGCTTGAAATCTCCACCTGCAAATATCACAAAAACAGGGTTTCACATCTGCTCTGTCTAAAGGACAGTTCACCTCTGTGAGTTGAATAGAGGCAACACAAAGAACTTACTCAGTATTCTTCTTTCTAACGTTCTATGAAGAAATCCCGTTTCCAACGAAGGCCTCAAAGAGGTCCAAATATCTGCTTGCAGACTTTACAGACAGAGTGTTTCCAAACTACTCTATGAAAAGAAAGCTTAAACTCCTTGAGTTGAACGCACACATCACAAAGTAGTTTCTGAGAATGATTCTGTCTAGTTTTTATACGAAGATGTTTCCTTTTCTACATTTGGTCTCAAAGCGATTGAAATCTCCAACTGGAAACTGCACAAATAGGGTGTTTCAAATCTGCTCTGTCTAAAGGAAGGTTCAACTCTGTGAGTTGAATACACACACCACAAATAAGTTACTGAGAATTCTTCTGTCGAACATTACTTGAAGAAATCCCGTTTCCAACGAAGGCCTCAAAGAGGTCCAAATATCCACTTGCAGACATTACAAACAGAGTGTTTCCAACCTGCTCCATCAAAAGAAAGGTTAAACTCTGTGAGCTGAACACACACATCAAAAAGAAGTTTCTGTGAATGATTCTGTCTAGATTTTATAAGAAGATGTTTCCTTTTCTACCGTAGGCCTCAAAGCGCTTGAAATCTCCAGCTGCAAATTCCACAAAAAGGGTGTTTAACATCTGCTCTTCTAAAGGAAAGTTCAACTCTATGAGTTGAATACACACAGCACAAAGAAGTTACTGAGACTTCTCCTATCAAACATTATATGAAGAAATCCCGTTTCCAACGAAGGCCTCAAAGAGGTCCAAATATCTGCTTGCAGACTTTACAGACAGAGTGTTTCCAAACTGCTCCATCAAAAGAAAGGTTAAACTCCTTGAGTTGAACACACACATCACAAAGTAGTTTCTGTGAATGATTCTGTCTAGTTTTTATACGAAGATGTTTCCTTTTCTACCTTTGGTCTCAAAGCGATTGAAATCTCCACATGGAAACTCCACAAAAAGAGTGTTTCAAATCTGATCTTTCTGAAGGAAGGTTCATCTCTGTGAGTTGAATACACACACCACAAATAAGTTACTGAGAATTCTTCTGTGTAACATTATATGAGGAAATCCCGTTTCCAACGAAGGCCTCAAAGAGGTCCAAATATCCACTTGCAGACTTTACAAAGACAGTGTCTCCAAACTCCTCCATCAAAAGAAAGGTTATACTCTGTGAATTGAACGCACACATCACAAAGTAGTTTCTGAGAATGATTCTGTCTAGTTTTTATACGAAGATATTTCCTTTTCTACATTTGGCCTAAAAGCGCTTGAAATCTCCACCTGCAAATATCACAAAAAGAGGGTTTCACATCTGCTCTGTCTAAAGGACAGTTCACCTCTGTGAGTTGAATAGAGGCAACACAAAGAACTTACTCAGTATTCTTCTTTCTAGCGTTCTATGAAGAAATCCCGTTTCCAACGAAGGCCCCAAAGAGGTCCAAATATCTGCTTGCAGACTTTACAGACAGAGTGTTTCCAAACTACTCTATGAAAAGAAAGCTTAAACTCCTTGAGTTGAACGCACACATCACAAAGTAGTTTCTGAGAATGATTCTGTCTAGTTTTTATACGAAGATGTTTCCTTTTCTACATTTGGTCTCAAAGCGATTGAAATCTCCAACTGGAAACTGCACAAATAGGGTGTTTCAAATCTGCTCTGTCTAAAGGAAGGTTCAACTCTGTGAGTTGAATACACACACCACAAATAAGTTACTGAGAATTCTTCTGTCGACCATTACTTGAAGAAATCCCGTTTCCAACGAAGGCCTCAAAGAGGTCCAAATATCCACTAGCAGACATTACAAACAGAGTGTTTCCAAACTGCTCCATCAAAAGAAAGGTTAAACTCTGTGAGCTGAACACACACATCGAAAAGAAGTTTCTGTGAATGATTCTGTCTAGATTTTATAAGAAGATGTTTCCTTTTCTACCGTAGGCCTCAAAGCGCTTGAAATCTCCAGCTGCAAATTCCACAAAAAGGGTGTTTAACATCTGCTCTTCTAAAGGAAAGTTCAACTCTATGAGTTGAATACACACAGCACAAAGAAGTTACTGAGACTTCTCCTATCAAACATTATATGAAGAAATCCCGTTTCCAACGAAGGCCTCAAAGAGGTCCAAATATCTGCTTGCAGACTTTACAGACAGAGTGTTTCCAAACTGCTCCATCAAAAGAAAGGTTAAACTCCCTTGAGTTGAACACACACATCACAAAGTAGTTTCTGTGAATGATTCTGTCTAGTTTTTATACGAAGATGTTTCCTTTTCTACCTTTGGTCTCAAAGCGATTGAAATCTCCACATGGAAACTCCACAAAAAGAGTGTTTCAAATCTGCTCTTTCTGAAGGAAGGTTCAACTCTGTGAGTTGAATACACACACCACAAATAAGTTACTGAGAATTCTTCTGTGTAACATTATATGAGGAAATCCCGTTTCCAACGAAGGCCTCAAAGAGGTCCAAATATCCACTTGCAGACTTTACAAAGACAGTGTCTCCAAACTCCTCCATCAAAAGAAAGGTTATACTCTGTGAATTGAACGCACACATCACAAAGTAGTTTCTGAGAATGATTCTGTCTAGTTTTTATACGAAGATATTTCCTTTTCTACATTTGGCCTAAAAGCGCTTGAAATCTCCACCTGCAAATATCACAAAAAGAGGGTTTCACATCTGCTCTGTCTAAAGGACAGTTCACCTCTGTGAGTTGAATAGAGGCAACACAAAGAACTTACTCAGTATTCTTCTTTCTAGCGTTCTATGAAGAAATCCCGTTTCCAACGAAGGCCCCAAAGAGGTCCAAATATCTGCTTGCAGACTTTACAGACAGAGTGTTTCCAAACTACTCTATGAAAAGAAAGCTTAAACTCCTTGAGTTGAACGCACACATCACAAAGTAGTTTCTGAGAATGATTCTGTCTAGTTTTTATACGAAGATGTTTCCTTTTCTACATTTGGTCTCAAAGCGATTGAAATCTCCAACTGGAAACTGCACAAATAGGCTGTTTCAAATCTGCTCTGTCTAAAGGAAGGTTCAACTCTGTGAGTTGAATACACACACCACAAAGAAGTTACTGAGAATTCTTCTGTCGAACATTACTTGAAGAAATCCCGTTTCCAACGAAGGCCTCAAAGAGGTCCAAATATCCACTTCCAGACATTACAAACAGAGTGTTTCCAAACTGCTCCATCAAAAGAAAGGTTAAACTCTGTGAGCTGAACACACACATCAAAAAGAAGTTTCTGTGAATGATTCTGTCTAGATTTTATAAGAAGATGTTTCCTTTTCTACCGTAGGCCTCAAAGCGCTTGAAATCTCCAGCTGCAAATTCCACAAAAAGGGTGTTTAACATCTGCTCTTCTAAAGGAAAGTTCAACTCTATGAGTTGAATACACACAGCACAAAGAAGTTACTGAGACTTCTCCTATCAAACATTATATGAAGAAATCCCGTTTCCAACGAAGGCCTCAAAGAGGTCCAAATATCTGCTTGCAGACGTTACAGACAGAGTGTTTCCAAACTGCTCCATCAAAAGAAAGGTTAACCTCCTTGAGTTGAACACACACATCACAAAGTAGTTTCTGTGAATGATTCTGTCTAGTTTTTATACGAAGATGTTTCCTTTTCTACCTTTGGTCTCAAAGCGATTGAAATCTCCACATGGAAACTCCACAAAAAGAGTGTTTCAAATCTGCTCTTTCTGAAGGAAGGTTCAACTCTGTGAGTTGAATACACACACCACAAATAAGTTACTGAGAATTCTTCTGTGTAACATTATATGAGGAAATCCCGTTTCCAACGAAGGCCTCAAAGAGGTCCAAATATCCACTTGCAGACTTTACAAAGACAGTGTCTCCAAACTCCTCCATCAAAAGAAAGGTTATACTCTGTGAATTGAACGCACACATCACAAAGTAGTTTCTGAGAATGATTCTGTCTAGTTTTTATACGAAGATATTTCCTTTTCTACATTTGGCCTAAAAGCGCTTGAAGTCTCCACCTGCAAATATCACAAAAAGAGGGTTTCACATCTGCTCTGTCTAAAGGACAGTTCACCTTTGTGAGTTGAATAGAGGCAACACAAAGAACTTACTCAGTATTCTTCTTTCTAGCGTTCTATGAAGAAATCCCGTTTCCAACGAAGGCCCCAAAGAGGTCCAAATATCTGCTTGCAGACTTTACAGACAGAGTGTTTCCAAACTACTCTATGAAAAGAAAGGTTAAACTCCTTGAGTTGAACGCACACATCACAAAGTAGATTCTGAGAATGATTCTGTCTAGTTTTTATGCGAAGATGTTTCCTTTTCTACATTTGGTCTCAAAGCGATTGAAATCTCCAACTGGAAACTGCACAAATAGGGTGTTTCAAATCTGCTCTGTCTAAAGGAAGGTTCAACTCTGTGAGTTGAATACACACACCACAAATAAGTTACTGAGAATTCTTCTGTCGAACATTACATGAAGAAATCCCGTTTCCAACGAAGGCCTCAAAGACGTCCAAATATCCACTTGCAGACATTACAAACAGAGTGTTTCCAAACTGCTCCATCAAAAGAAAGGTTAAACTCTGTGAGCTGAACACACACATCAAAAAGAAGTTTCTGTGAATGATTCTGTCTAGATTTTATAAGAAGATGTTTCCTTTTCTACCGTAGGCCTCAAAGCGCTTGAAATCTCCAGCTGCAAATTCCACAAAAAGGGTGTTTAACATCTGCTCTTCTAAAGGAAAGTTCAACTCTATGAGTTGAATACACACAGCACAAAGAAGTTACTGAGACTTCTCCTATCAAACATTATATGAAGAAATCCCGTTTCCAACGAAGGCCTCAAAGAGGTCCAAATATCTGCTTGCAGACTTTACAGACAGAGTATTTCCAAACTGCTCCATCAAAAGAAAGGTTAAACTCCTTGAGTTGAACACACACATCACAAAGTAGTTTCTGTGAATGATTCTGTCTAGTTTTTATACGAAGATGTTTCCTTTTCTACCTTTGGTCTCAAAGCGATTGAAATCTCCACATGGAAACTCCACAAAAAGAGTGTTTCAAATCTGCTCTTTCTGAAGGAAGGTTCAACTCTGTGAGTTGAATACACACACCACAAATAAGTTACTGAGAATTCTTCTGTGTAACATTATATGAGGAAATCCCGTTTCCAACGAAGGCCTCAAAGAGGTCCAAATATCCACTTGCAGACTTTACAAAGACAGTGTCTCCAAACTCCTCCATCAAAAGAAAGGTTATACTCTGTGAATTGAACGCACACATCACAAAGTAGTTTCTGAGAATGATTCTGTCTAGTTTTTATACGAAGATATTTCCTTTTCTACATTTGGCCTAAAAGCGCTTGAAATCTCCACCTGCAAATATCACAAAAAGAGGGTTTCACATCTGCTCTGTCTAAAGGACAGTTCACCTCTGTGAGTTGAATAGAGGCAACACAAAGAACTTAGTCAGTATTCTTCTTTCTAGCGTTCTATGAAGAAATCCCGTTTCCAACGAAGGCCCCAATGAGGTCCAAATATCTGCTTGCAGACTTTACAGACAGAGTGTTTCCAAACTACTCTATGAAAAGAAAGCTTAAACTCCTTGAGTTGAACGCACACATCACAAAGTAGTTTCTGAGAATGATTCTGTCTAGTTTTTATACGAAGATGTTTCCTTTTCTACATTTGGTCTCAAAGCGATTGAAATCTCCAACTGGAAATTGCACAAATAGGGTGTTTCAAATCTGCTCTGTCTAAAGGAAGGTTCAACTCTGTGAGTTGAATACACACACCACAAATAAGTTACTGAGAATTCTTCTGTCGAACATTACTTGAAGAAATCCCGTTTCCAACGAAGGCCTCAAAGAGGTCCAAATATCCACTTGCAGACATTACAAACAGAGTGTTTCCAAACTGCTCCATCAAAAGAAAGGTTAAACTCTGTGAGCTGAACCCACACATCAAAAAGAAGTTTCTGTGAATGATTCTGTCTGGATTTTATAAGAAGATGTTTCCTTTTCTACCGTAGGCCTCAAAGCGCTTGAAATCTCCAGCTGCAAATTCCACAAAAAGGGTGTTTAACATCTGCTCTTCTAAAGGAAAGTTCAACTCTATGCGTTGAATACACACAGCACAAAGAAGTTACTGAGACTTCTCCTATCAAACATTATATGAAGAAATCCCGTTTCCAACGAAGGCCTCAAAGAGGTCCAAATATCTGCTTGCAGACTTTACAGACAGAGTGTTTCCAAACTGCTCCATCAAAAGAAAGGTTAAACTCCTTGAGTTGAACACACACATCACAAAGTAGTTTCTGTGAATGATTCTGTCTAGATTTTATACGAAGATGTTTCCTTTTCTACCTTTGTTCTCAATGCGATTGAAATCTCCACCTGGAAACTCCACAAAAAGGGTGTTTCAAATCTGCTCTTTCTGAAGGAAGGTTCAACTCTGTGAGTTGAATAAACACACCACAAATAAGTTACTGAGAATTCTTCTGGGTAACATTATATGAGGAAATCCCGTTTCCAACGAAGGCCTCAAAGAGGTCCAAATATCCACTTGCAGACTTTACAAAGACAGTGTCTCCAAACTCCTCCATCAAAAGAAAGGTTATACTCTGTGAATTGAACGCACACATCACAAAGTAGTTTCTGAGAATGATTCTGTCTAGTTTTTATACGAAGATATTTCCTTTTCTACATTTGGCCTAAAAGCGCTTGAAATCTCCACCTGGAAATATCACAAAAAGAGGGTTTCACATCTGCTCTGTCTAAAGGACAGTTCACCTCTGTGAGTTGAATAGAGGCAACACAAAGAACTTACTCAGTATTCTTCTTTCTAGCGTTCTATGAAGAAATCCCGTTTCCAACGAAGGCCTCAAAGAGGTCAAATATCTGCTTGCAGACTTTACAGACAGAGTGTTTCCAAACTACTCTATGAAAAGAAAGCTTAAACTCCTTGAGTTGAACGCACACATCACAAAGTAGTTTCTGAGAATGATTCTGTCTAGTTTTTATACGAAGATGTTTCCTTTTCTACATTTGGTCTCAAAGCGATTGAAATCTCCAACTGGAAACTGCACAAATAGGGTGTTTCAAATCTGCTCTGTCTAAAGGAAGGTTCAACTCTGTGAGTTGAATACACACACCACAAATAAGTTACTGAGAATTCTTCTGTCGAACATTACTTGAAGAAATCCCGTTTCCAACGAAGGCCTCAAAGAGGTCCAAATATCCACTTGCAGACGTTACAAACAGAGTGTTTCCAAACTGCTCCATCAAAAGAAAGGTTAAACTCTGTGAGCTGAACACACACATCAAAAAGAAGTTTCTGTGAATGATTCTGTCTAGATTTTATAAGAAGATGTTTCCTTTTCTACCGTAGGCCTCAAAGCGCTTGAAATCTCCAGCTGCAAATTCCACAAAAAGGGTGTTTAACATCTGCTCTTCTAAAGGAAAGTTCAACTCTATGAGTTGAATACACACAGCACAAAGAAGTTACTGAGACTTCTCCTATCAAACATTATATGAAGAAATCCCGTTTCCAACGAAGGCCTCAAAGAGGTCCAAATGTCTGCTTGCAGACTTTACAGACAGAGTGTTTCCAAACTGCTCCATCAAAAGAAAGGTTAAACTCCTTGAGTTGAACACACACATCACAAAGTAGTTTCTGTGAATGATTCTGTCTAGTTTTTATACGAAGATGTTTCCTTTTCTACCTTTGGTCTCAAAGCGATTGAAATCTCCACATGGAAACTCCACAAAAAGAGTGTTTCTAATCTGCTCTTTCTGAAGGAAGGTTCAACTCTGTGAGTTGAATACACACACCACAAATAAGTTACTGAGAATTCTTCTGTGTAACATTATATGAGGAAATCCCGTTTCCAACGAAGGCCTCAAAGAGGTCCAAATATCCACTTGCAGACTTTACAAAGACAGTGTCTCCAAACTCCTCCATCAAAAGAAAGGTTATACTCTGTGAATTGAACGCACACATCACAAAGTAGTTTCTGAGAATGATTCTGTCTAGTTTTTATACGAAGAATATTTCCTTTTCTACATTTGGCCTAAAAGCGCTTGAAATCTCCACCTGCAAATATCACAAAAAGAGGGTTTCACATCTGCTCTGTCTAAAGGACAGTTCACCCCTGTGAGTTGAATAGAGGCAACACAAAGAACTTACTGAGTATTCTTCTTTCTAGCGTTCTATGAAGAAATCCCGTTTCCAACGAAGGCCCCAAAGAGGTCCAAATATCTGCTTGCAGACTTTACAGACAGAGTGTTTCCAAACTACTCTATGAAAAGAAAGCTTAAACTCCTTGAGTTGAACGCACACATCACAAAGTAGTTTCTGAGAATGATTCTGTCTAGTTTTTATACGAAGTTGTTTCCTTTTCTATATTTGGTCTCAAAGCGATTGAAATCTCCAACTGGAAACTGCACAAATAGGGTGTTTCAAATCTGCTCTGTCTAAAGGAAGGTTCAACTCTGTGAGTTGAATACACACACCACAAATAAGTTACTGAGAATTCTTCTGTCGAACATTACTTGAAGAAATCCCGTTTCCAACGAAGGCCTCAAAGAGGTCCAAATATCCACTTGCAGACATTACAAACAGAGTGTTTCCAAACTGCTCCATCAAAAGAAAGGTTAAACTCTGTGAGCTGAACACACACATCAAAAAGAAGTTTCTGTGAATGATTCTGTCTAGATTTTATAAGAAGATGTTTCCTTTTCTACCGTAGGCCTCAAAGCGCTTGAAATCTCCAGCTGCAAATTCCACAAAAAGGGTGTTTAACATCTGCTCTTCTAAAGGAAAGTTCAACTATATGAGTTGAATACACACAGCATAAAGAAGTTACTGAGACTTCTCCTATCAAACATTATATGAAGAAATCCCGTTTCCAACGAAGGCCTCAAAGAGGTCCAAATATCTGCTTGCAGACTTTACAGACAGAGTGTTTCCAAACTGCTCCATCAAAAGAAAGGTTAAACTCCTTGAGTTGAACACACACATCACAAAGTAGTTTCTGTGAATGATTCTGTCTAGTTTTTATACGAAGATGTTTCCTTTTCTACCTTTGGTCTCAATGCGATTGAAATCTCCACATGGAAACTCCACAAAAAGAGTGTTTCAAATCTGCTCTTTCTGAAGGAAGGTTCAACTCTGTGAGTTGAATACACACACCACAAATAAGTTACTGAGAATTCTTCTGTGTAACATTATATGAGGAAATCCCGTTTTCAACGAAGGCCTCAAAGAGGTCCAAATATCCACTTGCAGACTTTACAAAGATAGTGTCTCCAAACTCCTCCATCAAAAGAAAGGTTATACTATGTGAATTGAACGCACACATCACAAAGTAGTTTCTGAGAATGATTCTGTCTAGTTTTTATACGAAGATATTTCCTTTTCTACATTTGGCCTAAAAGCGCTTGAAATCTCCACCTGCAAATATCACAAAAAGAGGGTTTCACATCTGCTCTGTCTAAAGGACAGTTCACCTCTGTGAGTTGAATAGAGGCAACACAAAGAACTTACTCAGTATTCTTCTTTCTAGCGTTCTATGAAGAAATCCCGTTTCCAACGAAGGCCTCAAAGAGGTCCAAATATCTGCTTGCAGACTTTACAGACAGAGTGTTTCCAAACTACTCTATGAAAAGAAAGCTTAAACTCCTTGAGTTGAACGCACACATCACAAAGTAGTTTCTGAGAATGATTCTGTCTAGTTTTTATACGAAGATGTTTCCTTTTCTACATTTGGTCTCAAAGCGATTGAAATCTCCAACTGGAAACTGCACAAATAGGGTGTTTCAAATCTGCTCTGTCTAAAGGGAGGTTCAACTCTGTGAGTTCAATACACACACCACAAATAAGTTACTGAGAATTCTTCTGTCGAACATTACATGAAGAAATCCCGTTTCCAACGAAGGCCTCAAAGAGGTCCAAATATCCACTTGCAGACATTACAAACAGAGTGTTTCCAAACTGCTCCATCAAAAGAAAGGTTAAACTCTGTGAGCTGAACACACACATCAAAAAGAAGTTTCTGTGAATGATTCTGTCTAGATTTTATAAGAAGATGTTTCCTTTTCTACCGTAGGCCTCAAAGCGCTTGAAATCTCCAGCTGCAAATTCCACAAAAAGGGTGTTTAACATCTGCTCTTCTAAAGGAAAGTTCAACTCTATGAGTTGAATACACACAGCACAAAGAAGTTACTGAGACTTCTCCTATCAAACATTATATGAAGAAATCCCGTTTCCAACGAAGGCCTCAAAGAGGTCCAAATATCTGCTTGCAGACTTTACAGACAGAGTGTTTCCAAACTGCTCCATCAAAAGAAAGGTTAAACTCCTTGAGTTGAACACACACATCACAAAGTAGTTTCTGTGAATGATTCTGTCTAGTTTTTATACGAAGATGTTTCCTTTTCTACCTTTGGTCTCAATGCGATTGAAATCTCCACATGGAAACTCCACAAAAAGAGTGTTTCAAATCTGCTCTTTCTGAAGGAAGGTTCAACTCTGTGAGTTGAATACACACACCACAAATAAGTTACTGAGAATTCTTCTGTGTAACATTATATGAGGAAATCCCGTTTCCAACGAAGGCCTCAAAGAGGTCCAAATATCCACTTGCAGACTTTACAAAGACAGTGTCTCCAAACTCCTCCATCAAAAGAAAGGTTATACTCTGTGAATTGAACGCACACATCACAAAGTAGTTTCTGAGAATGATTCTGTCTAGTTTTTATACGAAGATATTTCCTTTTCTACATTTGGCCTAAAAGCGCTTGAAATCTCCACCTGCAAATATCACAAAAAGAGGGTTTCACATCTGCTCTGTCTAAAGGACAGTTCACCTCTGTGAGTTGAATAGAGGCAACACAAAGAACTTACTCAGTATTCTTCTTTCTAGCATTCTATTAAGCAAATCCCGTTTCCAACGAAGGCCCCAAAGAGGTGCAAATATCTGCTTGCAGACTTTACAGACAGAGTTTTTCCAAACTGCTCCATCAAAAGAAAGGTTAAACTCCTTGAGTTGAACACACACATCACAAAGTAGTTTCTGTGAATGATTCTGTCTAGTTTTTATACGAAGATGTTTCCTTTTCTACCTATGGTCTCAAAGCGATTGAAATCTCCACATGGAAACTCCACAAAAAGAGTGTTTCAAATCTGCTCTTTCTGAAGGAAGGTTCAACTCTGTGAGTTGAATACACACACCACAAATAAGTTACTGAGAATTCTTCTGTGTAACATTATATGAGGAAATCCCGTTTCCAACGAAGGCCTCAAAGAGGTCCAAATATCCACTTGCAGACTTTACAAAGACAGTGTCTCCAAACTCCTCCATCAAAAGAAAGGTTATACTCTGTGAATTGAACGCACACATCACAAAGTAGTTTCTGAGAATGATTCTGTCTAGTTTTTATACGAAGATATTTCCTTTTCTACATTTGGCCTAAAAGCGCTTGAAATCTCCACCTGCAAATATCACAAAAAGAGGGTTTCACATCTGCTCTGTCTAAAGGACAGTTCACCTCTGTGAGTTGAATAGAGGCAACACAAAGAACTTACTCAGTATTCTTCTTTCTAGCGTTCTATGAAGAAATCCCGTTTCCAACGAAGGCCTCAAAGAGGTCAAATATCTGCTTGCAGACTTTACAGACAGAGTGTTTCCAAACTACTCTATGAAAAGAAAGCTTAAACTCCTTGAGTTGAACGCACACATCACAAAGTAGTTTCTGAGAATGATTCTGTCTAGTTTTTATACGAAGATGTTTCCTTTTCTACATTTGGTCTCAAAGCGATTGAAATCTCCAACTGGAAACTGCACAAATAGGCTGTTTCAAATCTGCTCTGTCTAAAGGAAGGTTCAGCTCTGTGTGTTGAATACACACACCACAAATAAGTTACTGAGAATTCTTCTGTCGAACATTACATGAAGAAATCCCGTTTCCAAGGAAGGCCTCAAAGAGGTCCAAATATCCACTTGCAGACATTACAAACAGAGTGTTTCCAAACTACTCCATCAAAAGAAAGGTTAAACTCGGTGAGCTGAACACACACATCAAAAAGAAGTTTCTGTGAATGATTCTGTCTAGATTGTATAAGATGTTTCCTTTTCTACCGTAGGCCTCAAAGCGCTTGAAATCTCCAGTTGCAAATTCCACAAAAACGGTGTTTAACATCTGCTCTTCTAAAGGAAAGTTCAACTCTATGAGTTGAATACACACAGCACAAAGAAGTTACTGAGACTTCTCCTATCAAACATTATATGAAGAAATCCCGTTTCCAACGAAGGCCTCAAAGAGGTCCAAATATCTGCTTGCAGACTTTACAGACAGAGTGTTTCCAAACTGCTCCATCAAAAGAAAGGTTAAACTCCTTGAGTTGAACACACACATCACAAAGTAGTTTCTGTGAATGATTCTGTCTAGTTGTTATACGAAGATGTTTCCTTTTCTACCTTTGGTCTCAAAGCGATTGAAATCTCCACATGGAAACTCCACAAAAAGAGTGTTTCAAATCTGCTCTTTCTGAAGGAAGGTTCATCTCTGTGAGTTGAATACACACACCACAAATAAGTTACTGAGAATTCTTCTGTGTAACATTATATGAGGAAATCCCGTTTCCAACGAAGGCCTCAAAGAGGTCCAAATATCCACTTGCAGACTTTACAAAGACAGTGTCTCCAAACTCCTCCATCAAAAGAAAGGTTATACTCTGTGAATTGAACGCACACATCACAAAGTAGTTTCTGAGAATGATTCTGTCTAGTTTTTATACGAAGATATTTCCTTTTCTACATTTGGCCTAAAAGCGCTTGAAATCTCCACCTGCAAATATCACAAAAAGAGGGTTTCACATCTGCTCTGTCTAAAGGACAGTTCACCTCTGTGAGTTGAATAGAGGCAACACAAAGAACTTACTCAGTATCTCTTCTTTCTAGCGTTCTATGAAGAAATCCCGTTTCCAACGAAGGCCTCAAAGAGGTCAAATATCTGCTTGCAGACATTACAGACAGAGTGTTTCCAAACTACTCTATGAAAAGAAAGCTTAAACTCCTTGAGTTGAACGCACACATCACAAAGTAGTTTCTGAGAATGATTCTGTCTAGTTTTTATACGAAGATGTTTCCTTTTCTACATTTGGTCTCAAAGCTCTTGAAATCTCCAACTGGAAACTGCACAAATAGGCTGTTTCAAATCTGCTCTGTCTAAAGGAAGGTTCAACTCTGTGAGTTGAATACACACACCACAAATAAGTTACTGAGAATTCTTCTGTCGAACATTACTTGAAGAAATCCCGTTTCCAACGAAGGCCTCAAAGAGGTCCAAATATCCACTTGCAGACGTTACAAACAGAGTGTTTCCAAACTGCTCCATCAAAAGAAAGGTTAAACTCTGTGAGCTGAACACACACATCAAAAAGAAGTTTCTGTGAATGATTCTGTCTAGATTTTATAAGAAGATGTTTCCTTTTCTACCGTAGGCCTCAAAGCGCTTGAAATCTCCAGCTGCAAATTCCACAAAAAGGGTGTTTAACATCTGCTCTTCTAAAGGAAAGTTCAACTCTATGAGTTGAATACACACAGCACAAAGAAGTTACTGAGACTTCTTCTGTCTAACATTATATGAAGAAATCCCGTTTCCAACGAAGGCCTCAAAGAGGTCCAAATATCTGCTTGCAGACTTTACAGACAGAGTGTTTCCAAACTGCTCCATCAAAAGAAAGGTTAAACTCCTTGAGTTGAACACACACATCAAAAAGTAGTTTCTGTGAATGATTCTGTCTAGTTTTTATACGAAGATGTTTCCTTTTCTACCTTTGGTCTCAAAGCGATTGAAATCTCCACATGGAAACTCCACAAAAAGAGTGTTTCAAATCTGCTCTTTCTGAAGGAAGGTTCATCTCTGTGAGTTGAATACACACACCACAAATAAGTTACTGAGAATTCTTCTGTGTAACATTATATGAGGAAATCCCGTTTCCAACGAAGGCCTCAAAGAGATCCAAATATCCACTTGCAGACATTACAAAGACAGTGTCTCCAAACTCCTCCATCAAAAGAAAGGTTATACTCTGTGAATTGAACGCACACATCACAAAGTAGTTTCTGAGAATGATTCTGTCTAGTTTTTATACGAAGATATTTCCTTTTCTACATTTGGCCTAAAAGCGCTTGAAATCTCCACCTGCAAATATCACAAAAAGAGGGTTTCACATCTGCTCTGTTTAAAGGACAGTTCACCTCTGTGAGTTGAATAGAGGCAACACAAAGAACTTACTCAGTATTCTTCTTTCTAGCGTTCTATGAAGAAATCCCGTTTCCAACGAAGGCCCCAAAGAGGTCCAAATATCTGCTTGCAGACTTTACAGACAGAGTGTTTCCAAACTACTCTATGAAAAGAAAGCTTAAACTCCTTGAGTTGAACGCACACATCACAAAGTAGTTTCTGAGAATGATTCTGTCTAGTTTTTATACGAAGATGTTTCCTTTTCTACATTTGGTCTCAAAGCGATTGAAATCTCCAACTGGAAACTGCACAAATAGGGTGTTTCAAATCTGCTCTGTCTAAAGGAAGGTTCAACTCTGTGAGTTGAATACACACACCACAAATAAGTTACTGAGAATTCTTCTGTCGACCATTACTTGAAGAAATCCCGTTGCCAACGAAGGCCTCAAAGAGGTCCAAATATCCACTTGCAGACATTACAAACAGAGTGTTTCCAAACTGCTCCATCAAAAGAAAGGTTAAACTCTGTGAGCTGAACACACACATCGAAAAGAAGTTTCTGTGAATGATTCTGTCTAGATTTTATAAGAAGATGTTTCCTTTTCTACCGTAGGCCTCAAAGCGCTTGAAATCTCCAGCTGCAAATTCCACAAAAAGGGTGTTTAACATCTGCTCTTCTAAAGGAAAGTTCAACTCTATGAGTTGAATACACACAGCACAAAGAAGTTACTGAGACTTCTCCTATCAAACATTATATGAAGAAATCCCGTTTCCAACGAAGGCCTCAAAGAGGTCCAAATATCTGCTTGCAGACTTTACAGACAGAGTGTTTCCAAACTGCTCCATCAAAAGAAAGGTTAAACTCCTTGAGTTGAACACACACATCACAAAGTAGTTTCTGTGAATGATTCTGTCTAGTTTTTATACGAAGATGTTTCCTTTTCTACTTTTGGTCTCAAAGCGATTGGAATCTCCACATGGAAACTCCACAAAAAGAGTGTTTCAAATCTGCTCTTTCTGAAGGAAGGTTCAACTCTGTGAGTTGAATACACACACCACAAATAAGTTACTGAGAATTCTTCTGTGTAACATTATATGAGGAAATCCCGTTTCCAACGAAGGCCTCAAAGAGGTCCAAATATCCACTTGCAGACTTTACAAAGACAGTGTCTCCAAACTCCTCCATCAAAAGAAAGTTTATACTCTGTGAATTGAACGCACACATCACAAAGTAGTTTCTGAGAATGATTCTGTCTAGTTTTTATACGAAGATATTTCCTTTTCTACATTTGGCCTAAAAGCGCTTGAAATCTCCACCTGCAAATATCACAAAAAGAGGGTTTCACATCTGCTCTGTCTAAAGGACAGTTCACCTCTGTGAGTTGAATAGAGGCAACACAAAGAACTTACTCAGTATTCTTCTTTCTAGCGTTCTATGAAGAAATCCCGTTTCCAACGAAGGCCCCAAAGAGTTCCAAATATCTGCTTGCAGACTTTACAGACAGAGTTTTTCCAAACTGCTCCATCAAAAGAAAGGTTAAACTCCTTGAGTTGAACACACACATCACAAAGTAGTTTCTGTGAATGATTCTGTCTAGTTTTTATACGAAGATGTTTCCTTTTCTACCTTTCGTCTCAAAGCGATTGAAATCTCCACATGGAAACTCCACAAAAAGAGTGTTTCAAATCTGCTCTTTCTGAAGGAAGGTTCAACTCTGTGAGTTGAATACACACACCACAAATAAGTTACTGAGAATTCTACTGTGTAACATTATATGAGGAAATCCCGTTTCCAACGAAGGCCTCAAAGAGGTCCAAATATCCACTTGCAGACTTTACAAAGACAGTTTCTCCAAACTCCTCCATCAAAAGAAAGGTTATACTCTGTGAATTGAACGCACACATCACAAAGTAGTTTCTGAGAATGATTCTGTCTAGTTTTTATACGAAGATATTTCCTTTTCTACATTTGGCCTAAAAGCGCTTGAAATCTCCACCTGCAAATATCACAAAAGGAGGGTTTCACATCTGCTCTGTCTAAAGGACAGTTCACCTCTGTGAGTTGAATAGAGGCAACACAAAGAACTTACTCAGTATTCTTCTTTCTAGCGCTCTATGAAGAAATCCCGTTTCCAACGAAGGCCTCAAAGAGGTCCAAATATCTGCTTGCAGACTTTACAGACAGAGTGTTTCCAAACTACTCTATGAAAAGAAAGCTTAAACTCCTTGAGTTGAACGCACACATCACAAAGTAGTTTCTGAGAATGATTCTGTCTAGTTTTTATACGAAGATGTTTCCTTTTCTACATTTGGTCTCAAAGCGATTGAAATCTCCAACTGGAAACTGCACAAATAGGCTGTTTCAAATCTGCTCTGTCTAAAGGAAGGGTCAGCTCTGTGAGTTGAATACACACACCACAAATAAGTTACTGAGAATTCTTCTGTCGAACATTACATGAAGAAATCCCGTTTCCAACGAAGGCCTCAAAGAGGTCCAAATATCCACTTGCAGAGATTACAAACAGTGTGTTTCCAAACTGCTCCATCAAAAGAAAGGTTAAACTCTGTGAGCTGAACACACACATCAAAAAGATGTTTCTGTGAATGATTCTGTCTAGATTTTATAAGAAGATGTTTCCTTTTCTACAGTAGGCCTCAAAGCGCTTGAAATCTCCAGCTGCAAATTCCACAAAAAGGGTGTTTAACATCTGCTCTTCTAAAGGAAAGTTCAAATCTATGAGTTGAATACACACAGCACAAAGAAGTTACTGAGACTTCTCCTATCAAACATTATATGAAGAAATCCCGTTTCCAACGAAGGCCTCAAAGAGGTCCAAATATCTGCTTGCAGACTTTACAGACAGAGTTTTTCCAAACTGCTCCATCAAAAGAAAGGTTAAACTCCTTGAGTTGAACACACACATCACAAAGTAGTTTCTGTGAATGATTCTGTCTAGTTTTTATACGAAGATGTTTCCTTTTCTACCTTTGGTCTCAATGCGATTGAAATCTCCACATGGAAACTCCACAAAAAGAGTGTTTCAAATCTGCTCTTTCTGAAGGAAGGTTCAACTCTGTGAGTTGAATACACACACCACAAATAAGTTACTGAGAATTCTTCTGTGTAACATTATATGAGGAAATCCCGTTTCCAACGAAGGCCTCAAAGAGGTCCAAATATCCACTTGCAGACTTTACAAAGACAGTGTCTCCAAACTCCTCCATCAAAAGAAAGGTTATACTCTGTGAATTGAACGCACACATCTCAAAGTAGTTTCTGAGAATGATTCTGTCTAGTTTTTATACGAAGATATTTCCTTTTCTACATTTGGCCTCAAAGCGCTTGAAATCTCCACCTGCAAATATCACAAAAAGAAGGTTTCACATCTGCTCTGTCTAAAGGACAGTTCACCTCTGTGAGTTGAATAGAGGCAACACAAAGAACTTACTCAGTATTCTTCTTTCTAGCGTTCTATGAAGAAATCCCGTTTCCAACCGAAGGCCCTAAAGAGGTCCAAATATCTGCTTGCAGACTTTACAGACAGAGTGTTTCCAAACTACTCTATGAAAAGAAAGCTTAAACTCCTTGAGTTGAACGCACACATCACAAAGTAGTTTCTGAGAATGATTCTGTCTAGTTTTTATACGAAGATGTTTCCTTTTCTACATTTGGTCTCAAAGCGATTGAAATCTCCAACTGGAAACTGCACAAACAGTGTGTTTCAAATCTGCTCTGTCTAAAGGAAGGTTCAACTCTGTGAGTTGAATACACACACCACAAATAAGTTACTGAGAATTCTTCTGTCGAACATTACTTGAAGAAATCCCGTTTCCAACGAAGGCCTCAAAGAGGTCCAAATATCCACTTGCAGACATTACAAACAGAGTGTTTCCAAACTGCTCCATCAAAAGAAAGGTTAAACTCTGTGAGCTGAACACACACATCGAAAAGAAGTTTCTGTGAATGATTCTGTCTAGATTTTATAAGAAGATGTTTCCTTTTCTACCGTAGGCCTCAAAGCGCTTGAAATCTCCAGCTGCAAATTCCACAAAAAGGGTGTTTAACATCTGCTCTTCTAAAGGAAAGTTCAACTCTATGAGTTGAATACACACAGCACAAAGAAGTTACTGAGACTTCTCCTATCAAACATTATATGAAGAAATCCCGTTTCCAACGAAGGCCTCAAAGAGGTCCAAATATCTGCTTGCAGACTTTACAGACAGAGTGTTTCCAAACTGCTCCATCAAAAGAAAGGTTAAACTCCTTGAGTTGAACACACACATCACAAAGTAGTTTCTGTGAATGATCTGTCTAGTTTTTATACGAAGATGTTTCCTTTTCTACATTTGGTCTCAAAGCCATTGAAATCTCCACATGGAAACTCCACAAAAAGAGTGTTTCAAATCTGCTCTTTCTGAAGGAAGGTTCAACTCTGTGAGTTGAATACACACGCCACAAATAAGTTACTGAGAATTCTTTCTGTGTAACATTATATGAGGAAATCCCGTTTCCAACGAAGGCCTCAAAGAGGTCCAAATATCCACTTGCAGACTTTACAAAGACAGTGTCTCCAAACTCCTCCATCAAAAGAAAGGTTATACTCTGTGAATTGAACGCACACATCACAAAGTAGTTTCTGAGAATGATTCTGTCTAGTTTTTATACGAAGATATTTCCTTTTCTACATTTGGCCTAAAAGCGCTTGAAATCTCCACCTGCAAATATCACAAAAAGAGGGTTTCACATCTGCTCTGTCTAAAGGACAGTTCACCTCTGTGAGTTGAATAGAGGCAACACAAAGAACTTACTCAGTATTCTTCTTTCTAGCGTTCTATGAAGAAATCCCGTTTCCAACGAAGGCCCCAAAGAGGTCCAAATATCTGCTTGCAGACTTTACAGACAGAGTGTTTCCAAACTACTCTATGAAAAGAAAGCTTAAACTCCTTGAGTTGAACGCACACATCACAAAGTAGTTTCTGAGAATGATTCTGTCTAGTTTTTATACGAAGATGTTTCCTTTTCTACATTTGGTCTCAAAGCGATTGAAATCTCCAACTGGAAACTGCACAAATAGGGTGTTTCAAATCTGCTCTGTCTAAAGGAAGGTTCAACTCTGTGAGTTGAATACACACACCACAAATAAGTTACTGAGAATTCTTCTGTCGAACATTACTTGAAGAAATCCCGTTTCCAACGAAGGCCTCAAAGAGGTCCAAATATCCACTTGCAGACATTACAAACAGAGTGTTTCCAAACTGCTCCATCAAAAGAAAGGTTAAACTCTGTGAGCTGAACACACACATCAAAAAGAAGTTTCTGTGAATGATTCTGTCTAGATTTTATAAGAAGATGTTTCCTTTTCTACCGTAGGCCTCAAAGCGCTTGAAATCTCCAGCTGCAAATTCCACAAAAAGGGTGTTTAACATCTGCTCTTCTAAAGGAAAGTTCAACTCTATGAGTTGAATACACACAGCACAAAGAAGTTACTGAGACTTCTCCTATCAAACATTATATGAAGAAATCCCGTTTCCAACGAAGGCCTCAAAGAGGTCCAAATATCTGCTTGCAGACTTTACAGACAGAGTTTTTCCAAACTGCTCCATCAAAAGAAAGGTTAAACTCCTTGAGTTGAACACACACATCACAAAGTAGTTTCTGTGAATGATTCTGTCTAGTTTTTATACGAAGATGTTTCCTTTTCTACCTTTGGTCTCAAAGCGATTGAAATCTCCACATGGAAACTCCACAAAAAGAGTGTTTCAAATCTGCTCTTTCTGAAGGAAGGTTCAACTCTGTGAGTTGAATACACACACCACAAATAAGTTACTGAGAATTCTTCTGTGTAACATTATATGAGGAAATCCCGTTTCCAACGAAGGCCTCAAAGAGGTCCAAATATCCACTTGCAGACTTTACAAAGACAGTGTCTCCAAACTCCTCCATCAAAAGAAAGGTTATACTATGTGAATTGAACGCACACATCACAAAGTAGTTTCTGAGAATGATTCTGTCTAGTTTTTATACGAAGATATTTCCTTTTCTACATTTGGCCTAAAAGCACTTGAAATCTCCACTGAAAATATCACAAAAAGAGGGTTTCACATCTGCTCTGTCTAAAGGACAGTTCACCTCTGTGAGTTGAATAGAGGCAACACAAAGAACTTACTCAGTATTCTTCTTTCTAGCGTTCTATGAAGAAATCCCGTTTCCAACGAAGGCCTCAAAGAGGTCAAATATCTGCTTGCAGACTTTACAGACAGAGTGTTTCCAAACTACTCTATGAAAAGAAAGCTTAAACTCCTTGAGTTGAACGCACACATCACAAAGTACTTTCTGAGAATGATTCTGTCTAGTTTTAATACGAAGATGTTTCCTTTTCTACATTTGGTCTCAAAGCGATTGAAATCTCCAACTGGAAACTGCACAAATAGGGTGTTTCAAATCTGCTCTGTCTAAAGGAAGGTTCAACTCTGTGAGTTGAATACACACACCACAAATAAGTTACTGAGAATTCTTCTGTCGAACATTACTTGAAGAAATCCCGTTTCCACCGAAGGCCTCAAAGAGGTCCAAATATCTGTTTGCAGACTTTACAGATAGAGTGTTTCCAAACTGCTCCATGAAAAGAAAGGTTAAACTCCTTGAGTTGATCACACACATCACAAAGTAGTTTCTGTGAATGATTCTGTCTAGTTTTTATACGAAGATGTTTCCTTTTCTACCTTTGGTCTCAAAGCGATTGAAATCTCCACATGGAAACTCCACAAAAAGAGGGTTTCAAATCTGCTCTTTCTGAAGGAAGGTTCACCTCTGTGAGTTGAATAAACACACCACAAATAAGTTACTGAGAATTCTTCTGTGTAACATTATATGAGGAAATCCCGTTTCCAACGAAGGCCTCAAAGAGGTCCAAATATCCACTTGCAGACTTTAGAAACACAGTGTCTCCAAACTCCTCCATCAAAAGAAAGGTTATACTCTGTGAAATGAACGCACACATCAGAAAGTAGTTTCTGAGAATGATTCTGTCTAGTTTTTATACGAAGATATTTCCTTTTCTACATTTGGCCTAAAAGCGCTTGAAATCTCCACCTGCAAATATCACAAAAAGAGGGTTTCACATCTGCTCTGTCTAAAGGACAGTTCACCTCTGCGAGTTGAATAGAGGCAACACAAAGAACTTACTCAGTATTCTTCTTTCTAGCGTTCCATGAAGAAATCCCGTTTCCAACGAAGGCCCCAAAGAGGTCCAAATATCTGCTTGCAGACTTTACAGACAGAGTGTTTCCAAACTACTCTATGAAAAGAAAGCTTAAACTCCTTGAGTTGAACGCACACATCACAAAGTAGTTTCTGAGAATAATTCTGTCTAGTTTTTATACGAAGAAGTTTCCTTTTCTACATTTGGTCACAAAGCGATTGAAATCTCCAACTGGAAACTGCACAAATAGGGTGTTTCAAATCTGCTCTGTCTAAAGGAAGGTTCAACTCTCTGAGTTGAATACACACACCACAAATAAGTTACTGAGAATTCTTCTGTCGACCATTACTTGAAGAAATCCCGTTTCCAACGAAGGCCTCAAAGAGGTCCAAATATCCACTTGCAGACATTACAAACAGAGTGTTTCCAAACTGCTCCATCAAAAGAAAGGTTAAACTCTGTGAGCGGAACACACACATCAAAAAGAAGTTTCTGTGAATGATTCTGTCTAGATTTTATAAGAAGATGTTTCCTTTTCTACCGTAGGCCTCAAAGCGCTTGAAATCTCCAGCTGCAAATTCCACAAAAAGGGTGTTTAACATCTGCTCTTCTAAAGGAAAGTTCAACTCTATGAGTTGAATACACACAGCACAAAGAAGTTACTGAGACTTCTCCTATCAAACATTATATGAAGAAATCCCGTTTCCAACGAAGGCCTCAAAGAGGTCCAAATATCTGCTTGCAGACTTTACAGACAGAGTGTTTCCAAACTGCTCCATCAAAAGAAAGGTTAAACTCCTTGAGTTGAACACACACATCACAAAGTAGTTTCTGTGAATGATTCTGTCTAGTTTTTATACGAAGATGTTTCCTTTTCTACCTTTGGTCTCAATGCGATTGAAATCTCCACATGGAAACTCCACAAAAAGAGTGTTTCAAATCTGCTCTTTCTGAAGGAAGGTTCAACTCTGTGAGTTGAATACACACACCACAAATAAGTTACTGAGAATTCTTCTGTGTAACATTATATGAGGAAATCCCGTTTCCAACGAAGGCCTCAAAGAGATCCAAATATCCACTTGCAGACTTTACAAAGACAGTGTCTCCAAACTCCTCCATCAAAAGAAAGGTTATCCTCTGTGAATTGAACGCACACATCACAAAGTAGTTTCTGAGAATGATTCTGTCTAGTTTTTATGCGAAGATATTTCCTTTTCTACATTTGGCCTAAAAGCGCTTGAAATCTACACCTGCAAATATCAGAAAAAGAGGGTTTCACATCTGCTCTGTCTAAAGGACAGTTCACCTCTGTAAGTTGAATAGAGGCAACACAAAGAAGTTACTGAGTATTCTTCTTTCTAGCGTTCTATGAAGAAATCCCGTTTCCAACGAAGGCCCCAAAGAGGTCCAAATATCGGCTTGCAGACTTTACAGACAGAGTGTTTCCAAACTACTCTATGAAAAGAAAGCTTAAACTCCTTGAGTTGAACGCACACATCACAAAGTAGTTTCTGAGAATGATTCTGTCTAGTTTTTATACGAAGGATGTTTCCTTTTCTACATTTGGTCTCAAAGCTCTTGAAATCTCCAACTGGAAACTGCACAAATAGGCTGTTTCAAATCTGCTCTGTCTAAAGGAAGGTTCAACTCTGTGAGTTGAATACACACACCACAAATAAGTTACTGAGAATTCTTCTGTCGAACATTACATGAAGAATTCCCGTTTCCAACGAAGGCCTCAAAGAGGTCCAAATATCCACTTGCAGGCATTACAAACAGAGTGTTTCCAAACTGCTCCATCAAAAGAAAGGTTAAACTCTGTGAGCTGAACACACACATCAAAAAGAAGTTTCTGTGAATGATTCTGTCTAGATTTTATAAGAAGATGTTTCCTTTTCTACCGTAGGCCTCAAAGCGCTTGAAATCTCCAGCTGCAAATTCCACAAAAAGGGTGTTTAACATCTGCTCTTCTAAAGGAAAGTTCAACTCTATGAGTTGAATACACACAGCACAAAGAAGTTACTGAGACTTCTCCTATCTAACATTATATGAAGAAATCCCGTTTCCAACGAAGGCCTCAAAGAGGTCCAAATATCTGCTTGCAGACTTTACAGACAGAGTGTTTCCAAACTGCTCCATCAAAAGAAAGGTTAAACTCCTTGAGTTGAACACACACATCACAAAGTAGTTTCTGTGAATGATTCTGTCTAGTTGTTATACGAAGATGTTTCCTTTTCTACCTTTGGTCTCAAAGCGATTGAAATCTCCACATGGAAACTCCACAAAAAGAGTGTTTCAAATCTGCTCTTTCTGAAGGAAGGTTCATCTCTGTGAGTTGAATACACACACCACAAATAAGTTACTGAGAATTCTTCTGTGTAACATTATATGAGGAAATCCCGTTTCCAACGAAGGCCTCAAAGAGGTCCAAATATCCACTTGCAGACTTTACAAAGACAGTGTCTCCAAACTCCTCCATCAAAAGAAAGGTTATACTCTGTGAATTGAACGCACACATCACAAAGTAGTTTCTGAGAATGATTCTGTCTAGTTTTTATACGAAGATATTTCCTTTTCTACATTTGGCCTAAAAGCGCTTGAAATCTCCACCTGCAAATATCACAAAAAGAGGGTTTCACATCTGCTCTGTCTAAAGGACAGTTCACCTCTGTGAGTTGAATAGAGGCAACACAAAGAACTTACTCAGTATTCTTCTTTCTAGCGTTCTATGAAGAAATCCCGTTTCCAATGAAGGCCCCAAAGAGGTCCAAATATCTGCTTGCAGACTTTACAGACAGAGTGTTTCCAAACTACTCTATGAAAAGAAAGCTTAAACTCCTTGAGTTGAACGCACACATCACAAAGTAGTTTCTGAGAATGATTCTGTCTAGTTTTTATACGAAGATGTTTCCTTTTCTACATTTGGTCTCAAAGCGATTGAAATCTCCAACTGGGAACTGCACAAATAGGGTGTTTCAAATCTGCTCTGTCTAAAGGAAGGTTCAACTCTGTGAGTTGAATACACACACCACAAATAAGTTACTGAGAATTCTTCTGTCGAACATTACTTGAAGAAATCCCGTTTCCAACGAAGGCCTCAAAGAGGTCCAAATATCCACTTGCAGACATTACAAACAGAGTGTTTCCAAACTGCTCCATCAAAAGAAAGGTTAAACTCTGTGAGCTGAACACACACATCAAAAAGAAGTTTCTGTGAATGATTCTGTCTAGATTTTATAAGAAGATGTTTCCTTTTCTACCGTAGGCCTCAAAGCGCTTGAAATCTCCAGCTGCAAATTCCACAAAAAGGGTGTTTAAGATCTGCTCTTCTAAAGGAAAGTTCAACTCTATGAGTTGAATACACACAGCACAAAGAAGTTACTGAGACTTCTCCTATCAAACATTATATGAAGAAATCCCGTTTCCAACGAAGGCCTCAAAGAGGTCCAAATATCTGCTTGCAGACTTTACAGACAGAGTGTTTCCAAACTGCTCCATCAAAAGAAAGGTTAAACTCCTTGAGTTGAACACACACATCACAAAGTAGTTTCTGTGAATGATTCTGTCTAGTTGTTATACGAAGATGTTTCCTTTTCTACCTTTGGTCTCAAAGCGATTGAAATCTCCACATGGAAACTCCACAAAAAGAGTGTTTCAAATCTGCTCTTTCTGAAGGAAGTTTCATCTCTGTGAGTTGAATACACACACTACAAATAAGTTACTGAGAATTCTTCTGTGTAACATTATATGAGGAAATCCCGTTTCCAACGAAGGCCTCAAAGAGGTCCAAATATCCACTTGCAGACTTTACAAAGACAGTGTCTCCAAACTCCTCCATCAAAAGAAAGGTTATACTCTGTGAATTGAACGCACACATCACAAAGTAGTTTCTGAGAATGATTCTGTCTAGTTTTTATACGAAGATATTTCCTTTTCTACATTTGGCCTAAAAGCGCTTGAAATCTCCACCTGCAAATATCACAAAAAGAGGGTTTCACATCTGCTCTGTCTAAAGGACAGTTCACCTCTGTGAGTTGAATAGAGGCAACACAAAGAACTTACTCAGTATTCTTCTTTCTAGCGTTCTATGAAGAAATCCCGTTTCCAACGAAGGCCTCAAAGAGGTCAAATATCTGCTTGCAGACTTTACAGACAGAGTGTTTCCAAACTACTCTATGAAAAGAAAGCTTAAACTCCTTGAGTTGAACGCACACATCACAAAGTAGTTTCTGAGAATGATTCTGTCTAGTTTTTATACGAAGATGTTTCCTTTTCTACATTTGGTCTCAAAGCGATTGAAATCTCCAACTGGAAACTGCACAAATAGGCTGTTTCAAATCTGCTCTGTCTAAAGGAAGGTTCAACTCTGTGAGTTGAATACACACACCACAAATAAGTTACTGAGAATTCTTCTGTCGAACATTACTTGAAGAAATCCCGTTTCCAACGAAGGCCTCAAAGAGGTCCAAATATCCACTTGCAGACATTACAAACAGAGTGTTTCCAAACTGCTCCATCAAAAGAAAGGTTAAACTCTGTGAGCTGAACACACACATCAAAAAGAAGTTTCTGTGAATGATTCTGTCTAGATTTTATAAGAAGATGTTTCCTTTTCTACCGTAGGCCTCAAAGCGCTTGAAATCTCCAGCTGCAAATTCCACAAAAAGGGTGTTTAACATCTGCTCTTCTAAAGGAAAGTTCAACTCTATGAGTTGAATACACACAGCACAAAGAAGTTACTGAGACTTCTTCTTTCTAGCGTTATAAGAAGAAATCCCTTTTCCAACGAAGGCCTCAAAGAGGTCCAAATATCCACTTGCAGACGTGACAAACAGAGTGTTTCCAAACTGCTGCATCAAAAGAAAGTTTAAACTCCGTGAGTTGAACACACACATCACAAAGTAGTTTCTGTGAATGATTCTGTCTAGTTTTTATACGAAGATGTTTCCTTTTCTACCTTTGGTCTCAAAGCGATTGAAATCTCCACATGGAAACTCCACAAAAAGAGTGTTTCAAATCTGCTCTTTCTGAAGGAAGGTTCAACTCTGTGAGTTGAATACACACACCACAAATAAGTTACTGAGAATTCTTCTGGGTAACATTATATGAGGAAATCCCGTTTCCAACGAAGGCCTCAAAGAGGTCCAAATATCCACTTGCAGACTTTACAAAGACAGTGTCTCCAAACTCCTCCATCAAAAGAAAGGTTATACTCTGTGAATTGAACGCACACATCACAAAGTAGTTTCTGAGAATGATTCTGTCTAGTTTTTATACGAAGATATTTCCTTTTCTACATTTGGCCTAAAAGCGCTTGAAATCTCCACCTGCAAATATCACAAAAAGAGGGTTTCACATCTGCTCTGTCTAAAGGACAGTTCACCTCTGTGAGTTGAATAGAGGCAACACAAAGAACTTACTCAGTATTCTTCTTTCTAGCGTTCTATGAAGAAATCCCGTTTCCAACGAAGGCCTCAAAGAGGTCAAATATCTGCTTGCAGACTTTACAGACAGAGTGTTTCCAAACTACTCTATGAAAAGAAAGCTTAAACTCCTTGAGTTGAACGCACACATCACAAAGTAGTTTCTGAGAATGATTCTGTCTAGTTTTTATACGAAGATGTTTCCCTTTCTACATTTGGTCTCAAAGCGATTGAAATCTCCAACTGGAAACTGCACAAATAGGCTGTTTCAAATCTGCTCTGTCTAAAGGAAGGTTCAACTCTGTGAGTTGAATACACACACCACAAATAAGTTACTGAGAATTCTTCTGTCGAACATTACAGGAAGAAATCCCGTTTCCAACGAAGGCCTCAAAGAGGTCCAAATATCCTCTTGCAGACATTACAAACAGTGTGTTTCCCAACTGCTCCATCAAAAGAAAGGTTAAACTCTGTGAGCTGAACACACACATCAAAAAGAAGTTTCTGTGAATGATTCTGTCTAGATTTTATAAGAAGATGTTTCCTTTTCTACCGTAGGCCTCAAAGCGCTTGAAATCTCCAGCTGCAAATTACACAAAAAGGGTGTTTAACATCTGCTCTTCTAAAGGAAAGTTCAACTCTATGAGTTGAATACACACAGCACAAAGAAGTTACTGAGACTTCTCCTATCAAACATTATATGAAGAAATCCCGTTTCCAACGAAGGCCTCAAAGAGGTCCAAATATCTGCTTGCAGACTTTACAGACAGAGTGTTTCCAAACTGCTCCATCAAAAGAAAGGTTAAACTCCTTGAGTTGAACACACACATCACAAAGTAGTTTCTGTGAATGATTCTGTCTAGTTTTTATACGAAGATGTTTCCTTTTCTACCTTTGGTCTCAAAGCGATTGAAATCTCCACATGGAAACTCCACAAAAAGAGTGTTTCAAATCTGCTCTTTCTGAAGGAAGGTTCAACTCTGTGAGTTGAATACACACACCACAAATAAGTTACTGAGAATTCTTCTGTGTAACATTATATGAGGAAATCCTGTTTCCAACGAAGGCCTCAAAGAGGTCCAAATATCCACTTGCAGACTTTACAAACACAGTGTCTCCAAACTCCTCCATCAAAAGAAAGGTTATACTCTGTGAATTGAACGCACACATCACAAAGTAGTTTCTGAGAATGATTCTGTCTAGTTTTTATACGAAGATATTTCCTTTTCTACATTTGGCCTAAAAGCGCTTGAAGTCTCCACCTGCAAATATCACAAAAAGAGGGTTTCACATCTGCTCTGTCTAAAGGACAGTTCACCTCTGTGAGTTGAATAGAGGCAACACAAAGAACTTACTCAGTATTCTTCTTTCTAGCGTTCTATGAAGAAATCCCGTTTCCAACGAAGGCCCCAAAGAGGTCCAAATATCTGCTTGCAGACTTTACAGACAGAGTGTTTCCAAACTACTCTATGAAAAGAAAGCTTAAACTCCTTGAGTTGAACGCACACATCACAAAGTAGTTTCTGAGAATGATTCTGTCTAGTTTTTATACGAAGATGTTTCCTTTTCTACATTTGGTCTCAAAGCGATTGAAATCTCCAACTGGAAACTGCACAAATAGGGTGTTTCAAATCTGCTCTGTCTAAAGGAAGGTTCAACTCTGTGAGTTGAATACACACACCACAAATAAGTTACTGAGAATTCTTCTGTCGACCATTACTTGATGAAATCCCGTTTCCAACGAAGGCCTCAAAGAGGTCCAAATATCCACTTGCAGACATTACAAACAGAGTGTTTCCAAACTGCTCCATCAAAAGAAAGGTTAAACTCTGTGAGCTGAACACACACATCGAAAAGAAGTTTCTGTGAATGATTCTGTCTAGATTTTATAAGAAGATGTTTCCTTTTCTCCCGTAGGCCTCAAAGCGCTTGAAATCTCCAGCAGCAAATTCCACAAAAAGGGTGTTTAACATCTGCTCTTCTAAAGGAAAGTTCAACTCTATGAGTTGAATACACACAGCACAAAGAAGTTACTGAGACTTCTCCTATCAAACATTATATGAAGAAATCCCGTTTCCAACGAAGGCCTCAAAGAGGTCCAAATATCTGCTTGCAGACTTTACAGACAGTGTGTTTCCAAACTGCTCCATCAAAAGAAAGGTTAAACTCCTTGAGTTGAACACACACATCACAAAGTAGTTTCTGTGAATGATTCTGTCTAGTTTTTATAAGAAGATGTTTCCTTTTCTACCTTTGGTCTCAAAGCGATTGAAATCTCCACATGGAAACTCCACAAAAAGAGTGTTTCAAATCTGCTCTTTCTGAAGGAAGGTTCAACTCTGTGAGTTGAATACACACACCACAAATAATTTACTGAGAATTCTTCTGTGTAACATTACATGAGGAAATCCCGTTTCCAACGAAGGCCTCAAAGAGGTCCAAATATCCACTTGCAGACTTTACAAAGACAGTGTCTCCAAACTCCTCCATCAAAAGAAAGGTTATACTCTGTGAATTGAACGCACACATCACAAAGTAGTTTCTGAGAATGATTCTGTCTAGTTTTTATACGAAGATATTTCCTTTTCTACATTTGGCCTAAAAGCGCTTGAAATCTCCACCTGCAAATATCACAAAAAGAGGGTTTCACATCTGCTCTGTCTAAAGGACAGTTCACCTCTGTGAGTTGAATAGAGGCAACACAAAGAACTTACTCAGTATTCTTCTTTCTAGCGTTCTATGAAGAAATCCCGTTTCCAACGAAGGCCTCAAAGAGGTCAAATATCTGCTTGCAGACTTTACAGACAGAGTGTTTCCAAACTACTCTATGAAAAGAAAGCTTAAACTCCTTGAGTTGAACGCACACATCACAAAGTAGTTTCTGAGAATGATTCTGTCTAGTTTTTATACGAAGATGTTTCCTTTTCTACATTTGGTCTCAAAGCTCTTGAAATCTCCAACTGGAAACTGCACAAATAGGCTGTTTCAAATCTGCTCTGTCTAAAGGAAGGTTCAGCTCTGTGAGTTGAATGCACACACCACAAATAAGTTACTGAGAATTCTTCTGTCGAACATTACTTGAAGAAATCCCGTTTCCAACGAAGGCCTCAAAGAGGTCCAAATATCCACTTGCAGACGTTACAAACAGAGTGTTTCCAAACTGCTCCATCAAAAGAAAGGTTAAACTCTGTGAGCTGAACACACACATCAAAAAGAAGTTTCTGTGAATGATTCTGTCTAGATTTTATAAGAAGATGTTTCCTTTTCTACCGTAGGCCTCAAAGCGCTTGAAATCTCCAGCTGCAAATTCCACAAAAAGGGTGTTTAACATCTGCTCTTCTAAAGGAAAGTTCAACTCTATGAGTTGAATACACACAGCACAAAGAAGTTACTGAGACTTCTCCTATCAAACATTATATGAAGAAATCCCGTTTCCAACGAAGGCCTCAAAGAGGTCCAAATATCTGCTTGCAGACTTTACAGACAGAGTGTTTCCAAACTGCTCCATCAAAAGAAAGGTTAAACTCCTTGAGTTGAACACACACATCACAAAGTAGTTTCTGTGAATGATTCTGTCTAGTTGTTATACGAAGATGTTTCCTTTTCTACCTTTGGTCTCAAAGCGATTGAAATCTCCACATGGAAACTCCACAAAAAGAGTGTTTCAAATCTGCTCTTTCTGAAGGAAAGTTCATCTCTGTGAGTTGAATACACACACCACAAATAAGTTACTGAGAATTCTTCTGGGTAACATTATATGAGGAAATCCCGTTTCCAACGAAGGCCTCAAAGAGGTCCAAATATCCACTTGCAGACTTTACAAAGACAGTGTCTCCAAACTCCTCCATCAAAAGAAAGGTTATACTCTGTGAATTGAACGCACACATCACAAAGTAGTTTCTGAGAATGATTCTGTCTAGTTTTTATACGAAGATATTTCCTTTTCTACATTTGGCCTAAAAGCGCTTGAAATCTCCACCTGCAAATATCACAAAAAGAGGGTTTCACATCTGCTCTGTCTAAAGGACAGTTCACCTCTGTGAGTTGAATAGAGGCAACACAAAGAACTTACTCAGTATTCTTCTTTCTAGCGTTATATGAAGAAATCCCGTTTCCAACGAAGGCCTCAAAAAGGTCCAAATATCTGCTTGCAGACTTTACAGACAGAGTGCTTCCAAACTACTCTATGAAAAGAAAGCTTAAACTCCTTGAGTTGAACTGCACACATCACAAAGTAGTTTCTGAGAATGATTCTGTCTAGTTTTTATACGAAGATGTTTCCTTTTCTACATTTGGTCTCAAAGCGATTGAAATCTCCTACTGGAAACTGCACAAATAGGGTGTTTCAAATCTGCTCTGTCTAAAGGAAGGTTCAACTCTGTGAGTTGAATACACACACCACAAATAAGTTACTGAGAATTCTTCTGTCGAACATTACTTGAAGAAATCCCGTTTCCAACGAAGGCCTCAAAGAGGTCCAAATATCCACTTGCAGACATTACAAACAGAGTGTTTCCAAACTGCTCCATCAAAAGAAAGGTTAAACCCTGTGAGCTGAACACACACATCAAAAAGAAGTTTCTGTGAATGATTCTGTCTAGATTTTATAAGAAGATGTTTCCTTTTCTACCGTAGGCCTCAAAGCGCTTGAAATCTCCAGCTGCAAATTCCACAAAAAGGGTGTTTAACATCTGCTCTTCTAAAGGAAAGTTCAACTCTATGAGTTGAATACACACAGCACAAAGAAGTTACTGAGACTTCTCCTATCAAACATTATATGAAGAAATCCCGTTTCCAACGAAGGCCCCAAAGAGGTCCAAATATCTGCTTGCAGACTTTACAGACAGAGTGTTTCCAAACTGCTCCATCAAAAGAAAGGTTAAACTCCTTGAGTTGAACACACACATCACAAAGTAGTTTCTGTGAATGATTCTGTCTAGTTTTTATACGAAGATGTTTCCTTTTCTACCTTTGGTCTCAAAGCGATTGAAATCTCCACATGGAAACTCCACAAAAAGAGTGTTTCAAATCTGCTCTTTCTGAAGGAAGGTTCAACTCTGTGAGTTGAATACACACACCACAAATAAGTTACTGAGAATTCTTCTGTGTAACATTATATGAGGAAATCCCGTTTCCAACGAAGGCCTCAAAGAGGTCCAAATATCCACTTGCAGACTTTACAAAGACAGTGTCTCCAAACTCCTCCATCAAAAGAAAGGTTATACTCTGTGAATTGAACGCACACATCACAAAGTAGTTTCTGAGAATGATTCTGTCTAGTTTTTATACGAAGATATTTCCTTTTCTACATTTGGCCTAAAAGCGCTTGAAATCTCCACCTGCAAATATCACAAAAAGAGGGTTTCACATCTGCTCTGTCTAAAGGACAGTTCACCTCTGTGAGTTGAATAGAGGCAACACAAAGAACTTACTCAGTATTCTTCTTTCTAGCGTTCTATGAAGAAATCCCGTTTCCAACGAAGGCCCCAAAGAGGTCCAAATATCTGCTTGCAGACTTTACAGACAGAGTGTTTCCAAACTACTCTATGAAAAGAAAGCTTAAACTCCTTGAGTTGAACGCACACATCACAAAGTAGTTTCTGAGAATGATTCTGTCTAGTTTTTATACGAAGATGTTTCCTTTTCTACGTTTGGTCTCAAAGCGATTGAAATCTCCAACTGGAAACTGCACAAATAGGCTGTTTCAAATCTGCTCTGTCTAAAGGAAGGTTCAACTCTGTGAGTTGAATACACACACCACAAATAAGTTACTGAGAATTCTTCTTTCGAACACTACTTGAAGAAATCCCGTTTCCAACGAAGGCCTCAAAGAGGTCCAAATATCCACTTGCAGACATTACAAACAGAGTGTTTCCAAACTGCTCCATCAAAAGAAAGGTTAAACTCTGTGAGCTGAACACACACATCAAAAAGAAGTTTCTGTGAATGATTCTGTCTAGATTTTATAAGAAGATGTTTCCTTTTCTACCGTAGGCCTCAAAGCGCTTGAAATCTCCAGCTGCAAATTCCACAAAAAGGGTGTTTAACATCTGCTCTTCTAAAGGAAAGTTCAACTCTATGAGTTGAATACACACAGCACAAAGAAGTTACTGAGACTTCTCCTATCAAACATTATATGAAGAAATCCCGTTTCCAACGAAGGCCTCAAAGAGGTCCAAATATCTGCTTGCAGACTTTACAGACAGAGTGTTTCCAAACTGCTCCATCAAAAGAAAGGTTAAACTCCTTGAGTTGAACACACACATCACAAAGTAGTTTCTGTGAATGATTCTGTCTAGTTTTTATACGAAGATGTTTCCTTTTCTACCTTTGGTCTCAAAGCGATTGAAATCTCCACATGGAAACTCCACAAAAAGAGTGTTACAAATCTGCTCTTTCTGAAGGAAGGTTCAACTCTGTGAGTTGAATACACACACCACAAATAAGTTACTGAGAATTCTTCTGTGTAACATTATATGAGGAAATCCCGTTTCCAACGAAGGCCTCAAAGAGGTCCAAATATCCACTTGCAGACTTTACAAAGACAGTGTCTCCAAACTGCTCCATCAAAAGAAAGGTTATACTCTGTGAATTGAACGCACACATCACAAAGTAGTTTCTGAGAATGATTCTGTCTAGTTTTTATACGAAGATATTTCCTTTTCTACATTTGGCCTAAAAGCGCTTGAAATCTCCACGTGCAAATATCACAAAAAGAGGGTTTCACATCTGCTCTGTCTAAAGGACAGTTCACCTCTGTGAGTTGAATAGAGGCAACACAAAGAACTTACTCAGTATTCTTCTTTCTAGCGTTCTATGAAGAAATCCCGTTTCCAACGAAGGCCCCAAAGAGGTCCAAATATCTGCTTGCAGACTTTACAGACAGAGTGTTTCCAAACTACTCTATGAAAAGAAAGCTTAAACTCCTTGAGTTGAACGCACACATCACAAAGTAGTTTCGGAGAATGATTCTGTCTAGTTTTGATACGAAGATGTTTCCTTTTCTACATTTGGTCTCAAAGCGATTGAAATCTCCAACTGGAAACTGCACAAATAGGGTGTTTCAAATCTGCTCTGTCTAAAGGAAGGTTCAACTCTGTGAGTTGAATACACACACCACAAATAAGTTACTGAGAATTCTTCTGTCGAACATTACAGGAAGAAATCCCGTTTCCAACGAAGGCCTCAAAGAGGTCCAATTATCCACTTGCAGACATTACAAACAGTGTGTTTCCCAACTGCTCCATCAAAAGAAAGGTTAAACTCTGTGAGCTGAACACACACATCAAAAAGAAGTTTCTGTGAATGATTCTGTCTAGATTTTATAAGATGTTGCCTTTTCTACCGTAGGCCTCAAAGCGCTTGAAATCTCCAGCTGCAAATTCCACAAAAAGGGTGTTTAACATCTGCTCTTCTAAAGGAAAGTTCAACTCTATGAGTTGAATACACACAGGACAAAGAAGTTACTGAGACTTCTCCTATCAAACATTATATGAAGAAATCCCGTTTCCAACGAAGGCCTCAAAGAGGTCCAAATATCTGCTTGCAGACTTTACAGACAGAGTGTTTCCAAACTGCTCCATCAAAAGAAAGGTTAAACTCCTTGAGTTGAACACACACATCACAAAGTAGTTTCTGTGAATGATTCTGTCTAGTTTTTATACGAAGATGTTTCCTTTTCTACCTTTGGTCTCAAAGCGATTGAAATCTCCACATGGAAACTCCACAAAAAGAGTGTTTCAAATCTGCTCTTTCTGAAGGAAGGTTCAACTCTGTGAGTTGAATACACACACCACAAATAAGTTACTGAGAATTCTTCTGTGTAACATTATATGAGGAAATCCCGTTTCCAACGAAGGCCTCAAAGAGGTCCAAATATCCACTTGCAGACTTTACAAAGACAGTGTCTCCAAACTCCTCCATCAAAAGAAAGGTTATACTCTGTGAATTGAACGCACACATCCCAAGGTAGTTTCTGAGAATGATTCTGTCTAGTTTTTATACGAAGATATTTCCTTTTCTACATTTGGCCTAAAAGCGCTTGAAATCTCCACCTGCAAATATCACAAAAAGAGGGTTTCACATCTGCTCTGTCTAAAGGACAGTTCAACTCTGTGAGTTGAATAGACGCAACACAATGAAGTTACTGAGTATTCTTCTTTCTAGCGTTCTATGAAGAAATCCCGTTTCCAACGAAGGCCCCAAAGAGGTCCAAATATCTGCTTGCAGACTTTACAGACAGAGTGTTTCCAAACTACTCTATGAAAAGAAAGCTTAAACTGCTTGAGTTGAACGCACACATCACAAAGTAGTTTCTGAGAATGATTCTGTCTAGTTTTTATACGAAGATGTTTCCTTTTCTACATTTGGTCTCAAAGCGATTGAAATCTCCAACTGGAAACTGCACAAATAGGGTGTTTCAAATCTGCTCTGTCTAAAGGAAGGTTCAACTCTGTGAGTTGAATACACACACCACAAATAAGTTACTGAGAATTCTTCTGTCGAACATTACTTGAAGAAATCCCGTTTCCAACGAAGGCCCCAAAGAGGTCCAAATATCCACTTGCAGATATTACAAACAGAGTGTTTCCAAACTGCTCCATCAAAAGAAAGGTTAAACTCGGTGAGCTGAACACACACATCAAAAAGAAGTTTCTGTGAATGATTCTGTCTAGATTTTATAAGAAGATGTTTCCTTTTCTACCGTAGGCCTCAAAGCGCTTGAAATCTCCAGCTGCAAATTCCACAAAAAGGGTGTTTAACATCTGGTCTTCTAAAGGAAAGTTCAACTCTATGAGTTGAATACACACAGCACAAAGAAGTTACTGAGACTTCTCCTATCAAACATTATATGAAGAAATCCCGTTTCCAACGAAGGCCTCAAAGAGGTCCAAATATCTGCTTGCAGACTTTACAGACAGAGTTTTTCCAAACTGCTCCATCAAAAGAAAGGTTAAACTCCTTGAGTTGAACACACACATCACAAAGTAGTTTCTGTGAGTGATTCTGTCTAGTTTTTATACGAAGATGTTTCCTTTTCTACCTTTGGTCTCAAAGCGATTGAAATGTCCACATGGAAACTCCACAAAAAGAGTGTTTCAAATCTGCTCTTTCTGAAGGAAGGTTCAACTCTGTGAGTTGAATACACACACCACAAATAAGTTACTGAGAATTCTTCTGTGTAACATTATATGAGGAAATCCCGTTTCCAACGAAGGCCTCAAAGAGGTCCAAATATCCACTTGCAGACTTTACAAAGACAGTGTCTCCAAACTCCTCCATCAAAAGAAAGGTTATACTCTGTGAATTGAACGCACACATCACAAAGTAGTTTCTGAGAATGATTCTGTCTAGTTTTTATACGAAGATATTTCCTTTTCTACATTTGGCCTAAAAGCGCTTGAAATCTCCACCTGCAAATATCACAAAAAGAGGGTTTCACACCTGCTCTGTCTAATGGACTGTTCACCTCTGTGAGTTGAATAGAGGCAACACAAAGAACTTACTCAGTATTCTTCTTTCTAGCGTTCTATGAAGAAATCCCGTTTCCAACGAAGGCCTCAAAGAGGTCCAAATATCTGCTTGCAGACTTTACAGACAGAGTGTTTCCAAACTACTCTATGAAAAGAAAGCTTAAACTCCTTGAGTTGAACGCACACATCACAAAGTAGTTTCTGAGAATGATTCTGTCTAGTTTTTATACGAAGATGTTTCCTTTTCTACATTTGTCTCAAAGCGATTGAAATCTCCAACTGGAAACTGCACAAATAGGGTGTTTCAAATCTGCTCTGTCTGAAGGGAGGTTCAACTCTGTGAGTTCAATACACACACCACAAATAAGTTACTGAGAATTCTTCTATCGAACATTACTTGAAGAAATCCCGTTTCCAACGAAGGCCTCAAAGAGGTCCAAATATCCACTTGCAGACATTACAAACAGAGTGTTTCCAAACTGCTCCATCAAAAGAAAGGTTAAACTCTGTGAGCTGAACACACACATCAAAAAGAAGTTTCTGTGAATGATTCTGTCTAGATTTTATAAGAAGATGTTTCCTTTTCTACCGTAGGCCTCAAAGGCGCTTGAAATCTCCAGCTGCAAATTCCACAAAAAGGGTGTTTAACATCTGCTCTTCTAAAGGAAAGTTCAACTCTATGAGTTGAATACACACAGCACAAAGAAGTTACTGAGACTTCTCCTATCAAACATTATATGAAGAAATCCCGTTTCCAAAGAAGGCCTCAAAGAGGTCCAAATATCTGCTTGCAGACTTTACAGACAGAGTTTTTCCAAACTGCTCCATCAAAAGAAAGGTTAAACTCCTTGAGTTGAACACACACATCACAAAGTAGTTTCTGTGAATGATTCTGTCTAGTTTTTATACGAAGATGTTTCCTTTTCTACCTTTGGTCTCAAAGCGATTGAAATCTCCACATGGAAACTCCACAAAAAGAGTGTTTCAAATCTGCTCTTTCTGAAGGAAGGTTCAACTCTGTGAGTTGAATACACACACCACAAATAAGTTACTGAGAATTCTTCTGTGTAACATTATATGAGGAAATCCCGTTTCCAACGAAGGCCTCAAAGAGTTCCAAATATCCACTTGCAGACTTTACAAAGACAGTGTCTCCAAACTCCTCCATCAAAAGAAAGGTTATACTCTGTGAATTGAACGCACACATCACAAAATAGTTTCTGAGAATGATTCTGTCTAGTTTTTATACGAAGATATTTCCTTTTCTACATTTGGCCTAAAAGCGCTTGAAATCTCCACCTGCAAATATCACAAAAAGAGGGTTTCACATCTGCTCTGTCTAAAGTACAGTTCACCTCTGTGAGTTGAATAGAGGCAACACAAAGAACTTACTCAGTATTCTTCTTTCTAGCGTTCTATGAAGAAATCCCGTTTCCAACGAAGGCCCCAAAGAGGTCCAAATATCTGCTTGCAGACTTTACAGACAGAGTGTTTCCAAACTACTCTATGAAAAGAAAGCTTAAACTCCTTGAGTTGAACGCACACATCACAAAGTAGTTTCTGAGAATGATTCTGTCTAGTTTTTATACGAAGATGTTTCCTTTTCTACATTTGGTCTCAAAGCGATTGAAATCTCCAACTGGAAACTGCACAAATAGGGTGTTTCAAATCTGCTCTGTCTAAAGGAAGGTTCAACTCTGTGAGTTGAATACACACACCACAAATAAGTTACTGAGAATTCTTCTGTCGACCATTACTTGATGAAATCCCGTTTCCAACGAAGGCCTCAAAGAGGTCCAAATATCCACTTGCAGACATTACAAACAGAGTGTTTCCAAACTGCTCCATCAAAAGAAAGGTTAAACTCTGTGAGCTGAACACACACATCGAAAAGAAGTTTCTGTGAATGATTCTGTCTAGATTTTATAAGAAGATGTTTCCTTTTCTACCGTAGGCCTCAAAGCGCTTGAAATCTCCAGCTGCAAATTCCACAAAAAGGGTGTTTAACATCTGCTCTTCAAAAGGAAAGTTCAACTCTATGAGTTGAATACACACAGCACAAAGAAGTTACTGAGACTTCTCCTATCAAACATTATATGAAGAAATCCCGTTTCCAACGAAGGCCTCAAAGAGGTCCAAATATCTGCTTGCAGACTTTACAGACAGAGTGTTTCCAAACTGCTCCATCAAAAGAAAGGTTAAACTCCTTGAGTTGAACACACACATCACAAAGTAGTTTCTGTGAATGATTCTGTCTAGTTGTTATACGAAGATGTTTCCTTTTCTACCTTTGGTCTCAAAGCGATTGAAATCTCCACATGGAAACTCCACAAAAAGAGTGTTTCAAATCTGCTCTTTCTGAAGGAAGGTTCATCTCTGTGAGTTGAATACACACACCACAAATAAGTTACTGAGAATTCTTCTGTGTAACATTATATGAGGAAATCCCGTTTCCAACGAAGGCCTCAAAGAGGTCCAAATATCCACTTGCAGACTTTACAAAGACAGTGTCTCCAAACTCCTCCATCAAAAGAAAGGTTATACTCTGTGAATTGAACGCACACATCACAAAGTAGTTTCTGAGAATGATTCTGTCTAGTTTTTATACGAAGATATTTCCTTTTCTACATTTGGCCTAAAAGCGCTTGAAATCTCCACCTGCAAATATCACAAAAAGAGGGTTTCACATCTGCTCTGTCTAAAGGACAGTTCACCTCTGTGAGTTGAATAGAGGCAACACAAAGGACTTACTCAGTATTCTTCTTTCTAGCGTTCTATGAAGAAATCCCGTTTCCAACGAAGGCCCCAAAGAGGTCCAAATATCTGCTTGCAGACTTTACAGACAGAGTGTTTCCAAACTACTCTATGAAAAGAAAGCTTAAACTCCTTCAGTTGAACGCACACATCACAAAGTAGTTTCTGAGAATGATTCTGTCTAGTTTTTATACGAAGATGTTTCCTTTTCTACATTTGGTCTCAAAGCGATTGAAATCTCCAACTGGAAACTGCACAAATAGGGTGTTTCAAATCTGCTCTGTCTAAAGGAAGGTTCAACTCTGTAAATTGAATACACACACCACAAATAAGTTACTGAGAATTCTTCTGTCGAACATTACATGAAGAAATCCCGTTTCCAACGAAGGCCTCAAAGAGGTCCAAATATCCACTTGCAGACATTACAGAGTGTTTCCAAACTGCTCCATCAAAAGAAAGGTTAAACTCTGTGAGCTGAACACACATATCGAAAAGAAGTTTCTGTGAATGATTCTGTCTAGATTTTATAAGAAGATGTTTCCTTTTCTACCGTAGGCCTCAAAGCGCTTGAAATCTCCAGCTGCAAATTCCACAAAAAGGGTGTTTAACATCTGCTCTTCTAAAGGAAAGTTCAACTCTATGAGTTGAATACACACAGCACAAAGAAGTTACTGAGACTTCTCCTATCAAACATTATATGAAGAAATACCGTTTCCAACGAAGGCCTCAAAGAGGTCCAAATATCTGCTTGCAGACTTTACAGACAGAGTGTTTCCAAACTGCTCCATCAAAAGAAAGGTTAACCTCCTTGAGTTGAACACACACATCACAAAGTAGTTTCTGTGAATGATTCTGTCTAGTTTTTATACGAAGATGTTTCCTTTTCTACCTTTGGTCTCAAAGCGATTGAAATCTCCACATGGAAACTCCACAAAAAAGAGTGTTTCAAATCTGCTCTTTCTGAAGGAAGGTTCAACTCTGTGAGTTGAATACACACACCACAAATAAGTTACTGAGAATTCTTCTGTGTAACATTATATGAGGAAATCCCGTTTCCAACGAAGGCCTCAAAGAGGTCCAAATATCCACTTGCAGACTTTACAAAGACAGTGTCTCCAAACTCCTCCATCAAAAGAAAGGTTCTACTCTGTGAATTGAACGCACACATCACAAAGTAGTTTCTGAGAATGATTCTGTCTAGTTTTTATACGAAGATATTTCCTTTTCTACATTTGGCCTAAAAGCGCTTGAAATCTCCACCTGCAAATATCACAAAAAGAGGGTTTCACATCTGCTCTGTCTAAAGGACAGTTCACCTCTGTGAGTTGAATAGAGGCAACACAAAGAACTTACTCAGTATTCTTCTTTCTAGCGTTCTATGAAGAAATCCCGTTTCCAACGAAGGCCTCAAAGAGGTCCAAATATCTGCTTGCAGACTTTACAGACAGAGTGTTTCCAAACTACTCTATGAAAAGAAAGCTTAAACTCCTTGAGTTAAACGCACACATCACAAAGTAGTTTCTGAGAATGATTGTGTCTAGTTTTTATACGAAGATGTTTCCTTTTCTACATTTGGTCTCAAAGCGATTGAAATCTCCAAGTGCAAACTGCACAAATAGGTTGTTTCAAATCTGCTCTGTCTAAAGGAAGGCTCAACTCTGTGAGTTGAATACACACACCACAAATAAGTTACTGAGAATTCTTCTGTCGAACATTACATGAAGAAATCCCGTTTCCAACGAAGGCCTCAAAGAGGTCCAAATATCCACTTGCAGACATTACAGAGTGTTTCCAAACTGCTCCATCAAAAGAAAGGTTAAACTCTGTGAGCTGAACACACATATCGAAAAGAAGTTTCTGTGAATGATTCTGTCTAGATTTTATAAGAAGATGTTTCCTTTTCTACCGTAGGCCTCAAAGCGCTTGAAATCTCCAGCTGCAAATTCCACAAAAAGGGTGTTTAACATCTGCTCTTCTAAAGGAAAGTTCAACTCTATGAGTTGAATACACACAGCACAAAGAAGTTACTGAGACTTCTCCTATCAAACATTATATGAAGAAATCCCTTCTCCAACGAAGGCCTCAAAGAGGTCCAAATATCTGCTTGCAGACTTTACAGACAGAGTGTTTCCAAACCGCTCCATCAAAAGAAAGGTTAACCTCCTTGAGTTGAACACACACATCACAAAGTAGTTTCTGTGAATGATTCTGTCTAGTTTTTATACGAAGATGTTTCCTTTTCTACCTTTGGTCTCAAAGCGATTGAAATCTCCACATGGAAACTCCACAAAAAAGAGTGTTTCAAATCTGCTCTTTCTGAAGGAAGGTTCAACTCTGTGAGTTGAATACACACACCACAAATAAGTTACTGAGAATTCTTCTGTGTAACATTATATGAGGAAATCCCGTTTCCAACGAAGGCCTCAAAGAGGTCCAAATATCCACTTGCAGACTTTACAAAGACAGTGTCTCCAAACTCCTCCATCAAAAGAAAGGTTCTACTCTGTGAATTGAACGCACACATCACAAAGTAGTTTCTGAGAATGATTCTGTCTAGTTTTTATACGAAGATATTTCCTTTTCTACATTTGGCCTAAAAGCGCTTGAAATCTCCACCTGCAAATATCACAAAAAGAGGGTTTCACATCTGCTCTGTCTAAAGGACAGTTCACCTCTGTGAGTTGAATAGAGGCAACACAAAGAACTTACTCAGTATTCTTCTTTCTAGCGTTCTATGAAGAAATCCCGTTTCCAACGAAGGCCCCTAAGAGGTCCAAATATCTGCTTGCAGACTTTACAGACAGAGTGTTTCCAAACTACTGTATGAAGAGAAAGCTTAAACTCCTTGAGTTGAAGGCACACATCACAAAGTAGTTTCTGAGAATGATTCTGTCTAGTTTTTATACGAAGATGTTTCCTTTTCTACATTTGGTCTCAAAGCGATTGAAATCTGCAACTGGGAACTGCACAAATAGGGTGTTTCAAATCTGCTCTGTCTAAAGGAAGGTTCAACTCTGTGAGTTGAATACACACACCACAAATAAGTTACTGAGAATTCTTCTGTCGAACATTACAGGAAGAAATCCCGTTTCCAGCGAAGGCCTCAAAGAGGTCCAAATATCCACTTGCAGACATTACAAACAGAGTGTTTCCAAACTGCTCCATCAAAAGAAAGGTTAAACTCTGTGAGCTGAACACACACATCAAAAAGAAGTTTCTGTGAATGATTCTGTCTAGATTTTATAAGAAGATGTTTCCTTTTCTACCGTAGGCCTCAAAGCGCTTGAAATCTCCAGCTGCAAATTCCACAAAAAGGGTGTTTAACATCTGCTCTTCTAAAGGAAAGTTCAACTCAATGAGTTGAATACACACAGCAGAAAGAAGTTACTGAGACTTCTCCTATCAAACATTATATGAAGAAATCCCGTTTCCAACGAAGGCCTCAAAGAGGTCCAAATATCTGCTTGCAGACTTTACAGACAGAGTATTTCCAAACTGCTCCATCAAAAGAAAGGTTAAACTCCTTGAGTTGAACACACACATCACAAAGTAGTTTCTGTGAATGATTCTGTCTAGTTTTTATACGAAGATGTTTCCTTTTCTACCTTTGGTCTCAAAGCGATTGAAATCTCCACATGGAAACTCCACAAAAAGAGTGTTTCAAATCTGCTCTTTCTGAAGGAAGGTTCAACTCTGTGAGTTGAATACACACACCACAAATAAGTTACTGAGAATTCTTCTGTGTAACATTATATGAGGAAATGCCGTTTCCAACGAAGGCCTCAAAGAGGTCCAAATATCCACTTGCAGACTTTACAAAGACAGTGTCTCCAAACTGCTCCATCAAAAGAAAGGTTATACTCTGTGAATTGAACGCACACATCACAAAGTAGTTTCTGAGAATGATTTCTGTCTAGTTTTTATACGAAGATATTTCCTTTTCTACATTTGGCCTAAAAGCGCTTGAAATCTCCACCTGCAAATATCACAAAAAGAGGGTTTCACATCTGCTCTGTCTAAAGGACAGTTCACCTCTGTGAGTTGAATAGAGGCAACACAAGGAACTTACTCAGTATTCTTCTTTCTAGCGTTCTATGAAGAAATCCCGTTTCCAACGAAGGCCTAAATGAGGTCCAAATATCTGCTTGCAGACTTTACAGACAGAGTGTTTCCAAACTACTCTATGAAAAGAAAGCTTAAACTCCTTGAGTTGAACGCACACATCACAAAGTAGTTTCTGAGAATGATTCTGTCTAGTTTATATACGAAGATGTTTCCTTTTCTACATTTGGTCTCAAAACGATTGAAATCTCCAACTGGAAACTGCACAAATAGGGTGTTTCAAATCTGCTCTGTCTAAAGGAAGGTTCAACTCTGTGAGTTGAATACACACACCACAAATAAGTTACTGAGAATTCTTCTGTCGAACATTACTTGAAGAAATCCCGTTTCCAGCGAAGGCCTCAAAGAGGTCAAAATATCCACTTGCAGACATTACAAACAGAGTGTTTCCAAACTGCTCCATCAAAAGAAAGGTTAAACTCTGTGAGCTGAACACACACATCAAAAAGAAGTTTCTGTGAATGATTCTGTCTAGATTTTATAAGAAGATGTTTCCTTTTCTACCGTAGGCCTCAAAGCGCTTGAAATCTCCAGCTGCAAATTCCACAAAAAGGGTGTTTAACATCTGCTCTTCTAAAGGAAAGTTCAACTCTATGAGTTGAATACACACAGCACAAAGAAGTTACTGAGACTTCTCCTATCAAACATTATATGAAGAAATCCCGTTTCCAACGAAGGCCTCAAAGAGGTCCAAATATCTACTTGCAGACTTTACAGACAGAGTGTTTCCAAACTGCTCCATCAAAAGAAAGGTTAAACTCCTTGAGTTGAACACACACATCACAAAGTAGTTTCTGTGAATGATTCTGTCTAGTTTTTATACGAAGATGTTTCCTTTTCTACCTTTGGTCTCAATGCGATTGAAATCTCCACATGGAAACTCCACAAAAAGAGTGTTTCAAATCTGCTCTTTCTGAAGGAAGGTTCAACTCTGTGAGTTGAATACACACACCACAAATAAGTTACTGAGAATACTTCTGTGTAACATTATATGAGGAAATCCCGTTTCCAACGAAGGCCTCAAAGAGGTCCAAATATCCACTTGCAGACTTTACAAAGACAGTGTCTCCAAACTCCTCCATCAAAAGAAAGGTTATACTCTGTGAATTGAACGCACACATCACAAAGTAGTTTCTGAGAATGATTCTGTCTAGTTTTTATACGAAGATATTTCCTTTTCTACATTTGGCCTAAAAGCGCTTGAAATCTCCACCTGCAAATATCACAAAAAGAGGGTTTCACATCTGCTCTGTCTAAAGGACAGTTCACCTCTGTGAGTTGAATAGAGGCAACACAAAGAACTTACTCAGTATTCTTCTTTCTAGCATTCTATGAAGAAATCCCGTTTCCAACGAAGGCCCCAAAGAGGTCCAAATATCTGCTTGCAGACTTTACAGACAGAGTTTTTCCAAACTGCTCCATCAATAGAAAGGTTAAACTCCTTGAGTTGAACACACACATCACAAAGTAGTTTCTGTGAATGATTCTGTCTAGTTTTTATAAGAAGATGTTTCCTTTTCTACCTTTGGTCTCAAAGCGATTGAAATCTCCACATGGAAACTCCACAAAAAGAGTGTTTCAAATCTGCTCTTTCTGAAGGAAGGTTCAACTCTGTGAGTTGAATACACACACCACAAATAAGTTACTGAGAATTCTTCTGTGTAACATTATATGAGGAAATCCCGTTTCCAACGAAGGCCTCAAAGAGGTCCAAATATCCACTTGCAGACTTTACAAAGACAGTGTCTCCAAACTCCTCCATCAAAAGAAAGGTTATACTCTGTGAATTGAACGCACACATCACAAAATAGTTTCTGAGAATGATTCTGTCTAGTTTTTATACGAAGATATTTCCTTTTCTACATTTGGCCTAAAAGCGCTTGAAATCTCCACCTGCAAATATCACAAAAAGAGGGTTTCACATCTGCTCTGTCTAAAGGACAGTTCACCTCTGTGAGTTGAATAGAGGCAACACAAAGAACTTACTCAGTATTCTTCTTTCCAGCGTTCTATGAAGAAATCCCGTTTCCAACGAAGGCCTCAAAGAGGTCAAATATCTGCTTGCAGACTTTACAGACAGAGTGTTTCCAAACTACTCTATGAAAAGAAAGCTTAAACTCCTTGAGTTGAACGCACACATCACAAAGTAGTTTCTGAGAATGATTCTGTCTAGTTTTTATACGAAGATGTTTCCCTTTCTACATTTGGTCTCAAAGCGATTGAAATCTCCAACTGGAAACTGCACAAATAGGCTGTTTCAAATCTGCTCTGTCTAAAGGAAGGTTCAACTCTGTGAGTTGAATACACACACCACAAATAAGTTACTGAGAATTCTTCTGTCGAACATTACAGGAAGAAATCCCGTTTCCAACGAAGGCCTCAAAGAGGTCCAAATATCCTCTTGCAGACATTACAAACAGTGTGTTTCCCAACTGCTCCATCAAAAGAAAGGTTAAACTCTGTGAGCTGAACACACACATCAAAAAGAAGTTTCTGTGAATGATTCTGTCTAGATTTTATAAGAAGATGTTTCCTTTTCTACCGTAGGCCTCAAAGCGCTTGAAATCTCCAGCTGCAAATTCCACAAAAAGGGTGTTTAACATCTGCTCTTCTAAAGGAAAGTTCAACTCTATGAGTTGAATACACACAGCACAAAGAAGTTACTGAGACTTCTCCTATCAAACATTATATGAAGAAATCCCGTTTCCAACGAAGGCCTCAAAGAGGTCCAAATATCTACTTGCAGACTTTACAGACAGAGTGTTTCCAAACTGCTCCATCAAAAGAAAGGTTAAACTCCTTGAGTTGAACACACACATCACAAAGTAGTTTCTGTGAATGATTCTGTCTAGTTGTTATACGAAGATGTTTCCTTTTCTACCTTTGGTCTCAAAGCGATTGAAATCTCCACATGGAAACTCCACAAAAAGAGTGTTTCAAATCTGCTCTTTCTGAAGGAAGGTTCATCTCTGTGAGTTGAATACACACACCACAAATAAGTTACTGAGAATTCTTCTGTGTAACATTATATGAGGAAATCCCGTTTCCAACGAAGGCCTCAAAGAGGTCCAAATATCCACTTGCAGACTTTACAAAGACAGTGTCTCCAAACTCCTCCATCAAAAGAAAGGTTATACTCTGTGAATTGAACGCACACATCACAAAGTAGTTTCTGAGAATGATTCTGTCTAGTTTTTATACGAAGATATTTCCTTTTCTACATTTGGCCTAAAAGCGCTTGAAATCTCCACCTGCAAATATCACAAAAAGAGGGTTTCACATCTGATCTGTCTAAAGGACAGTTCACCTCTGTGAGTTGAATAGAGGCAACACAAAGAACTTACTCAGTATTCTTCTTTCTAGCGTTCTATGAAGAAATCCCGTTTCCAACGAAGGCCCCAAAGAGGTCCAAATATCTGCTTGCAGACTTTACAGACAGAGTGTTTCCAAACTACTCTATGAAAAGAAAGCTTAAACTCCTTGAGTTGAACGCACACATCACAAAGTAGTTTCTGAGAATGATTCTGTCTAGTTTTTATACGAAGATGTTTCCTTTTCTACATTTGGTCTCAAAGCGATTGAAATCTCCAACTGGAAACTGCACAAATAGGGTGTTTCAAATCTGCTCTGTCTAAAGGAAGGTTCAACTCTGTGAGTTGAATACACACACCACAAATAAGTTACTGAGAATTCTTCTGTCGAACATTACTTGAAGAAATCCCGTTTCCAACGAAGGCCTCAAAGAGGTCCAAATATCGACTTGCAGACATTACAAACAGAGTGTTTCCAAACTGCTCCATCAAAAGAAAGGTTAAACTCTGTGAGCTGAACACACACATAAAAAAGAAGTTTCTGTGAATGATTCTGTCTAGATTTTATAAGAAGATGTTTCCTTTTCTACCGTAGGCCTCAAAGCGCTTGAAATCTCCAGCTGCAAATTCCACAAAAAGGGTGTTTAACATCTGCTCTTCTAAAGGAAAGTTCAACTCTATGAGTTGAATACACACAGCACAAAGAAGTTACTGAGACTTCTCCTATCAAACATTATATGAAGAAATCCCGTTTCCAACGAAGGCCTCAAAGAGGTCCAAATATCTGCTTGCAGACTTTACAGACAGAGTGTTTCCAAACTGCTCCATCAAAAGAAAGGTTAAACTCCTTGAGTTGAACACACACATCACAAAGTAGTTTCTGTGAATGTTTCTGTCTAGTTTTTATACGAAGATGTTTCCTTTTCTACCTTTGGTCTCAATGCGATTGAAATCTCCACATGGAAACTCCACAAAAAGAGTGTTTCAAATCTGCTCTTTCTGAAGGAAGGTTCAACTCTGTGAGTTGAATACACACACCACAAATAAGTTACTGAGAATTCTTCTGGGTAACATTATATGAGGAAATCCCGTTTCCAACGAAGGCCTCAAAGAGGTCCAAATATCCACTTGCAGACTTTACAAAGACAGTGTCTCCAAACTCCTCCATCAAAAGAAAGGTTATACTCTGTGAATTGAACGCACACATCACAAAGTAGTTTCTGAGAATGATTCTGTCTAGTTTTTATACGAAGATATTTCCTTTTCTACATTTGGCCTAAAAGCGCTTGAAATCTCCACCTGCAAATATCACAAAAAGAGGGTTTCACATCTGCTCTGTCTAAAGGACAGTTCACCTCTGTGAGTTGAATAGAGGCAACACAAAGAACTTACTCAGTATTCTTATCTTTCTAGCGTTCTATGAAAAATCCCGTTTCCAACGAAGACCCCAATGAGGTCCTAATATCTGCTTGCAGACTTTACAGACAGAGTGTTTTCAAACTACTCTATGAAAAGAAAGCTTAAACTCCTTGAGTTCAACGCACCCATCACAAAGTAGTTTCTGAGAATGATGCTGTCTAGTTTTTATACGAAGATGTTTCCTTTTCTACATTTGGTCTCAAAGCGATTGAAATCTCCAACTGGAAACTGCACAAATAGGGTGTTTCAAATCTGCTCTGTCTAAAGGAAGGTTCAACTCAGTGAGTTGAATACACACACCACAAATAAGTTACTGAGAATTCTTCTGTCGAACATTACATGAAGAAATCCCGTTTCCAACGAAGGCCTCAAAGAGGTCCAAACATCCACTTGCAGACATTACAAACAGTGTGTTTCCAAACTGCTCCATCAAAAGAAAGGTTAAACTCTGTGAGCTGAACACACACATCAAAAAGAAGTTTCTGTGAATGATTCTGTCTAGATTTTATAAGAAGATGTTTCCTTTTCTACCGTAGGCCTCAAAGCGCTTGAAATCTCCAGCTGCAAATTCCACAAAAAGGGTGTTTAACATCTGCTCTTCTAAAGGAAAGTTCAACTCTATGAGTTGAATACACACAGCACAAAGAAGTTACTGAGACTTCTCCTATCAAACATTATATGAAGAAATCCCGTTTCCAACGAAGGCCTCAAAGAGGTCCAAATATCTGCTTGTAGACTTTACAGACAGAGTGTTTCCAAACTGCTCCATCAAAAGGAAGTTTAAACTCCTTGAGTTGAACACACACATCACAAAGTAGTTTCTGTGAATGATTCTGTCTAGTTGTTATACGAAGATGTTTCCTTTTCTACATTTGGTCTCAAAGCGGTTGAAATCTCCACATGGAAACTCCACAAAAATAGTGTTTCAAATCTGCTCTTTCTGAAGGAAGGTTCATCTCTGTGAGTTGAATACACACACCACAAATAAGTTAGTGAGAATTCTTCTGTGTAACATTATATGAGGAAATCCCGTTTCCAACGAAGGCCTCAAAGAGATCCAAATATCCACTTGCAGACTTTACAAAGACAGTGTCTCCAAACTCCTCCATCAAAAGAAAGGTTATACTCTGTGAATTGAACGCACACATCACAAAGTAGTTTCTGAGAATGATTCTGTCTAGTTTTTATACGAAGATATTTCCTTTTCTACATTTGGCCTAAAAGCGCTTGAAATCTCCACCTGCAAATATCACAAAAAGAGGGTTTCACATCTGCTCTGTCTAAAGGACAGTTCACCTCTGTGAGTTGAATAGAGGCAACACAAAGAACTTACTCAGTATTCTTCTTTCTAGCGTTCTATGAAGAAATCCCGTTTCCAACGAAGGCCCCAAAGAGGTCCAAATATCTGCTTGCAGACTTTACAGACAGAGTGTTTCCAAACTACTCTATGAAAAGAAAGCTTAAACTCCTTGAGTTGAACGCACACATCACAAAGTAGTTTCTGAGAATGATTCTGTCTTGTTTTTATACGAAGATATTTCCGTTTCTACGATTGGCCTCAAAGCGATTGAAATCTCCACCTGAAAACTGCACAAATAGGGTGTTTCAAATCTGCTCTGTCTAAAGGAAGGTTCAACTTCTGTGAGTTGAATACACACACCACAAATAAGTTACTGAGAATTCTTCTGTCGAACATTACTTGAAGAAATCCCGTTTCCAACGAAGCCTCAAAGAGGTCCAAATATCCACTTGCAGACATTACAAACAGAGTGTTTCCAAACTGCTCCATCAAAAGAAAGGTTAAACTCTGTGAGCTGAACACACACATCGAAAAGAAGTTTCTGTGAATGATTCTGTCTAGATTTTATAAGAAGATGTTTCCTTTTCTACCGTAGGCCTCAAAGCGCTTGAAATCTCCAGCTGCAAATTCCACAAAAAGGGTGTTTAACATCTGCTCTTCTAAAGGAAAGTTCAACTCTATGAGTTGAATACACACAGCACAAAGAAGTTACTGAGACTTCTCCTATCAAACATTATATGAAGAAATCCCGTTTCCAACGAAGGCCTCAAAGAGGTCCAAATATCTGCTTGCAGACTTTACAGACAGAGTGTTTCCAAACTGCTCCATCAAAAGAAAGGTTAAACTCCTTGAGTTGAACACACACATCACAAAGTAGTTTCTGTGAATGATTCTGTCTAGTTTTTATACGAAGATGTTTCCTTTTCTACCTTTGGTCTCAAAGCTATTGAAATCTCCACATGGAAACTCCACAAAAAGAGTGTTTCAAATCTGCTCTTTCTGAAGGAAGGTTCATCTCTGTGAGTTGAATACACACACCACAAATAAGTTACTGAGAATTCTTCTGTGTAACATTATATGAGGAAATCCCGTTTCCAACGAAGGCCTCAAAGAGGTCCAAATATCCACTTGCAGACTTTACAAAGACAGTGTCTCCAAACTCCTCCATCAAAAGAAAGGTTATACTCTGTGAATTGAACGCACACATCACAAAGTAGTTTCTGAGAATGATTCTGTCTAGTTTTTATACGAAGATATTTCCTTTTCTACATTTGGCCTAAAAGCGCTTGAAATCTCCACCTGCAAATATCACAAAAAGAGGGTTTCACATCTGCTCTGTCTAAAGGACAGTTCACCTCTGTGAGTTGAATAGAGGCAACACAAAGAACTTACTCAGTATTCTTCTTTCTAGCGTTCTATGAAGAAATCCCGTTTCCAACGAAGGCCCCAAAGAGGTCCAAATATCCGCTTGCAGACTTTACAGACAGAGTGTTTCCAAACTGCTCCATCAAAAGAAAGGTTAAACTCCTTGAGTTGAACACACACATCACAAAGTAGTTTCTGTGAATGATTCTGTCTAGTTTTTATACGAAGATGTTTCCTTTTCTACCTTTGGTCTCAAAGCGATTGAAATCTCCACATGGAAACTCCACAAAAAGAGTGTTTCAAATCTACTCTTTCTGAAGGAAGGTTCAACTCTGTGAGTTGAATACACACATCACAAATAAGTTAATGAGAATTCTTCTGTGTAACATTATATGAGGAAATCCCGTTTCCAACGAAGGCCTCAAAGAGGTCCAAATATCCACATGCAGACTTTACAAAGACAGTGTCTCCAAACTCCTCCATCAAAAGAAAGGTTATACTCTGTGAATTGAACGCACACATCACAAAGTAGTTTCTGAGAATGATTCTGTCTAGTTTTTATAAGAAGATATTTCCTTTTCTACATTTGGCCTAAAAGCGCTTGAAATCTCCACCTGCAAATATCAGAAAAAGAGGGTTTCACATCTGCTCTGTCTAAAGGACAGTTCACCTCTGTGAGTTGAATAGAGGCAACACAATGAACTTACTCAGTATTCTTCTTTCTAGCGTTCTATGAAGAAATCCCGTTTCCAACGAAGGCCTCAATGAGGTCCAAATATCTGCTTGCAGACTTTACAGACAGAGTGTTTCCAAACTACTCTATGAAAAGAAAGCTTAAACTCCTTGAGTTGAACGCACACATCACAAAGTAGTTTCTGAGAATGATTCTGTCTAGTTTTTATACGAAGATGTTTCCTTTTCTACATTTGGTCTCAAAGCGATTGAAATCTCCAACTGGAAACTGCACAAATAGGGTGTTTCAAATCTGCTCTGTCTAAAGGAAGGTTCAACTCTGTGAGTTGAATACACACACCACACATAAGTTACTGAGAATTCTTCTGTCGAACATTACAGGAAGAAATCCCGTTTCCAACGAAGGCCTCAAAGAGGTCCAAATATCCACTTGCAGACATTACAAACAGAGTGTTTCCAAACTGCTCCATCAAAAGAAAGGTTAAACTCTGTGAGCTGAACACACACATCAAAAAGAAGTTTCTGTGAATGATTCTGTCTAGATTTTATAAGAAGATGTTTCCTTTTCTACCGTAGGCCTCAAAGTGCTTGAAATCTCCAGCTGCAAATTCCACAAAAAGGGTCATTAACATCTGCTCTTCTAAAGGAAAGTTCAACTCTATGAGTTGAATACACACAGCACAAAGAAGTTACTGAGACTTCTCCTATCAAACATTATATGAAGAAATCCCGTTTCCAACGAAGGCCTCAAAGAGGTCCAAATATCTGCTTGCAGACTTTACAGACAGAGTGTTTCCAAACTGCTCCATCAAAAGAAAGGATAAACTCCTTGAGTTGAACACACACATCACAAAGTAGTTTCTGTGAATGATTCTGTCTAGTTTTTATACGAAGATGTTTCCTTTTCTACCTTTGGTCTCAAAGCGATTGAAATCTCCACATGGAAACTCCACAAAAAGAGTGTTTCAAATCTGCTCTTTCTGAAGGAAGGTTCAACTCTGTGAGTTGAATACACACACCACAAATAAGTTACTGAGAATTCTTCTGTGTAACATTATATGAGGAAATCCCGTTTCCAACGAAGGCCTCAAAGAGGTCCAAATATCCACTTGCAGACTTTACAAAGACAGTGTCTCCAAACTCCTCCATCAAAAGAAAGGTTATACTCTGTGAATTGAACGCACACATCACAAAGTAGTTTCTGAGAATGATTCTGTCTAGTTTTTATACGAAGATATTTCCTTTTCTACATTTGGCCTAAAAGCGCTTGAAATCTCCACCTGGAAATATCACAAAAAGAGGGTTTCACATCTGCTCTGTCTAAAGGACAGTTCACCTCTGTGAGTTGAATAGAGGCAACACAAAGAACTTACTCAGTATTCTTCTTTCTAGCGTTCTATGAAGAAATCCCGTTTCCAACGAAGGCCTCAAAGAGGTCAAATATCTGCTTGCAGACTTTACAGACAGAGTGTTTCCAAACTACTCTATGAAAAGAAAGCTTAAACTCCTTGAGTTGAACGCACACATCACAAAGTAGTTTCTGAGAATGATTCTGTCTAGTTTTTATACGAAGATGTTTCCTTTTCTACATTTGGTCTCAAAGCGATTGAAATCTCCAACTGGAAACTGCACAAATAGGGTGTTTCAAATCTGCTCTGTCTAAAGGAAGGTTCAACTCTGTGAGTTGAATACACACACCACAAATAAGTTACTGAGAATTCTTCTGTCGAACATTACTTGAAGAAATCCCGTTTCCAACGAAGGCCTCAAAGAGGTCCAAATATCCACTTGCAGACATTACAAACAGAGTGTTTCCAAACTGCTCCATCAAAAGAAAGGTTAAACTCTGTGAGCTGAACACACACATCAAAAAGAAGTTTCTGTGAATGATTCTGTCTAGATTTTATAAGAAGATGTTTCCTTTTCTACCGTAGGCCTCAAAGCGCTTGAAATCTCCAGCTGCAAATTCCACAAAAAGGGTGTTTAACATCTGCTCTTCTAAAGGAAAGTTCAACTCTATGCGTTGAATACACACATCACAAAGAAGTTACTGAGACTTCTCCAATCAAACATTATATGAAGAAATCCCGTTTCCAACGAAGGCCTCAAAGAGGTCCAAATATCTGCTTGCAGACTTTACAGACAGAGTGTTTCCAAACTGCTCCATCAAAAGAAAGGTTAAACTCCTTGAGTTGAACACACACATCACAAAGTAGTTTCTGTGAATGATTCTGTCCAGTTTTTATACGAAGATGTTTCCTTTTCTACCTTTGGTCTCAAAGCGATTGAAATCTCCACATGGAAACTCCACAAAAAGAGTGTTTCAAATCTGCTCTTTCTGAAGGAAGGTTCAACTCTGTGAGTTGAATACACACACCACAAATAAGTTACTGAGAATTCTTCTGTGTAACATTATATGAGGAAATCCCGTTTCCAACGAAGGCCTCAAAGAGGTCCAAATATCCACTTGCAGACTTTACAAAGACAGTGTCTCCAAACTCCTCCATCAAAAGAAGGGTTATACTCTGTGAATTGAACGCACACATCACAAAGTAGTTTCTGAGAATGATTCTGTCTAGTTTTTATACGAAGATATTTCCTTTTCTACATTTGGCCTAAAAGTGCTTGAAATCTCCACCTGCAAATATCACAAAAAGAGGGTTTCACATCTGCTCTGTCTAAAGGACAGTTCACCTCTGTGAGTTGAATAGAGGCAACACAAAGAACTTACTCAGTATTCTTCTTTCTAGCGTTCTATGAAGAAATCCCGTTTCCAACGAAGGCCCCAAAGAGGTCCAAATATCTGCTTGCAGACTTTACAGACAGAGTGTTTCCAAACTACTCTATGAAAAGAAAGCTTAAACTCCTTGAGTTGAACGCACACATCACAAAGTAGTTTCTGAGAATGATTCTATCTAGTTTTTATACGAAGATGTTTCCTTTTCTACATTTGGTCTCAAAGCGATTGAAATCTCCAACTGGAAACTGCACAAATAGGGTGTTTCAAATCTGCTCTGTCTAAAGGAAGGTTCAACTCTGTGAGTTGAATACACACACCACAAATAAGTTACTGAGAATTCTTCTGTCGACCATTACTTGATGAAATCCCGTTTCCAACGAAGGCCTCAAAGAGGTCCAAATATCCACTTGCAGACATTACAAACAGAGTGTTTCCAAACTGCTCCATCAAAAGAAAGGTTAAACTCTGTGAGCTGAACACACACATCGAAAAGAAGTTTCTGTGAATGATTCTGTCTAGATTTTATAAGAAGATGTTTCCTTTTCTACCGTAGGCCTCAAAGCGCTTGAAATCTCCAGCTGCAAATTCCACAAAAAGGGTGTTTAACATCTGCTCTTCTAAAGGAAAGTTCAACTCTATGAGTTGAATACACACAGCACAAAGAAGTTACTGAGACTTCTCCTATCAAACATTATATGAAGAAATCCCGTTTCCAACGAGGCCCTCAAAGAGGTCCAAATATCTGCTTGCAGACTTTACAGACAGAGTGTTTCCAAACTGCTCCATCAAAAGAAAGGTTAAACTCGTTGAGTTGAACACACACATCACAAAGTAGTTTCTGTGAATGATTCTGTCTAGTTTTTATACGAAGATGTTTCCTTTTCTACCTTTGGTCTCAAAGCGATTGAAATCTCCACATGGAAACTCCACAAAAAGAGTGTTTCAAATCTGCTCTTTCTGAAGGAAGGTTCAACTCTGTGAGTTGAATACACACACCACAAATAAGTTACTGAGAATTCTTCTGTGTAACATTATATGAGGAAATCCCGTTTCCAACGAAGGCCTCAAAGAGGTCCAAATATCCACTTGCAGACTTTACAAAGACAGTGTCTCCAAACTCCTCCATCAAAAGAAAGGTTATACTCTGTGAACTGAACGCACACATCACAAAGTAGTTTCTGAGAATGATTCTGTCTAGTTTTTATACGAAGATATTTCCTTTTCTACATTTGGCCTAAAAGCGCTTGAAATCTCCACCTGCAAATATCACAAAAAGAGGGTTTCACATCTGCTCTGTCTAAAGGACAGTTCACCTCTGTGAGTTGAATAGAGGCAACACAAAGAACTTACCCAGTATTCTTCTTTCCAGCGTTCTCTGAAGAAATCCCGTTTCCAACGAAGGCCTCAAAGAGGTCCAAATATCTGCTTGCAGACTTTACAGACAGAGTGTTTCCAAACTACTCTATGAAAAGAAAGCTTAAACTCCTTGAGTTGAACGCACACATCACAAAGTAGTTTCTGAGAATGATTCTGTCTAGTTTTTATACGAAGATGTTTCCTTTTCTACATTTGGTCTCAAAGCGATTGAAATCTCCAACTGGAAACTGCACAAATAGGGTGTTTCAAATCTGCTCTGTCTAAAGGAAGGTTCAACTCTGTGAGTTGAATACACACACCACAAATAAGTTACTGAGAATTCTTCTGTCGAACATTACAGGAAGAAATCCCGTTTCCAACGAAGGCCTCAAAGAGGTCCAAATATCCACTTGCAGACATTACAAACAGTGTGTTTCCCAACTGCTCCATCAAAAGAAAGGTTAAACTCTGTGAGCTGAACACACACATCAAAAAGAAGTTTCTGTGAATGATTCTGTCTAGATTTTATAAGAAGATGTTTCCTTTTCTACCTTAGCCCTCAAAGCGCTTGAAATCTCCAGCTGGAAATTCCACAAAAAGGGTGTTTAACATCTGCTCTTCTAAAGGAAAGTTCAACTCTATGAGTTGAATACACACAGCACAAAGAAGTTACTGAGACTTCTCCTATCAAACATTATATGAAGAAATCCCGTTTCCAACGAAGGCCTCAAAGAGGTCCAAATATCTGCTTGCAGATTTTACAGACAGAGTGTTTCCAAACTGCTCCATCAAAAGAAAGGTTAAACTCCTTGAGTTGAACACACACATCACAAACTAGTTTCTGTGAATGATTCTGTCTAGTTTTTATACGAAGATGTTTCCTTTTCTACCTTTGGTCTCAAAGCGATTGAAATCTCCACATGGAAACTCCACAAAAAGAGTGTTTCAAATCTGCTCTTTCTGAAGGAAGGTTCAACTCTGTGAGTTGAATACACACACCACAAATAAGTTACTGAGAATTCTTCTGTGTAACATTATATGAGGAAATCCCATTTCCAACGAAGGCCTCAAAGAGGTCCCAATATCCACATGCAGACTTTACAAAGACAGTGTCTCCAAACTCCTCCATCAAAAGAAAGGTTATACTCTGTGAATTGAACTCACACATCACAAAGTAGTTTCTGAGAAGGATTCTGTCTAGTTTTTATACGAAGATATTTCCTTTTCTACATTTTGCCTAAAAGCGCTTGAAATCTCCACCTGCAAATATCACAAAAAGAGGGTTTCACATCTGCTCTATCTAAAGGAGAGTTCACCTCTGTGAGTTGAATAGAGGCAACACAAAGAACTTACTCAGTATTCTTCTTTCTAGCGTTCTATGAAGAAATCCCATTTCCAACGAAGGCCTCAAAGAGGTCCAAATATCTGCTTGCAGACTTTACAGACAGAGTGTTTCCAAACTACTCTATGAAAAGAAAGCTTAAACTCCTTGAGTTGAACGCACACATCACAAAGTAGTTTCTGAGAATGATTCTGTCTAGTTTTTATACGAAGATGTTTCCTTTTCTACATTTGGTCTCAAAGCGATTGAAATCTCCAACTGGAAACTGCACAAATAGGATGTTTCAAATCTGCTCTGTCTAAAGGAAGGTTCAACTCTGTGAGTTGAATACACACACCACAAATAAGTTACTGAGAATTCTTCTGTCGAACATTACTTGAAGAAATCCCGTTTCCAACGAAGGCCTCAAAGAGGTCCAAATATCCACTTGCAGACATTACAAACAGAGTGTTTCCAAACTGCTCCATCAAAAGAAAGGTTAAACTCTGTGAGCTGAACACACACATCAAAAAGAAGTTTCTGTGAATGATTCTGTCTAGATTTTATAAGAAGATGTTTCCTTTTCTACCGTAGGCCTCAAAGCGCTTGAAATCTCCAGCTGCAAATTCCACAAAAAGGGTGTTTAACATCTGCTCTTCTAAAGGAAAGTTCAACTCTATGCGTTGAATACACACAGCACAAAGAAGTTACTGAGACTTCTCCTATCAAACATTATATGAAGAAATCCCGTTTCCAACGAAGGCCTCAAAGAGGTCCAAATATCTGCTTGCAGACTTTACAGACAGAGTGTTTCCAAACTGCTCCATCAAAAGAAAGGTTAAACTCCTTGAGTTGAACACACACATCACAAAGTAGTTTCTGTGAATGATTCTGTCTAGTTTTTATACGAAGATGTTTCCTTTTCTACCTTTGGTCTCAAAGCGATTGAAATCTCCACATGGAAACTCCACAAAAAGAGTGTTACAAATCTGCTCTTTCTGAAGGAAGGTTCAACTCTGTGAGTTGAATACACACACCACAAATAAGTTACTGAGAATTCTTCTGTGTAACATTATATGAGGAAATCCCGTTTCCAACGAAGGCCTCAAAGAGATCCAAATATCCACTTGCAGACTTTACAAAGACAGTGTCTCCAAACTCCTCCATCAAAAGAAAGGTTATACTCTGTGAATTGAACGCACACATCACAAAGTAGTTTCTGAGAATGATTCTATCTAGTTTTTATACGAAGATATTTCCTTTTCTACATTTGGCCTAAAAGCACTTGAAATCTCCTCCTGCAAATATCACAAAAAGAAGGTTTCACATCTGCTCTCTCTAAAGGACAGTTCACCTCTGTGAGTTGAATAGAGGCAACACAAAGAATTTACTCAGTATTCTTCTTTCTAGCGTTCTATGAAGAAATCCCGTTTCCAACGAAGGCCTCAAAGAGGTCCAAATATCTGCTTGCAGACTTTACAGACAGAGTGTTTCCAAACTACTCTATGAAAAGAAAGCTTAAACTCCTTGAGTTGAACGCACACATCACAAAGTAGTTTCTGAGAATGATTCTGTCTAGTTTTTATACGAAGATGTTTCCTTTTCTACGTTTGGTCTCAAAGCGATTGAAATCTCCAACTGGAAACTGCACAAATAGGGTGTTTCAAATCTGCTGTGTCTAAAGGAAGGTTCAACTCTGTGAGTTGAATACACACACCACAAATAAGTTACTGAGAATTCTTCTGTCGAACATTACTTGAAGAAATCCCGTTTCCAAAGAAGGCCTCAAAGAGGTCCAAATATCCACTTGCAGACATTACAAACAGAGTGTTTCCAAACTGCTCCATCAAAAGAAAGGTTAAACTCTGTGAGCTGAACACACACATCAAAAAGAAGTTTCTGTGAATGATTCTGTCTAGATTTTATAAGAAGATGTTTCCTTTTCTACTGTAGGCCTCAAAGCGCTTGAAATCTCCAGCTGCAAATTCCACAAAAAGGGTGTTTAACATCTGCTCTTCTAAAGGAATGTTCAACTCTATGAGTTGAATACACACAGCACAAAGAAGTTACTGAGACTTCTCCTATCAAACATTATATGAAGAAATCCCGTTTCCAACGAAGGCCTCAAAGAGGTCCAAATATCTACTTGCAGACTTTACAGACAGAGTGTTTCCAAACTGCTCCATCAAAAGAAAGGTTAAACTCCTTGAGTTGAACACACACATCACAAAGTAGTTTCTGTGAATGATTCTGTCTAGTTTTTATACGAAGATGTTTCCTTTTCTACCTTTGGTCTCAATGCGATTGAAATCTCCACATGGAAACTCCACAAAAAGAGTGTTTCAAATCTGCTCTTTCTGAAGGAAGGTTCAACTCTGTGAGTTGAATACACACACCACAAATAAGTTACTGAGAATTCTTCTGTGTAACATTATATGAGGAAATCCCGTTTCAAACGAAGGCCTCAAAGAGATCCAAATATCCACTTGCAGAGTTTACAAAGAGAGTGTCTCCAAACTCCTCCATCAGAAGAAAGGTTATACTCTGTGAATTGAACGCACACATCACAAAGTAGTTTCTCAGAATGATTCTGTCTAGTTTTTATACGAAGATATTTCCTTTTCTACATTTGGCCTAAAAGCGCTTGAAATCTCCACCTGCAAATATCACAAAAAGAGGGTTTCACATCTGCTCTGTCTAAAGGACAGTTCACCTCTGTGAGTTGAATAGAGGCAACACAAAGAACTTACTCAGTATTCTTCTTTCTAGCGTTCTATGAAGAAATCCCGTTTCCAACGAAGGCCCCAAAGAGGTCCAAATATCTGCTTGCAGACTTTGCAGACAGAGTGTTTCCAAACTACTCTATGAAAAGAAAGCTTAAACTCCTTGAGTTGAACGCACACATCACAAAGTAGTTTCTGAGAATGATTCTGTCTAGTTTTTATACGAAGATGTTTCCTTTTCTACATTTGGTCTCAAAGCGATTGAAATCTCCAACTGGAAACTGCACAAGTAGGGTGTTTCAAATCTGCTCTGTCTAAAGGAAGGTTCAACTCTGTGAGTTGAATACACACACCACAAATAAGTTACTGAGAATTCTTCTGTCGAACATTACATGAAGAATTCCCGTTTCCAACGAAGGCCTCAAAGAGGTCCAAATATCCACTTGCAGACATTACAAACAGAGTGTTTCCAAACTGCTCCATTAAAAGAAAGGTTAAACTCTGTGAGCTGAACACACACATCAAAAAGAGGTTTCTGTGAATGATTCTGTCTAGATTTTATAAGAAGATGTTTCCTTTTCTACCGTAGGCCTCAAAGCGCTTGAAATCTCCAGCTGCAAATTCCACAAAAAGGGTGTTTAACATCTGCTCTTCTAAAGGAAAGTTCAACTCTATGAGTTGAATACACACAGCACAAAGAAGTTACTGAGACTTCTCCTATCAAACATTATATGAAGAAATCCCGTTTCCATCGAAGGCCTCAAAGAGGTCCAAATATCTGCTTGCAGACTTTACAGACAGAGTGTTTCCAAACTGCTCCATCAAAAGAAAGGTTAACCTCCTTGAGTTGAACACACACATCACAAAGTAGTTTCTGTGAATGATTCTGTCTAGTTTTTATACGAAGATGTTTCCTTTTCTACCTTTGGTCTCAAAGCGATTGAAATCTCCACATGGAAACTCCACAAAAAGAGTGTTTCAAATCTGCTCTTTCTGAAGGAAGGTTCATCTCTGTGAGTTGAATACACACACCACAAATAAGTTACTGAGAATTCTTCTGTGTAACATTATATGAGGAAATCCCGTTTCCAACGAAGGCCTCAAAGAGGTCCAAATATCCACTTGCAGACTTTACAAAGACAGTGTCTCCAAACTCCTCCATCAAAAGAAAGGTTATACTCTGTGAATTGAACGCACACATCACAAAGTAGTTTCTGAGAATGATTCTGTCTAGTTTTTATACGAAGATATTTCCTTTTCTACATTTGGCCTAAAAGTGCTTGAAATCTCCACCTGCAAATATCACAAAAAGAGGGTTTCACATCTGCTCTGTCTAAAGGACAGTTCACCTCTGTGAGTTGAATAGAGGCAACACAAAGAACTTACTCAGTATTCTTCTTTCTAGCAGTTACTATGAAGAAATCCCGTTTCCAACGAAGGCCCCCAAAAGAGGTCCAAATATCTGCTTGCAGACTTTACAGACAGAGTGTTTCCAAACTACTCTATGAAAAGAAAGCTTAAACTCCTTGAGTTGAACGCACACATCACAAAGTAGTTTCTGAGAATGATTCTGTCTAGTTTTTATACGAAGATGTTTCCTTTTCTACATTTGGTCTCAAAGCGATTGAAATCTCCAACTGGAAACTGCACAAATAGGGTGTTTCAAATCTGCTCTGTCTAAAGGAAGGTTCAACTCTGTGAGTTGAATACACACACCACAAATAAGTTACTGAGAATTCTTCTGTCGAACATTACTTGAAGAAATCCCGTTTCCAACGAAGGCCTCAAAGAGGTCCAAATATCCACTTGCAGACATTACAAACAGAGTGTTTCCAAACTGCTCCATCAAAAGAAAGGTTAAACTCTGTGAGCTGAACACACACATCGAAAAGAAGTTTCTGTGAATGATTCTGTCTAGATTTTATAAGAAGATGTTTCCTTTTCTACCGTAGGCCTCAAAGCGCTTGAAATCTCCAGCTGCAAATTCCACAAAAAGGGTGTTTAACATCTGCTCTTTTAAAGGAAAGTTCAACTCTATGAGTTGAATACACACAGCACAAAGAAGTTACTGAGACTTCTCCTATCAAACATTATATGAAGAAATCCCGTTTCCAACGAAGGCCTCAAAGAGGTCCAAATATCTGCTTGCAGACTTTACAGACAGAGTGTTTCCAAACTGCTCCATCAAAAGAAAGGTTAAACTCCTTGAGTTGAACACACACATCACAAAGTAGTTTCTGTGAATGATTCTGTCTAGTTGTTATACGAAGATGTTTCCTTTTCTACCTTTGGTCTCAAAGCGATTGAAATCTCCACATGGAAACTCCACAAAAAGAGTGTTTCAAATCTGCTCTTTCTGAAGGAAGGTTCATCTCTGTGAGTTGAATACACACACCACAAATAAGTTACTGAGAATTCTTCTGGGTAACATTATATGAGGAAATCCCGTTTCCAACGAAGGCCTCAAAGAGGTCCAAATATCCACTTGCAGACTTTACAAAGACAGTGTCTCCAAACTCCTCCATCAAAAGAAAGGTTATACTCTGTGAATTGAACGCACACATCACAAAGTAGTTTCTGAGAATGATTCTGTCTAGTTTTTATACGAAGATATTTCCTTTTCTACATTTGGCCTAAAAGCGCTTGAAATCTCCACCTGCAAATATCACAAAAAGAGGGTTTCACATCTGCTCTGTCTAAAGGACAGTTCACCTCTGTGAGTTGAATAGAGGCAACACAGAGAACTTACTCAGTATTCTTCTTTCTAGCGTTCTATGAAGAAATCCCGTTTCCAACGAAGGCCTCAAAGAGGTCAAATATCTGCTTGCAGACTTTACAGACAGAGTGTTTCCAAACTACTCTATGAAAAGAAAGCTTAAACTCCTTGAGTTGAACGCACACATCACAAAGTAGTTTCTGAGAATGATTCTGTCTAGTTTTTATACGAAGATGTTTCCTTTTCTACATTTGGTCTCAAAGCGATTGAAATCTCCAACTGGAAACTGCACAAATAGGCTGTTTCAAATCTGCTCTGTCTAAAGGAAGGTTCAGCTCTGTGAGTTGAATACACACACCACAAATAAGTTACTGAGAATTCTTCTGTCAAACATTACAGGAAGAAATCCCGTTTCCAACGAAGGCCTCAAAGAGGTCCAAATATCCACTTGCAGACATTACAAACAGTGTGTTTCCCAACTGCTCCATCAAAAGAAAGGTTAAACTCTGTGAGCTGAACACACACATCAAAAAGAAGTTTCTGTGAATGATTCTGTCTAGATTTTATAAGAAGATGTTTCCTTTTCTACCGTAGGCCTCAAAGCGCTTGAAATCTCCAGCTGCAAATTCCACAAAAAGGGTGTTTAACATCTGCTCTTCTAAAGGAAAGTTCAACTCTATGAGTTGAATACACACAGCACAAAGAAGTTACTGAGACTTCTCCTATCAAACATTATATGAAGAAATCCCGTTTCCAACGAAGGCCTCAAAGAGGTCCAAATATCTGCTTGCAGACTTTACAGACAGAGTGTTTCCAAACTGCTCCATCAAAAGAAAGGTTAAACTCCTTGAGTTGAACACACACATCACAAAGTAGTTTCTGTGAATGATTCTGTCTAGTTTTTATACGAAGATGTTTCCTTTTCTACCTTTGGTCTCAAAGCGATTGAAATCTCCACATGGAAACTCCACAAAAAGAGTGTTTCAAATCTGCTCTTTCTGAAGGAAGGTTCATCTCTGTGAGTTGAATACACACACCACAAATAAGTTACTGAGAATTCTTCTGTGTAACATTATATGAGGAAATCCCGTTTCCAACGAAGGCCTCAAAGAGGTCCAAATATCTGCTTGCAGACTTTACAGACAGAGTGTTTCCTAACTACTCTATGAAAAGAAAGCTTAAACTCCTTGAGTTGAACGCACACATCACAAAGTAGTTTCTGAGAATGATTCTGTCTAGTTTTTATACGAAGATGTTTCCTTTTCTACATTTGGTCTCAAAGCGATTGAAATCTCCAACTGGAAACTGCACAAATAGGGTGTTTCAAATCTGCTCTGTCTAAAGGAAGGTTCAACTCTGTGAGTTGAATACACACACCACAAATAAGTTACTGAGAATTCTTCTGTCGAACATTACTTGAAGAAATCCCGTTTCCAACGAAGGCCTCAAAGAGGTCCAAATATCCACTTGCAGACATTACAAACAGAGTGTTTCCAAACTGCTCCATCAAAAGAAAGGTTAAACTCTGTGAGCTGAACACACACATCGAAAAGAAGTTTCTGTGAATGATTCTGTCTAGATTTTAGAAGAAGATGTTTCCTTTTCTACCGTAGGCCTCAAAGCGCTTGAAATCTCCAGCTGCAAATTCCACAAAAAGGGTGTTTAACATCTGCTCTTCTAAAGGAAAGTTCAACTCTATGAGTTGAATACACACAGCACAAAGAAGTTACTGAGACTTCTCCTATCAAACATTATATGAAGAAATCCCGTTTCCAACGAAGGCCTCAAAGAGGTCCAAATATCTGCTTGCAGACTTTACAGACAGAGTGTTTCCAAACTGCTCCATCAAAAGAAAGGTTAAACTCCTTGAGTTGAACACACACATCACAAAGTAGTTTCTGTGAATGATTCTGTCTAGTTGTTATACGAAGATGTTTCCTTTTCTACCTTTGGTCTCAAAGCGATTGAAATCTCCACATGGAAACTCCACAAAAAGAGTGTTTCAAATCTGCTCTTTCTGAAGGAAGGTTCATCTCTGTGAGTTGAATACACACACCACAAATAAGTTACTGAGAATTCTTCTGGGTAACATTATATGAGGAAATCCCATTTCCAACGAAGGCCTCAAAGAGGTCCAAATATCCACTTGCAGACTTTACAAAGACAGTGTCTCCAAACTCCTCCATCAAAAGAAAGGTTATACTCTGTGAATTGAACGCACACATCACAAAGTAGTTTCTGAGAATGATTCTGTCTAGTTTTTATACGAAGATATATCCTTTTCTACATTTGACCTAAAAGCGCTTGAAATCTCCACCTGCAAATATCCCAAAAAGAGGGTTTCACATCTGCTCTGTCTAAAGGACAGTTCACCTCTGTGAGTTGAATAGAGGCAACACAAAGAACTTACTCAGTATTCTTCTTTCTACCGTTCTATGAAGAAATCCCGTTTCCAACGAAGGCCTCAAAGAGGTCCAAATATCTGCTTGCAGACTTTACAGACAGAGTGTTTCCAAACTACTCTATGAAAAGAAAGCTTAAACTCCTTGAGTTGAACGCACACATCACAAAGTAGTTTCTGAGAATGATTCTGTCTAGTTTTTATACGAAGATGTTTCCTTTTCTACATTTGGTCTCAAAGCGATTGAAATCTCCAACTGGAAACTGCACAAATAGGTTGTTTCAAATCTGCTCTGTCTAAAGGAAGGTTCAACTCTGTGAGTTGAATACACACACCACAAATAAGTTACTGAGAATTCTTCTGTCGAACATTACATGAAGAAATCCCGTTTCCAACGAAGGCCTCAAAGAGGTCCAAATATCCACTTGCAGACATTACAAACAGAGGGTTTCCAAACTGCTCCATGAAAAGAAAGGTTAAACTCTGTGAGCTGAACACACACATCAAAAAGAAGTTTCTGTGAATGATTCTGTCTAGATTTTATAAGAAGATGTTTCCTTTTCTACCGGAGGCCTCAAAGCGCTTGAAATCTCCAGCTGCAAATTCCACAAAAAGGGTGTTTAACATCTGCTCTTCTAAAGGAAAGTTCAACTCTATGAGTTGAATACACACAGCACAAAGAAGTTACTGAGACTTCTCCTATCAAACATTATATGAAGAAATCCCGTTTCCAACGAAGGCCTCAAAGAGGTCCAAATATCTGCTTGCAGACTTTACAGACAGAGTGTTTCCAAACTGCTCCATCAAAAGAAAGGTTAAACTCCTTGAGTTGAACACACACATCACAAAGTAGTTTCTGTGAATGATTCTGTCTAGTTGTTATACGAAGATGTTTCCTTTTCTACCTTTGGTCTCAAAGCGATTGAAATCTCCACATGGAAACTCCACAAAAAGAGTGTTTCAAATCTGCTCTTTCTGAAGGAAGGTTCAACTCTGTGAGTTGAATACACACACCACAAATAAGTTACTGAGAATTCTTCTGTGTAACATTATATGAGGAAATCCCGTTTCCAACGAAGGCCTCAAAGAGGTCCAAATATCCACTTGCAGACTTTACAAAGACAGTGTCTCCAAACTCCTCCATCAAAAGAAAGGTTATACTCTGTGAATTGAACGCACACATCACAAAGTAGTTTCTGAGAATGATTCTGTCTAGTTTTTATACGAAGATATTTCCTTTTCTACATTTGGCCTAAAAGCGCTTGAAATCTCCACCTGCAAATATCACAAAAAGAGGGTTTCACATCTGCTCTGTCTAAAGGACAGTTCACCTCTGTGAGTTGAATAGAGGCAACACAAAGAACTTACTCAGTATTCTTCTTTCTAGCGTTCTATGAAGAAATCCCGTTTCCAACGAAGGCCCCAAAGAGGTCCAAATATCTGCTTGCAGTCTTTACAGACAGAGTGTTTCCAAACTACTCTATGAAAAGAAAGCTTAAACTCCCTTGAGTTGAACGCACACATTACAAAGTAGTTTCTGAGAATGATTTTGTCTAGTTTTTATACGAAGATGTTTCCTTTTCTACATTTGGTCTCAAAGCTCTTGAAATCTCCAACTGGAAACTGCACAAATAGGCTGTTTCAAATCTGCTCTGCCTAAAGGAAGGTTCAACTCTGTGAGTTGAATACACACACCACAAATAAGTTACTGAGAATTCTTCTGTCGAACATTACTTGAAGAAATCCCGTTTCCAACGAAGGCCTCAAAGAGGTCCAAATATCCACTTGCAGACATTACAAACAGAGTGTTTCCAAACTGCTCCATCAAAAGAAAGGTTAAACTCTGTGAGCTGAACACACACATCAAAAAGAAGTTTCTGTGAATGATTCTGTCTAGATTTTATAAGAAGATGTTTCCTTTTCTACCGTAGGCCTCAAAGCGCTTGAAATCTCCAGCTGCAAATTCCACAAAAAGGGTGTTTAACATCTGCTCTTCTAAAGGAAAGTTCAACTCTATGAGTTGAATACACACAGCACAAAGAAGTTACTGAGACTTCTCCTATCAAACATCATATGAAGAAATCCCGTTTCCAACGAAGGCCTCAAAGAGGTCCAAATATCTGCTTGCAGACTTTACAGACAGAGTGTTTCCAAACTGCTCCATCAAAAGAAAGGTTAAACTCCTTGAGTTGAACACACACATCACAAAGTAGTTTCTGTGAATGATTCTGTCTAGTTTTTATACGAAGATGTTTCCTTTTCTACCTTTGGTCTCAAAGTGATTGAAATCTCCACATGGAAACTCCACAAAAAGAGTGTTTCAAATCTGCTCTTTCTGAAGGAAGGTTCAAATCTGTGAGTTGAATACACACACCACAAATAAGTTACTGAGAATTCTTCTGTGTAACATTATATGAGGAAATCCCGTTTCCAACGAAGGCCTCAAAGAGATCCAAATATCCACTTGCAGACTTTACAAAGACAGTGTCTCCAAACTCCTCCATCAAAAGAAAGGTTATACTCCGTGAATTGAACGCACACATCACAAAGTAGTTTCTGAGAATGATTCTGTCTAGTTTTTATACGAAGATATTTCCTTTTCTACATTTGGCCTAAAAGCGCTTGAAATCTCCACCTGCAAATATCACAAAAAGAGGGTTTCACATCTGCTCTGTCTGAAGGACAGTTCACCTCTGTGAGTTGAATAGAGGCAACACAAAGAACTTACTCAGTATTCTTCTTTCTAGCGTTCTATGAAGAAATCCCGTTTCCAACGAAGGCCCCAAATAGGTCCAAATATCTGCTTGCAGACTTTACAGACAGATTGTTTGCAAACTACTCTATGAAAAGAAAGCTTAAACTCCTTGAGTTGAACGCACACATCACAAAGTAGTTTCTGAGAATGATTCTGTCTAGTTTTTATACGAAGATGTTTCCTTTTCTACATTTGGTCTCAAAGCGATTGAAATCTCCAACTGGAAACTGCACAAATAGGGTGTTTCAAATCTGCTCTGTCTAAAGGAAGGTTCAACTCTGTGAGTTGAATACACACACCACAAATAAGTTACTGAGAATTCTTCTGTCGAACATTACATGAAGAAATCCCGTTTCCAACGAAGGCCTCAAAGAGGTCCAAATATCCACTTGCAGACATTACAAAGAGAGTGTTTCCAAACTGCTCCATCAAAAGAAAGGTTAAACTCTGTGAGCTGAACACACACATCAAAAAGACGTTTCTGTGAATGATTCTGTCTAGATTTTATAAGAAGATGTTTCCTTTTCTACCGTAGGACTAAAAGCGCTTGAAATCTCCAGCTGCAAATTCCACAAAAAGGGTGTTTAACATCTGCTCTTCTAAAGGAAAGTTGAACTCTATGAGTTGAATACACACAGCACAAAGAAGTTACTGAGACTTCTCCTATCAAACATTATATGAAGAAATCCCGTTTCCAACGAAGGCCTCAAAGAGGTCCAAATATCTGCTTGCAGACTTTACAGACAGAGTGTTTCCAAACTGCTCCATCAAAAGAAAGGTTAACCTCCTTGAGTTGAACACACACATCACAAAGTAGTTTCTGTGAATGATTCTGTCTAGTTTTTATACGAAGATGTTTCCTTTTCTACCTTTGGTCTCAATGCGATTGAAATCTCCACATGGAAACTCCACAAAAAGAGTGTTTCAAATCTGCTCTTTCTGAAGGAAGGTTCAACTCTGTGAGTTGAATACACACACCACAAATAAGTTACTGAGAATTCTTCTGTGTAACATTATATGAGGAAATCCCGTTTCCAACGAAGGCCTCAAAGAGGTCCAAATATCCACTTGCAGACTTTACAAAGACAGTGTCTCCAAACTCCTCCATCAAAAGAAAGGTTATACTCTGTGAATTGAACGCACACATCACAAAGTAGTTTCTGAGAATGATTCTGTCTAGTTTTTATACGAAGATATTTCCTTTTCTACATTTGGCCTAAAAGCGCTTGAAATCTCCACCTGCAAATATCACAAAAAGAGGGTTTCACATCTGCTCTGTCTAAAGGACAGTTCACCTCTGTGAGTTGAATAGAGGCAACACAAAGAACTTACTCAGTATTCTTCTTTCTAGCGTTCTATGAAGAAATCCCGTTTCCAACGAAGGCCCCAAAGAGGTCCAAATATCTGCTTGCAGACTTTACAGACAGAGTGTTTCCAAACTACTCTATGAAAAGAAAGCTTAAACTCCTTGAGTTGAACGCACACATCACAAAGTAGTTTCTGAGAATGATTCTGTCTAGTTTTTATACGAAGATGTTTCCTTTTCTACATTTGGTCTCAAAGCGATTGAAATCTCCACCTGGAAACTGCACAAATAGGGTGTATCAAATCTGCTCTGTCTAAAGAAGGTTCAACTCTGTGAGTTGAATACACACACCACAAATAAGTTACTGAGAATTCTTCCGTCGAACATTACTTGAAGAAATCCCGTTTCCAACGAAGGCCTCAAGGAGGTCCAAATAACCACTTGCAGACATTACAAACAGAGTGTTTCCAAACTGCTCCATCAAAAGAAAGGTTAAACTCTGTGAGCTGAACACACACATCAAAAAGAAGTTTCTGTGAATGATTCTGTCTAGATTTTATAAGAAGATGTTTCCTTTTCTACCGTAGGCCTCAAAGCGCTTGAAATCTCCAGCTGCAAATTCCACAAAAAGGGTGTTTAACATCTGCTCTTCTAAAGGAAAGTTCAACTCTATGAGTTGAATACACACAGCACAAAGAAGTTACTGAGACTTCTCCTATCAAACATTATATGAAGAAATCCCGTTTCCAACGAAGGCCTCAAAGAGGTCCAAATATCTGCTTGCAGACTTTACAGACAGAGTGTTTCCAAACTGCTCCATCAAAAGAAAGGTTAAACTCCTTGAGTTGAACACACACATCACAAAGTAGTTTCTGTGAATGATTCTGTCTAGTTTTTATACGAAGATGTTTCCTTTTCTACCTTTGGTCACAAAGCGATTGAAATCTCCACATGGAAACTCCACAAAAAGAGTGTTTCAAATCTGCTCTTTCTGAAGGAAGGTTCAACTCTGTGAGTTGAATACACACACCACAAATAAGTTACTGAGAATTCTTCTGTGTAACATTATATGAGGAAATCCCGTTTCCAACGAAGGCCTCAAAGAGGTCCAAATATCCACTTGCAGACTTTACAAAGACAGTGTCTCCAAACTCCTCCATCAAAAGAAAGGTTATACTCTGTGAATTGAACGCACACATCACAAAGTAGTTTCTGAGAATGATTCTGTCTAGTTTTTATACGAAGATATTTCCTTTTCTACATTTGGCCTAAAAGTGCTTGAAATCTCCACCTGCAAATATCACAAAAAGAGGGTTTCACATCTGCTCTGTCTAAAGGACAGTTCACCTCTGTGAGTTGAATAGAGGCAACACAAAGAACTTACTCAGTATTCTTCTTTCTAGCGTTCTATGAAGAAATCCCGTTTCCAACGAAGGCCTCAAAGAGGTCCAAATATCTGCTTGCAGACTTTACAGACAGAGTGTTTCCAAACTACTCTATGAAAAGAAAGCTTAAACTCCTTGAGTTGAACGCACACATCACAAAGTAGTTTCTGAGAATGATTCTGTCTAGTTTTTATACGAAGATGTTTCCTTTTCTACATTTGGTCTCAAAGCGATTGAAATCTCCAACTGGAAACTGCACAAATAGGCTGTTTCAAATCTGCTCTGTCTAAAGGAAGGTTCAACTCTGTGAGTTGAATATACACACCAGAAATAAGTTACTGAAAATTCTTCTGTCGAACATTCCTTGAAGAAATCCCGTTTCCAACGAAGGCCTCAAAGAGGTCCAAATATCCACTTGTAGACATTACAAACAGAGTGTTTCCAAACTGCTCCATCAAAAGAAAGGTTAAACTCTGTGAGCTGAACACACACATCAAAAAGAAGTTTCTGTGAATGATTCTGTCTAGATTTTATAAGAAGATGTTTCCTTTTCTACCGTAGGCCTCAAAGCGCTTGAAATCTCCAGCTGCAAATTCCACAAAAAGGGTATTTAACATGTGCTCTTCTAAAGGAAAGTTCAACTCTATGCGTTGAATACACACAGCACAAAGAAGTTACTGAGACTTCTCCTATCAAACATTATATGAAGAAATCCCGTTTCCAACGAAGGCCTCAAAGAGGTCCAAATATCTGCTTGCAGACTTTACAGACAGAGTGTTTCCAAACTGCTCCATCAAAAGAAAGGTTAAACTCCTTGAGTTGAACACACACATCACAAAGTAGTTTCTGTGAATGATTCTGTCTAGTTTTTATACGAAGATGTTTCCTTTTCTACCTTTGGTCTCAATGCGATTGAAATCTCCACATGGAAACTCCACAAAAAGAGTGTTTCAAATCTGCTCTTTCTGAAGGAAGGTTCAACTCTGTGAGTTGAATACACACACCACAAATAAGTTACTGAGAATTCTTCTGTGTAACATTATATGAGGAAATCCCGTTTCCAACGAAGGCCTCAAAGAGGTCCAAATATCCACTTGCAGACTTTACAAAGACAGTGTCTCCAAACTCCTCCATCAAAAGAAAGGTTATACTCTGTGAATTGAACGCACACATCACAAAGTAGTTTCTGAGAATGATTCTGTCTAGTTTTTATACGAAGATATTTCCTTTTCTACATTTGGCCTAAAAGCGCTTGAAATCTCCACGTGCAAATATCACAAAAAGAGGGTTTCACATCTGCTCTGTCTAAAGGACAGTTCACCTCTGTGAGTTGAATAGAGGCAACACAAAGAACTTACTCAGTATTCTTCTTTCTAGCGTTCTATGAAGAAATCCCGTTTCCAACGAAGGCCCCAATGAGGTCCAAATATCTGCTTGCAGACTTTACAGACAGAGTGTTTCCAAACTACTCTATGAAAAGAAAGCTTAAACTCCTTGAGTTGAACGCACACATCACAAAGTAGTTTCTGAGAATGATTCTGTCTAGTTTTTATACGAAGATGTTTCCTTTTCTACATTTGGTCTCAAAGCGATTGAAATCTCCAACTGGAAACTGCACAAATAGGGTGTTTCAAATCTGCTCTGTCTAAAGGAAGGTTCAACTCTGTGAGTTGAATACACACACCACAAATAAGTTACTGAGAATTCTTCTGTCGAACATTACTTGAAGAAATCCCGTTTCCAAAGAAGGCCTCAAAGAGGTCCAAATATCCACTTGCAGACATTACAAACAGAGTGTTTCCAAACTGCTCCATCAAAAGAAAGGTTAAACTCTGTGAGCTGAACACACACATCAAAAAGAAGTTTCTGTGAATGATTCTGTCTAGATTTTATAAGAAGATGTTTGCTTTTCTACCGTAGGCCTCAAAGCGCTTGAAATCTCCAGCTGCAAATTCCACAAAAAGGGTGTTTAACATCTGCTCTTCTAAAGGAAAGTTCAACTCTATGAGTTGAATACACACAGCACAAAGAAGTTACTGAGACTTCTCCTATCAAACATTATATGAAGAAATCCCGTTTCCAACGAAGGCCTCAAAGAGGTCCAAATATCTGCTTGCAGACTTTACAGACAGAGTATTTCCAAACTGCTCCATCAAAAGAAAGGTTAAACTCCTTGAGTTGAACACACACATCACAAAGTAGTTTCTGTGAATGATTCTGTCTAGTTTTTATACGAAGATGTTTCCTTTTCTACCTTTGGTCTCAAAGCGATTGAAATCTCCACATGGAAACTCCACAAAAAGAGTGTTTCAAATCTGCTCTTTCTGAAGGAAGGTTCAACTCTGTGAGTTGAATACACACACCACAAATAAGTTACTGAGAATTCTTCTGTGTAACATTATATGAGGAAATCCCGTTTCCAACGAAGGCCTCAAAGAGGTCCAAATATCCACTTGCAGACTTTACAAAGACAGTGTCTCCAAACTCCTCCATCAAAAGAAAGGTTATACTCTGTGAATTGAACGCACACATCACAAAGTAGTTTCTGAGAATGATTCTGTCTAGTTTTTATACGAAGATATTTCCTTTTCTACATTTGGCCTAAAAGCGCTTGAAATCTCCACCTGCAAATATCACAAAAAGAGGGTTTCACATCTGCTCTGTCTAAAGGACAGTTCACCTCTGTGAGTTGAATAGAGGCAACACAAAGAACTTACTCAGTATTCTTCTTTCTAGCGTTCTATGAAGAAATCCCGTTTCCAACGAAGGCCTCAAAGAGGTCAAATATCTGCTTGCAGACTTTACAGACAGAGTGTTTCCAAACTACTCTATGAAAAGAAAGCTTAAACTCCTTGAGTTGAACGCACACATCACAAAGTAGTTTCTGAGAATGATTCTGTCTAGTTTTTATACGAAGATGTTTCCTTTTCTACATTTGGTCTCAAAGCGATTGAAATCTCCAACTGGAAACTGCACAAATAGGCTGTTTCAAATCTGCTCTGTCTAAAGGAAGGTTCAACTCTGTGAGTTGAATACACACACCACAAATAAGTTACTGAGAATTCTTCTGTCGAACATTACAGGAAGAAATCCCGTTTCCAACGAAGGCCTCAAAGAGGTCCAAATATCCACTTGCAGACATTACAAACAGTGTGTTTCCCAACTGCTCCATCAAAAGAAAGGTTAAACTCTGTGAGCTGAACACACACATCAAAAAGAAGTTTCTGTGAATGATTCTGTCTAGATTTTATAAGAAGATGTTTCCTTTTCTACCGTAGGCCTCAAAGCGCTTGAAATCTCCAGCTGCAAATTCCACAAAAAGGGTGTTTAACATCTGCTCTTCTAAAGGAAAGTTCAACTCTATGAGTTGAATACACACAGCACAAAGAAGTTACTGAGACTTCTCCTATCAAACATTATATGAAGAAATCCCGTTTCCAACGAAGGCCTCAAAGAGGTCCAAATATCTGCTTGCAGACTTTACAGACAGAGTGTTTCCAAACTGCTCCATCAAAAGAAAGGTTAAACTCCTTGAGTTGAACACACACATCACAAAGTAGTTTCTGTGAATGATTCTGTCTAGTTGTTATACGAAGATGTTTCCTTTTCTACCTTTGGTCTCAAAGCGATTGAAATCTCCACATGGAAACTCCACAAAAAGAGTGTTTCAAATCTGCTCTTTCTGAAGGAAGGTTCATCTCTGTGAGTTGAATACACACACCACAAATAAGTTAGTGAGAATTCTTCTGGGTAACATTATATGAGGAAATCCCGTTTCCAACGAAGGCCTCAAAGAGGTCCAAATATCCACTTGCAGACTTTACAAAGACAGTGTCTCCAAACTCCTCCATCAAAAGAAAGGTTATACTCTGTGAATTGAACGCACACATCACAAAGTAGTTTCTGAGAATGATTCTGTCTAGTTTTTATACGAAGATATTTCCTTTTCTACATTTGGCCTAAAAGCGCTTGAAATCTCCACCTGCAAATATCACAAAAAGAGGGTTTCACATCTGCTCTGTCTAAAGGACAGTTCACCTCTGTGAGTTGAATAGAGGCAACACAAAGAACTTACTCAGTATTCTTTCTTTCTAGCGTTCTATGAAGAAATCCCGTTTCCAACGAAGGCCCCAAAGAGGTCCAAATATCTGCTTGCAGACTTTACAGACAGAGTGTTTCCAAACTACTCTATGAAAAGAAAGCTTAAACTCCTTGAGTTGAACGCACACATCACAAAGTAGTTTCTGAGAATGATTCTGTCTAGTTTTTATACGAAGATGTTTCCTTTTCTACGTTTGGTCTCAAAGCGATTGAAATCTCCAACTGGAAACTGCACAAATAGGCTGTTTCAAATCTGCTCTGTCTAAAGGAAGGTTCAACTCTGTGAGTTGAATACACACACCACAAATAAGTTACTGAGAATTCTTCTGTCGAACATTACTTGAAGAAATCCCGTTTCCAACGAAGGCCTCAAAGAGGTCCAAATATCCACTTGCAGACATTACAAACAGATTGTTTCCAACCTGCTCCATCAAAAGAAAGGTTAAACTCTGTGAGCTGAACACACACATCAAAAAGAAGTTTCTGTGAATGATTCTGTCTAGATTTTATAAGAAGATATTTCCTTTTCTACCGTAGGCCTCAAAGCGCTTGAAATCTCCAGCTGCAAATTCCACAAAAAGGGTGTTTAACATCTGCTCTTCTAAAGGAAAGTTCAACTCTATGAGTTGAATACACACAGCACAAAGAAGTTACTGAGACTTCTCCTATCAAACATTATATGAAGAAATCCCGTTTCCAACGAAGGCCTCAAAGAGGTCCAAATATCTGCTTGCAGACTTTACAGACAGAGTGTTTCCAAACTGCTCCATCAAAAGAAAGGTTAAACTCCTTGAGTTGAACACACACATCACAAAGTAGTTTCTGTGAATGATTCTGTCTAGTTTTTATACGAAGATGTTTCCTTTTCTACCTTTGGTCTCAAAGCGATTGAAATCTCCAAATGGAAACTCCACAAAAAGAGTGTTTCAAATCTGCTCTTTCTGAAGGAAGGTTCATCTCTGTGAGTTGAATACACACACCACAAATAAGTTACTGAGAATTCTTCTGTGTAACATTATATGAGGAAATCCCGTTTCCAACGAAGGCCTCAAAGAGGTCCAAATATCCACTTGAAGACTTTACAAAGACAGTGTCTCCAAACTCCTCCATCAAAAGAAAGGTTATACTCTGTGAATTGAACGCACACATCACAAAGTAGTTTCTGAGAATGATTCTGTCTAGTTTTTATACGAAGATATTTCCTTTTCTACATTTGGCCTAAAAGCGCTTGAAATCTCCACCTGCAAATATCACAAAAAGAGGGTTTCACATCTGCTCTGTCTAAAGGACAGTTCACCTCTGTGAGTTGAATAGAGGCAACACAAAGAACTTACTCAGTATTCTTCTTTCTAGCATTCTATGAAGAAATCCCGTTTCCAACGAAGGCCCCAAAGAGGTCCAAATATCTGCTTGCAGACTTTACAGACAGAGTTTTTCCAAACTGCTCCATCAAAAGAAAGGTTAAACTCCTTGAGTTGAACACACACATCACAAAGTAGTTTCTGTGAATGATTCTGTCTAGTTTTTATAAGAAGATGTTTCCTTTTCTACCTTTGGTCTCAAAGCGATTGAAATCTCCACATGGAAACTCCTCAAAAAGAGTGTTTCAAATCTGCTCTTTCTGAAGGAAGGTTCAACTCTGTGAGTTGAATACACACACCACAAATAAGTTACTGAGAATTCTTCTGTGTAACATTATATGAGGAAATCCCGTTTCCAACGAAGGCCTCAAAGAGGTCCAAATATCCACTTGCAGACTTTACAAAGACAGTGTCTCCAAACTCCTCCATCAAAAGAAAGGTTATACTCTGTGAATTGAACGCACACATCACAAAGTAGTTTCTGAGAATGATTCTGTCTAGTTTTTATACGAAGATATTTCCTTTTCTACATTTGGCCTAAAAGCGCTTGAAATCTCCACCTGCAAATATCACAAAAAGAGGGTTTCACATCTGCTCTGTCTAAAGGACAGTTCACCTCTGTGAGTTGAATAGAGGCAACACAAAGAACTTACTCAGTATTCTTCTTTCTAGCGTTCTATGAAGAAATCCCGTTTCCAACGAAGGCCCCAAAGAGGTCCAAATATCTGCTTGCAGACTTTACAGACAGAGTGTTTCCAAACTACTCTATGAAAAGAAAGCTTAAACTCCTTGAGTTGAACGCACACATCACAAAGTAGTTTCTGAGAATGATTCTGTCTAGTTTTTATACGAAGATGTTTCCTTTTCTACATTTGGTCTCAAAGCGATTGAAATCTCCAACTGGAAACTGCACAAATAGGGTGTTTCAAATCTGCTCTGTCTAAAGGAAGGTTGAACTCTGTGAGTTGAATACACACACCACAAATAAGTTACTGAGAATTCTTCTGTCGAACATTACAGGAAGAAATCCCGTTTCCAACGAAGGCCTCAAAGAGGTCCAAATATCCACTTGCAGACATTACAAACAGAGTGTTTCCAAACTGCTCCATCAAAAGAAAGGTTAAACTCTGTGAGCTGAACACACACATCAAAAAGAAGTTTCTGTGAATGATTCTGTCTAGATTTTATAAGAAGATGTTTCCTTTTCTACCGTAGGCCTCAAAGCGCTTGAAATCTCCAGCTGCAAATTCCACAAAAAGGGTGTTTAACATCTGCTCTTCTAAAGGAAAGTTCAACTCTATGAGTTGAATACACACAGCACAAAGAAGTTACTGAGACTTCTCCTATCAAACATTATATGAAGAAATCCCGTTTCCAACGAAGGCCTCAAAGAGGTCCAAATATCTGCTTGCAGACTTTACAGACAGAGTTTTTCCAAACTGCTCCATCAAAAGAAAGGTTAAACTCCTTGAGTTGAACACACACATCACAAAGTAGTTTCTGTGAATGATTCTGTCTAGTTTTTATACGAAGATGTTTCCTTTTCTACCATTGGTTTCAAAGCGATTGAAATCTCCACATGGAAACTCCACAAAAAGAGTGTTTCAAATCTGCTCTTTCTGAAGGAAGGTTCAACTCTGTGAGTTGAATACACACACCACAAATAAGTTACTGAGAATTCTTCTGTGTAACATTATATGAGGAAATCCCGTTTCCAACGAAGGCCTCAAAGAGGTCCAAATATCCACTTGCAGACTTTACAAAGACAGTGTCTCCAAACTCCTCCATCAAAAGAAAGGTTATACTCTGTGAATTGAACGCACACATCACAAAGTAGTTTCTGAGAACGATTCTGTCTAGTTTTCATACGAAGATATTTCCTTTTCTACATTTGGCCTAAAAGCGCTTGAAATCTCCACCTGCAAATATCACAAAAACAGGGTTTCACATCTGCTCTGTCTAAAGGACAGTTCACCTCTGTGAGTTGAATAGAGGCAACACAAAGAACTTACTCAGTATTCTTCTTTCTAGCGTTCTATGAAGAAATCCCGTTTCCAACGAAGGCCTCAAAGAGGTCCAAATATCTGCTTGCAGACATTACAGACAGAGTGTTTCCAAACTACTCTATGAAAAGAAAGCTTAAACTCCTTGAGTTGAACGCACACATCACAAAGTAGTTTCTGAGAATGATTCTGTCTAGTTTTTATACGAAGATGTTTCCTTTTCTACATTTGGTCTCAAAGCGATTGAAATCTCCAACTGGAAACTGCACAAATAGGGTGTTTCAAATCTACTCTGTCTAAAGGAAGGTTCAACTCTGTGAGTTGAATACACACACCACAAATAAGTTACTGAGAATTCTTCTGTCGAACATTACAGGAAGAAATCCCGTTTCCAACGAAGGCCTCAAAGAGGTCCAAATATCCACTTGCAGACATTACAAACAGAGTGTTTCCAAACTGCTCCATCAAAAGAAAGGTTAAACTCTGTAAGCTGAACACACACATCAAAAAGAAGTTTCTGTGAATGATTCTGTCTAGATTTTATAAGAAGATGTTTCCTTTTCTACCGTAGGCCTCAAAGCGCTTGAAATCTCCAGCTGCAAATTCCACAAAAAGGGTGTTTAACATCTGCTCTTCTAAAGGAAAGTTCAACTCTATGAGTTGAATACACACAGCACAAAGAAGTTACTGAGACTTCTCCTATCAAACATCATATGAAGAAATCCCGTTTCCAACGAAGGCCTCAAAGAGGTCCAAATATCTGCTTGCAGACTTTACAGACAGAGTGTTTCCAAACTGCTCCATCAAAAGAAAGGTTAAACTCCTTGAGTTGAACACACACATCACAAAGTAGTTTCTGTGAATGATTCTGTCTAGTTTTTATACGAAGATGTTTCCTTTTCTACCTTTGGTCTCAAAGCGATTGAAATCTCCACATGGAAACTCCACAAAAAGAGTGTTTCATATCTGCTCTTTCTGAAGGAAGGTTCAACTCTGTGAGTTGAATACACACACCACAAATAAGTTACTGAGAATTCTTCTGTGTAACATTATATGAGGAAATCCCGTTTCCAACGAAGGCCACAAAGAGGTCCAAATATCCACTTGCAGACTTTACAAAGACAGTGTCTCCAAACTCGTCCATCAAAAGAAAGGTTATACTCTGTGAATTGAACGCACACATCACAAAGTAGTTTCTGAGAATGATTCTGTCTAGTTTTTATACGAAGATATTTCCTTTTCTACATTTGGCCTAAAAGCGCTTGAAATCTCCACCTGCAAATATCCCAAAAAGAGGGTTTCACATCTGCTCTGTCTAAAGGACAGTTCACCTCTGTGAGTTGAATAGAGGCAACACAAAGAACTTACTCAGTATTCTTCTTTCTAGCGTTCTATGAAGAAATCCCGTTTCCAACGAAGGCCTCAAAGAGGTCCAAATATCTGCTTGCAGACTTTACAGACAGAGTGTTTCCAAACTGCTCTATGAAAAGAAAGCTTAAACTCCTTGAATTGAACGCACACATCACAAAGTAGTTTCTGAGAATGATTCTGTCTAGTTTTTATACGAAGATGTTTCCTTTTCTACATTTGGTCTCAAAGCGATTGAAATCTCCAACTGGAAACTGCACAAATAGGGTGTTTCAAATCTGCTCTGTCTAAAGGAAGGTTCAACTCTGTGAGTTGAATACACACACCACAAATAAGTTACTGAGAATTCTTCTGTCGAACATTACTTGAAGAAATCCCGTTTCCAACGAAGGCCTCAAAGACGTCCAAATATCCACTTGCAGACATTACAAACAGAGTGTTTCCAAACTGCTCCATCAAAAGAAAGGTTAAACTCTGTGAGCTGAACACACACATCAAAAAGAAGTTTCTGTGAATGATTCTGTCTAGATTTTATAAGAAGATGTTTCCTTTTCTACCGTAGGCCTCAAAGCGCTTGAAATCTCCAGCTGCAAATTCCACAAAAAGGGTGTTTAACATCTGCTCTTCTAAAGGAAAGTTCAACTCTATGAGTTGAATACACACAGCACAAAGAAGTTACTGAGACTTGTCCTATCAAACATTATATGAAGAAATCCCGTTTCCAACGAAGGCCTCAAAGAGGTCCAAATATCTGCTTGCAGACTTTACAGACAGAGTGTTTCCAAACTGCTCCATCAAAAGAAAGGTTAACCTCCTTGAGTTGAACACACACATCACAAAGTAGTTTCTGTGAATGATTCTGTCTAGTTTTTATACGAAGATGTTTCCTTTTCTACCTTTGGTCTCAAAGCGATTGAAATCTCCACATGGAAACTCCACAAAAAGAGTGTTTCAAATCTGCTCTTTCTGAAGGAAGGTTCATCTCTGTGAGTTGAATACACACACCACAAATAAGTTACTGAGAATTCTTCTGTGTAACATTATATGAGGAAATCCCGTTTCCAACGAAGGCTTCAAAGAGGTCCAAATATCCACTTGCAGACTTTACAAAGACAGTGTCTCCAAACTCCTCCATCAAAAGAAAGGTTATACTCTGTGAATTGAACGCACACATCACAAAGTAGTTTCTGAGAATGATTCTGTCTAGTTTTTATACGAAGATATTTCCTTTTCTACATTTGGCCTAAAAGCGCTTGAAATCTCCACCTGCAAATATCACAAAAAGAGGGTTTCACATCTGCTCTGTCTAAAGGACAGTTCACCTCTGTGAGTTGAATAGAGGCAACACAAAGAACTTACTCAGTATTCTTCTTTCTAGCGTTCTATGAAGAAATCCCGTTTCCAACGAAGGCCCCAAAGAGGTCCAAATATCTGCTTGCAGACTTTACAGACAGAGTGTTTCCAAACTACTCTATGAAAAGAAAGCTTAAACTCCTTGAGTTGAACGCACACATCACAAAGTAGTTTCTGAGAATGATTCTGTCTAGTTTTTATACGAAGATGTTTCCTTTTCTACATTTGGTCTCAAAGCGATTGAAATCTCCAACTGGAAACTGCACAAATAGGCTTTTTCAAATCTGCTCTGTCTAAAGGAAGGTTCAACTCTGTGAGTTGAATACACACACCACAAAGAAGTTACTGAGAATTCTTCTGTCGAACATTACTTGAAGAAATCCCGTTTCCAACGAAGGCCTCAAAGAGGTCCAAATATCCACTTGCAGACATTACAAACAGAGTGTTTCCAAACTGCTCCATCAAAAGAAAGGTTAAACTCTGTGAGCTGAACACACACATCAAAAAGAAGTTTCTGTGAATGATTCTGTCTAGATTTTATAAGAAGATGTTTCCTTTTCTACCGTCGGCCTCAAAGCGCTTGAAATCTCCAGCTGCAAATTCCACAAAAAGGGTGTTTAACATCTGCTCTTCTAAAGGAAAGTTCAACTCTATGAGTTGAATACACACAGCACAAAGAAGTTACTGAGACTTCTCCTATCAAACATTATATGAAGAAATCCCGTTTCCAACGAAGGCCTCAAAGAGGTCCAAATATCTGCTTGCAGACTTTACAGACAGAGTGTTTCCAAACTGCTCCATCAAAAGAAAGGTTAAACTCCTTGAGTTGAACACACACATCACAAAGTAGTTTCTGTGAATGATTCTGTCTAGTTTTTATACGAAGATGTTTCCTTTTCTACCTTTGGTCTCAATGCGATTGAAATCTCCACATGGAAACTCCACAAAAAGAGTGTTTCAAATCTGCTCTTTCTGAAGGAAGGTTCAACTCTGTGAGTTGAATACACACACCACAAATAAGTTACTGAGAATTCTTCTGTGTAACATTATATGAGGAAATCCCGTTTCCAACGAAGGCCTCAAAGAGGTCCAAATATCCACTTGCAGACTTTACAAAGACAGTGTCTCCAAACTCCTCCATCAACAGAAAGGTTATACTCTGAATTGAACGCACACATCACAAAGTAGTTTCTGAGAATGATTCTGTCTAGTTTTTATACGAAGATATTTCCTTTTCTACATTTGGCCTAAAAGCGCTTGAAATCTCCACCTGCAAATATCACAAAAACAGGGTTTCACATCTGCTCTGTCTAAAGGACAGTTCACCTCTGTGAGTTGAATAGAGGCAACACAAAGAACTTACTCAGTATTCTTCTTTCTAGCGTTCTATGAAGAAATCCCGTTTCCAACGAAGGCCCCAAAGAGGTCCAAATATCTGCTTGCAGACTTTACAGACAGAGTGTTTCCAAACTACTCTATGAAAAGAAAGCTTAAACTCCTTGAGTTGAACGCACACATCACAAAGTAGTTTCTGAGAATGATTCTGTCTAGTTTTTATACGAAGATGTTTCCTTTTCTACATTTGGTCTCAAAGCGATTGAAATCTCCAACTGGAAACTGCACAAATAGGGTGTTTCAAATCTGCTCTGTCTAAAGGAAGGTTCAACTCTGTGAGTTGAATACACACACCACAAATAAGTTACTGAGAATTCTTGTGTCGAACATTACTTGAAGAAATCCCGTTTCCAACGAAGGCCTCAAAGAGGTCCAAATATTCACTTGCAGATATTACAAACAGAGTGTTTCCAAACTGCTCCATCAAAAGAAAGGTTAAACTCTGTGAGCTGAACACACACATCAAAAAGAAGTTTCTGTGAATGATTCTGTCAAGATTTTATAAGATGTTTCCATTTCTACCGTAGGACTCAAAGCGCTTGAAATCTCCAGCTGCAAATTCCACAAAAAGGGTGTTTAACATCTGCTCTTCTAAAGGAAAGTTCAACTCTATGAGTTGAATACACACAGCACAAAGAAGTTACTGAGACTTCTCCTATCAAACATTATATGAAGAAATCCCGTTTCCAACGAAGGCCTCAAAGAGGTCCAAATATCTGCTTGCAGACTTTACAGACAGAGTTTTTCCAAACTGCTCCATCAAAAGAAAGGTTAAACTCCTTGAGTTGAACACACACATCACAATGTAGTTTCTGTGAATGATTCTGTCTAGTTTTTATACGAAGATGTTTCCTTTTCTACCTTTGGTCTCAAAGCGATTGAAATCTCCACATGGAAACTCCACAAAAAGAGTGTTTCAAATCTGCTCTTTCTGAAGGAAGGTTCAACTCTGTGAGTTGAATACACACACCACAAATAAGTTACTGAGAATTATTCTGTGTAACATTATATGAGGAAATCCCGTTTCCAACGAAGGCCTCAAAGAGGTCCAAATATCCACACGCAGACTTTACAAAGACAGTGTCTCCAAACTCCTCCATCAAAAGAAAGGTTATACTCTGTGAATTGTACGCACACATCACAAAGTAGTTTCTGAGAATGATTCTGTCTAGTTTTTATACGAAGATATTTCCTTTTCTACATTTGGCCTAAAAGCGCTTGAAATCTCCACCTGCAAATATCACAAAAAGAGGGTTTCACATCTGCTCTGTCTAAAGGACAGTTCACCTCTGTGAGTTGAATAGAGGCAACACAAAGAACTTACTCAGTATTCTTCTTTCTAGCGTTCTATGAAGAAATCCCGTTTCCAACGAAGACCCCAATGAGGTCCAAATATCTGCTTGCAGACTTTACAGACAGAGTGTTTCCAAACTACTCTATGAAAAGAAAGCTTAAACTCCTTGAATTGAACGCACATATCACAAAGTAGTTTCTGAGAATGATTCTGTCTAGTTTTTATACGAAGATGTTTCCTTTTCTACATTTGGTCTCAAAGCGATTGAAATCTCCAACTGGAAACTGCACAAATAGGGTGTTTCAAATCTGCTCTGTCTAAAGGAAGGTTCAACTCTGTGAGTTGAATACACACACCACAAATAAGTTACTGAGAATTCTTCTGTCGAACATTACATGAAGAAATCCCGTTTCCAACGAAGGCCTCAAAGAGGTCCAAATATCCACTTGCAGACATTACAAACAGAGTGTTTCCAAACTGCTCCATCAAAAGAAAGGTTAAACTCTGTGAGCTGAACACACACATCAAAAAGAAGTTTCTGTGAATGATTCTGTCTAGATTTTATAAGAAGATGTTTCCTTTTCTACCGTAGGCCTCAAAGCGCTTGAAATCTCCAGCTGCAAATTCCACAAAAAGGGTGTTTAACATCTGCTCTTCTAAAGGAAAGTTCAACTCTATGAGTTGAATACACACAGCACAAAGAAGTTACTGAGACTTCTCCTATCAAACATTATATGAAGAAATCCCGTTTCCAACGAAGGCCTCAAAGAGGTCCAAATATCTACTTGCAGACTTTACAGACAGAGTGTTTCCAAACTGCTCCATCAAAAGAAAGGTTAAACTCCTTGAGTTGAACACACACATCACAAAGTAGTTTCTGTGAATGATTCTGTCTAGTTTTTATACGAAGATGTTTCCTTTTCTACCTTTGGTCTCAATGCGATTGAAATCTCCACATGGAAACTCCACAAAAAGAGTGTTTCAAATCTGCTCTTTCTGAAGGAAGGTTCATCTCTGTGAGTTGAATACACACACCACAAATAAGTTACTGATAATTCTTCTGTGTAACATTATATGAGGAAATCCCGTTTCCAACGAAGGCCTCAAAGAGGTCCAAATATCCACTTGCAGACTTTACAAAGACAGTGTCTCCAAACTCCTCCATCAAAAGAAAGGTTATACTCTGTGAATTGAACGCACACATCACAAAGTAGTTTCTGAGAATGATTCTGTCTAGTTTTTATACGAAGATATTTCCTTTTCTACATTTGGCCTAAAAGCGCTTGAAATCTCCACCTGCAAATATCACAAAAAGAGGGTTTCACATCTGCTCTGTCTAAAGGACAGTTCACCTCTGTGAGTTGAATAGAGGCAACACAAAGAACTTACTCAGTATTCTTCTTTCTAGCGTTCTATGAAGAAATCCCGTTTCCAACGAAGGCCCCAAAGAGGTCCAAATATCTGCTTGCAGACTTTACAGACAGAGTGTTTCCAAACTACTCTATGAAAAGAAAGCTTAAACTCCTTGAGTTGAACGCACACATCACAAAGTAGTTTCTGAGAATGATTCTGTCTTGTTTTTATACGAAGATATTTTCGTTTCTATGATTGGCCTCAAAGCCATTGAAATCTCCACCTGGAAACTGCACAAATTGTGTGTTTCAAATCGGCTCTGTCTAAAGGAAGGTTCAACTCTGTGAGTTGAATACACACACCACAAATAAGTTACTGAGAATTCTTCTGTCGAACATTACATGAAGAAATCCCGTTTCCAACGAAGGCCTCAAAGAGGTCCAAATATCCACTTGCAGACATTACAAACAGAGTGTTTCCAAACTGCTCCATCAAAAGAAAGGTTAAACTCTGTGAGCTGAACACACACATCAAAAAGAAGTTTCTGTGAATGATTCTGTCTAGATTTTATAAGAAGATGTTTCCTTTTCTACTGTAGGCCTCAAAGCGCTTGAAATCTCCAGCTGCAAATTCCACAAAAACGGTGTTTAACATCTGCTCTTCTAAAGGGAAGTTCAACTCTATGAGTTGAATACACACAGCACAAAGAAGTTACTGAGACTTCTCCTATCAAACATTATATGAAGAAATCCCTGTTTCCAACGAAGGCCTCAAAGAGGTCCAAATATCTGCTTGCAGACTTTACAGACAGAGTTTTTCCAAACTGCTCCATCAAAAGAAAGGTTAAACTCCTTGAGTTGAACACACACATCACAAAGTAGTTTCTGTGAATGATTCTGTCTAGTTTTTATACGAAGATGTTTCCTTTTCTACCTTTGGTCTCAAAGCGATTGAAATCTCCACATGGAAACTCCACAAAAAGAGTGTTTCAAATCTGCTCTTTCTGAAGGAAGGTTCAACTCTGTGAGTTGAATACACACACCACAAATAAGTTACTGAGAATTCTTCTGTGTAACATTATATGAGGAAATCCCGTTTCCAACGAAGGCCTCAAAGAGGTCCAAATATCCACTTGCAGACTTTACAAAGACAGTGTCTCCAAACTCCTCCATCAAAAGAAAGGTTATACTCTGTGAATTGAACGCACACATCACAAAGTAGTTTCTGAGAATGATTCTGTCTAGTTTTTATACGAAGATATTTCCTTTTCTACACTTGGCCTAAAAGCGCTTGAAATCTCCAACTGCAAATATCACAAAAAGAGGGTTTCACATCTGCTCTGTCTAAAGGACAGTTCACCTCTGTGAGTTGAATAGAGGGAACACAAAGAACTTACTCAGTATTCTTCTTTCTAGCGTTGTATGAAGAAATCCCGTTTCCAACGAAGGCCTCAAAGAGGTCCAAATATCTGCTTGCAGACTTTACAGACAGAGTGTTTCCAAACTACTCTATGAAAAGAAAGCTTAAAGTCCTTGAGTTGAACGCACACATCACAAAGTAGTTTCTGAGAATGATTCTGTCTAGTTTTTATACGAAGATGTTTCCTTTTCTACATTTGGTCTCCAAGCGATTGAAATCTCCAACTGGAAACTGCACAAATAGGGTGTTTCAAATCTGCTCTGTCTAAAGGAAGGTTCAACTCTGTGAGTTGAATACACACACCACAAATAAGTTACTGAGAATTCTTCTGTCGAACATTACATGAAGAAATCCCGTTTCCAACGAAGGCCTCAAAGAGGTCCAAATATCCACTTGCAGACATTACAAACAGAGTGTTTCCAAACTGCTCCATCAAAAGAAAGGTTAAACTCTGTGAGCTGAACACACACATCAAAAAGAAGTTTCTGTGAATGATTCTGTCTAGATTTTATAAGAAGATGTTTCCTTTTCTACCGTAGGCCTCAAAGCGCTTGAAATCTCCAGCTGCAAATTCCACAAAAAGGGTGTTTAACATCTGCTCTTCTAAAGGAAAGTTCAACTCTATGAGTTGAATACACACAGCACAAAGAAGTTACTGAGACTTCTCCTATCAAACATTATATGAAGAAATCCCGTTTCCAACGAAGGCCTCAAAGAGGTCCAAATATCTGCTTGCAGACTTTACAGACAGAGTTTTTCCAAACTGCTCCATCAAAAGAAAGGTTAAACTCCTTGAGTTGAACACACACATCACAAAGTAGTTTCTGTGAATGATTCTGTCTAGTTTTTATACGAAGATGTTTCCTTTTCTACCTTTGGTCTCAAAGCGATTGAAATCTCCACATGGAAACTCCACAAAAAGAGTGTTTCAAATCTGCTCTTTCTGAAGGAAGGTTCAACTCTGTGAGTTGAATACACACACCACAAATAAGTTACTGAGAATTCTTCTGTGTAACATTATATGAGGAAATCCCTTTTCCAACGAAGGCCTCAAAGAGATCCAAATATCCACTTGCAGACTTTACAAAGACAGTGTCTCCAAACTCCTCCATCAAAAGAAAGGTTATACTCTGTGAATTGAACGCACACATCACAAAGTAGTTTCTGAGAATGATTCTGTCTAGTTTTTATACGAAGATATTTCCTTTTCTACATTTGGCCTAAAAGCGCTTGAAATCTCCACCTGCAAATATCACAAAAAGAGGGTTTCACATCTGCTCTGTCTAAAGGACAGTTCACCTCTGTGAGTTGAGTAGAGGCAACACAAAGAACTTACTCAGTATTCTTCTTTCTAGCGTTCTATGAAGAAATCACGTTTCCAACGAAGGCCCCAAAGAGGTCCAAATATCTGCTTGCAGACTTTACAGACAGAGTGTTTCCAAACTACTCTATGAAAAGAAAGCTTAAACTTCTTGAGTTGAACGCACACATCACAAAGTAGTTTCTGAGAATGATTCTGTCTAGTTTTTATACGAAGATGTTTCCTTTTCTACATTTGGTCTCAAAGCGATTGAAATCTCCAACTGGAAACTGCACAAATAGGGTGTTTCAAATCTGCTCTGTCTAAAGGAAGGTTCAACTCTTTGAGTTGAATACACACACCAGAAATAAGTTACTGAGAATTCTTCTGTCGAACATTACTTGAAGAAATCCCGTTTCCAACGAAGGCCTCAAAGAGGTCCAAATATCGACTTGCAGACATTACAAACAGAGTGTTTCCAAACTGCTCCATCAAAAGAAAGGTTAAACTCTGTGAGCTGAACACACACATCAAAAAGAAGTTTCTGTGAATGATTCTGTCTAGATTTTATAAGAAGGTGTTTCCTTTTCTACTGTAGGCCTCAAAGTGCTTGAAATCTCCAGCTGCAAATTCCACAAAAAGGGTGTTTAACATCTGCTCTTCTAAAGGAAAGTTCAACTCAATGAGTTGAATACACACAGCCCAAAGAAGTTACTGAGACTTCTCCTATCAAACATTATATGAAGAAATCCCGTTTCCAACGAAGGCCTCAAAGAGGTCCAAATATCTGCTTGCAGACTTTACAAAGACAGTGTCTCCAAACTCCTCCATCAAAAGAAAGGTTATACTCTGTGAATTGAACGCACACATCACAAAGTAGTTTCTGAGAATGATTCTGTCTAGTTTTTATACGAAGATATTTCCTTTTCTACATTTGGCCTAAAAGCGCTTGAAGTCTCCACCTGCAAATATCACAAAAAGAGGGTTTCACATCTGCTCTGTCTAAAGGACAGTTCACCTTTGTGAGTTGAATAGAGGCAACACAAAGAACTTCCTCAGTATTCTTCTTTCTAGCGTTCTATGAAGAAATCCCGTTTCCAACGAAGGCCCCAAAGAGGTCCAAATATCTGCTTGCAGACTTTACAGACAGAGTGTTTCCAAACTACTCTATGAAAAGAAAGCTTAAACTCCTTGAGTTGAACGCACACATCACAAAGTAGTTTCTGAGAATGATTCTGTCAAGTTTTTATACAAATGTATTTCCTTTTCTATGGCCTCAAAGCAATTGAAATCTCCAACTGGAAACTGCACAAATAGGGTGTTTCAAATCTGCTCTGTCTAAAGGAAGGTTCAACTCTGTGAGTTGAATACACACACCACAAATAAGTTACTGAGAATTCTTCTGTCGAACATTACAGGAAGAAATCCCGTTTCCAACGAAGGCCTCAAAGAGGTCCAAATATCCACTTGCAGACATTACAAACAGAGTGTTTCCAAACTGCTCCATCAAAAGAAAGGTTAAACTCTGTGAGCTGAACACACACATCAAAAAGAAGTTTCTGTGAATGATTCTGTCTAGATTTTATAAGAAGATGTTTCCTTTTCTACCGTAGGCCTCAAAGCGCTTGAAATCTCCAGCTGCAAATTCCACAAAAAGGGTGTTTAACATCTGCTCTTCTAAAGGAAAGTTCAACTCAATGAGTTGAATACACACAGCAGAAAGAAGTTACTGAGACTTGCTCCTATCAAACATTATATGAATAAATCCCGTTTCCAACGAAGGCCTCAAAGAGGTCCAAATATCTGCTTGCAGACTTTACAGACAGAGTGTTTCCAAACTGCTCCATCAAAAGGAAGGTTAACCTCCTTCAGTTGAACACACACATCACAAAGTAGTTTCTGTGAATGATTCTGTCTAGTTTTTATACGAAGATGTTTCCTTTTCTACCTTTGGTCTCAAAGCGATTGAAATCTCCACATGGAAACTCCACAAAAAGAGTGTTTCAAATCTGCTCTTTCTGAAGGAAGGTTCATCTCTGTGAGTTGAATACACACACCACAAATAAGTTACTGAGAATTCTTCTGGGTAACATTATATGAGGAAATCCCGTTTCCAACGAAGGCCTCAAAGAGGTCCAAATATCCACTTGCAGACTTTACAAAGACAGTGTCTCCAAACTCCTCCATCAAAAGAAAGGTTATACTCTGTGAATTGAACGCACACATCACAAAGTAGTTTCTGAGAATGATTCTGTCTAGTTTTTATATGAAGATATTTCCTTTTCTACATTTGGCCTAAAAGCGCTTGAAATCTCCACCTGCAAATATCACAAAAAGAGGGTTTCACATCTGCTCTGTCTAAAGGACAGTTCACCTCTGTGAGTTGAATAGAGGCAACACAAAGAACTTACTCAGTATTCTTCTTTCTAGCGTTCTATGAAGAAATCCCGTTTCCAACGAAGGCCCCAAAGAGGTCCAAATATCTGCTTGCACACTTTACAGACAGAGTGTTTCCAAACTACTCTATGAAAAGAAAGCTTAAACTCCTTGAGTTGAACGCACACATCACAAAGTAGTTTCTGAGAATGATTCTGTCCAGTTTTTATACGAAGATGTTTCCTTTTCTACATTTGGTCTCAAAGCGATTGAAATCTCCAACTGGAAACTGCACAAATACGGTGTTTCAAATCTGCTCTGTCTAAAGGAAGGTTCAACTCTGTGAGTTGAATACACACACCACAAATAAGTTACTGAGAATTCTTCTGTCGAACATTACTTGAAGAAATCCCGTTTCCAACGAAGGCCTCAAAGAGGTCCAAATATTCACTTGCAGATATTACAAACAGAGTGTTTCCAAACTGCTCCATCAAAAGAAAGGTTAAACTCTGTGAGCTGAACACACACATCAAAAACAAGTTTCTGTGAATGATTCTGTCTAGATTTTATAAGAAGATGTTTCCTTTTCTACCGTAGGACTCAAAGCGCTTGAAATCTCCAGCTGCAAATTCCACAAAAAGGGTGTTTAACATCTGCTCTTCTAAAGGAAAGTTCAACTCTATGAGTTGAAAACACACAGCACAAAGAAGTTACTGAGACTTCTCCTATCAAACATTATATGAAGAAATCCCGTTTCCAACGAAGGCCTCAAAGAGGTCCAAATATCTGCTTGCAGACTTTACAGACAGAGTGTTTCCAAACTGCTCCATCAAAAGAAAGGTTAAACTCCTTGAGTTGAACACACACATCACAAAGTAGTTTCTGTGAATGATTCTGTCTAGTTTTTATACGAAGATGTTTCCTTTTCTACCTTTGGTCTCAATGCGATTGAAATCTCCACATGGAAACTCCACAAAAAGAGTGTTTCAAATCTGCTCTTTCTGAAGGAAGGTTCAACTCTGTGAGTTGAATACACACACCACAAATAAGTTACTGAGAATTCTTCTGTGTAACATTATATGAGGAAATCCCGTTTCCAACGAAGGCCTCAAAGAGATCCAAATATCCACTTGCAGACTTTACAAAGACAGTGTCTCCAAACTCCTCCATCAAAAGAAAGGTTATGCTCTGTGAATTCAACGCACACATCACAAAGTAGTTTCTGAGAATGATTCTGTCTAGTTTTTATACGAAGATATTTCCTTTTCTACATTTGGCCTAAAAGCGCTTGAAATCTCCACCTGCAAATATCACAAAAAGAGGGTTTCACATCTGCTCTGTCTAAAGGACAGTTCACCTCTGTGAGTTGAATAGAGGCAACACAAAGAACTTACTCAGTATTCTTCTTTCTAGCGTTCTATGAAGAAATCCCGTTTCCAACGAAGGCCTCAAAGAGGTCAAATATCTGCTTGCAGACTTTACAGACAGAGTGTTTCCAAACTACTCTATGAAAAGAAAGCTTAAACTCCTTGAGTTGAACGCACACATCACAAAGTAGTTTCTGAGAATGATTCTGTCTAGTTTTTATACGAAGATGTTTCCTTTTCTACATTTGGTCTCAAAGCGATTGAAATCTCCAACTGGAAACTGCACAAATAGGCTGTTTCAAATCTGCTCTGTCTAAAGGAAGGTTCAGCTCTGTGAGTTGAATACACACACCACAAATAAGTTACTGAGAATTCTTCTGTGGAACATTACTTGAAGAAATCCCGTTTCCAACGAAGGCCTCAAAGAGGTCCAAATATCCACTTGCAGACGTTACAAACAGAGTGTTTCCAAACTGCTCCATCAAAAGAAAGGTTAAACTCTGTGAGCTGAACACACACATCAAAAAGAAGTTTCTGTGAATGATTCTGTCTAGATTTTATAAGAAGATGTTTCCTTTTCTACCGTAGGCCTCAAAGCGCTTGAAATCTCCAGCTGCAAATTCCACAAAAAGGGTGTTTAACATCTGCTCTTCTAAAGGAAAGTTCAACTCTATGAGTTGAATACACACAGCACAAAGAAGTTACTGAGACTTCTCCTATCAAACATTATATGAAGAAATCCCGTTTCCAACGAAGGCCTCAAAGAGGTCCAAATATCTGCTTGCAGACTTTACAGACAGAGTGTTTCCAAACTGCTCCATCAAAAGAAAGGTTAAACTCCTTGAGTTGAACACACACATCACAAAGTAGTTTCTGTGAATGATTCTGTCTAGTTTTTATACGAAGATGTTTCCTTTTCTACCTTTGGTCTCAATGCGATTGAAATCTCCACATGGAAACTCCACAAAAAGAGTGTTTCAAATCTGCTCTTTCTGAAGGAAGGTTCAACTCTGTGAGTTGAATACACACACCACAAATAAGTTACTGAGAATTCTTCTGTGTAACATTATATGAGGAAATCCCGTTTCCAACGAAGGCCTCAAAGAGATCCAAATATCCACTTGCAGACTTTACAAAGACAGTGTCTCCAAACTCCTCCATCAAAAGAAAGGTTATACTCTGTGAATTGAACGCACACATCACAAAGTAGTTTCTGAGAATGATTCTGTCTAGTTTTTATACGAAGATATTTCCTTTTCTACATTTGGCCTAAAATCGCTTGAAATCTCCACCTGCAAATATCACAAAAAGAGGGTTTCACATCTGCTCTGTCTAAAGGACAGTTCACCTCTGTGAGTTGAATAGAGGCAACACAAAGAACTTACTCAGTATTCTTCTTTCTAGCGTTCTATGAAGAAATCCCGTTTCCAACGAAGGCCCCAAAGAGGTCCAAATATCTGCTTGCAGACTTTACAGACAGAGTGTTTCCAAACTACTCTATGAAAAGAAAGCTTAAACTCCTTGAGTTGAACGCACACATCACAAAGTAGTTTCTGAGAATGATTCTGTCTAGTTTTTATACGAAGATGTTTCCTTTTCTACATTTGGTCTCAAAGCGATTGAAATCTCCAACTGGAAACTGCACAAATAGGGTGTTTCAAATCTGCTCTGTCTAAAGGAAGGTTCAACTCTGTGAGTTGAATACACACACCACAAATAAGTTACTGAGAATTCTTGTGTCGAACATTACTTGAAGAAATCCCGTTTCCAACGAAGGCCTCAAAGAGGTCCAAATATCCACTTGCAGACATTACAAACAGAGTGTTTCCAAACTGCTCCATCAAAAGAAAGGTTAAACTCTGTGAGCTGAACACACACATCAAAAAGAAGTTTCTGTGAATGATTCTGTCTAGATTTTATAAGAAGATGTTTCCTTTTCTACCGTAGGCCTCAAAGCGCTTGAAATCTCCAGCTTCAAATTCCACAAAAAGGGTGTTTAACATCTGCTCTTCTAAAGGAAAGTTCAACTCTATGCGTTGAATACACACAGCACAAAGAAGTTACTGAGACTTCTCCTATCAAACATTATATGAAGAAATCCCGTTTCCAACGAAGGCCTCAAAGAGGTCCAAATATCTGCTTGCAGACTTTACAGACAGAGTGTTTCCAAACTGCTCCATCAAAAGAAAGGTTAAACTCCTTGAGTTGAACACACACATCACAAAGTAGTTTCTGTGAATGATTCTGTCTTGTTGTTATACGAAGATGTTTCCTTTTCTACCTTTGGTCTCAAAGCGATTGAAATCTCCACATGGAAACTCCACAAAAAGAGTGTTTCAAATCTGCTCTTTCTGAAGGAAGGTTCATCTCTGTGAGTTGAATACACACACCACAAATAAGTTACTGAGAATTCTTCTGTGTAACATTATATGAGGAAATCCCGTTTCCAACGAAGGCCTCAAAGAGGTCCAAATATCCACTTGCAGACTTTACAAAGACAGTGTCTCCAAACTCCTCCATCAAAAGAAAGGTTATACTCTGTGAATTGAACGCACTCATCACAAAGTAGTTTCTGAGAATGATTCTGTCTAGTTTTTATACGAAGATATTTCCTTTTCTACATTTGGCCTAAAAGCGCTTGAAATCTCCACCTGCAAATATCACAAAAAGAGGGTTTCACATCTGCTCTGTCTAAAGGACAGTTCACCTCTGTGAGTTGAATAGAGGCAACACAAAGAACTTACTCAGTATTCTTCTTTCTAGCGTTCTATGAAGAAATCCCGTTTCCAACGAAGGCCTCAAAGAGGTCCAAATATCAGCTTGCAGACTTTACAGACAGAGTGTTTCCAAACTACTCTATGAAAAGAAAGCTTAAACTCCTTGAGTTAAACGCACACATCACAAAGTAGTTTCTGAGAATGATTCTGTCTAGTTTTTATACGAAGATGTTTCCTTTTCTACATTTGGTCTCAAAGCGATTGAAATCTCCAAGTGCAAACTGCACAAATAGGGTGTTTCAAATCTGCTCTGTCTAAAGGAAGGTTCAACTCTGTGAGTTGAATACACACACCACAAATAAGTTACTGAGATTTCTTCTGTCGAACATTACATGAAGAAATCCCGTTTCCAATGAAGGCCTCAAAGAGGTCCAAATATCCACTTGCAGACATTACAAACAGTGTGTTTCCAAACTGCTCCATCAAAAGAAAGGTTAAACTCTGTGAGCTGAACACACACATCAAAAAGAAGTTTCTGTGAGTGATTCTGTCTAGATTTTATAAGAAGATGTTTCCTTTTCTACCGTAGGCCTCAAAGCGCTTGAAATTTCCAGCTGCAAATTCCACAAAAAGGGTGTTTAACATCTGCTCTTCTAAAGGAAAGTTCAACTCTATGAGTTGAATACACACAGCACAAAGAAGTTACTGAGACTTCTCCTATCAAACATTATATGAAGAAATCCCGTTTCCAACGAAGGCCTCAAAGAGGTCCAAATATCTGCTTGCAGACTTTACAGACAGAGTGTTTCCAAACTGCTCCATCAAAAGAAAGGTTAACCTCCTTGAGTTGAACACACACATCACAAAGTAGTTTCTGTGAATGATTCTGTCTAGTTTTTATACGAAGATGTTTCCTTTTCTACCTTTGGTCTCAAAGCGATTGAAATCTCCACATGGAAACTCCACAAAAAAGAGTGTTTCAAATCTGCTCTTTCTGAAGGAAGGTTCAACTCTGTGAGTTGAATACACACACCACAAATAAGTTACTGAGAATTCTCCCTGTGTAACATTATATGAGGAAATCCCGTTTCCAACAAAGGCCTCAAAGAGGTCCAAATATCCACTTGCAGACTTTACAAAGACAGTGTCTCCAAACTCCTCCATCAAAAGAAAGGTTATACTCTGTGAATTGAACGCACACATCACAAAGTAGTTTCTGAGAATGATTCTGTCTAGTTTTTATACGAAGATATTTCCTTTTCTACATTTGGCCTAAAAGCGCTTGAAATCTCCACCTGCAAATATCACAAAAAGAGGGTTTCACATCTGCTCTGTCTAAAGGACAGTTCACCTCTGTGAGTTGAATAGAGGCAACACAAAGAACTTACTCAGTATTCTTCTTTCTAGCGTTATATGAAGAAATCCCGTTTCCAACGAAGGCCTCAAAGAGGTCCAAATATCTGCTTGCAGACTTTACAGACAGAGTGTTTCCAAACTACTCTATGAAAAGAAAGCTTAAACTCCGTGAGTTGAACGCACACATCACAAAGTAGTTTCTGAGAATGATTCTGTCTTGTATTTATACGAAGATATTTCCGTTTCTACGATTGGCCTCAAAGCGATTGAAATCTCCAACTGGAAACTGCACAAATAGGGTGTTTCAAATCTGCTCTGTCTAAAGGAAGGTTCAACTCTGTGAGTTGAATACACACACCACAAATAAGTTACTGAGAATTCTTCTGTGTAACATTATATCGAGGAAATCCCGTTTCCATCGAAGGCCTCAAAGAGGTCCAAATATCCACTTGCAGACTTTACAAAGACAGTGTCTCGAAACTCCTCCATCAAAAGAAAGGTTATACTCTGTGAATTGAACGCACACATCACAAAGTAGTTTCTGAGAATGATTCTGTCTAGTTTTTATACGAAGATATTTCCTTTTCTACATTTGGCCTAAAAGCGCTTGAAATCTCCACCTGCAAATATCACAAAAAGAGGGTTTCACATCTGCTCTGTCTAAAGGACAGTTCACCTCTGTGAGTTGAATAGAGGCAACACAAAGAAGTTACTGAGTATTCTTCTTTCTAGCGTTATATGAAGAAATCCCTTTTCCAACGAAGGGCTCAAATAGGTCCAAATATCTGCTTGCAGACTTTACAGACAGAGTGTTTCCAAACTACTCTATGAAAAGAAAGCTTAAACTCCGTGAGTTGAACGCACACATCACAAAGTAGTTTCTGAGAATGATTCTGTCTTGTTTTTATACGAAGATATTTCCGTTTCTACGATTGGCCTCAAAGCGATTCAAATCTCCAACTGGAAACTGCACAAATAGGGTGTTTCAAATCTGCTCTGTCTAAAGGAAGGTTCCACTCTGTGAGTTGAATACACACACCACAAATAAGTTACTGAGAATTCTTCTGTCGAACATTACATGAAGAAATCCCGTTTCCAACGAAGGCCTGAAAGAGATCCAAATATCCACTTGCCGACATGGCAAACACAGTGTTTGCAAACTGCTCCATCAAAAGAAAGGTTAAAGTCTGTGAGATAAACACACACATCAAAAAGAAGTTTCTGTGAATGATTCTGTCTAGATTTTATAAGATGTTTCCTTTTCTACCATAGGCCTCAAAGCGCTAGAAATCTCCAGCTGCAAATTCCACAAAAAGTGTGTTTAACATCTGCTCTGTCTAAAGTAAAGTTCAGCTCTGTGAGTTGAATACACACAGCACAAAGAAGTTACTGAGACTTCTTCTGTCTAACATTATATGAAGAAATCCCGTTTCCAACGAAGGCCTCAAAGAGGTCCAAATATCCACTTGCAGACTTGTCAAACAGAGTGTTTCCAAACTGCACCATCAAAAGAAAGGTTAAACTCTGTGAGCTGAACACGCACATCACAAAGTAGTTTCTGTGAATGATTCTGTCTCGTTTTTATACGAAGATGTTTCCTTTTCTACCTTTGGTCTCAAAGCGATTGAAATCTCCACATGGAAACTCCACAAAAAGAGTGTTTGAAATCTGCTCTTTCTGAAGGAAGGTTCAACTCTGTGAGTTGAATACACACACCACAAATAAGTTACTGAGCATTCTTCTGTGTAACATTATATGAGGAAATCCCGTTTCCAACGAAGGCCTCAAAGAGGTCCAAATATCCACTTGCAGACTTTACAAAGACAGTGTCTCCAAACTCCTCCATCAAAAGAAAGGTTATACTCTGTGAATTGAACGCACACATCACAAAGTAGTTTCTGAGAATGATTCTGTCTACTTTTTATACGAAGATATTTCCTTTTCTACATTTGGCCTAAAAGCGCTTGAAATCTCCACCTGCAAATATCACAAAAAGAGGGTTTCACATCTGCTCTGTCTAAAGGACAGTTCACCTCTGTGAGTTGAATAGAGGCAACACAAAGAAGTTACTGAGTATTCTTCTTTCTAGCGTTATATGAAGAAATCCCTTCTCCAACGAAGGCCTCAAAGAGGTCCAAATATCTGCTTGCAGACTTTACAGACAGAGTGTTTCCAAACTACTCTATGAAAAGAAAGCTTAAACTCCGTGAGTTGAACACACACATCACAAAGTAGTTTCTGAGAATGATTATCTGTCTTGTTTTTATACGAAGATATTTCCGTTTCTACGATTGGCCTCAAAGCGATTGAAATCTCCAACTGGAAACTGCACAAATAGGGTGTTTCAAATCTGCTCTGTCTAAAGGAAGGTTCAACTCTGTGAGTTGAATACACACACCACAAATAAGTTACTGAGAATTCTTCTGTCGAACATTACATGAAGAAATCCCGTTTCCAACGAAGGCCTCAAAGAGGTCCAAATATCCACTTGCAGACATTACAAACAGAGTGTTTCCAAACTGCTCCATCAAAAGAAAGGTTAAACTCTGTGAGCTGAACACACACATCAAAAAGAAGTTTCTGTGAATGATTCTGTCTAGATTTTCTAAGAAGATGTTTCCTTTTCTACCGTAGGCCTCAAAGCGCTTGAAATCTCCAGCTGCAAATTCCACAAAAAGGGTGTTTAACATCTGCTCTTCTAAAGGAAAGTTCAACTCTATGCGTTGAATACACACAGCAGAAAGAAGTTACTGAGACTTCTCCTATCAAACATTATATGAAGAAATCCCGTTTCCAACGAAGGCCTCAAAGTGGTCCAAATATCTGCTTGCAGACTTTACAGACAGAGTTTTTCCCAACAGCTCCATCAAAAGAAAGGTTAAACTCCTTGAGTTGAACACACACATCACAAAGTAGTTTCTGTGAATGATTCTGTCTAGTTTTTATACGAAGATGTTTCCTTTTCTACCTTTGGTCTCAAAGCGATTGAAATCTCCACATGGAAACTCCACAAAAAGAGTGTTTCAAATCTGCTCTTTCTGAAGGAAGGTTCATCTCTGTGAGTTGAATACACACACCACAAATAAGTTACTGAGAATTCTTCTGTGTAACATTATATGAGGAAATCCCGTTTCCAACGAAGGCCTCAAAGAGGTCCAAATATCCACTTGCAGACTTTACAAAGACAGTGTCTCCAAACTCCTCCATCAAAAGAAAGGTTATACTCTGTGAATTGAACGCACACATCACAAAGTAGTTTCTGAGAATGATTCTGTCTAGTTTTTATACGAAGATATTTCCTTTTCTACATTTGGCCTAAAAGCGCTTGAAATCTCCACCTGCAAATATCACAAAAAGAGGGTTTCACATCTGCTCTGTCTAAAGGACAGTTCACCTCTGTGAGTTGAATAGAGGCAACACAAAGAACTTACTCAGTATTCTTCTTTCTAGCGTTCTATGAAGAAATCCCGTTTCCAACGAAGGCCTCAAGGAGGTCCAAATATCTGCTTGCAGACTTTACAGAGTGTTTCCAAACTACTCTATGAAAAGAAAGCTTAAACTCCTTGAGTTGAACGCACACATCACAAAGTAGTTTCTGAGAATGATTCTGTCTAGTTTTTATACGAAGATGTTTCCTTTTCTACATTTGGTCTCAAAGCGATTGAAATCTCCAACTGGAAACTGCACAAATAGGGTGTTTCAAATCTGCTCTGTCTAAAGGAAGGTTCAACCCTGTGAGTTGAATACACACACCACAAATAAGTTACTGAAAATTCTTCTGTCGAACATTACATGAAGAAATCCCGTTTCCAACGAAGGCCTCAAAGAGGTCCAAATATCCACTTGCAGACATTACAGAGTGTTTCCAAACTGCTCCATCAAAAGAAAGGTTAAACTCTGTGAGCTGAACACACACATCAAAAAGAAGTTTCTGTGAATGATTCTGTCTAGATTTTATAAGAAGATGCTTCCTTTTCTACCGTAGGCCTCAAAGCGCTTGAAATCTCCAGCTGCAAATTCCACAAAAAGGGTGTTTAACATCTGCTCTTCTAAAGGAAAGTTCAACTCTATGAGTTGAATACACACAGCACAAAGAAGTTACTGAGACTTCTCCTATCAAACATTATATGAAGAAATCCCGTTTCCAACGAAGGCCTCAAAGAGGTCCAAATATCTGCTTGCAGACTTTACAGACAGAGTGTTTCCAAACTGCTCCATCAAAAGAAAGGTTAAACTCCTTGAGTTGAACACACACATCATAAAGTAGTTTCTGTGAATGATTCTGTCTAGTTTTTATACGAAGATGTTTCCTTTTCTACCTTTGGTCTCAAAGCGATTGAAATCTCCACATGGAAACTCCACAAAAAGAGTGTTTCAAATCTGCTCTTTCTGAAGGAAGGTTCAACTCTGTGAGTTGAATACACACACCACAAATAAGTTACTGACAATTCTTCTGTGTAACATTATATGAGGAAATCCCGTTTCCAACGAAGGCCTCAAAGAGGTCCAAATATCCACTTGCAGACTTTACAAAGACAGTGTCTCCAAACTCCTCCATCAAAAGAAAGGTTATACTCTGTGAATTGAACGCACACATCACAAAGTAGTTTCTGAGAATGATTCTGTCTAGTTTTTATACGAAGATATTTCCTTTTCTACATTTGGCCTAAAAGCGCTTGAAATCTCCACCTGCAAATATCACAAAAAGAGGGTTTCACATCTGCTCTGTCTAAAGGACAGTTCACCTCTGTGAGTTGAATAGAGGCAACACAAAGAACTTACTCAGTATTCTTCTTTCTAGCGTTATATGAAGAAATCCCGTTTCCAACGAAGACCTCAAAGAGGTCCAAATATCTGCTTGCAGACTTTACAGACAGAGTGTTTCCAAACTACTCTATGAAAAGAAAGCTTAAGCTCCTTGAGTTGAACGCACACATCAAAAAATAGTTTCTGAGAATGATTCTGTCTAGTTTTTATACGAAGATGTTTCCTTTTCTACATTTGGTCTCAAAGCGATTGAAATCTCCAACTGGAAACTGCACAAATAGGGTGTTTCAAATCTGCTCTGTCTAAAGGAAGGTTCAACTCTGTGAGTTGAATACACACACCACAAATAAGTTACTGAGAATTCTTCTGTCGAACATTACTTGAAGAAATCCCGTTTCCAACGAAGGCCTCAAAGAGGTCCAAATATCCACTTGCAGACATTACAAACAGAGTGTTTCCAAACTGCTCCATCAAAAGAAAGGTTAAACTCTGTGAGCTGAACACACACATCGAAAAGAAGTTTCTGTGAATGATTCTGTCTAGATTTTATAAGAAGATGTTTCCTTTTCTACCGTAGGCCTCAAAGCGCTTGAAATCTCCAGCTGCAAATTCCACAAAAAGGGTGTTTAACATCTGCTCTTCTAAAGGAAAGTTCAACTCTATGAGTTGAATACACACAGCACAAAGAAGTTACTGAGACTTCTCCTATCAAACATTATATGAAGAAATCCCGTTTCCAACGAAGGCCTCAAAGAGGTCCAAATATCTGCTTGCAGACTTTACAGACAGAGTGTTTCCAAACTGCTCCATCAAAAGAAAGGTTAAACTCCTTGAGTTGAACACACACATCACAAAGTAGTTTCTGTGAATGATTCTGTCTAGTTTTTATATGAAGATGTTTCCTTTTCTACCTTTGGTCTCAAAGCGATTGAAATCTCCACATGGAAACTCCACAAAAAGAGTGTTTCAAATCTGCTCTTTCTGAAGGAAGGTTCAACTCTGTGAGTTGAATACACACACCACAAATAAGTTACTGAGAATTGTTTCTGTGTAACATTATATGAGGAAATCCCGTTTCCAACGAAGGCCTCAAAGAGGTCCAAATATCCACTTGCAGACTTTAGAAACACAGTGTCTCCAAACTCCTCCATCAAAAGAAAGGTTATACTCTGTGAAATGAACGCACACATCACAAAGTAGTTTCTGAGAATGATTCTGTCTAGTTTTTCTACGAAGATATTTCCTTTTCTACATTTGGCCTAAAAGCGCTTGAAATCTCCACCTGCAAATATCACAAAAAGAGGGTTTCACATCTGCTCTGTCTAAAGGACAGTTCACCTCTGTGAGTTGAATAGAGGCAACACAAAGAACTTACTCAGTATTCTTCTTTCTAGCGTTCTATGAAGAAATCCCGTTTCCAACGAAGGCCTCAAAGAGGTCCAAATATCTGCTTGCAGACTTTACAGACAGAGTGTTTCCAAACTACTCTATGAAAAGAAAGCTTAAACTCCTTGAGTTGAACGCACACATCACAAAGTAGTTTATGAGAATGATTCTGTCTAGTTTTTATACGAAGATGTTTCCTTTTCTACATTTGGTCTCAAAGCGATTGAAATCTCCAACTGGGAACTGCACAAATAGGGTGTTTCAAATCTGCTCTGTCTAAAGGAAGGTTCAACTCTGTGAGTTGAATACACACACCACAAATAAGTTACTGAGAATTCTTCTGTTTAACATTATATGAAGAAATCCCGTTTCCAACGAAGGCCTCAAAGAGGTCCAAATATCCACTTGCAGACTTGTCAAACGGAGTGTTTCCAAACTGCTCCATCAAAAGAAAGGTTAAACTCTGTGAGCTGAACACACACATAACAAATTAGTTTCTTTGAATGATCCTGTCTAGTTTTTATACGAAGATGTTTCCTTTTCTACCTTTGGTCTCAAAGCGATTGAAATCTCCAAATGGAAACTCCACAAAAAGAGTGTTTCAAACCTGCTCTTTCTGAAGGAAGGTTCAAATCCGTAAGTTGAATACACACACCACAAATAAGTTACTGAGAATTCTCCTATCAAACATTATATGAAGAAATCCCGTTTTCAACGAAGGCCTCAAAGAGGTCCAAATATCTGCTTGCAGACTTTACAGACAGAGTGTTTCCAAACTGCTCCATCAAAAGAAAGGTTAAACTCCTTGAGTTGAACACACACATCACAAAGTAGTTTCTGTGAATGATTCTGTCTAGTTTTTATACGAAGATGTTTCCTTTTCTACCTTTGGTCTCAAAGCGATTGAAATCTCCACATGGAAACTCCACCAAAAGAGTGTTTCAAATCTGCTCTTTCTGAAGGAAGGTTCAACTCTGTGAGTTGAATACAGACACCACGAATAAGTTACTGAGAATTCTTCTGTGTAACATTATATGAGGAAATCCCGTTTCCAACGAAGGCCTCAAAGAGGTCCAAATATCTACTTGCAGACTTTACAAAGACAGTGTCTCCAAACTCCTCCATCAAAAGAAAGGTTATACTCTGTGAATTGAACGCACACATCACAAAGTAGTTTCTGAGAATGATTCTGTCTAGTTTTTATACGAAGATATTTCCTTTTCTACATTTGGCCTAAAAGCGCTTGAAATCTCCACCTGCAAATATCACAAAAAGAGGGTTTCACATCTGCTCTGTCTAAAGGACAGTTCACCTCTGTGAGTTGAATAGAGGCAACACAAAGAACTTACTCAGTATTCTTCTTTCTAGCGTTCTATGAAGAAATCCCGTTTCCAACGAAGGCCTCAAAGAGGTCAAATATCTGCTTGCAGACTTTACAGACAGAGTGTTTCCAAACTACTCTATGAAAAGAAAGCTTAAACTCCTTGAGTTGAACGCACACATCACAAAGTAGTTTCTGAGAATGATTCTGTCTAGTTTTTATACGAAGATGTTTCCTTTTCTACATTTGGTCTCAAAGCGATTGAAATCTCCAACTGGAAACTGCACAAATAGGGTGTTTCAAATCTGCTCTGTCTAAAGGAAGGTTCAACTCTGTGAGTTGAATACACACACCACAAATAAGTTACTGAGAATTCTTCTGTCGAACATTACTTGAAGAAATCCCGTTTCCAACGAAGGCCTCAAAGAGGTCCAAATATCCACTTCCAGACATTACAAACAGTGTGTTTCCAAACTGCTCCATCAAAAGAAAGGTTAAACTCTGTGAGCTGAACACACACATCAAAAAGAAGTTTCTGTGAATGATTCTGTCTAGATTTTATAAGAAGATGTTTCCTTTTCTACCGTAGGCCTCAAAGCGCTTGAAATCTCCAGCTGCAAATTCCACAAAAAGGGTGTTTAACATCTGCTCTTCTAAAGGAAAGTTCAACTCTATGAGTTGAATACACACAGCACAAAGAAGTTACTGAGACTTCTCCTATCAAACATTATATGAAGAAATCCCGTTTCCAACGAAGGCCTCAAAGAGGTCCAAATATCTGCTTGCAGACTTTACAGACAGAGTGTTTCCAAACTGCTCCATCAAAAGGAAGTTTAAACTCCTTGAGTTGAACACACACATCACAAAGTAGTTTCTGTGAATGATTCTGTCTAGTTTTTATACGAAGATGTTTCCTTTTCTACCTTTGGTCTCAAAGCGATTGAAATCTCCACATGGAAACTCCACAAAAAGAGTGTTTCAAATCTGCTCTTTCTGAAGGAAGGTTCATCTCTGTGAGTTGAATACACACACCACAAATAAGTTACTGAGAATTCTTCTGTGTAACATTATATGAGGAAATCCCGTTTCCAACGAAGGCCTCAAAGAGGTCCAAATATCCACTTGCAGACTTTACAAAGACAGTGTCTCCAAACTCCTCCATCAAAAGAAAGGTTATACTCTGTGAATTGAACGCACACATCACAAAGTAGTTTCTGAGAATGATTCTGTCTAGTTTTTATACGAAGATATTTCCTTTTCTACATTTGGCCTAAAAGCGCTTGAAATCTCCACCTGCAAATATCACAAAAAGAGGGTTTCACATCTGCTCTGTCTGAAGGACAGTTCACCTCTGTGAGTTGAATAGAGGCAACACAAAGAACTTACTCAGTATTCTTCTTTCCAGCGTTATATGAAGAAATCCCGTTTCCAACGAAGGCCTCAAAGAGGTCCAAATATCTGCTTGCAGATTTTACAGACAGAGTGTTTCCAAACTACTCTATGAAAAGAAAGCTTAAACTCCTTGAGTTGAACGCACACATCACAAAGTAGTTTCTGAGAATGATTCTGTCTAGTTTTTATACGAAGATGTTTCCTTTTCTACATTTGGTCTCAAAGCGATTGAAATCTCCAACTGGAAACTGCACAAATAGGGTGTTTCAAATCTGCTCTGTCTAAAGGAAGGTTCAACTCTGTGAGTTGAATACACACACCACAAATAAGTTACTGAGAATTCTTCTGTCGACCATTACTTGAAGAAATCCCGTTTCCAACGAAGGCCTCAAAGAGGTCCAAATATCCACTTGCAGACATTACAAACAGAGTGTTTCCAAACTGCTCCATCAAAAGAAAGGTTAAACTCTGTGAGCTGAACACACACATCGAAAAGAAGTTTCTGTGAATGATTCTGTCTAGATTTTATAAGAAGATGTTTCCTTTTCTACCGGAGGCCTCAAAGCGCTTGAAATCTCCAGCTGCAAATTCCACAAAAAGGGTGTTTAACATCTGCTCTTCTAAAGGAAAGTTCAACTCTATGAGTTGAATACACACAGCACAAAGAAGTTACTGAGACTTCTCCTATCAAACATTATATGAAGAAATCCCGTTTCCAACGAAGGCCTCAAAGAGGTCCAAATATCTGCTTGCAGACTTTACACGACAGAGTGTTTCCATACTGCTCCATCAAAAGAAAGGTTAAACTCCTTGAGTTGAACACACACATCACAAAGTAGTTTCTGTGAATGATTCTGTCTAGTTTTTATACGAAGATGTTTCCTTTTCTACCTTTGGTCTCAAAGCGATTGAAATCTCCACATGGAAACTCCACAAAAAGAGTGTTACAAATCTGCTCTTTCTGAAGGAAGGTTCAACTCTGTGAGTTGAATACACACACCACAAATAAGTTACTGAGAATTCTTCTGTGTAACATTATATGAGGAAATCCCGTTTCCAACGAAGGCCTCAAAGAGATCCAAATATCCACTTGCAGACTTTACAAAGACAGTGTCTCCAAACTCCTCCATCAAAAGAAAGGTTATACTCTGTGAATTGAACGCACACATCACAAAGTAGTTTCTGAGAATGATTGTGTCTAGTTTTTATACGAAGATATTTCCTTTTCTACATTTGGCCTAAAAGCGCTTGAAATCTCCACATGCAAATATCACAAAAACAGGGTTTCACATCTGCTCTGTCTAAAGGACAGTTCACCTCTGTGAGTTGAATAGAGGCAACACAAAGAACTTACTCAGTATTCTTCTTTCTAGCGTTCTATGAAGAAATCCCGTTTCCAACGAAGGCCTCGAAGAGGTCCAAATATCTGCTTGCAGACTTTACAGACAGAGTGTTTCCAAACTACTCTATGAAAAGAAAGCTTAAACTCCTTGAGTTGAACGCACACATCACAAAGTAGTTTCTGAGAATGATTCTGTCTAGTTTTTATACGAAGATGTTTCCTTTTCTACATTTGGTCCCAAAGCGATTGAAATCTCCAACTGGAAACTGCACAAATAGGGTGTTTCAAATCTGCTCTGTCTAAAGGAAGGTTCAACTCTGTGAGTTGAATACACACACCACAAATAAGTTACTGAGAATTCTTCTGTCGAACATTACAGGAAGAAATCCCGTTTCCAACGAAGGCCTCAAAGAGGTCCAAATATCCACTTGCAGACATTACAAACAGTGTGTTTCCCAACTGCTCCATCAAAAGAAAGGTTAAACTCTGTGAGCTGAACACACACATCAAAAAGAAGTTTCTGTGAATGATTCTGTCTAGATTTTATAAGAAGATGTTTCCTTTTCTACCGTAGGCCTCAAAGCGCTTGTAATCTCCAGCTGCAAATTCCACAAAAAGGGTGTTTAACATCTGCTCTTCTAAAGGAAAGTTCAACTCTATGAGTTGAATACACACAGCACAAAGAAGTTACTGAGACTTCTCCTATCAAACATTATATGAAGAAATCCCGTTTCCAACGAAGGCCTCAAAGAGGTCCAAATATCCACTTGCAGACATTACAAACAGAGTGTTTCCAAACTGCTCCATCAAAAGAAAGGTTAAACTCTGTGAGCTGAACACACACATCAAAAAGAAGTTTCTGTGAATGATTCTGTCTAGATTTTGTAAGAAGATGTTTCCTTTTCTACCGTAGGCCTCAAAGCGCTTGAAATCTCCACCTGCAAATTCCACAAAAAGGGTGTTTTACATCTGCTCTTCTAAAGGAAAGTTCAACTCTATGCGTTGAATACACACAGGACAAAGAAGTTACTGAGACTTCTCCTATCAAACATTATATGAAGAAATCCCGTTTCCAACGAAGGCCTCAAAGAGGTCCAAATATCTGCTTGCAGACTTTACAGACAGAGTGTTTCCAATCTGCTCCATCAAAAGAAAGGTTAAACTCCTTGAGTTGAACACACACATCACAAAGTAGTTTTTGTGAATGATTCTGTCTAGTTTTTATAAGAAGATGTTTCCTTTTCTACCTTTGGTCTCAAAGCGATTGAAATCTCCACATGGAAACTCCACAAAAAGAGTGTTTCAAATCTGCTGTTTCTGAAGGAAGGTTCAACTCTGTGAGTTGAATACACACACCACAAATAAGTTTCTGAGAATTCTTCTGTGTAACATTATATGAGGAAATCCCGTTTCCAACGAAGGCCTCAAAGAGGTCCAAATATCCACTTGCAGACTTTACAAAGACAGTGTCTCCAAACTCCTCCATCAAAAGAAAGGTTATACTCTGTGAATTGAACGCACACATCACAAAGTAGATTCTGAGAACGATTCTGTCTAGTTTTTATACGAAGATATTTCCTTTTCTACATTTGGCCTAAAAGCGCTTGAAATCTCCACCTGCAAATATCACAAAAAGAGGGTTTCACATCTGCTCTGTCTAAAGGACAGTTCACCTCTGTGTGTTGAATAGAGGCAACACAAAGAACTTACTCAGTATTCTTCTTTCTAGCATTCTATGAAGAAATCCCGTTTCCAACGTAGGCCCCAAAGAGGTCCAAATATCTGCTTGCAGACTTTACAAAGACAGTGTCTCCAAACTCCTCCATCAAAAGAAAGGTTATACTCTGTGAATTGAACGCACACATCACAAAGTAGTTTCTGAGAATGATTCTGTCTAGTTTTTATATGAAGATATTTCCTTTTCTACATTTGGCCTAAAAGCGCTTGAAATCTCCACCTGCAAATATCACAAAAACAGGGTTTCACATCTGCTCTGTCTAAAGGACAGTTCACCTCTGTGAGTTGAATAGAGGCAACACAAAGAACTTACTCAGTATTCTTCTTTCTAGCGTTCTATGAAGAAATCCCGTTTCTAACGAAGTCCCCAAAGAGGTCCAAATATCTGCTTGCAGACTTTACAGACAGAGTGTTTCCAAACTAGTCTATGAAAAGAAAGCTTAAACTCCTTGAGTTGAACGCACACATCAGAAAGTAGTTTCTGAGAATTATTCTGTCTAGTTTTTATACGAAGATGTTTCCTTTTCTACATTTGGTCTCAAAGCGATTGAAATCTCCAACTGGAAACTGCACAAATAGGGTGTTTCAAATCTGCTCTGTCTAAAGGAAGGTTCAACTCTGTGAGTTGAATACACACACCACAAATAAGTTACTGAGAATTCTTCTGTCGAACATTACATGAAGAAATCCCGTTTCCAACGAAGGCCTCAAAGAGGTCCAAATATCCACTTGCAGACATTACAAACAGAGTGTTTCCAAACTGCTCCATCAAAAGAAAGGTTAAACTCTGTGAGCTGAACACACACATCAAAAAGAAGTTTCTGTGAATGATTCTGTCTAGATTTTATAAGAAGATGTTTCCTTTTCTACCGTAGGCCTCAAAGCGCTTGAAATCTCCAGCTGCAAATTCCACAAAAAGGGTGTTTAACATCTGCTCTTCTAAAGGAAAGTTCAACTCTATGAGTTGAATACACACAGCACAAAGAAGTTACTGAGACTTCTCCTATCAAACATTATATGAAGAAATCCCGTTTCCAACGAAGGCCTCAAAGAGGTCCAAATATCTACTTGCAGACTTTACAGACAGAGTGTTTCCAAACTGCTCCATCAAAAGAAAGGTTAAACTCCTTGAGTTGAACACACACATCACAAAGTAGTTTCTGTGAATGATTCTGTCTAGTTTTTATACGAAGATGTTTCCTTTTCTACCTTTGGTCTCAATGCGATTGAAATCTCCACATGGAAACTCCACAAAAAGAGTGTTTCAAATCTGCTCTTTCTGAAGGAAGGTTCAACTCTGTGAGTTGAATACACACACCACAAATAAGTTACTGAGAATTCTTCTGGGTAACATTATATGAGGAAATCCCGTTTCCAACGAAGGCCTCAAAGAGGTCCAAATATCCACTTGCAGACTTTACAAAGACAGTGTCTCCAAACTCCTCCATCAAAAGAAAGGTTATACTCTGTGAATTGAACGCACACATCACAAAGTAGTTTCTGAGAATGATTCTGTCTAGTTTTTATACGAAGATATTTCCTTTTCTACATTTGGCCTAAAAGCGCTTGAAATCTCCACGTGCAAATATCACAAAAAGAGGGTTTCACATCTGCTCTGTCTAAAGGACAGTTCACCTCTGTGAGTTGAATAGAGGCAACACAAAGAACTTACTCAGTATTCTTCTTTCTAGCGTTCTATGAAGAAATCCCGTTTCCAACGAAGGCCCCAAAGAGGTCCAAATATCTGCTTGCAGACTTTACAGACAGTGTTTCCAAACTAATCTATGAAAAGAAAGCTTAAACTCCTTGAGTTGAACGCTCACATCACAAAGTAGTTTGTGAGAATGATTCTGTCTAGTTTTTATACGAAGATGTTTCCTTTTCTACATTTGGTCTCAAAGCGATTGAAATCTCCAACTGGAAACTGCACAAATAGGGAGTTTCAAATCTGCTCTGTCTAAAGGAAGGTTCAACTCTGTGAGTTGAATACACACACCACAAAGAAGTTACTGAGAATTCTTCTGTCGAACATTACATGACGAAATCCCGTTTCCAACGAAGGCCTCAAAGAGGTCCAAATATCCACTTGCAGACATTACAAACAGAGTGTTTCCAAACTGCTCCATCAAAAGAAAGGTTAAACTCTGTGAGCTGAACACACACATCAAAAAGAAGTTTCTGTGAATGATTCTGTCTAGATATTATAAGAAGATGTTTCCTTTTCTACCATAGGCCTCAAAGCGCTTGAAATCTCCAGCTGCAAATTCCACAAAAAGGGTGTTTAACATCTGCTCTTCTAAAGGAAAGTTCAACTCTATGAGTTGAATACACACAGAACAAAGAAGTTACTGAGACTTCTCCTATCAAACATTATATGAAGAAATCCCGTTTCCAACGAAGGCCTCAAAGAGGTCCAAATATCTGCTTGCAGACTTTACAGACAGAGTGTTTCCAAACTGCTCCATCAAAAGAAAGGTTAAACTCCTTGAGTTGAACACACACATCACAAAGTAGTTTCTGTGAATGATTCTGTCTAGTTTTTATACGAAGATGTTTCCTTTTCTACCTTTGGTCTCAAAGCGATTGAAATCTCCACATGGAAACTCCACCAAAAGAGTGTTTCAAATCTGCTCTCTCTGAAGGAAGGTTCAACTCTGTGAGTTGAATACAGACACCACAAATAAGTTACTGAGAATTCTTCTGTGTAACATTATATGAGGAAATCCCGTTTCCAACGAAGGCCTCAAAGAGGTCCAAATATCCACTTGCAGACTTTACAAAGACAGTGTCTCCAAACTCCTCCATCAAAAGAAAGGTTATACTCTGTGAATTGAACGCACACATCACAAAGTAGTTTCTGAGAATGATTCTGTCTAGTTTTTATACGAAGATATTTCCTTTTCTACATTTGGCCTAAAAGCGCTTGAAATCTCCACCTGCAAATATCACAAAAAGAGGGTTTCACATCTGCTCTGTCTAAAGGACAGTTCACCTCTGTGAGTTGAATAGAGGCAACACAAAGAACTTACCCAGTATTCTTCTTTCTAGCGTTCTCTGAAGAAATCCCGTTTCCAACGAAGGCCTCAAAGAGGTCCAAATATCTGCTTGCAGACTTTACAGACAGAGTGTTTCCAAACTACTCTATGAAAAGAAAGCTTAAACTCCTTGAGTTGAACGCACACATCACAAAGTAGTTTCTGAGAATGATTCTGTCTAGTTTTTATACGAAGATGTTTCCTTTTCTACATTTGGTCTCAAAGCGATTGAAATCTCCAACTGGAAACTGCACAAATAGGGTGTTTCAAATCTGCTCTGTCTAAAGGAAGGTTCAACTCTGTGAGTTGAATACACACACCACAAATAAGTTACTGAGAATTCTTCTGTCGAACATTACAGGAAGAAATCCCGTTTCCAACGAAGGCCTCAAAGAGGTCCAAATATCCACTTGCAGACATTACAAACAGTGTGTTTCCCAACTGCTCCATCAAAAGAAAGGTTAAACTCTGTGAGCTGAACACACACATCAAAAAGAAGTTTCTGTGAATGATTCTGTCTAGATTTTATAAGAAGATGTTTCCTTTTCTACCGTAGGCCTCAAAGCGCTTGAAATCTCCAGCTGCAAATTCCACAAAAAGGGTGTTTAACATCTGCTCTTCTAAAGGAAAGTTCAACTCTATGAGTTGAATACACACAACACAAAGAAGTTACTGAGACTTCTCCTATCAAACATTATGTGAAGAAATCCCGTTTCCAACGAAGGCCTCAAAGAGGTCAAATATCTGCTTGCAGACTTTACAGACAGAGTGTTTCCAAACTACTCTATGAAAAGAAAGCTTAAACTCCTTGAGTTGAACGCACACATCACAAAGTAGTTTCTGTGAATGATTCTGTCTAGTTTTTATACGAAGATGTTTCCTTTTCTACCTTTGGTCTCAAAGCGATTGAAATCTCTAAATGGAAACTGCACAAATAGGGTGTTTCAAATCTGCTCTTTCTGAAGGAAGGTTCAACTCTGTGAGTTGAATACACACACCACAAATAAGTTACTGAGAATTCTTCTGTCGAACATTACATGAAGAAATCCCGTTTCCAACGAAGGCCTCAAAGAGGTCCAAACCTCCACTTGCAGACATTACAAACAGTGTGTTTCCAAACTGCTCCATCAAAAGAAAGGTTAAACTCTGTGAGCTGAACACACACATCAAAAAGAAGTTTCTGTGAATGATTCTGTCTAGATTTTATAAGAAGATGTTTCCTTTTCTACCGTAGGCCTCAAAGCGCTTGAAATCTCCAGCTGCAAATTCCACAGAAAGGGTGTTTAACATCTGCTCTTCTAAAGGAAAGTTCAACTCTATGAGTTGAATACACACAGCACAAAGAAGTTACTGAGACTTCTCCTATCAAACATTATATGAAGAAATCCCGTTTCCAACGAAGGCCTCAAAGAGGTCCAAATATCTGCTTGCAGACTTTACAGACAGAGTGTTTCCAAACTGCTCCATCAAAAGAAAGGTTAAACTCCTTGAGTTGAACACACACATCACAAAGTAGTTTCTGTGAATGATTCTGTCTAGTTTTTATACGAAGATGTTTCCTTTTCTACCTTTGGTCTCAATGCGATTGAAATCTCCACATGGAAACTCCACAAAAAGAGTGTTTCAAATCTGCTCTTTCTGAAGGAAGGTTCAACTCTGTGAGTTGAATACACACACCACAAATAAGTTACTGAGAATTCTTCTGTGTAACATTATATGAGGAAATCCCGTTTCCAACGAAGGCCTCGAAGAGATCCAAATATCCACTTGCAGACTTTACAAAGACAGTGTCTCCAAACTCCTCCATCAAAAGAAAGGTTATACTCTGTGAATTGAACGCACACATCACAAAGTAGTTTCTGAGAATGATTCTGTCTAGTTTTTATACGAAGATATTTCCTTTTCTACATTTGGCCTAAAAGCGCTTGAAATCTCCACCTGCAAATATCACAAAAAGAGGGTTTCACATCTGCTCTGTCTAAAGGACAGTTCACCTCTGTGAGTTGAATAGAGGCAACACAAAGAACTTACTCAGTATTCTTCTTTCTAGCGTTATATGAAGAAATCCCGTTTCCAACGAATGCCTCAAAGAGGTCCAAATATCTGCTTGCAGACTTTACAGACAGAGTGTTTCCAAACTACTCTAAGAAATGAAAGCTTAAACTCCGTGAGTTGAACGCACACATCACAAAGTAGTTTCTGAGAATGATTCTGTCTAGTTTTTATACGAAGATGTTTCCTTTTCTACATTTGGTCTCAAAGCGATTGAAATCTCCAACTGGAAACTGCACAAATAGGGTGTTTCAAATCTGCTCTGTCTAAAGGAAGGTTCAACTCTGTGAGTTGAATACACACACCACAAATAAGTTACTGAGAATTCTTCTGTCGACCATTACTTGATGAAATCCCGTTTCCAACGAAGGCCTCAAAGAGGTCCAAATATCCACTTGCAGACATTACAAACAGAGTGTTTCCAAACTGCTCCATCAAAAGAAAGGTTAAACTCTGTGAGCTGAATACACACATCGAAAAGAAGTTTCTGTGAATGATTCTGTCTAGATTTTATAAGAAGATGTTTCCTTTTCTACCGTAGGCCTCAAAGCGCTTGAAATCTCCAGCTGCAAATTCCACAAAAAGGGTGTTTAACATCTGCTCTTCTAAAGGAAAGTTCAACTCTATGAGTTGAATACACACAGCACAAAGAAGTTACTGAGACTTCTCCTATCAAACATTATATGAAGAAATCCCGTTTCCAACGAAGGCCTCAAAGAGGTCCAAATATCTGCTTGCAGACTTTACAGACAGAGTGTTTCCAAACTGCTCCATCAAAAGAAAGGTTAAACTCCTTGAGTTGAACACACACATCACAAAGTAGTTTCTGTGAATGATTCTGTCTAGTTGTTATACGAAGATGTTTCCTTTTCTACCTTTGGTCTCAAAGCGATTGAAATCTCCACATGGAAACTCCACAAAAAGAGTGTTTCAAATCTGCTCTTTCTGAAGGAAGGTTCATCTCTGTGAGTTGAATACACACACCACAAATAAGTTACTGAGAATTCTTCTGTGTAACATTATATGAGGAAATCCCGTTTCCAACGAAGGCCTCAAAGAGGTCCAAATATCCGCTTGCAGACTTTACAAAGACAGAGTCTCCAAACTCCTCCATCAAAAGAAAGGTTATACTCTGTGAATTGAACGCACACATCACAAAGTAGTTTCTGAGAATGATTCTGTCTAGTTTTTATACGAAGATATTTCCTTTTCTACATTTGGCCTAAAAGCGCTTGAAATCTCCACCTGCAAATATCACAAAAAGAGGGTTTCACATCTGCTCTGTCTAAAGGACAGTTCACCTCTGTGAGTTGAATAGAGGCAACACAAAGAACTTACTCAGTATTCTTCTTTCTAGCATTCTATGAAGAAATCCCGTTTCCAACGAAGGCCCCAAAGAGGTCCAAATATCTGCTTGCAGAGTTTACAGACAGAGTTTTTCCAAACTGCTCCATCAAAAGAAAGGTTAAACTCCTTGAGTTGAACACACACATCACAAAGTAGTTTCTGTGAATGATTCTGTCTAGTTTTTATAAGAAGATGTTTCCTTTTCTACCTTTGGTCTCAAAGCGATTGAAATCTCCACATGGAAACTCCTCAAAAAGAGTGTTTCAAATCTGCTCTTTCTGAAGGAAGGTTCAACTCTGTGAGTTGAATACACACACCACAAATAAGTTACTGAGAATTCTTCTGTGTAACATTATATGAGGAAATCCCGTTTCCAACGAAGGCCTCAAAGAGGTCCAAATATCCACTTGCAGACTTTACAAAGACAGTGTCTCCAAACTCCTCCATCAAAAGAAAGGTTATACTCTGTGAATTGAACGCACACATCACAAAGTAGTTTCTGAGAATGATTCTGTCTAGTTTTTATACGAAGATATTTCCTTTTCTACATTTGGCCTAAAAGCGCTTGAAATCTCCACCTGCAAATATCACAAAAAGAGGGTTTCACATCTGCTCTGTCTAAAGGACAGTTCACCTCTGTGAGTTGAATAGAGGCAACACAAAGAACTTACTCAGTATTCTTCTTTCTAGCGTTCTATGAAGAAATCCCGTTTCCAACGAAGGCCTCAAAGAGGTCCAAATATCTGCTTGCAGACTTTACAGACAGAGTGTTTCCAAACTACTCTATGAAAAGAAAGCTTAAACTCATTCAGATGAACGCACACATCACAAAGTAGTTTCTGAGAATGATTCTGTCTAGTTTTTATACGAAGATGTTTCCTTTTCTACATTTGGTCTCAAAGCGATTGAAATCTCCAACTGGAAACTGCACAAATAGGGTGTCTCAAATCTGCTCTGTCTAAAGGAAGGTTCAACTCTGTGAGTTGAATACACACACCACAAATACGTTACTGAGAATTCTTCTGTCGAACATTACTTGAAGAAATCCCGTTTCCAACGAAGGCCTCAAAGAGGTCCAAATATCCACTTGCAGACATTACAAACAGAGTGTTTCCAAACTGCTCCATCAAAAGAAAGGTTAAACTCTGTGAGCTGAACACACACATCGAAAAGAAGTTTCTGTGAATGATTCTGTCAAGATTTTATAAGAAGATGTTCCGTTTTCTACCGTAAGCCTCAAAGCGCTTGAAATCTCCAGCTGCAAATTCCACAAAAAGGGTGTTTAACATCTGCTCTTCTAAAGGAAAGTTCAACTCTATGAGTTGAATACACACAGCACAAAGAAGTTACTGAGACTTCTCCTATCAAACATTATATGAAGAAATCCCGTTTCCAACGAAGGCCTCAAAGAGGTCCAAATATCTGCTTGCAGACTTTACAGACAGAGTATTTCCAAACTGCTCCATCAAAAGAAAGGTTAAACTCCTTGAGTTGAACACACACATCACAAAGTAGTTTCTGTGAATGATTCTGTCTAGTTTTTATACGAAGATGTTTCCTTTTCTACCTTTGGTCTCAATGCGATTGAAATCTCCACATGGAAACTCCACAAAAAGAGTGTTTCAAATCTGCTCTTTCTGAAGGAAGGTTCAACTCTGTGAGTTGAATACACACACCACAAATAAGTTACTGAGAATTCTTCTGTGTAACATTATATGAGGAAATCCCGTTTCCAACGAAGGCCTCAAAGAGGTCCAAATATCCACTTGCAGACTTTACAAAGACAGTGTCTCCAAACTCCTCCATCAAAAGAAAGGTTATACTCTGTGAATTGAACGCACACATCACAAAGTAGTTTCTGAGAATGATTCTGTCTAGTTTTTATACGAAGATATTTCCTTTTCTACATTTGGCCTAAAAGCGCTTGAAATCTCCAAGTGCAAATATCACAAAAAGAGGGTTTCACATCTGCTCTGTCTAAAGGACAGTTCACCTCTGTGAGTTGAATAGAGGCAACACAAAGAACTTACTCAGTATTCTTCTTTCTAGCGTTCTATGAAGAAATCCCGTTTCCAACGAAGGCCCCAAAGAGGTCCAAATATCTGCTTGCAGACTTTAGAGACAGAGTGTTTCCAAACTACTCTATGAAAAGAAAGCTTAAACTCCTTGAGTTGAACGCACACATCACAAAGTAGTTTCTGAGAATGATTCTGTCTAGTTTTTATACGAAGATATTTCCTTTTCTACATTTGGTCTCAAAGCGATTGAAATCTCCAACTGGAAACTGCACAAATAGGGTGTTTCAAATCTGCACTGTGTAAAGGAAGGTTCAACTCTGTGAGTTGAATACACACACCACAAATAAGTTACTGAGAATTCTTCTGTCGAACATTACTTGAAGAAATCCCGTTTCCAACGAAGGCCTCAAAGAGGTCCAAATATCCACTTGCAGACATTACAAACAGAGTGTTTCCAAACTGCTTCATCAAAAGAAAGGTTAAACTCTGTGAGCTGAACACACACATCAAAAAGAAGTTTCTGTGAATGATTCTGTCTAGATTTTATAAGAAGATGTTTCCTTTTCTACCGTAGGCCTCAAAGCGCTTGAAATCTCCAGCTGCAAATTCCACAAAAAGGGTGTTTAACATGTGCTCTTCTAAAGGAAAGTTCAACTCTATGCGTTGAATACACACAGCACAAAGAAGTTACTGAGACTTCTCCTATCAAACATTATATGAAGAAATCCCGTTTCCAACGAAGGCCTCAAAGAGGTCCAAATATCTGCTTGCAGACTTTACAGACAGAGTGTTTCCAAACTGCTCCATCAAAAGAAAGGTTAAACTCCTTGAGTTGAACACACACATCACAAAGTAGTTTCTGTGAATGATTCTGTCTAGTTTTTATACGAAGATGTTTCCTTTTCTACCTTTGGTCTCAATGCGATTGAAATCTCCACATGGAAACTCCACAAAAAGAGTGTTTCAAATCTGCTCTTTCTGAAGGAAGGTTCAACTCTGTGAGTTGAATACACACACCACAAATAAGTTACTGAGAATTCTTCTGTGTAACATTATATGAGGAAATCCCGTTTCCAACGAAGGCCTCAAAGAGGTCCAAATATCCACTTGCAGACTTTACAAAGACAGTGTCTCCAAACTCCTCCATCAAAAGAAAGGTTATACTCTGTGAATTGAACGCACACATCACAAAGTAGTTTCTGAGAATGATTCTGTCTAGTTTTTATACGAAGATATTTCCTTTTCTACATTTGGCCTAAAAGCGCTTGAAATCTCCACGTGCAAATATCACAAAAAGAGGGTTTCACATCTGCTCTGTCTAAAGGACAGTTCACCTCTGTGAGTTGAATAGAGGCAACACAAAGAACTTACTCAGTATTCTTCTTTCTAGCGTTCTATGAAGAAATCCCGTTTCCAACGAAGGCCTCAAAGAGGTCCAAATATCTGCTTGCAGACTTTACAGACAGAGTGTTTCCAAACTACTCTATGAAAAGAAAGCTTAAACTCCTTGAGTTGAACGCACACATCACAAAGTAGTTTCTGAGAATGATTCTGTCTAGTTTTTATACGAAGATGTTTCCTTTTCTACATTTGGTCTCAAAGCGATTGAAATCTCCAACTGGAAACTGCACAAATAGGGTGTTTCAAATCTGCTCTGTCTAAAGGAAGGTTCAACTCTGTGAGTTGAATACACACACCACAAATAAGTTACTGAGAATTCTTCTGTCGAACATTACATGAAGAAATCCCGTTTCCAACGAAGGCCTCAAAGAGGTCCAAATATCCACTTGCAGACATTACAAACAGAGTGTTTCCAAACTGCTCCATCAAAAGAAAGGTTAAACTCTGTGAGCTGAACACACTCATCAAAAAGAAGTTTCTGTGAATGATTCTGTCTAGATTTTATAAGAAGATGTTTCCTTTTCTACCGTAGGCCTCAAAGCGCTTGAAATCTCCAGCTGCAAATTCCACAAAAAGGGTGTTTAACATCTGCTCTTCTAAAGGAAAGTTCAACTCTATGACTTGAATACACACAGCACAAAGAAGTTACTGAGACTTCTCCTATCAAACATTATATGAAGAAATCCCGTTTCCAACGAAGGCCTCAAAGAGGTCCAAATATCTGCTTGCAGACTTTACAGACAGAGTTTTTCCAAACTGCTCCATCAAAAGAAAGGTTAAACTCCTTGAGTTGAACACACACATCACAAAGTAGTTTCTGTGAATGATTCTGTCTAGTTTTTATACGAAGATGTTTCCTTTTCTACCTTTGGTCTCAAAGCGATTGAAATCTCCACATGGAAACTCCACAAAAAGAGTGTTTCAAATCTGCTCTTTCTGAAGGAAGGTTCAACTCTTGTGAGTTGAATACACACACCACAAATAAGTTACTGAGAATTCTTCTGTGTAACATTATATGAGGAAATCCCGTTTCCAACGAAGTCCTCAAAGAGGTCCAAATATCCACTTACAGACTTTACAAAGACAGTGTCTCCAAACTCCTCCATCAAAAGAAAGGTTATACTCTGTGAATTGAACGCACACATCACAAAGTAGTTTCTGAGAATGATTCTGTCTAGTTTTTATACGAAGATGTTTCCTTTTCTACATTTGGTCTCAAAACGATTGAAATCTCCAACTGGAAACTGCACAAATAGGTTGTTTCAAATCTGCTCTGTCTAAAGGAAGGTTCAACTCTGTGAGTTGAATACACACACCACAAATAAGTTACTGAGAATTCTTCTGTCGAACATTACTTGAAGAAATCCCGTTTCCAACGAAGGCCTCAAAGAGGTCCAAATATCCACTTGCAGATATTACAAACAGAGTGTTTCCAAACTGCTCCATCAAAAGAAAGGTTAAACTCTGTGAGCTGAACACACACATCAAAAAGAAGTTTCTGTGAATGATTCTGTCTAGATTTTATAAGAAGATGTTTCCTTTTCTACCGTCGGCCTCAAAGCGCTTGAAATCTCCAGCTGCAAATTCCACAAAAAGGGTGTTTAACATCTGCTCTTCTAAAGGAAAGTTCAACTCTATGAGTTGAATACACACAGCACAAAGAAGTTACTGAGACTTCTCCTATCAAACATTATATGAAGAAATCCCTTTTCCAACGAAGGCCTCAAAGAGGTCCAAATATCTGCTTGCAGACTTTACAGACAGAGTGTTTCCAAACTGCTCCATCAAAAGAAAGGTTAAACTCCTTGAGTTGAACACACACATCACAAAGTAGTTTCTGTGAATGATTCTGTCTAGTTGTTATACGAAGATGTTTCCTTTTCTACCTTTGGTCTCAAAGCGATTGAAATCTCCACATGGAAACTCCACAAAAAGAGTGTTTCAAATCTGCTCTTTCTGAAGGAAGGTTCATCTCTGTGAGTTGAATACACACACCACAAATAAGTTACTGAGAATTCTTCTGTGTAACATTAAATGAGGAAATCCCGTTTCCAACGAAGGCCTCAAAGAGGTCCAAATATCCACTTGCAGACTTTACAAAGACAGTGTCTCCAAACTCCTCCATCAAAAGAAAGGTTATACTCTGTGAATTGAACGCACACATCACAAAGTAGTTTCTGAGAATGATTCTGTCTAGTTTTTATACGAAGATATTTCCTTTTCTACATTTGGCCTAAAAGCGCTTGAAATCTCCACCTGCAAATATCACAAAAAGAGGGTTTCACATCTGCTCTGTCTAAAGGACAGTTCACCTCTGTGAGTTGAATAGAGGCAACACAAAGAACTTACTCAGTATTCTTCTTTCTAGCGTTCTATGAAGAAATCCCGTTTCCAACGAAGGCCTCAAAGAGGTCAAATATCTGCTTGCAGACATTACAGACAGAGTGTTTCCAAACTACTCTATGAAAAGAAAGCTTAAACTCCTTGAGTTGAACGCACACATCACAAAGTAGTTTCTGAGAATGATTCTGTCTAGTTTTTATACGAAGATGTTTCCTTTTCTACATTTGGTCTCAAAGCTCTTGAAATCTCCAACTGGAAACTGCACAAATAGGCTGTTTCAAATCTGCTCTGTCTAAAGGAAGGTTCAACTCTGTGAGTTGAATACACACACCACAAATAAGTTACTGAGAATTCTTCTGTCGAACATTACTTGAAGAAATCCCGTTTCCAACGAAGGCCTCAAAGAGGTCCAAATATCCACTTGCAGACGTTACAAACAGAGTGTTTCCAAACTGCTCCATCAAAAGAAAGGTTAAACTCTGTGAGCTGAACACACACATCAAAAAGAAGTTTCTGTGAATGATTCTGTCTAGATTTTATAAGAAGATGTTTCCTTTTCTACCGTAGGCCTCAAAGCGCTTGAAATCTCCAGCTGCAAATTCCACAAAAAGGGTGTTTAACATCTGCTCTTCTAAAGGAAAGTTCAACTCTATGAGTTGAATACACACAGCACAAAGAAGTTACTGAGACTTCTCCTATCAAACATTATATGAAGAAATCCCGTTTCCAACGAAGGCCTCAAAGAGGTCCAAATATCTGCTTGCAGACTTTACAGACAGAGTGTTTCCAAACTGCTCCATCAAAAGAAAGGTTAAACTCCTTGAGTTGAACACACACATCACAAAGTAGTTTCTGTGAATGATTCTGTCTAGTTTTTATACGAAGATGTTTCCTTTTCTACCTTTGGTCTCAAAGCGATTGAAATCTCCACATGGAAACTCCACAAAAAGAGTGTTTCAAATCTGCTCTTTCTGAAGGAAGGTTCAACTCTGTGAGTTGAATACACACACCACAAATAAGTTACTGAGAATTCTTCTGTGTAACATTATATGAGGAAATCCCGTTTCCAACGAAGGCCTCAAAGAGGTCCAAATATCCACTTGCAGACTTTACAAAGACAGTGTCTCCAAACTCCTCCATCAAAAGAAAGGTTATACTCTGTGAATTGAACGCATACATCACAAAGTAGTTTCTGAGAATGATTCTGTCTAGTTTTTATACGAAGATATTTCCTTTTCTACATTTGGCCTAAAAGCGCTTGAAATCTCCACCTGCAAATATCACAAAAAGAGGGTTTCACATCTGCTCTGTCTAAAGGACAGTTCACCTCTGTGAGTTGAATAGAGGCAACACAAAGAACTTACTCAGTATTCTTCTTTCTAGCGTTCTATGAAGAAATCCCGTTTCCAACGAAGGCCTCAAAGAGGTCCAAATATCTGCTTGCAGACTTTACAGACAGAGTTTTTCCAAACTGCTCCATCAAAAGAAAGGTTAAACTCCTTGAGTTGAACACACACATCACAAAGTAGTTTCTGTGAATGATTCTGTCTAGTTTTTATACGAAGATGTTTCCTTTTCTACCTTTGGTCTCAAAGCGATTGAAATCTCCACATGGAAACTCCACAAAAAGAGTGTTTCAAATCTGCTCTTTCTGAAGGAAGGTTCAACTCTGTGAGTTGAATACACACACCACAAATAAGTTACTGAGAATTCTTCTGTGTAACATTATATGAGGAAATCCCGTTTCCAACGAAGGCCTCAAAGAGGTCCAAATATCCACTTGCAGACTTTACAAAGACAGTGTCTCCAAACTCCTCCATCAAAAGAAAGGTTATACTCTGTGAATTGAACGCACACATCACAAAGTAGTTTCTGAGAATGATTCTGTCTAGTTTTTTTACGAAGATATTTCCTTTTCTACATTTGGCCTAAAAGCGCTTGAAATCTCCACCTGCAAATATCACAAAAATAGGGTTTCACATCTGCTCTGTCTAAAGGACAGTTCACCTCTGTGAGTTGAATAGAGGCAACACAAAGAACTTACTCAGTATTCTTCTTTCTAGCGTTCTATGAAGAAATCCCGTTTCCAACGAAGGCCTCAAGGAGGTCCAAATATCTGCTTGCAGACTTTACAGAGTGTTTCCAAACTACTCTATGAAAAGAAAGCTTAAACTCCTTGAGTTGAACGCACACATCACAAAGTAGTTTCTGAGAATGATTCTGTCTAGTTTTTATACGAAGCATGTTTCCTTTTCTACATTTGGTCTCAAAGCGATTGAAATCTCCAACTGGAAACTGCACAAATAGGGTGTTTCAAATCTGCTCTGTCTAAAGGAAGGTTCAACTCTGTGAGTTGAATACACACACCACAAATAAGTTACTGAGAATTCTTCTGTCGACCATTACTTGATGAAATCCCGTTTCCAACGAAGGCCTCAAAGAGGTCCAAATATCCACTTGCAGACATTACAAACAGAGTGTTTCCAAACTGCTCCATCAAAAGAAAGGTTAAACTCTGTGAGCTGAACACACACATCGAAAAGAAGTTTCTGTGAATGATTCTGTCTAGATTTTATAAGAAGATGTTTCCTTTTCTACCGTAGGCCTCAAAGCGCTTGAAATCTCCAGCTGCAAATTCCACAAAAAGGGTGTTTAACATCTGCTCTTCTAAAGGAAAGTTCAACTCTATGAGTTGAATACACACAGCACAAAGAAGTTACTGAGACTTCTCCTATCAAACATTATATGAAGAAATCCCGTTTCCAACGAAGGCCTCAAAGAGGTCCAAATATCTGCTTGCAGACTTTACAGACAGAGTGTTTCCAAACTGCTCCATCAAAAGAAAGGTTAAACTCCTTGAGTTGAACACACACATCACAAAGTAGTTTCTGTGAATGATTCTGTCTAGTTTTTATACGAAGATGTTTCCTTTTCTACCTTTGGTCTCAAAGTGATTGAAATCTCCACATGGAAACTCCACAAAAAGAGTGTTTCAAATCTGCTCTTTCTGAAGGAAGGTTCAAATCTGTGAGTTGAATACACACACCACAAATAAGTTACTGAGAATTCTTCTGTGTAACATTATATGAGGAAATCCCGTTTCCAACGAAGGCCTCAAAGAGGTCCAAATATCCACTTGCAGACTTTACAAAGACAGTGTCTCCAAACTCCTCCATCAAAAGAAAGGTTATACTCTGTGAATTGAACGCACACATCACAAAGTAGTTTCTGAGAATGATTCTGTCTAGTTTTTATACGAAGATATTTCCTTTTCTACATTTGGCCTAAAAGCGCTTGAAATCTCCACCTGCAAATATCACAAAAAGAGGGTTTCACATCTGCTCTGTCTAAAGGACAGTTCACCTCTGTGAGTTGAATAGAGGCAACACAAAGAACTTACTCAGTATTCTTCTTTCTAGCGTTCTATGAAGAAATCCCGTTTCCAACGAAGGCCTCAAAGAGGTCCAAATATCTGCTTGCAGACTTTACAGACAGAGTGTTTCCAAACTACTCTATGAAAAGAAAGCTTAAACTCCTTGAGTTGAACGCACACATCACAAAGTAGTTTCTGAGAATGATTCTGTCTAGTTTTTATACGAAGATGTTTCCTTTTCTACATTTGGTCTCAAAGCGATTGAAATCTCCAACTGGAAACTGCACAAATAGGGTGTTTCAAATCTGCTCTGTCTAAAGGAAGGTTCAACTCTGTGAGTTGAATACACACACCACAAATAAGTTACTGAGAATTCTTCTGTCGACCATTACTTGATGAAATCCCGTTTCCAACGAAGGCCTCAAAGAGGTCCAAATATCCACTTGCAGACATTACAAACAGAGTGTTTCCAAACTGCTCCATCAAAAGAAAGGTTAAACTCTGTGAGCTGAACACACACATCGAAAAGAAGTTTCTGTGAATGATTCTGTCTAGATTTTATAAGAAGATGTTTCCTTTTCTACCGTAGGCCTCAAAGCGCTTGAAATCTCCAGCTGCAAATTCCACAAAAAGGGTGTTTAACATCTGCTCTTCTAAAGGAAAGTTCAACTCTATGAGTTGAATACACACAGCACAAAGAAGTTACTGAGACTTCTCCTATCAAACATTATATGAAGAAATCCCGTTTCCAACAAAGGCCTCAAAGAGGTCCAAATATCTGCTTGCAGACTTTACAAAGACAGTGTCTCCAAACTCCTCCATCAAAAGAAAGGTTATACTCTGTGAATTGAACGCACACATCACAAAGTAGTTTCTGAGAGTGATTCTGTCTAGTTTTTATACGAAGATATTTCCTTTTCTACATTTGGCCTCAAAGCGCTTGAAATCTCCACCTGCAAATATCACAAAAAGAGGGTTTCACATCTGCTCTGTCTAAAGGACAGTTCACCTCTGTGAGTTGAATAGAGGCAACACAAAGAACTTACTCAGTATTCTTCTTTCTAGCGTGATATGAAGAAATCCCGTTTCCAACGAAGGCCTCAAAGAGGTCCAAATATCTGCTTGCAGACTTTACAAACAGAGTGTTTCCAAACTACTCTATGAAAAGAAAGCTTAAACTTCGTGAGTTGAACGCACACATCACAAAGTGGTTTCTGTGTATGATTCTGTCTAGTTTTTATACGAAGATGTTTCCTTTTCTACATTTGGTCTCAAAGCGATTGAAATCTCCAACTGGAAACTGCACAAATAGGCTGTTTCAAATCTGCTCTGTCTAAAGGAAGGTTCAACTCTGTGAGTTGAATACACACACCACAAAGAAGTTACTGAGAATTCTTCTGTCGAACATTACTTGAAGAAATCCCGTTTCCAACGAAGGCCTCAAAGAGGTCCAAATATCCACTTGCAGACATTACAAACATAGTGTTTCCAAACTGCTCCATCAAAAGAAAGGTTAAACTCTGTGAGCTGAACACACACATCAAAAAGAAGTTTCTGTGAATGATTCTGTCTAGATTTTATAAGAAGATGTTTCCTTTTCTACCGTAGGCCTCAAAGCGCTTGAAATCTCCAGCTGCAAATTCCACAAAAAGGGTGTTTAACATCTGCTCTTCTAAAGGAAAGTTCAACTCTATGAGTTGAATACACACAGCACAAAGAAGTTACTGAGACTTCTCCTATCAAACATTATATGAAGAAATCCCGTTTCCAACGAAGGCCTCAAAGAGGTCCAAATATCTGCTTGCAGACTTTACAGACAGAGTTTTTCCAAACTGCTCCATCAAAAGAAAGGTTAAACTCCTTGAGTTGAACACACACATCACAATGTAGTTTCTGTGAATGATTCTGTCTAGTTGTTATAAGAAGATGTTTCCTTTTCTACCTTTGGTCTCAAAGCGATTGAAATCTCCACATGGAAACTCCACAAAAAGAGTGTTTCAAATCTGCTCTTTCTGAAGGAAGGTTCATCTCTGTGAGTTGAATACACACACCACAAATAAGTTACTGAGAATTCTTCTGTGTAACATTATATGAGGAAATCCCGTTTCCAACGAAGGCCTCAAAGAGGTCCAAATATCCACTTGCAGACTTTACAAAGACAGTGTCTCCAAACTCCTCCATCAAAAGAAAGGTTATACTCTGTGAATTGAACGCACACATCACAAAGTAGTTTCTGAGAATGATTCTGTCTAGTTTTTATACGAAGATATTTCCTTTTCTACATTTGGCCTAAAAGCGCTTGAAATCTCCACCTGCAAATATCACAAAAAGAGGGTTTCACATCTGCTCTGTCTAAAGGACAGTTCACCTCTGTGAGTTGAATAGAGGCAACACAAAGAACTTACTCAGTATTCTTCTTTCTAGCGTTCTATGAAGAAATACCGTTTCCAACGAAGACCCCAATGAGGTCCAAATATCTGCTTGCAGACTTTACAGACAGAGTGTTTCCAATCTACTCTATGAAAAGAAAGCTTAAACTCCTTGAGTTGAACGCACACATCACAAAGTAGTTTCTGAGAATGATTCTGTCTAGTTTTTATACGAAGATGTTTCCTTTTCTACATTTGGTCTCAAAGCGATTGAAATCTCCAACTGGAAACTGCACAAATAGGGTGTTTCAAATCTGCTCTGTCTAAAGGAAGGTTCAACTCTGTGAGTTGAATACACACACCACAAATAAGTTACTGAGAATTCTTCTGTCGACCATTACTTGAAGAAATCCCGTTTCCAACGAAGGCCTCAAAGAGGTCCAAATATCCACTTGCAGACATTACAAACAGAGTGTTTCCAAACGGCTCCATCAAAAGAAAGGTTAAACTCTGTGAGCTGAACACACACATCAAAAAGAAGTTTCTGTGAATGATTCTGTCTAGATTTTATAAGAAGATGTTTCCTTTTCTACCGTAGGCCTCAAAGCGCTTGAAATCTCCAGCTGCAAATTCCACAAAAAGGGTGTTTAACATCTGCTCTTCTAAAGGAAAGTTCAACTCTATGAGTTGAATACACACAGCACAAAGAAGTTACTGAGACTTCTCCTATCAAACATTATATGAAGAAATCCCGTTTCCAACGAAGGCCTCAAAGAGGTCCAAATATCTGCTTGCAGACTTTACAGACAGAGTGTTTCCAAACTGCTCCATCAAAAGAAAGGTTAAACTCCTTGAGTTGAACACACACATCACAAAGTAGTTTCTGTGAATGATTCTGTCTAGTTGTTATACGAAGATGTTTCCTTTTCTACCTTTGGTCTCAAAGCGATTGAAATCTCCACATGGAAACTCCACAAAAAGAGTGTTTCAAATCTGCTCTTTCTGAAGGAAGGTTCATCTCTGTGAGTTGAATACACACACCACAAATAAGATACTGAGAATTCTTCTGTGTAACATTATATGAGGAAATCCCGTTTCCAACGAAGGCCTCAAAGAGGTCCAAATATCCACTTGCAGACTTTACAAAGACAGTGTCTCCAAACTCCTCCATCAAAAGAAAGGTTATACTCTGTGAATTGAACGCACACATCACAAAGTAGTTTCTGAGAATGATTCTGTCTAGTTTTTATACGAAGATATTTCCTTTTCTACATTTGGCCTAAAAGCGCTTGAAATCTCCACCTGCAAATATCACAAAAAGAGGGTTTCACATCTGCTCTGTCTAAAGGACAGTTCACCTCTGTGAGTTGAATAGAGGCAACACAAAGAACTTACTCAGTATTCTTCTTTCTAGCGTTCTATGAAGAAATCCCGTTTCCAACGAAGGCCCCAAAGAGGTCAAATATCTGCTTGCAGACTTTACAGACAGAGTGTTTCCAAACTACTCTATGAAAAGAAAGCTTAAACTCCTTGAGTTGAACGCACACATCTCAAAGTAGTTTCTGAGAATGATTCTGTCTAGTTTTTATACGAAGATGTTTCCTTTTCTACATTTGGTCTCAAAGCGATTGAAATCTCCAACTGGAAACTGCACAAATAGGGTGTTTCAAATCTGCTCTGTCTAAAGGAAGGTTCAACTCTGTGAGTTGAATACACACACCACAAATAAGTTACTGAGAATTCTTCTGTCGAACATTACTTGAAGAAATCCCGTTTCCAACGAAGGCCTCAAAGAGGTCCAAATATCCACTTGCAGACATTACAAACAGTGTGTTTCCAAACTGCTCCATCAAAAGAAAGGTTATACTCTGTGAATTGAACGCACACATCACAAAGTAGTTTCTGAGAATGATTCTGTCTAGTTTTTATACGAAGATGTTTCCTTTTCTACATTTGTCTCAAAGCGATTGAAATCTCCAACTGGAAACTGCACAAATAGGCTGTTTCAAATCTGCTCTGTCTAAAGGACAGTTCACCTCTGTGAGTTGAATAGAGGCAACAAAAAGAACTTACTCAGTATTCTTCTTTCTAGCGTTCTATGAAGAAATCCCGTTTCCAACGAAGGCCTCAAAGAGGTCCAAATATCTGCTTGCAGACTTTACAGACAGAGTGTTTCCAAACTGCTCCATCAAAAGAAAGGTTAAACTCCTTGAGTTGAACACACACATCACAAAGTAGTTTCTGTGAATGATTCTGTCTAGTTTTTATACGAAGATGTTTCCTTTTCTACCTTTGGTCTCAAAGCGATTGAAATCTCCACATGGAAACTCCACAAAAAGAGTGTTTCAAATCTGCTCTTTCTGAAGGAAGGTTCAACTCTGTGAGTTGAATACACACACCACAAATAAGTTACTGAGAATTCTTCTGTGTAACATTATATGAGGAAATCCCGTTTCCAACGAAGGCCTCAAAGAGGTCCAAATATCCACTTGCAGACTTTACAAAGACAGTGTCTCCAAACTCCTCCATCAAAAGAAAGGTTATACTCTGTGAATTGAACGCACACATCACAAAGTAGTTTCTGAGAATGATTCTGTCTAGTTTTTATACGAAGATATTTCCTTTTCTACATTTGGCCTAAAAGCGCTTGAAATCTCCACCTGCAAATATCACAAAAAGAGGGTTTCACATCTGCTCTGTCTAAAGGACAGTTCACCTCTGTGAGTTGAATAGAGGCAACACAAAGAACTTACTCAGTATTCTTCTTTCTAGCATTCTATGAAGAAATCCCGTTTCCAACGAAGGCCTCAAAGAGGTCAAATATCTGCTTGCAGACTTTACAGACAGAGTGTTTCCAAACTACTCTATGAAAAGAAAGCTTAAACTCCTTGAGTTGAACGCACACATCACAAAGTAGTTTCTGAGAATGATTCTGTCTAGTTTTTATACGAAGATGTTTCCTTTTCTACATTTGGTCTCAAAGCTCTTGAAATCTCCAACTGGAAACTGCACAAATAGGCTGTTTCAAATCTGCTCTGTCTAAAGGAAGGTTCAACTCTGTGAGTTGAATACACACACCACAAATAAGTTACTGAGAATTCTTCTGTCGAACATTACTTGAAGAAATCCCGTTTCCAACGAAGGCCTCAAAGAGGTCCAAATATCCACTTGCAGACGTTACAAACAGAGTGTTTCCAAACTGCTCCATCAAAAGAAAGGTTAAACTCTGTGAGCTGAACACACACATCAAAAAGAAGTTTCTGTGAATGATTCTGTCTAGATTTTATAAGAAGATGTTTCCTTTTCTACCGTAGGCCTCAAAGCGCTTGAAATCTCCAGCTGCAAATTCCACAAAAAGGGTGTTTAACATCTGCTCTTCTAAAGGAAAGTTCAACTCTATGAGTTGAATACACACAGCACAAAGAAGTTACTGAGACTTCTCCTATCAAACATTATATGAAGAAATCCCGTTTCCAACGAAGGCCTCAAAGAGGTCCAAATATCTGCTTGCAGACTTTACAGACAGAGTGTTTCCAAACTGCTCCATCAAAAGAAAGGTGAAACTCCTTGAGTTGAACACACACATCACAAAGTAGTTTCTGTGAATGATTCTGTCTAGTTTTTATACGAAGATGTTTCCTTTTCTACCTTTGGTCTCAAAGCGATTGAAATCTCCACATGGAAACTCCACAAAAAGAGTGTTTCAAATCTGCTCTTTCTGAAGGAAGGTTCAACTCTGTGAGTTGAATACGCACACCACAAATAAGTTACTGAGAATTCTTCTGTGTAACATTATATGAGGAAATCCCGTTTCCAACGAAGGCCTCAAAGAGGTCCAAATATCCACTTGCAGACTTTACAAAGACAGTGTCTCCAAACTCCTCCATCAAAAGAAAGGTTATACTCTGTGAATTGAACGCACACATCACAAAGTAGTTTCTGAGAATGATTCTGTCTAGTTTTTATACGAAGATATTTCCTTTTCTACATTTGGCCTAAAAGCGCTTGAAATCTCCACCTGCAAATATCACAAAAAGAGGGTTTCACATCTGCTCTGTCTAAAGGACAGTTCACCTCTGTGAGTTGAATAGAGGCAACACAAAGAACTTACTCAGTATTCTTCTTTCTAGCATTCTATGAAGAAATCCCGTTTCCAACGAAGGCCCCAAAGAGGTCCAAATATCTGCTTGCAGACTTTACAGACAGAGTTTTTCCAAACTGCTCCATCAAAAGAAAGGTTAAACTCCTTGAGTTGAACACACACATCACAAAGTAGTTTCTGTGAATGATTCTGTCTAGTTTTTACAAGAAGATGTTTCCTTTTCTACCTTTGGTCTCAAAGCGATTGAAATCTCCACATGGAAACTCCACAAAAAGAGTGTTTCAAATCTGCTCTTTCTGAAGGAAGGTTCAACTCTGTGAGTTGAATACACACACCACAAATAAGTTACTGAGAATTCTTCTGTGTAACATTATATGAGGAAATCCCGTTTCCAACGAAGGCCTCAAAGAGGTCCAAATATCCACTTGCAGACTTTACAAAGACAGTGTCTCCAAACTCCTCCATCAAAAGAAAGGTTATACTCTGTGAATTGAACGCACACATCACAAAGTAGTTTCTGAGAATGATTCTGTCTAGTTTTTATACGAAGATATTTCCTTTTCTACATTTGGCCTAAAAACACTTGAAATCTCCACCTGCAAATATCACAAAAAGAGGGTTTCACATCTGCTCTGTTTAAAGGACAGTTCACCTCTGTGAGTTGAATAGAGGCAACACAAAGAACTTACTCAGTATTCTTCTTTCTAGGGTTCTATGAAGAAACGCCGTTTCCAACGAAGGCCCCAAAGAGGTCCAAATATCTGCTTGCAGACTTTACAGACAGAGTGTTTCCAAACTACTCTATGAAAAGAAAGCTTAAACTCCTTGAGTTGAACGCACACATCACAAAGTAGTTTTCTGAGAATGATTCTCTGTCTAGTTTTTATACGAAGTATGTTTCCTTTTCTACATTTGGTCTCAAAGCGATTGAAATCTCCAACTGGAAACTGCACAAATAGGGTGTTTCAAATCTGCTCTGTCTAAAGGAAGGTTCAATTCTGTGAGTTGAATACACAAACTACAAATAAGTTACTGAGAATTCTTCTGTCGACCATTACTTGAAGAAATCCCGTTTCCAACGAAGGCCTCAAAGAGGTCCAAATATCCACTTGCAGACATTACAAACAGAGTGTTTCCAAACTGCTCCATCAAAAGAAAGGTTAAACTCTGTGAGCTGAACACACACATCGAAAAGAAGTTTCTGTGAATGATTCTGTCTAGATTTTATAAGAAGATGTTTCCTTTTCTACCGTAGGCCTCAAAGCGCTTGAAATCTCCAGCTGCAAATTCCACAAAAAGGGTGTTTAACATCTGCTCTTCTAAAGGAAAGTTCAACTCTATGAGTTGAATACACACAGCACAAAGAAGTTACTGAGACTTCTCCTATCAAACATTATATGAAGAAATCCCGTTTCCAACGAAGGCCTCAAAGAGGTCCAAATATCCACTTGCAGACATTACAAACAGAGTGTTTCCAAACTGCTCCATCAAAAGAAAGGTTAAACTCTGTGAGCTGAACACACACATCAAAAAGAAGTTTCTGTGAATGATTCTGTCTAGTTTTTATACGAAGATGTTTCCTTTTCTACCTTTGGTCTCAATGCGATTGAAATCTCCACATGGAAACTCCACAAAAAGAGTGTTTCAAATCTGCTCTTTCTGAAGGAAGGTTCAACTCTGTGAGTTGAATACACACACCACAAATAAGTTACTGAGAATTCTTCTGTGTAACATTATATGAGGAAATCCCGTTTCCAACGAAGGCCTCAAAGAGGTCCAAATATCCACTTGCAGACTTTACAAAGACAGTGTCTCCAAACTCCTCCATCAAAAGAAAGGTTATACTCTGTGAATTGAACGCACACATCACAAAGTAGTTTCTGAGAATGATTCTGTCTAGTTTTTATATGAAGATATTTCCTTTTCTACATTTGGCCTAAAAGCGCTTGAAATCTCCACCTGCAAATATCACAAAAAGAGGGTTTCACATCTGCTCTATCTAAAGGAGAGTTCACCTCTGTGAGTTGAATAGAGGCAACACAAAGAACTTACTCAGTATTCTTCTTTCTAGCGTTCTATGAAGAAATCCCGTTTCCAACGAAGGCCTCAAAGAGGTCAAATATCTGCTTGCAGACTTTACAGACAGAGTGTTTCCAAACTACTCTATGAAAAGAAAGCTTAAACTCCTTGAGTTGAACGCACACATCACAAAGTAGTTTCTGAGAATGATTCTGTCTAGTTTTTATACGAAGATGTTTCCTTTTCTACATTTGGTCTCAAAGCGATTGAAATCTCCAACTGGAAACTGCACAAATAGGCTGTTTCAAATCTGCTCTGTCTAAAGGAAGGTTCAACTCTGTGAGTTGAATACACACACCACAAATAAGTTACTGAGAATTCTTCTGTCGAACATTACATGAAGAAATCCCGTTTCCAACGAAGGCCTCAAAGAGGTCCAAATATCCACTTGCAGACATTACAAACAGAGTGTTTCCAAACTGCTCCATCAAAAGAAAGGTTAAACTCTGTGAGCTGAACACACACATCAAAAAGAAGTTTCTGTGAATGATTCTGTCTAGATTTTATAAGAAGATGTTTCCTTTTCTACCGTAGGCCTCAAAGCGCTTGAAATCTCCAGCTGCAAATTCCACAAAAAGGGTGTTTAACATCTGCTCTTCTAAAGGAAAGTTCAACTCTATGAGTTGAATACACACAGCACAAAGAAGTTACTGAGACTTCTCCGATCAAACATTATATGAAGAAATCCCGTTTCCAACGAAGGCCTCAAAGAGGTCCAAATATCTGCTTGCAGACTTTACAGACAGAGTGTTTCCAAACTGCTCCATCAAAAGAAAGGTTAAACTCCTTGAGTTGAACACACACATCACAAAGTAGTTTCTGTGAATGATTCTGTCTAGTTGTTATACGAAGATGTTTCCTTTTCTACCTTTGGTCTCAAAGCGATTGAAATCTCCACATGGAAACTCCACAAAAAGAGTGTTTCAAATCTGCTCTTTCTGAAGGAAGGTTCATCTCTGTGAGTTGAATACACACACCACAAATAAGTTACTGAGAATTCTTCTGTGTAACATTATATGAGGAAATCCCGTTTCCAACGAAGGCCTCAAAGAGGTCCAAATATCCACTTGCAGACTTTACAAAGACAGTGTCTCCAAACTCCTCCATCAAAAGAAAGGTTATACTCTGTGAATTGAACGCACACATCACAAAGTAGTTTCTGAGAATGATTCTGTCTAGTTTTTATACGAAGATATTTCCTTTTCTACATTTGGCCTAAAAGCGCTTGAAATCTCCACCTGCAAATATCACAAAAAGAGGGTTTCACATCTGCTCTGTCTAAAGGACAGTTCACCTCTGTGAGTTGAATAGAGGCAACACAAAGAACGTACTCAGTATTCTTCTTTCTAGCGTTATATGAAGAAATCCCGTTTCCAAAGAAGGCCTCAAAGAGGTCCAAATATCTGCTTGCAGACTTTACAGACAGAGTGTTTCCAAACTACTCTATGAAAAGAAAGCTTAAACTCCTTGAGTTGAACGCACACATCACAAAGTAGTTTCTGAGAATGATTCTGTCTAGTTTTTATACGAAGATGTTTCCTTTTCTACATTTGTTCTCAAAGCGATTGAAATCTCCAACTGGAAACTGCACAAATAGGGTGTTTCAAATCTGCTCTGTCTAAAGGAAGGTTCAACTCTGTGAGTTGAATACACACACCACAAATAAGTTACTGAGAATTCTTCTGTCGAACATTACAGGAAGAAATCCCGTTTCCAACGAAGGCCTCAAAGAGCTCCAAATATCCACTTGCAGACATTACAAACAGTGTGTTTCCCAACTGCTCCATCAAAAGAAAGTTTAAACTCTGTGAGCTGAACACACACATCAAAAAGAAGTTTCTGTGAATGATTCTGTCTAGATTTTATAAGAAGATGTTTCCTTTTCTACCGTAGGCCTCAAAGCGCTTGAAATCTCCAGCTGCAAATTCCACAAAAAGGGTGTTTAACATCTGCTCTTCTAAAGGAAAGTTCAACTCTATGAGTTGAATACACACAGCACAAAGAAGTTACTGAGACTTCTCCTATCAAACATTATATGAAGAAATCCCGTTTCCAACGAAGGCCTCAAAGAGGTCCAAATATCTGCTTGCAGACTTTACAGACAGAGTGTTTCCAAACTGCTCCATCAAAAGAAAGGTTAAACTCCTTGAGTTGAACACACACATCACAAAGTAGTTTCTGTGAATGATTCTGTCTAGTTTGTATACGAAGATGTTTCCTTTTCTACCTTTGGTCTCAAAGCGATTGAAATCTCCACATGGAAACTCCACAAAAAGAGTGTTTCAAATCTGCTCTTTCTGAAGGAAGGTTCAACTCTGTGAGTTGAATACACACACCACAAATAAGTTACTGAGAATTCTTCTGTGTAACATTATATGAGGAAATCCCGTTTCCAACGAAGGCCTCAAAGAGGTCCAAATATCCACTTGCAGACTTTACAAAGACAGTGTCTCCAAACTCCTCCATCAAAAGAAAGGTTATACTCTGTGAATTGAACGCACACATCACAAAGTAGTTTCTGAGAATGATTCTGTCTAGTTTTTATACGAAGATATTTCCTTTTCTACATTTGGCCTAAAAGCGCTTGAAATCTCCACCTGCAAATATCACAAAAAGAGGGTTTCACATCTGCTCTGTCTAAAGGACAGTTCACCTCTGTGAGTTGAAAAGAGGCAACACAAAGAACTTACTCAGTATTCTTCTTTCTAGCGTTCTATGAAGAAATCCCGTTTCCAACGAAGGCCTCAAAGAGGTCCAAATATCTGCTTGCAGACTTTACAGACAGAGTGTTTCCAAACTACTCTATGAAAAGAAAGCTTAAACTCCTTGAGTTGAACGCACACATCACAAAGTAGTTTCTGAGAATGATTCTGTCTAGTTTTTATACGAAGATGTTTCCTTTTCTACATTTGTCTCAAAGCGATTGAAATCTCCAACTGGAAACTGCACAAATAGGCTGTTTCAAATCTGCTCTGTCTAAAGGACAGTTCACCTCTGTGAGTTGAATAGAGGCAACAAAAAGAACTTACTCAGTATTCTTCTTTCTAGCGTTCTATGAAGAAATCCCGTTTCCAAAGAAGGCCTCAAAGAGGTCCAAATATCCACTTGCAGACTTTACAAAGACAGTGTCTCCAAACTCCTCCATCAAAGAAAGGTTATACTCTGTGAATTGAACGCACACATCACAAAGTAGTTTCTGAGAATGATTCTGTCTAGTTTTTATACGAAGATATTTCCTTTTCTACATTTGGCCTAAAAGCACTTGAAATCTCCACCTGCAAATATCCCAAAAAGAGGGTTTCACATCTGCTCTGTCTAAAGGACAGTTCTCCTCTGTGAGTAGAATAGAGGCAACACAAAGAACTTAGTATTCTTCTTTCTAGCGTTCTATGAAGAAATCCCGTTTCCAACGAAGGCCTCAAAGAGGTTCAAATATCTGCTTGCAGACTTTACAGACAGAGTGTTTCCAAACTACTCTATGAAAAGAAAGCTTAAACTCCTTGAGTTGAACGCACACATCACAAAGTAGTTTCTGAGAATGATTCTGTCTAGTTTTTATACGAAGATGTTTCCTTTTCTACATTTGGTCTCAAAGCGATTGAAATCTCCAACTGGAAACTGCACAAATAGGGTGTTTCAAATCTGCTCTGTCTAAAGGAAGGTTCAACTCTGTGAGTTGAATACACACACCACAAATAAGTTACTGAGAATTCTTCTGTCGAACATTACAGGAAGAAATCCCGTTTCCAACGAAGGCCTCAAAGAGGTCCAAATATCCACTTGCAGACATTACAAACAGTGTGTTTCCCAACTGCTCCATCAAAAGAAAGGTTAAACTCTGTGAGCTGAACACACACATCAAAAAGAAGTTTCTGTGAATGATTCTGTCTAGATTTTATAAGAAGATGTTTCCTTTTCTACCGTCGGCCTCAAAGCGCTTGAAATCTCCAGCTGCAAATTCCACCAAAAGGGTGTTTAACATCTGGTCTTCTAAAGGAAAGTTCAACTCTATGAGTTGAATACACACAGCACAAAGAAGTTACTGAGACTTCTCCTATCAAACATTATATGAAGAAATCCCGTTTCCAACGAAGGCCTCAAAGAGGTCCAAATATCTGCTTGCAGACTTTAAAGACAGAGTTTTTCCAAACTGCTCCATCAAAAGAAAGGTTAAACTCCTTGAGTTGAACACACACATCACAAAGTAGTTTCTGTGAGTGATTCTGTCTAGTTTTTATACGAAGATGTTTCCTTTTCTACCTTTGGTCTCAAAGCGATTGAAATGTCCACATGGAAACTCCACAAAAAGAGTGTTTCAAATCTGCTCTTTCTGAAGGAAGGTTCAACTCTGTGAGTTGAATACACACACCACAAATAAGTTACTGAGAATTCTTCTGTGTAACATTATACGAGGAAATCCCGTTTCCAACGAAGGCCTCAAAGAGGTCCAAATATCCACTTGCAGACTTTACAAAGACAGTGTCTCCAAACTCCTCCATCAAAAGAAAAGTTATACTCTGTGAATTGAACGCACACATCACAAAGTAGTTTCTGAGAATGATTCTGTCTAGTTTTTATACGAAGATATTTCCTTTTCTACATTTGGCCTAAAAGCGCTTGAAATCTCCACCTGCAAATATCCCAAAAAGAGGGTTTCACATCTGCTCTGTCTAAAGGACAGTTCACCTCTGTGAGTTGAATAGAGGCAACACAAAGAACTTACTCAGTATTCTTCTTTCTGGCGTTCTATGAAGAAATCCCGTTTCCAACGAAGGCCCAAAGAGGTCCAAATATCTGCCTGCAGACTTTACAGACAGAATGTTTCCAAACTACTCTATGAAAAGAAAGCTTAAACTCCTTGAGTTGAACGCACACATCACAAAGTAGTTTCTGAGAATGATTCTGTCTACTTTTTATACGAAGATGTTTCCTTTTCTACATTTGGTCTCAAAGCGATTGAAATCTCCAACTGGATACTGCACAAATAGGGTGTTTCAAATCTGCTCTGTCTAAAGGAAGGTTCAACTCTGTGAGTTGAATACACACACCACAAATAAGTTACTGAGAATTCTTCTGTCGAACATTACTTGAAGAAATCCCGTTTCCAACGAAGGCCCCAAAGAGGTCCAAATATCCACTTGCAGATATTACAAACAGAGTGTTTCCAAACTGCTCCATCAAAAGAAAGGTTAAACTCGGTGAGCTGAACACACACATCAAAAAGAAGTTTCTGTGAATTATTCTGTCCAGATTTTATAAGAAGATGTTTCCTTTTCTACTGTAGTCCTCAAAGCGCTTGAAATCTCCAACTGCAAATTCCACAAAAAGGGTGTTTAACATCTGCTCTTCTAAAGGAAAGTTCAACTCTATGAGTTGAATACACACAGCACAAAGAAGTTACTGAGACTTCTCCTATCAAACATTATATGAAGAAATCCCGTTTCCAACGAAGGCCTCAAAGAGGTCCAAATATCTGCTTGCAGACTTTACAGACAGAGTGTTTCCAAACTGCTCCATCAAAAGAAAAGTTAAACTCCTTGAGTTGAACACACACATCACAAAGTAGTTTCTGTGAATGATTCTGTCTAGTTTTTATACGAAGATGTTTCCTTTTCTACCTTTGTTCTCAAAGCGATTGAAATCTCCACATGGAAACTCCACCAAAAGAGTGTTTCAAATCTGCTCTTTCTGAAGGAAGGTTCAACTCTGTGAGTTGAATACACACACCACAAATAAGTTACTGAGAATTCTTCTGTGTAACATTATATGAGGAAATCCCGTTTCCAACGAAGGCCTCAAAGAGGTCCAAATATCCACTTGCAGACTTTACAAAGACAGTGTCTCCAAACTCCTCCATCAAAAGAAAGGTTATACTCTGTGAATTGAACGCACACATCACAAAGTAGTTTCTGAGAATGATTCTGACTACTTTTTATACGAAGATATTTCCTTTTCTACATTTGGCCTAAAAGCACTTGAAATCTCCACCTGCAAATATCACAAAAAGAGGGTTTCACATCTGCTCTGTCTAAAGGACAGTTCACCTCTGTGATTTGAATAGAGGCAACACATAGAACTTACTCAGTATTCTTCTTTCTAGCGTTCCATGAAGAAAACCCGTTTCCAACGAAGGCCTCAAAGAGGTCCAAATATCTGCTTGCAGACTTTACAGACAGAGTGTTTCCAAACAACTTTATGAAAAGAAAGCTTAAACTCCTTGAGTTGAACGCACACATCACAAAGTAGTTTCTGAGAATGATTCTGTCTAGTTTTTATACGAAGATGTTTCCTTTTCTACATTTCGTCTCAAAGCGATTGAAATCTCCAACTGGAAACTGCACAAATAGGGTGTTTCAAATCTGCTCTGTCTAAAGGAAGGTTCAACTCTGTGAGTTGAATACACACACCACAAATAAGTTACTGAGAATTCTTCTGTCGAACATTACATGAAGAAATCCCGTTTCCAACGAAGGCCTCAAAGAGGTCCAAATATCCACTTGCAGACATTACAGAGTGTTTCCAAACTGCTCCATCAAAAGAAAGGTTAAAGTCTGTGAGCTGAACACACACATCAAAAAGAAGTTTCTGTGAGTGATTCTGTCTAGATTTTATAAGAAGATGTTTCCTTTTCTACCGTAGGCCTCAAAGCGCTTGAAATCTCCAGCTGCAAATTCCACAAAAAGGGTGTTTAACATCTGCTCTTCTAAAGGAATGTTCAACTCTATGAGTTGAATACACACAGCACAAAGAAGTTACTGAGACTTCTCCTATCAAACATTATATGAAGAAATCCCGCTTCCAACGAAGGCCTCAAAGAAGTCCAAATATCTGCTCACAAACTTTACAGACAGAGTGTTTCCAAACTGCTCCATCAAAAGAAAGGTTAACCTCCTTGAGTTGAACACACACATCACAAAGTAGTTTCTGTGAGTGATTCTTTCTAGTTTTTATACGAAGATGTTTCCTTTTCTACCTTTGGTCTCAATGCGATTGAAATCTCCACATGGAAACTCCACAAAAAGAGTGTTTCAAATCTGCTCTTTCTGAAGGAAGGTTCAAATCTGTGAGTTGAATACACACACCACAAATAAGTTACTGAGAATTCTTCTGTGTAACATTATATGAGGAAATCCCGTTTCCAACGAAGGCCTCAAAGAGTTCCAAATATCCACTTGCAGACTTTACAAAGACAGTGTCTCCAAACTCCTCCATCAAAAGAAAGGTTATACTCTGTGAATTGAACGCACACATCACAAAGTAGTTTCTGAGAATGATTCTGACTACTTTTTATACGAAGATATTTCCTTTTCTACATTTGGCCTAAAAGCACTTGAAATCTCCACCTGCAAATATCACAAAAAGAGGGTTTCACATCTGCTCTGTCTAAAGGACAGTTCACCTCTGTGATTTGAATAGAGGCAACACATAGAACTTACTCAGTATTCTTCTTTCTAGCGTTCCATGAAGAAAACCCGTTTCCAACGAAGGCCTCAAAGAGGTCCAAATATCTGCTTGCAGACTTTACAGACAGAGTGTTTCCAAACAACTTTATGAAAAGAAAGCTTAAACTCCTTGAGTTGAACGCACATATCACAAAGTAGTTTCTGAGAATGATTCTGTCTAGTTTTTATACGAAGATGTTTCCTTTTCTACATTTCGTCTCAAAGCGATTGAAATCTCCAACTGGAAACTGCACAAATAGGGTGTTTCAAATCTGCTCTGTCTAAAGGAAGGTTCAACTCTGTGAGTTGAATACACACACCACAAATAAGTTACTGAGAATTCTTCTGTCGAACATTACATGAAGAAATCCCGTTTCCAACGAAGGCCTCAAAGAGGTCCAAATATCCACTTGCAGACATTACAGAGTGTTTCCAAACTGCTCCATCAAAAGAAAGGTTAAAGTCTGTGAGCTGAACACACACATCAAAAAGAAGTTTCTGTGAGTGATTCTGTCTAGATTTTATACGAAGATGTTTCCTTTTCTACCGCAGGCCTCAAAGCGCTTGAAATCTCCAGCTGCAAATTCCACAAAAAGGGGGTTTAACATCTGCTCTTCTAAAGGAAAGTTCAACTCTATGAGTTGAATACACACAGCACAAAGAAGTTACTGAGACTTCTCCTATCAAACATTATATGAAGAAATCCCGTTTCCAACGAAGGCCTCAAAGACGTCCAAATATCCACTTGCAGACATTATAAACAGTGTGTTTCCAAACTGCTCCATCAAAAGAAAGGTTAAACTCTGTGAGCTGAACACACACATCAAAAAGAAGTTTCTGTGAATGATTCTGTCTAGATTTTATAAGAAGATGTTTCCTTTTCTACCATAGGCCTCAAAGCGCTTGAAATCTCCAGCTGCAAATTCCACAAAAAGGGTGTTTAACATCTGCTCTTCTAAAGGAAAGTTCAAATCTATGAGTTGAATACACACAGCACAAAGAAGTTACTGAGACTTCTCCTATCAAACATTATATGAAGAAATCCCGTTTCCAACGAAGGCCTCAAAGAGGTCCAAATATCTGCTTGCAGACTTTACAGACAGAGTGTTTCCAAACTGCTCCATCAAAAGAAAGGTTAACCTCCTTGAGTTGAACACACACATCACAAAGTAGTTTCTGTGAATGATTCTGTCTAGTTTTTATACGAAGATGTTTCCTTTTCTACCTTTGGTCTCAAAGCGATTGAAATCTCCACATGGAAACTCCACAAAAAGAGTGTTTCAAATCTGCTCTTTCTGAAGGAAGGTTCAACTCTGTGAGTTGAATACACACACCACAAATAAGTTACTGACAATTCTTCTGTGTAACATTATATGAGGAAATCCCGTTTCCAACGAAGGCCTCAAAGAGGTCCAAATATCCACTTGCAGACTTTACAAAGACAGTGTATCCAAACTCCTCCATCAAAAGAAAGGTTATACTCTGTGAATTGAACGCACACATCACAAAGTAGTTTCTGAGAATGATTCTGTCTAGTTTTTATACGAAGATATTTCCTTTTCTACATTTGGCCTAAAAGCGCTTGAAATCTCCACCTGCAAATATCACAAAAAGAGGTTTTCACATCTGCTCTGTCTAAAGGACAGTTCACCTCTGTGAGTTGAATAGAGGCAACACAAAGAACTTACTCAGTATTCTTCTTTCTAGCGTTCTATGAAGAAATCCCGTTTCCAACGAAGGCCTCAAAGAGGTCAAAGATCTGCTTGCAGACTTTACAGACAGAGTGTTTCCAAACTACTCTATGAAAAGAAAGCGTAAACTCCTTGAGTTGAACGCACACATCACAAAGTAGTTTCTGAGAATGATTCTGTCTAGTTTTTATACGAAGATGTTTCCTTTTCTACATTTGGTCTCAAAGCGATTGAAATCTCCAACTGGAAACTGCACAAATAGGGTGTTTCAAATCTGCTCTGTCTAAAGGAAGGTTCAACTCTGTGAGTTGAATACACACACCACAAATAAGTTACTGAGAATTCTTCTGTCGAACATTACATGAAGAAATCCCGTTTCCAACGAAGGCCTCAAAGAGGTCCAAATATCCACTTGCAGACATTACAAACAGAGTGTTTCCAAACTGCTCCATCAAAAGAAAGGTTAAACTCTGTGAGCTGAACACACACATCAAAAAGAAGTTTCTGTGAATGATGCTGTCTAGATTTTATAAGAAGATGTTTCCTTTTCTACCGTAGGCCTCAAAGCGCTTGAAATCTCCAGCTGCAAATTCCACAAAAAGGGTGTTTAACATCTGCTCTTCTAAAGGAAAGTTCAACTCTATGAGTTGAATACACACAGCACAAAGAAGTTACTGAGACTTCTCCTATCAAACATTATATTAAGAAATCCCTTTTCCAATGAAGGCCTCAAAGAGGTCCAAATATCTGCTTGCAGACTTTACAGACAGAGTGTTTCCAAACTGCTCCATCAAAAGAAAGGTTAAACTCCTTGAGTTGAACACACACATCACAAAGTAGTTTCTGTGAATGATTCTGTCTAGTTTTTATACGAAGATGTTTCCTTTTCTACCTTTGCTCTCAATGCGATTGAAATCTCCACATGGAAACTCCACAAAAAGAGTGTTTCAAATCTGCTCTTTCTGAAGGAAGGTTCATACTCTGTGAGTTGAATACACACACCACAAATAAGTTACTGAGAATTCTTCTGTGTAACATTATATGAGGAAATCCCGTTTCCAACGAAGGCCTCAAAGAGGTCCAAATATCCACTTGCAGACTTTACAAAGACAGTGTCTCCAAACTCCTCCATCAAAAGAAAGGTTATACTCTGTGAATTGAACACACACGTCACAAAGTAGTTTCTGAGAATGATTCTGTCTAGTTTTTATACGAAGATATTTCCTTTTCTACATTTGGCCTAAAAGCGCTTGAAATCTCCACCTGCAAATATCACAAAAAGAGGGTTTCACATCTGCTCTGCCTAAAGGACATTTCACCTCTGTGAGTTGAATAGAGGCAACACAAAGAACTTACTCAGTATTCTTCTTTCTAGCGTTCTATGAAGAAATCCCGTTTCCAACGAAGGCCCCAAAGAGGTCCAAATATCTGCTTGCAGACTTTACAGACAGAGTGTTTCCAAACTACTCTATGAAAAGAAAGCTTAAACTCCTTGAGTTGAACGCACACATCACAAAGTAGTTTCGGAGAATGATTCTGTCTAGTTTTTATACGAAGATGTTTCCTTTTCTACATTTGGTCTCAAAGCGATTGAAATCTCCAACTGGAAACTGCACAAATAGGCTGTTTCAAATCTGCTCTGTCTAAAGGAAGGTTCAACTCTGTGAGTTGAATACACACACCACAAAGAAGTTACTGAGAATTCTTCTGTCGAACATTACTTGAAGAAATCCCGTTTCCAACGAAGGCCTCAAAGAGGTCCAAATATCCACTTGCAGATATTACAAACAGAGTGTTTCCAAACTGCTCCAACAAAAGAAAGGTTAAACTCTGTGAGCTGAACACACACATCAAAAAGAAGTTTCTGTGAATGATTCTGTCTAGATTTTATAAGAAGATGTTTCCTTTTCTACCGTAGGCCTCAAAGCGCTTGAAATCTCCAGCTGCAAATTCCACAAAAAGGGTGTTTAACATCTGCTCTTCTAAAGGAAAGTTCAACTATATGAGTTGAATACACACAGCACAAAGAAGTTACTGAGACTTCTCCTATCAAACATTATATGAAGAAATCCCGTTTCCAACGAAGGCCTCAGAGAGGTCCAAATATCTGCTTGCAGACTTTACAGACAGAGTTTTTCCAAACTGCTCCATCAAAAGAAAGGTTAAACTCCTTGAGTTGAACACACACATCACAAAGTAGTTTCTGTGAATGATTCTGTCTAGTTTTTATACGAAGATGTTTCCTTTTCTACCTTTGGTCTCAAAGCGATTGAAATCTCCACATGGAAACTCCACAAAAAGAGTGTTTCAAATCTGCTCTTTCTGAAGGAAGGTTCAACTCTGTGAGTTGAATACACACACCACAAATAAGTTACTGAGAATTCTTCTGTGTAACATTATATGAGGAAATCCCGTTTCCAACGAAGGCCTCAAAGAGGTCCAAATATCCACTTGCAGACTTTACAAAGACAGGGTCTCCAAACTCCTCCATCAAAAGAAAGGTTATACTCTGTGAATTGAATGCACACATCACAAAGTAGTTTCTGAGAATGATTCTGTCTATTGTTTATACGAAGATATTTCCTTTTCTACATTTGGCCTAAAAGCGCTTGAAATCTCCACCTGCAAATATCACAAAAAGAGGGTTTCACATCTGCTCTGTCTAAAGGACAGTTCACCTCTGTGAGTTGAACAGAGGCAACACAAAGAAGTTACTGAGTATTCTTCTTTCTAGCGTTCTATGAAGAAATCCCGTTTCCAACGAAGGCCTCAAAGAGGTCCAAATATCTGCTTGCAGACTTTACAGACAGAGTGTTTTTAAACTGCTCCATCAAAAGAAAGGTTAAACTCCTTGAGTTGAACACACACATCACAAAGTAGTTTCTGAGAATGATTCTGTCTAGTTTTTATACGAAGATATTTCCTTTTCTACATTTGGCCTAAAAGTGCTTGAAATCTCCACGTGCAAATATCACAAAAAGAGGGTTTCACATCTGCTCTGTCTAAAGGACAGTTCACCTCTGTGAGTTGAATAGAGGCAACACAAAGAACTTACTCAGTATTCTTCTTTCTAGCGTTCTATGAAGAAATCACGTTTCCAACGAAGGCCCCAAAGAGGTCCAAATATCTGCTTGCAGACTTTACAGACAGAGTGTTTCCAAACTACTCTATGAAAAGAAAGCTTAAACTTCTTGAGTTGAACGCACACATCACAAAGTAGTTTCTGAGAATGATTCTGTCTAGTTTTTATACGAAGATGTTTCCTTTTCTACATTTGGTCTCAAAGCGATTGAAATCTCCAACTGGAAACTGCACAAATAGGGTGTTTCAAATCTGCTCTGTCTAAAGGAAGGTTCAACTCTTTGAGTTGAATACACACACCACAAATAAGTTACTGAGAATTCTTCTGTCGAACATTACTTGAAGAAATCCCGTTTCCAACGAAGGCCTCAAAGTGGTCCAAATATCCACTTGCAGACATTACAAACAGAGTGTTTCCAAACTGCTCCATCAAAAGAAAGGTTAAACTCTGTGAGCTGAACACACACATCAAAAAGAAGTTTCTGTGAATGATTCTGTCTAGATTTTATAAGAAGATGTTTCCTTTTCTACCGTAGGCCTCAAAGTGCTTGAAATCTCCAGCTGCAAATTCCACAAAAAGGGTGTTTAACATCTGCTCTTCTAAAGGAAAGTTCAACTCAATGAGTTGAATACACACAGCCCAAAGAAGTTACTGAGACTTCTCCTATCAAACATTATATGAAGAAATCCCGTTTCCAACGAAGGCCTCAAAGAGGTCCAAATATCTGCTTGCAGACTTTACAAAGACAGTGTCTCCAAACTCCTCCATCAAAAGAAAGGTTATACTCTGTGAATTGAACGCACACATCACAAAGTAGTTTCTGAGAATGATTCTGTCTCGTTTTTATACGAAGATATTTCCTTTTCTACATTTGGCCTAAAAGCGCTTGAAGTCTCCACCTGCAAATATCACAAAAAGAGGGTTTCACATCTGCTCTGTCTAAAGGACAGTTCACCTTTGTGAGTTGAATAGAGGCAACACAAAGAACTTACTCAGTATTCTTCTTTCTAGCGTTCTATGAAGAAATCCCGTTTCCAACGAAGGCCTCAAAGAGGTCAAATATCTGCTTGCAGACTTTACAGACAGAGTGTTTCCAAACTACTCTATGAAAAGAAAGCTTAAACTCCTTGAGTTGAACGCACACATCACAAAGTAGATTCTGAGAATGATTCTGTCTAGTTTTTATACGAAGATGTTTCCTTTTCTACATTTGGTCTCAAAGCGATTGAAATCTCCAACTGGAAACTGCACAAATAGGGTGTTTCAAATCTGCTCTGTCTAAAGGAAGGTTCAACTCTGTGAGTTCAATACACACACCACAGATAAGTTACTGAGAATTCTTCTGTCGAACATTAGAGGAAGAAATCCCGTTTCCAACGAAGGCTTCAAAGAGGTCCAAATATCCACTTGCAGACATTACAAACAGAGTTTTTCCAAAATGCTCCATCAAAAGAAAGGTTAAACTCTGTGAGCTGAACACACACATCAAAAAGAAGTTTCTGTGAATGATTCTGTCTAGATTTTATAAGAAGATGTTTCCTTTTCTACCGTAGGCCTCAAAGCGCTTGAAATCTCCAGCTGCAAATTCAACAAAAAGGGTGTTTAACATCTGCTCTTCTAAAGGAAAGTTCAACTCTATGAGTTGAATACACACAGCACAAAGAAGTTTCTGAGACTTCTCCTATCAAACATTATATGAAGAAATCCCGTTTCCAACGAAGGCCTCAAAGAGGTCCAAATATCCACTTGCAGACATTACAAACAGAGTGTTTCCAAACTGTTCCATCAAAAGAAAGATTAAACTCTGTGAGCTGAACACACACATGAAAAAGAAGTTTCTGTGAATGATTCTGTCTAGATTTTATACGAAGATGTTTCCTTTTCTACCTTTGTTCTCAATGCGATTGAAATCTCCACCTGGAAACTCCACAAAAAGGGTGTTTCAAATCTGCTCTTTCTGAAGGAAGGTTCAACTCTGTGAGTTGAATAAACACACCACAAATAAGTTACTGAGAATTCTTCTGGGTAACATTATATGAGGAAATCCCGTTTCCAACGAAGGCCTCAAAGAGGTCCAAATATCCACTTGCAGACTTTACAAAGACAGTGTCTCCAAACTCCTCCATCAAAAGAAAGGTTATACTCTGTGAATTGAACGCACACATCACAAAGTAGTTTCTGAGAATGATCTCTGTCTAGTTTTTATACGAAGATATTTCCTTTTCTACATTTGGCCTAAAAGCGCTTGAAATCTCCACCTGCAAATATCACAAAAACAGGATTTCACATCTGCTCTGTCGAAAGGACAGTTCACCTCTGTGAGTTGAATAGAGGCAGCACAAAGAAGTTACTGAGTATTCTTCTTTCTAGCGTTACATGAAGAAATCCCGTTTCCAACGAAGGCCTCAAAGAGGTCTAAATATCTGCTTGCAGACTTTACAGACAGAGTGTTTCCAAACTACTCTATGAAAAGAAAGCTTAAACTCCTTGAGTTGAACGCATACATCACAAAGTAGTTTCTGAGAATGATTCTGTCTAGTTTTTATACGAAGATGTTTCCTTTTCTACATTTGGTCTCAAAGCGATTGAAATCTCCAACTGGAAACTGCACAAATAGGGTGTTTCAAATCTGCTCTGTCTAAAGGAAGGTTCAACTCTTTGAGTTGAATACACACACCACAAATAAGTTACTGAGAATTCTTCTGTCGAACATTACTTGAAGAAATCCCGTTTCCAACGAAGGCCTCAAAGACGTCCAAATATCCACTTGCAGACATTACAAACAGAGTGTTTCCAAACTGCTCCATCAAAAGAAAGGTTAAACTCTGTGAGCTGAACACACACATCAAAAAGAAGTTTCTGTGAATGATTCTGTCTAGATTTTGTAAGAAGATGTTTCCTTTTCTACCGTAGGCCTCAAAGCGCTTGAAATCTCCAGCTGCAAATTCCACAAAAAGGGTGTTTAACATCTGCTCTTCTAAAGGAAAGTTCAACTCTATGCGTTGAATACACACAGGACAAAGAAGTTACTGAGACTTCTCCTATCAAACATTATATGAAGAAATCCCGTTTCCAACGAAGGCCTCGAAAAGGTCCAAATATCTGCTTGCAGACTTTACAGACAGAGTGTTTCCAAACTGCTCCATCAAAAGAAAGGTCAAACTCCTTGAGTTGAACACACACATCACAAAGTAGTTTTTGTGAATGATTCTGTCTAGTTTTTATACGAAGATGTTTCCTTTTCTACCTTTGGTCTCAAAGCGATTGAAATCTCCACATGGAAACTCCACAAAAAGAGTGTTTCAAATCTGCTCTTTCTGAAGGAAGGTTCAACTCTGTGAGTTGAATACACACACCACAAATAAGTTACTGAGAATTCTTCTGTGTAACATTATATGAGGAAATCCCGTTTCCAACGAAGGCCTCAAAGAGGTCCAAATATCCACTTGCAGACTTTTCAAAGACAGTGTCTCCAAACTCCTCCATCAAAAGAAAGGTTATACTCTGTGAATAGAACGCACATATCACAAAGTAGTTTCTGAGAATGATTCTGTCTAGTTTTTATACGAAGATATTTCCTTTTCTACATTAGGCCTAAAAGCGCTTGAAATCTCCACCTGCAAATATCACAAAAAGAGGGTTTCACATCTGCTCTGTCTAAAGGACAGTTCACCTCTGTGAGTTGAATAGAGGCAACACAAAGAACTTACTCAGTATTCTTCTTTCTAGCATTCTATGAAGAAATCCCATTTCCAACGAAGGCCCCAAAGAGGTCCAAATATCTGCCTGCAGACTTTACACACAGAGTTTTTCCAAACTGCTCCATCAAAAGAAAGGTTAAACTCCTTGAGTTGAACACACACATCACAAAGTAGTTTCTGTGAATGATTCTGTCTAGTTTTTATACGAAGATGTTTCCTTTTCTACCTTTGGTCTCAAAGCGATTGAAATCTCCACATGGAAACTCCACAAAAAGAGTGTTTCAAATCTGCTCTCTCTGAAGGAAGGTTCAACTCTGTGAGTTGAATACACACACCACAAATAAGTTACTGGGAATTCTCCTATCAAACATTATATGAGGAAATCCCGTTTCCAACGAAGGCCTCAAAGAGGTCCAAATATCCACTTGCAGGCTTTACAAAGACAGTGTCTCCAAACTCCTCCATCAAAAGAAAGGTTATACTCTGTGAATTGAACGCACACATCACAAAGTAGTTTCTGAGAATGATTCTGTCTAGTTTTTATACGAAGATATTTCCTTTTATACATTTGGCCTAAAAGCGATTGAAATCTCCACCTGCAAATATCACAAAAAGAGGGTTTCACATCTGCTCTGTCTAAAGGACAGTTCACCTCTGTGAGTTGAATAGAGGCAACACAAAGAACTTACTCAGTATTCTTCTTTCTAGCATTCTATGAAGAAATCCCGTTTCCAACGAAGGCCCCAAAGAGGTCCAAATATCTGCTTGCAGACTTTACAGACAGAGTGTTTCCAAACTACTCTATGAAAAGAAAGCTTAAACTCCTTGAGTTGAACGCACACATCACAAAGTAGTTTCTGAGAATGATTCTGTCTAGTTTTTATACGAAGATGTTTCCTTTTCTACATTTGGTCTCAAAGCGATTGAAATCTCCAACTGGAAACTGCACAAATAGGGTGTTTCAAATCTGCTCTGTCTAAAGGAAGGTTCAACTCTGTGAGTTGAATACACACACCACAAATAAGTTACTGAGAATTCTTCTGTCGAACATTACTTGAAGAAATCCCGTTTCCAACGAAGGCCTCAAAGAGGTCCAAATATCCACTTGCAGACATTACAAACAGAGTGTTTCCAAACTGCTCCATCAAAAGAAAGGTTAAGCTCTGTGAGCTGAACACACACATCAAAAAGAAGTTTCTGTGAATGATTCTGTCTAGATTTTATAAGAAGATGTTTCCTTTTCTACCGTAGGCCTCAAAGCGCTTGAAATCTCCAGCTGCAAATTCCACAAAAAGGGTGTTTAACATCTGCTCTTCTAAAGGAAAGTTCAACTCTATGAGTTGAATACACACAGCACAAAGAAGTTACTGAGACTTCTCCTATCAAACATTATATGAAGAAATCCCGTTTCCAACGAAGGCCTCAAAGAGGTCCAAATATCTGCTTGCAGACTTTACAGACAGAGTGTTTCCAAACTGCTCCATCAAAAGAAAGGTTAAACTCCTTGAGTTGAACACACACATCACAAAGTAGTTTCTGTGAATGATTCTGTCTAGTTGTTATACGAAGATGTTTCCTTTTCTATCTTTGGTCTCAAAGCGATTGAAATCTCCACATGGAAACTCCACAAAAAGAGTGTTTCAAATCTGCTCTTTCTGAAGGAAGGTTCATCTCTGTGAGTTGAATACACACACCACAAATAAGCTACTGAGAATTCTTCTGTGTAACATTATATGAGGAAATCCCGTTTCCAAAGAAGGCCTCAAAGAGGTCGAAATATCCACTTGCAGACTTTACAAAGACAGTGTCTCCAAACTCCTCCATCAAAAGAAAGGTTATACTCTGTGAATTGAACGCACACATCACAAAGTAGTTTCTGAGAATGATTCTGTCTAGTTTTTATACGAAGAATATTTCCTTTTCTACATTTGGCCTAAAAGCGCTTGAAATCTCCACCTGCAAATATCACAAAAAGAGGGTTTCACATCTGCTCTGTCTAAAGGACAGTTCACCCCTGTGAGTTGAATAGAGGCAACACAAAGAACTTACTGAGTATTCTTCTTTCTAGCGTTACATGAAGAAATCCCGTTTCCAACGAAGGCCTCAAAGAGGTCCAAATATCTGCTTGCAGACTTTACAGACAGAGTGTTTCCAAACTACTCTATGAAAAGAAAGCTTAAACTCCTTGAGTTGAACGCACACATCACAAAGTAGTTTCTGAGAATGATTCTGTCTTGTTTTTATACGAAGATATTTCCGTTTCTATGATTGGCCTCCAAGCGATTGAAATCTCCAACTGGAAACTGCACAAATAGGGTGTTTCAAATCTGCTCTGTCTAAAGGAAGGTTCAACTCTGTGAGTTGAATACACACACCAAAAATAAGTTACTGAGAATTCTTCTGTCGAACATTACATGAAGAAATCCCGTTTCCAACGAAGGCCTCAAAGAAGTCCAAATATCCACTTGCAGACATTACAAACAGAGTGTTTCCAAACTGCTCCATCAAAAGAAAGGTTAAACTCTGTGAGCTGAACACACACATCAAAAAGAAGTTTCTGTGAATGATTCTGTCTAGATTTTATAAGAAGATGTTTCCTTTTCTACCGTAGGCCTCAAAGCGCTTCAAATCTACGGCTGCAAATTCCACAAAAAGGGTGTTTAACATCTGCTCTTCTAAAGGAAAGTTCAACTCTATGGGTTGAATACACACAGCACAAAGAAGTTACTGAGACTTCTCCTATCAAACATTATATGAAGAAATCCCGTTTCCAACGAAGGCCTCAAAGAGGTCCAAATATCTGCTTGCAGACTTTACAGACAGAGTGTTTCCAAACTGCTCCATCAAAAGAAAGGTTAAACTCCTTGAGTTGAACACACACATCACAAAGTAGTTTCTGTGAATGATTCTGTCTAGTTTTTATACGAAGATGTTTCCTTTTCTACCTTTGGTCTCAAAGCGATTGAAATCTCCACATGGAAACTCCACAAAAAGAGTGTTTCAAATCTGCTCTTTCTGAAGGAAGGTCCAACTCTGTGAGTTGAATACACACACCACAAATAAGTTCCTGAGAATTCTTCTCTGTAACATTATATGAGGAAATCCCGTTTCCAACGAAGGCCTCAAAGAGGTCCAAATATCCACTTGCAGACTTAGAAAGACAGTGTCTCCAAACTCCTCCATCAAAACAAAGGTTATACTCTGTGAATTGAACGCACACATCACAAAGTAGTTTCTGAGAATGATTCTGTCTAGTTTTTATACGAAGATATTTCCTTTTCTACATTTGGCCTAAAAGCGCTTGAAATCTCCACGTGCAAATATCACAAAAAGAGGGTTTCACATCTGCTCTGTCTAAAGGACAGTTCACCTCTGTGAGTTGAATAGAGGCAACACAAAGAACTTACTCAGTATTCTTCTTTCTAGCGTTCTATGAAGAAATCCCGTTTACAACGAAGGCCTCAAAGAGGTCCAAATATCTGCTTGCAGACTTCACAGACAGAGTGTTTCCAAACTACTCTATGAAAAGAAAGCTTAAACTCCTTGAGTTGAAGGCACACATAACAAAGTAGTTTCTGAGAATGATTCTGTCTAGTTTTTATACGAAGATGTTTCCTTTTCTACATTTGGTCTCAAAGCGATTGAAATCTCCAACTGGAAACTGCACAAATAGGGTGTTTCAAATCTGCTCTTTCTAAAGGAAGGTTCAACTCTGTGAGTTGAATACACACACCACAAATAAGTTACTGAGAATTCTTCTGTCGAACATTACATGAAGAAATCCCGTTTCCAACGAAGGCCTCAAAGAGGTTCAAATATCCACTTGCAGACATTACAAACAGTGTGTTTCCAAACTGCTCCATCAAAAGAAAGGTTAAACTCTGTGAGCTGAACACACACATCAAAAAGAAGATTCTGTGAATGATTCTGTCTAGATTTTATAAGAAGATGTTTCCTTTTCTACCGTAGGCCTCAAAGCACTTGAAATCTCCAGCTGCAAATTCCACAAAAAGGGTGTTTAACATCTGCTCTTCTAAAGGAAAGCTCAACTCTATGAGTTGAATACACACAGCACAAAGAAGTTACTGAGACTTCTCCTATCAAACATTATATGAAGAAATCCCGTTTCCAACGAAGGCCTCAAAGGAGGTCCAAATATCTGCTTGCAGACTTTACAGACAGAGTGTTTCCAAACTGCTCCATCAAAAGAAAGGTTAAACTCCTTGAGTTGAACACACACATCACAAAGTAGTTTCTGTGAATGATTCTGTCTAGTTGTTATACGAAGATGTTTCCTTTTCTACCTTTGGTCTCAAAGCGATTGAAATCTCCACATGGAAACTCCACAAAAAGAGTGTTTCCAATCTGCTCTTTCTGAAGGAAGGTTCATCTCTGTGAGTTGAATACACACACCACAAATAAGTTACTGAGAATTCTTCTGTGTAATATTATATGAGGAAATCCCGTTTCCAACGAAGGCCTCAAAGAGGTCCAAATATCCACTTGCAGACTTTACAAAGACAGTGTCTCCAAACTCCTCCATCAAAAGAAAGGTTATACTCTGTGAATTGAACACACACATCACAAAGTAGTTTCTGAGAATGATTCTGTCTAGTTTTTATACGAAGATATTTCCTTTTCTACATTTGGCCTAAAAGCGCTTGAAATCTGCACGTGCAAATATCACAAAAAGAGGGTTTCACATCTGCTCTGTCTAAAGGACAGTTCACCTCTGTGAGTTGAATAGAGGCAACACAAAGAACTTACTCAGTATTCTTCTTTCTAGCGTTCTATGAAGAAATCCCGTTTCCAACGAAGGCCTCAAAGAGGTCCAAATATCTGCTTGCAGACTTTACAGACAGAGTGTTTCCAAACTACTCTATGAAAAGAAAGCTTAAACTCCTTGAGTTGAACGCACACATCACAAAGTAGTTTCTGAGAATGATTCTGTCTAGTTTTTATAAGAAGATATTTCCTTTTCTACATTTGGCCTAAAAGCGCTTGAAATCTCCACCTGCAAATATCACAAAAAGAGGGTTTCACATCTGCTCTGTCTAAAGGACAGTTCACCTCTGTGAGTTGAATAGAGGCAACACAAAGAACTTACTCAGTATTCTTCTTTCTAGCGTTCTATGAAGAAATCCTGTTTCCAATGAAGACCCCAATGAGGTCCAAATATCTGCTTGCAGACTTTACAGACAGAGTGTTTCCAAACTACTCTATGAAAAGAAAGCTTAAACTCCTTGAGTTGAACGCACACATCACCAAGTAGTTTCTGAGAATGATGCTGTCTAGTTTTTGTACGAAGATGTTTCCTTTTCTACATTTGGTCTCAAAGCCATTGAAATCTCCAACTGGAAACTGCACAAATAGGGTGTTTCAAATCTGCTCTGTCTAAAGGAAGGTTCAACTCTGTGAGTTGAATACACACACCATAAATAAGTTACTGAGAATTCTTCTGTCAAACATTACAGGAAGAAATCCCGTTTCCAACGAAGGCCTCAAAGAGGTCCAAATATCCACTTGCAGACATTACAAACAGAGTGTTTCCAAACTGCTCCATCAAAAGAAAGGTTAAACTCTGTGAGCTGAACACACACATCAAAAAGAAGTTTCTGTGAATGATTCTGTCTAGATTTTATAAGAAGATGTTTCCTTTTCTACCGTAGGCCTCAAAGCGCTTGTAATCTCCAGCTGCAAATTCCACAAAAAGGGTGTTTAACATCTGCTCTTCTAAAGGAAAGTTCAACTCTATGAGTTGAATACACACAGCACAAAGAAGTTACTGAGACTTCTCCTATCAAACATTATATGAAGAAATCCCGTTTCCAACGAAGGCCTCAAAGAGGTCCAAATATCCACTTGCAGACATTACAAACAGAGTGTTTCCAAACTGCTCCATCAAAAGAAAGGTTAAACTCTGTGAGCTGAACACACACATCAAAAAGAAGTTTCTGTGAATGATTCTGTCTAGATTTTATAAGAAGATGTTTCCTTTTCTACCGTAGGCCTCAAAGCGCTTGAAATCTCCAGCTGCAAATTCCACAAAAAGGGTGTTTAACATCTGCTCTTCTAAAGGAAAGTTCAACCCTATGAGTTGAATACACACAGCACAAAGAAGTTACTGAGACTTGTCCTATCAAACATTATATGAAGAAATCCCGTTTCCATCGAAGGCCTCAAAGAGGTCCAAATATCTGCTTGCAGACTTTACAGACAGAGTGTTTCCAAACTGCTCCATCAAAAGAAAGGTTAACCTCCTTGAGTTGAACACACACATCACAAAGTAGTTTCTGTGAATGATTCTGTCTAGTTTTTATACGAAGATGTTTCCTTTTCTACATTTGGTCTCAAAGCCATTGAAATCTCCACATGGAAACTCCACAAAAAGAGTGTTACAAATCTGCTCTTTCTGAAGGAAGGTTCAACCCTGTGAGTTGAATACACACACCACAAATAAGTTACTGAGAATTCTTCTGTGTAACATTATAGGAGGAAATCCCGTTTCCAACGAAGGCCTCAAAGAGGTCCAAATATCTGCTTGCAGACTTTACAGACAGAGTGTTTCCAAACTACTCTATGAAAAGAAAGCTTAAACTCCTTGAGTTGAACGCACACATCACAAAGTAGTTTCTGAGAATGATTCTGTCTTGTTTTTATAAGAAGATATTTCCGTTTCTATGATTGGCCTCCAAGCGATTGAAATCTCCAACTGGAAACTGCACAAATAGGGTGTTTCAAATCTGCTCTGTCTAAAGGAAGGTTGAACTCTGTGAGTTGAATACACACACCACAAATAACTTACTGAGAATTCTTCTGTCGAACATTACATGAAGAGATCCCGTTTCCAACGACGGCCTCAAAGAGGTCCAAATATCCACTTGCAGACATTACAAACAGAGTGTTTCCAAACTGCTCCATCAAAAGAAAGGTTAAACTCTGTGAGCTGAACACACACATCAAAAAGAAGTTTCTGTGAATGATTCTGTCTAGACTTTAGAAGAAGATGTTTCCTTTTCTACCGTAGGCCTCAAAGCGCTTGAAATCTCCAGCTGCAAATTCCACAAAAAGGGTGTTTAACATCTGCTCTTCTAAAGGAAAGTTCAACTCCATGAGTTGAATACACACAGCACAAAGAAGTTACAGAGACTTCTCCTATCAAACATTATATGAAGAAATCCCGTTTCCAACGAAGGCCTCAAAGAGGTCCAAATATCCACTTGCAGACGTGACAAACAGAGTGTTTCCAAACTGCTCCATCAAAAGAAAGGTTAAACTCTGTGAGTTGAACACACACATCACAAAGTAGTTTCTGTGAATGATTCTGTCTAGTTTTCATACGAAGATGTTTCGTTTTCTACCTTTGGTCTCAAAGCCATTGAAATCTCCACATGGAAACTCCACAAAAAGAGGGTTTCAAATCTGCTCTTTCTGAAGGAAGGTTCAACTCTGTGAGTTGAATACACACACCACAAATAAGTTACTGAGAATTCTTCTGTGTAACATTATATGAGGAAATCCCGTTTCCAACGAAGGCCTCAAAGAGGTCCAAATTTCCACACGCAGACTTTACAAAGACAGTGTCTCCAAACTCCTCCATCAAAAGAAAGGTTATACTCTGTGAATTGTACGCACACATCACAAAGTAGTTTCTGAGAATGATTCTGTCTAGTTTTTATACGAAGATATTTCCTTTTCTACATTTGGCCTAAAAGCGCTTGAAATCTCCACCTGCAAATATCACAAAAAGAGGGTTTCACATCTGCTCTGTCTAAAGGACAGTTCACCTCTGTGAGTTGAATAGAGGCAACACCAAGAACTTACTGAGTATTCTTCTTTCTAGCGTTACATGAAGAAGTCCCGTTTCCAACGAAGGCCTCAAAGAGGTCCAAATATCTGCTTGCAGACTTTACAGACATAGTGTTTCCAAACTACTCTATGAAAAGAAAGCTTAAACTCCTTGAGTTGAATGCACACATCACAAAGTAGTTTCTGAGAATGATTCTGTCTAGTTTTTATACGAAGATATTTCCTTTTCTACCTTTGGTCTCAAAGCGATTGAAATCTCCACATGGAAACTCCACAAAAAGAGTGTTTCAAATCTGCTCTCTCTGAAGGAAGGTTCAACTCTGTGAGTTGAAAACACACACCACAAATAAGTTACTGAGAATTCTTCTGTCGAACATTACAGGAAGAAATCCCGTTTCCAATGAAGGCCTCAAAGAGGTCCAAATATCCACTTGCAGACTTTACAAAGACAGTGTCTCCAAACTACTCCATCAAAAGAAAGGTTATACTCTGTGAATTGAACGCACACATCACAAAGTAGTTTCTGAGAATGATTCTGTCTAGTTTTTATACGAAGATATTTCCTTTTCTACATTTGGCCTAAATGCGCTTGAAATCTCCACCTGCAAATATCACAAAAAGAGGGTTTCACATCTGCTCTGTCTAAAGGACAGTTCACCTCTGTGAGTTGAATAGAGGCAACACAAAGAACTTACTCAGTATTCTTCTTTCTAGCGTTCTATGAAGAAATCCCGTTTACAACGAAGGCCTCAAAGAGGTCCAAATATCTGCTTGCAGACTTTACAGACAGAGTGTTTCCAAACTGCTCTATGAAAAGAAAGCTTAAACTCCGTGAGTTGAACGCACACATCACAAAGTAGTTTCTGAGAATGATTCTGTCTAGTTTTTATACGAAGATGTTTCCTTTTCTACCTTTGGTCTCAAAGCGATTGAAATCTCCAACTGGAAACTGCACAAATAGGGTGTTTCAAATCTGCTCTGTCTAAAGGAAGGTTCAACTCTGTGAGTTGAATACACACACCACAAATAAGTTACTGAGAATTCTTCTGTCGAACATTACATGAAGAAATCCCGTTTCCAACGAAGGCCTCAAAGACGTCCAAATATCCACTTGCAGACATTACAAACAGAGTGTTTCCAAACTGCTCCATCAAAAGAAAGGTTAAACTCTGTGAGCTGAACACACACATCAAAAAGAAGTTTCTGTGAATGATTCTGTCTAGATTTTATAAGAAGATGTTTCCTTTTCTACCGTAGGCCTCAAAGCGCTTGAAATCTCCAGCTGCAAATTCCACAAAAAGGGTGTTTAACATCTGCTCTTCTAAAGGAAAGTTCAACTCTATGAGTTGAATACACACAGCACAAAGAAGTTACTGAGACTTCTCCTATCAAACATTATATGAAGAAATCCCGTTTCCAACGAAGGCCTCAAAGAGGTCCAAATATCTGCTTGCAGACTTTACAGACAGAGTGTTTCCAAACTGCTCCATCAAAAGAAAGGTTAACCTCCTTGAGTTGAACACACACATCACAAAGTAGTTTCTGTGAATGATTCTGTCTACTTTTTATAAGAAGATGTTTCCTTTTCTACCTTTGGTCCCAAAGCGATTGAAATCTCCACATGGAAACACCACAAAAAGAGTGTTTCAAATCTGATCTTTCTGAAAGAACGTTCAACTCTGTGAGTTGAATACACACACCACAAATAAGTTACTGAGAATTCTTCTGTGTAACATTATATGAGGAAATCCCGTTTCCAACGAAGGCCTCAAAGAGGTCCAAATATCCACTTGCAGACTTTGCAAAGACAGTGTCTCCAAACTCCTCCGTCAAAAGAAAGGTTATACTCTGTGAATTGAACGCACACATCACAAAGTAGTTTCTGAGAATGATTCTGTCTAGTTTTTATACGAAGATATTTCCTTTTCTACATTTGGCCTAAAAGCGCTTGAAATCTCCACCTGCAAATATCACAAAAAGAGGGTTTCACATCTGCTCTGTCTGAAGGACAGTTCACCTCTGTGAGTTGAATAGAGGCAACACAAAGAACTTACTCAGTATTCTTCTTTCTAGCGTTATATGAAGAAATCCCGTTTCCAATGAAGGCCTCAAAGAGGTCCAAATATCTGCTTGCAGACTTTACAGACAGAGTGTTTCCAAACTACTCTATGAAAAGAAAGCTTAAACTCCGTGAGTTGAACGCACACATCAAAAAGTAGTTTCTGAGAATGATTCTGTCTAGTTTTTATACGAAGATGTTTCCTTTTCTACATTTGGTCTCAAAGCGATTGAAATCTCCAACTGGAAACTCCACAAAAAGAGTGTTTCAAATCTGCTCTGTCTAAAGGAAGGTTCAACTCTGTGAGTTGAATACACACACCACAAATAAGTTACTGAGAATTCTTCTGTCGAACATTACTTGAAGAAATCCCGTTTCCAACGAAGGCCTCAAAGAGGTCCAAATATCCACTTGCAGACATTACAAACAGAGTGTTTCCCAACTGCTCCATCAAAAGAAAGGTTAAACTCTGTGAGCTGAACACACACATCAAAAAGAAGTTTCTGTGAATGATTCTGTCTAGATTTTATAAGAAGATGTTTCCTTTTCTACCGTAGGCCTCAAAGCGCTTGAAATCTCCAGCTGCAAATTCCACAAAAAGGGTGTTTAACATCTGCTCTTCTAAAGGAAAGTTCAACTCTATGAGTTGAATACACACAGCATAAAGAAGTTACTGAGACTTCTCCTATCAAACATTATATGAAAAAATCCCATTTCCAACGAAGGCCTCAAAGAGGTCCAAATATCTGCTTGCAGACTTTACAGACAGAGTGTTTCCAAACTGCTCCATCAAAAGAAAGGTTAACCTCCTGAGTTGAACACACACATCACAAAGTAGTTTCTGTGAATGATTCTGTCTAGTTTTTATACGAAGATGTTTCCTTTTCTACCTTTGGTCTCAAAGCGATTGAAATCTCCACATGGAAACTCCACAAAAAGAGTGTTTCAAATCTGCTCTTTCTGAAGGAAGGTTCATCTTTGTGAGTTGAATACACACACCACAAATAAGTTACTGAGAATTCTTCTCTCGAACATTACATGAAGAAATCCCGTTTGCAACGAAGGCCTCAAAGAGGTCCAAATGTCCACTTGCAGACTTTACAAAGACAGTGTCTCCAAACTCCTCCATCAAAGAAAGGTTATACTCTGTGAATTGAGCACACATCACAATGTAGTTTCTGAGAATGATTCTGTCTAGTTTTTATACGAAGATATTTCCTTTTCTACATTTGGCCCAAAAGCGCTTGAAATCTCCACCTGCAAATATCACAAAAAGAGGGTTTCACATCTGCTCTGTCTAAAGGACAGTTCACCTCTGTGAGTTGAATAGATTTAACACAAAGAAGTTACTGAGTATTCTTTCTAGCGTTATATGAAGAAATCCCTTTTCCAACGAAGGCCTCAAAGAGGTCCAAATATCTGCTTGCAGACTTTACAGACAGAGTGTTTCCAAACTTCTCTAAGATAAGAAAGCTTAAACTCCGTGAGTTGAACGCACACATCACAAAGTAGTTTCTGAGAATGATTCTGTCTAGTTTTTATACGAAGATGTTTCCTTTTCTACATTTGGTCTCAAAGCGATTGAAATCTCCAACTGGAAACTGCACAAATAGGGTGTTTCAAATCTGCTCTGTCTAAAGGAAGGTTCAACTCTGTGAGTTGAATACACACACCACAAATAAGTTACTGAGAATTCTTCTGTCGAACATTACATGAAGAAATCCCGTTTCCAACGAAGGCCTCAAAGAGGTCCAAATATCCACTTGCAGACATTACAAACAGAGTGTTTCCAAACTGCTCCATCAAAAGAAAGGTTAAACTCTGTGAGCTGAACACACACATCAAAAAGAAGTTTCTGTGAATGATTCTGTCTAGATTTTATAAGAAGATGTTTCCTTTTCTACAGTAGGCCTCAAAGCGCTTGAAATCTCCAGGTGCAAATTCCACAAAAACGGTGTTTAACATCTGCTCTTCTAAAGGAAAGTTCAACTCTGTGAGTTGAATACACACAGCACAAAGAAGTTACTGAGACTTCTCCTATCAAACATTATATGAAGAAATCCCGTTTCCAACGAAGGCCTCAAAGAGGTCCAAATATCCACTTGCAGACGTGACAAACAGAGTGTTTCCAAACTGCTGCATCAAAAGAAAGTTTAAACTCTGTGAGTTGAACACACACATCACAAAGTAGTTTCTGTGAATGATTCTGTCTAGTTTTTATACGAAGATGTTTCCTTTTCTACCTTTGGTCTCAAAGCGATTGAAATCTCCACATGGAAACTCCACAAAAAGAGTGTTTCAAATCTGTTCTTTCTGAAGGAAGGTTCAACTCTGTGAGTTGAATACACACACCACAAATAAGTTACTGAGAATTCTTCTGTGTAACATTATATGAGGAAATCCCGTTTCCAACGAAGGCCTCAAAGAGGTCCAAATATCCACTTGCGGACATTACAAACAGTGTGTTTCCCAACTGCTCCATCAAAAGAAAGGTTAAACTCTGTGAGCTGAACACACACATCAAAAAGAAGTTTCTGTGAATGATTCTGTCTAGATTTTATAAGAAGATGTTTCCTTTTCTACCGTAGGCCTCAAAGCGCTTGAAATCTCCAGCTGCAAATTCCACAAAAAGGGTGTTTAACATCTGCTCTTCTAAAGGAAAGTTCAACTCTATGAGTTGAATACACACAGCACAAAGAAGTTACTGAGACTTCTCCTATCAAACATTATATGAAGAAATCCCGTTTCCAACGAAGGCCTCAAAGAGGTCCAAATATCTACTTGCAGACTTTACAGACAGAGTGTTTCCAAACTGCTCCATCAAAAGAAAGGTTAAACTCCTTGAGTTGAACACACACATCACAAAGTAGTTTCTGTGAATGATTCTGTCTAGTTTTTATACGAAGATGTTTCCTTTTCTACCTTTGGTCTCAAAGCGATTGAAATCTCCACATGGAAACTCCACAAAAAGAGTGTTTCAAATATGCTCTTTCTGAAGGAAGGTTCAACTCTGTGAGTTGAATACACACACCACAAATAAGTTACTGAGAATTCTTTCTGTGTAACATTATATGAGGAATTCCCGTTTCCAACGAAGGCCTCAAAGAGGTCCAAATATCCACTTGCAGACTTTACAAAGACAGTGTCTCCAAACTCCTCCATCAAAAGAAAGGTTATACTCTGTGAATTGAATGCACACATCACAAAGTAGTTTCTGAGAATGATACTGTCTAGTTTTTATACAAAGATATTTCCTTTTCTACATTTGGCCTAAAAGCGCTTGAAATCTCCACCTGCAAATATCACAAAAAGAGGGTTTCACATCTGCTCTGTCTAAAGGACAGTTCACCTCTGTGAGTTGAATAGAGGCAACACAAAGAACTTACTCAGTAGTCTTCTTTCTAGCGTTCTATGAAGAAATCCCGTTTCCAACGAAGGCCCCAAAGAGGTCCAAATATCTGCTTGCAGACTTTACAGACAGAGTGTTTCCAAACTACTCTATGAAAAGAAAGCTTAAACTCCTTGAGTTGAACGCACACATCACAAAGTAGTTTCTGAGAATAATTCTGTCTAGTTTTTATACGAAGATGTTTCCTTTTCTACATTTGGTCTCAAAGCGATTGAAATCTCCAACTGGAAACTGCACAAATAGGGTGTTTCAAATCTGCTCTGTCTAAAGGAAGGTTCAATTCTGTGAGATGAATACACAAACTACAAATAAGTTACTGAGAATTCTCCTATCAAACATTATATGAAGAAATCGCGTTTCCAACGAAAGCCTCAAAGAAGTCCTAATATCCACTTGCAGACATTACAAACAGAGTGTTTCCAAACTGTTCCATCAAAAGAAAGGTTAAACTCTGTGAGCTGAACACACACATGAAAAAGAAGTTTCTGTGAATGATTCTGTCTAGATTTTACACGAAGATGTTTCCTTTTCTACCTTTGGTCTCAATGCGATTGAAATCTCCACATGGAAACTCCACAAAAAGTGTGTTTCAAATCTGCTCTTTCTGAAGGAAGGTTCAACTCTGTGAGTTGAATACACACACCACAAATAAGTTACTGAGAATTCTCCTATCAAACATTATATGAAGAAATCCCTTCTCCAACGAAGGCCTCAAAGAGGTCCAAATATCTGCTTGCAGACTTTACAGACAGAGTTTTTCCAAACTGCTCCATCAAAAGAAAGGTTAAACTCCTTGAGTTGAACACACACATCACAAAGCAGTTTCCGTGAATGATTCTGTCTAGTTTTTATACGAAGATGTTTCCTTTTCTACCTTTGGTCTCAAAGCGATTGAAATCTCCACATGGAAACTCCACCAAAAGAGTGTTTCAAATCTGCTCTTTCTGAAGGAAGGTTCAACTCTGTGAGTTGAATACACACACCACAAATAAGTTACTGAGAATTCTTCTGTGTAACATTATATGAGGAAATCCCGTTTCCAACGAAGGCCTCAAAGAGGTCCAAATATCCACTTGCAGACTTTACAAAGACAGTGTCTCCAAACTCCTCCCTCAAAAGAAAGGTTATACTCTGTGAATTGAACGCACACATCACAAAGAAGTTTCTGAGAATGATTCTGTCTAGTTTTTATACGAAGATATTTCCTTTTCTACATTTGGCCTAAAAGCGCTTGAAATCTCCACCTGCAAATATCACAAAAAGAGGGTTTCACATCTGCTCTGTCTAAAGTACAGTTCACGTCTGTGAGTTGAATAGAGGCAACACAAAGAACTTACTCAGTATTCTTCTTTCTAGCGTTCTATGAAGAAATCCCGTTTCCAACGAAGGCCTCAAAGAAGTCAAATATCTGCTTGCAGACTTTACAGACACAGTGTTTCCAAACTACTCTATGAAAAGAAAGCTTAAACTCCTTGAGTTGAACGCACACATCACAATGTAGTTTCTGAGAATGATTCTGTCTAGTTTTTATACGAAGATGTTTCCTTTTCTACATTTGGTCTCAAAGCGATTGAAATCTCCAACTGGAAACTGCACAAATAGGCTGTTTCAAATCTGCTCTGTCTAAAGGAAGGGTCAGCTCTGTGAGTTGAATACACACACCACAAATAAGTTACTGAGAATTCTTCTGTCGAACATTACAGGAAGAAATCCCGTTTCCAACGAAGGCCTCAAAGAGGTCCAAATATCCACTTGCAGACATTACAAACAGTGTGTTTCCAAACTGCTCCATCAAAACAAAGGTTAAACTCTGTGAGCTGAACACACACATCAAAAAGAAGTTTCTGTGAATGATTCTGTCTAGATTTTATAAGAAGATGTTTCCTTTTCTACCGTAGGCCTCAAAGCGCTTGAAATCTCCAGCTGCAAATTCCACAAAAAGGGTGTTTAACATCTGCTCTTCTAAAGGAAAGTTCAACTCTATGAGTTGAATACACACAGCACAAAGAAGTTACTGAGACTTCTCCTATCAAACATTACATGAAGAAATCCCGTTTCCAACGAAGGCCTCAAAGGGGTCCAAATATCTGCTTGCAGACTTTACAGACAGAGTGTTTCCAAACTGCTCCATCAAAAGAAAGGTTAAACTCCTTGAGTTGAACACACACATCACAAAGTAGTTTCTGTGAATTATTCTGTCTAGTTTTTATACGAAGATGTTTCCTTTTCTACCTTTGGTCTCAAAGCGATTGAAATCTCCACATGGAAACTCCACAAAAAGAGTGTTTCAAATCTGCTCTTTCTGAAGGAAGGTTCAACTCTGTGAGGTGAATACACACACCACAAATAAGTTACTGAGAATTCTTCTGTGTAACATTATATGAGGAAATCCCGTTTCCAACGAAGGCCTCAAAGAGGTCCAAATATCCACTTGCAGACTTTACAAACACAGTGTCTCCAAACTCCTCCATCAAAAGAAAGCTTATACTCTGTGAATTGAACGCACACATCACAAAGTAGTTTCTGAGAATGATTCTGTCTAGATTTTATAAGAAAATGTTTCCTTTTCTACCGTAGGCCTCAAAGCGCTTGAAATCTCCAGCTGCAAATTCCACAAAAAGGGTGTTTAACATCTGCTCTTCTAAAGGAAAGTTCAAGTCTATGAGTTGAATTCACACAGCACCAAGAAGTTACTGAGACTTCTCCTATCAAACATTATATGAAGAAATCCCGTTTCCAACGAAGGCCTCAAAGAGGTCCAAATATCTGCTTGCAGACTTTACAGACAGAGTGTTTCCAAACTACTCTATGAAAAGAAAGCTTAAACTCCTTGAGTTGAACGCACACATCACAAAGTAGTTTCTGAGAATGATTCTGTCTAGTTTTTATACGAAGATGTTTCCTTTTCTACATTTGGTATCGAAGCGATTGAAATCTCCAACTGGAAACTGCACAAATAGGCTGTTTCAAATCTGCTCTGTCTAAAGGAAGGTTCAACTCTGTGAGTTGAATACACACACCACAAATAAGTTAATGAGAATTCTTCTGTCGAACATTACATGAAGAAATCCCGTTTCCAACGAAGGCCTCAAAGAGGTCCAAATATCCACTTGCAGACATTACAAACAGTGTGTTTCCCAACTGCTCCATCAAAAGAAAGGTTAAACTCTGTGAGCTGAACACACACATCAAAAAGAAGTTTCTGTGAATGATACTGTCTAGATTTTATAAGAAGATGTTTCCTTTTCTACCGTAGGCCTCAAAGCGCTTGAAATCTCCAGCTGCAAATTCCACAAAAAGGGTGTTTAACATCTGCTCTTCTAAAGGAAAGTTCAACTCTATGAGTTGAATACACACAGCACAAAGAAGTTACTGAGACTTCTCCTATCAAACATTAGATGAAGAAATCCCGTTTCCAACGAGGGCCTCAAAGAGGTACAAATATCTGCTTGCAGACTTTACAGACAGAGTTTTTCCAAACTGCTCCATCAAAAGAAAGGTTAAACTCCTTGAGTTGAACACACACATCACAAAGTAGTTTCTGTGAATGATTCTGTCTAGTTTTTATACGAAGAATGTTTCCTTTTCTACCTTTGGTCTCAAAGCGATTGAAATCTCCACATGGAAACTCCACAAAAAGAGTGTTTCAAATCTGCTCTTTCTGAAGGAAGTTTCAACTCTGTGAGTTGAATACACACACCACAAATAAGTTACTGAGAATTCTTCTGGGTAACATTATATGAGGAAATCCCGTTTCCAACGAAGGCCTCAAAGAGGTCCAAATATCCACTTGCAGACTTTACAAAGACAGTGTCTCCAAACTCCTCCATCAAAAGAAAGGTTATACTCTGTGAATTGAACGCACACATCACAAAGTAGTTTCTGAGAATGATTCTGTCTAGTTTTTATACGAAGATATTTCCTTTTCTACATTTGGCCTAAAAGTGCTTGAAATCTCCACCTGCAAATATCACAAAAAGAGGGTTTCACATCTGCTCTGTCTAAAGGACAGTTCACCTCTGTGAGTTGAATAGAGGCAACACAAAGAACTTACTCAGTATTCTTCTTTCTAGCGTTCTATGAAGAAATCCCGTTTCCAACGAAGGCCCCAAAGAGGTCCAAATATCTGCTTGCAGACTTTACAGACAGAGTGTTTCCAAACTACTCTATGAAAAGAAAGCTTAAACTCCTTGAGTTGAACGCACACATCACAAAGTAGTTTCGGAGAATGATTCTGTCTAGTTTTTATACGAAGATGTTTCCTTTTCTACATTTGGTCTCAAAGCGATTGAAATCTCCAACTGGAAACTGCACAAATAGGGTGTTTCAAATCTGCTCTGTCTAAAGGAAGGTTCAACTCTGTGAGTTGAATACACACACCACAAATAAGTTACTGAGAATTCTTCTGTCGAACATTACTTGAAGAAATCCCGTTTCCAACGAAGGCCTCAAAGAGGTCCAAATATCCACTTGCAGACATTACAAACAGAGTGTTTCCAAACTGCTCCATCAAAAGAAAGGTTAAACTCTGTGAGCTGAACACACACATCGAAAAGAAGTTTCTGTGAATGATTCTGTCTAGATTTTATAAGAAGATGTTTCCTTTTCTACCGTAGGCCTCAAAGCGCTTGAAATCTCCAGCTGCAAATTCCTCAAAAAGGGTGTTTAACATCTGCTCTTCTAAAGGAAAGTTCAACTCTATGAGTTGAATACACACAGCACAAAGAAGTTACTGAGACTTCTCCTATCAAACATTATATGAAGAAATCCCGTTTCCAACGAAGGCCTCAAAGAGGTCCAAATATCCACTTGCAGACGTGACAAACAGAGTGTTTCCAAACTGCTCCATCCAAAAAAAGGTTAAACTCTGTGAGTTGAACACACACATCACAAAGTAGTTTCTGTGAATGATTCTGTCTAGTTGTTATACGAAGATGTTTCCTTTTCTACCTTTGGTCTCAAAGCGATTGAAATCTCCACATGGAAACTCCACAAAAAGAGTGTTTCAAATCTGCTCTTTCTGAAGGAAGGTTCATCTCTGTGAGTTGAATACACACACCACAAATAAGTTAGTGAGAATTCTTCTGTGTAACATTATATGAGGAAATCCCGTTTCCAACGAAGGCCTCAAAGAGGTCCAAATATCCACTTGCAGACTTTACAAAGACAGTGTCTCCAAACTCCTCCATCAAAAGAAAGGTTATACTCTGTGAATTGAACGCACACATCACAACGTGGTTTCTGAGAATGATTCTGTCTAGTTTTTATAAGAAGATATTTCCTTTTCTACATTTGGCCTAAAAGCGCTTGAAATCTCCACCTGCAAATATCACAAAAAGAGGGTTTCACATCTGCTCTGTCTAAAGGACAGTTCACCTCTGTGAGTTGAATAGAGGCAACACAATGAACTTACTCAGTATTCTTCTTTCTAGCGTTCTATGAAGAAATCCCGTTTCCAACGAAGGCCCAAAAGAGGTCCAAATATCTGCTTGCAGACTTTACAGACAGAGTGTTTCCAAACTACTCTATGAAAAGAAAGCTTAAACTCCTTGAGTTGAACGCACACATCACAAAGTAGTTTCTGAGAATGATTCTGTCTAGTTTTTATACGAAGATGTTTCCTTTTCTACATTTGGTCTCAAAGCGATTGAAATCTCCAACTGGAAACTGCACAAATAGGGTGTTTCAAATCTGCTCTGTCTAAAGGAAGGTTCAACTCTGTGAGTTGAATACACACACCACAAATAAGTTACTGAGAATTCTTCTGTCGAACATTACTTGAAGAAATCCCGTTTCCAACGAAGGCCTCAAAGAGGTCCAAATATCCACTTGCAGACATTACAAACAGAGTGTTTCCAAACTGCTCCATCAAAAGAAAGGTTAAACTCTGTGAGCTGAACACACACACCAAAAAGAAGTTTCTGTGAATGATTCTGTCTAGATTTTATAAGAAGATGTTTCCTTTTCTACCCGTAGGCCTCAAAGCGCTTGAAATCTCCAGCTGCAAATTCCACAAAAAGGGTGTTTAACATCTGCTCTTCTAAAGGAAAGTTCAACTCTATGAGTTGAATACACACAGCACAAAGAAGTTACTGAGACTTCTCCTATCAAACATTATATGAAGAAATCCCGTTTCCAACGAAGGCCTCACAGAGGTCCAAATATCTGCTTGCAGACTTTACAGACAGAGTGTTTCCAAACTGCTCCATCAAAAGAAAGGTTAAACTCCTTGAGTTGAACACACACAAAACAAAGTAGTTTCTGTGAATGATTCTGTCTAGTTGTTATACGAAGATGTTTCCTTTTCTACCTTTGGTCTCAAAGCGATTGAAATCTCCACATGGAAACTCCACAAAAAGAGTGTTTCAAATCTGCTCTTTCTGAAGGAAGGTTCATCTCTGTGAGTTGAATACACACACCACAAATAAGTTACTGAGAATTCTTCTGGGTAACATTATATGAGGAAATCCCGTTTCCAACGAAGGCCTCAAAGAGGTCCAAATATCCACTTGCAGACTTTACAAAGACAGTGTCTCCAAACTCCTCCATCAAAAGAAAGGTTATACTCTGTGAATTGAACGCACACATCACAAAGTAGTTTCTGAGAATGATTCTGTCTAGTTGTTATACGAAGATGTTTCCTTTTCTACCTTTGGTCTCAAAGCGATTGAAATCTCCACCTGCAAATATCACAAAAAGAGGGTTTCACATCTGCTCTGTCTAAAGGACAGTTCACCTCTGTGAGTTGAATAGAGGCAACACAAAGAACTTACTCAGTATTCTTCTTTCTAGCGTTCTATGAAGAAATCCCGTTTCCAACGAAGGCCTCAAAGAGGTTCAAATATCTGCTTGCAGACTTTACAGACAGAGTATTTCCAAACTACTCTATGAAAAGAAAGCTTAAACTCCTTGAGTTGAACGCACACATCACAAAGTAGTTTCTGAGAATGATTCTGTCTAGTTTTTATACGAAGATGTTTCCTTTTCTGCATTTGGTCTCAAAGCGATTGAAATCTCCAACTGGAAACTGCACAAATAGGGTGTTTCAAATCTGCTCTGTCTAAAGGAAGGTTCAACTCTGTGAGTTGAATACACACACCACAAATAAGTTACTGAGAATTCTTCTGTCGACCATTACTTGATGAAATCCCGTTTCCAACGAAGGCCTCAAAGAGGTCCAAATATCCACTTGCAGACATTACAAACAGAGTGTTTCCAAGCTGCTCCATCAAAAGAAAGGTTAAACTCGGTGAGCTGAACACACACATCGAAAAGAAGTTTCTGTGAATGATTCTGTCTAGATTTTATAAGAAGATGTTTCCTTTTCTACCGTAGGCCTCAAAGCGCTTGAAATCTCCAGCTGCAAATTCCACAAAAAGGGTGTTTAACATCTGCTCTTCTAAAGGAAAGTTCAACTCTATGAGTTGAATACACACAGCACAAAGAAGTTACTGAGACTTCTCCTATCAAACATTATATGAAGAAATCCCGTTTCCAACGAAGGCCTCAAAGAGGTCCAAATATCTACTTGCAGACTTTACAGACAGAGTGTTTCCAAACTGCTCCATCAAAAGAAAGGTTAAACTCCTTGAGTTGAACACACACATCACAAAGTAGTTTCTGTGAATGATTCTGTCTAGTTTTTATACGAAGATGTTTCCTTTTTTACCATTGGTCTCAATGCGATTGAAATCTCCACATGGAAACTCCACAAAAAGAGTGTTTCAAATCTGCTCTTTCTGAAGGAAGGTTCAACTCTGTGAGTTGAATACACACACCACAAATAAGTTACTGAGAATTCTTCTGTGTAACTTTATATGAGGAAATCCCGTTTCCAACGAAGGCCTCAAAGAGTTCCAAATATCCACTTGCAGACTTACAAAGACAGTGTCTCCAAACTCTTCCATCAAAAGAAAGGTTATACTCTGTGAATTGAACGCACACATCACAAAGTAGTTTCTGAGAATGATTCTGTCTAGTTTTTATACGAAGATATTTCCTTTTCTACATTTGGCCTAAAAGCGCTTGAAATCTCCACCTGCAAATATCACAAAAAGAGGGTTTCACATCTGCTCTGTCTAAAGGACAGTTCACCTCTGTGAGTTGAATAGAGGCAACACAAAGAACTTACACAGTATTCTTCTTTCTAGCGTTATATGAAGAAATCCCGTTTCCAACGAAGGCCTCAAAGAGGTCCAAATATCTGCTTGCAGACTTTACAGACAGAGTGTTTCCAAACTACTCTATGAAAAGAAAGCTTAAACTCCTTGAGTTGAACGCACACATCACAAAATTGTTTCTGAGAATGATTCTGTCTAGTTTTTATACGAAGATGTTTCCTTTTCTACATTTGGTCTCAAAGGGATTGAAATCTCCAACTGGAAACTGCACAAATAGGGTGTTTCAAATCTGCTCTGTCTAAAGGATGGTTCAACTCTGTGAGTTGAATACACACACCACAAATAAGTTACTGAGAATTCTTCTGTCTAACATTATATGAAGAAATCCCGTTTCCAACGGAGGACTCAAAGAGGTCCAAATATCCACTTGCAGACGTGACAAACAGAGTGTTTCCAAACTGCTCCATCAAAAGAAAGGTTAAACTCTGTGAGTTGAACAGACACATCACAAAGTAGTTTCTGTGAATGATTCTGTCTAGTTTTTATACGAAGATGTTTCCTTTTCTACTTTTTGTCTCAAAGCGATTGAAATCTCCACATGGAAACTCCACAAAAAGAGTGTTTCATATCTGCTCTTTCTGAAGGAAGGTTCAATTCTCTGAGATGAATACACACAGCACAAGTAAGTTACTGAGAATTCACCTATCAAACATTATATGAAGAAATCCCGTTTCCAATGAAGGCCTCAAAGAGGTCCAAATATCTGCTTGCAGACTTTACAGACAGAGTGTTTCCAAACTCCTCCATCAAAAGAAAGGTTAAACTCCTTGAGTTGAACACACACATCACAAAGTAGTTTCTGTGAATGATTCTGTCTAGTTGTTATACGAAGATGTTTCCTTTTCTACCTTTGGTCTCAAAGCGATTGAAATCTCCACATGGAAACTCCACAAAAAGAGTGTTTCAAATCTGCTCTTTCTGAAGGAAGGTTCATCTCTGTGAGTTGAATACACACACCACAAATAAGTTAGTGAGAATTCTTCTGGGTAACATTATATGAGGAAATCCCGTTTCCAACGAAGGCCTCAAAGAGGTCCAAATATCCACTTGCAGACTTTACAAAGACAGTGTCTCCAAACTCCTCCATCAAAAGAAAGGTTATACTCTGTGAATTGAACGCACACATCACAAAGTAGTTTCTGAGAATGATTCTGTCTACTTTTTATAAGAAGATATTTCCTTTTCCACATTTGGCCTAAAAGCGCTTGAAATCTCCACCTGCAAATATCACAAAAAGAGGGTTTCACATCTGCTCTGTCTAAAGGACTGTTCACCTCTGTGAGTTGAATAGAGGCAACACCAAGAACTTACTCAGTATTCTTCTTTCTAGCTTTATATGAAGAAATCCCGTTTCCAACGAAGGCCTCAAAGAGGTCCAAATATCTGCTTGCAGACATTACAGACAGAGTGGTTCCAAACTACTCTATGAAAAGAAAGCTTAAACTCCTTGAGTTGAACGCACACATCACAAAGTAGTTTCTGAGAATGATTCTGTCTAGTTTTTATACGAAGATGTTTCCTTTTCTACATTTGGTCTCAAAGCGATTGAAATCTCCAACTGGAAACTGCACAAATAGGCTGTTTCAAATCTGCTCTGTCTAAAGGAAGGTTCAGCTCTGTGAGTTGAATACACACACCACAAATAAGTTACTGAGAATTCTTCTGTCGAACATTACATGAAGAAATCCCGTTTCCAACGAAGGCCTCAAGGGGTCCAAATATCCACTTGCAGACATTACAAACAGAGTGTTTCCAAACTGCTCCATCAAAAGAAAGGTTAAACTCCGTGAGCTGAACACACACATCAAAAAGAAGTTTCTGTGAATGATTCTGTCTAGATTTTATAAGAAGATGTTTCCTTTTCTACCATAGGCCTCAAAGCGCTAGAAATCTCCAGCTGCAAATTCCACAAAAAGTGTGTTTAACATCTGCTCTGTCTAAAGTAAAGTTCAGCTTTGTGAGTTGAATTCACACAGCACAAAGAAGTTACTGAGACTTCTCCTATCAAACATTATATGAAGAAATCCCGTTTCCAACGAAGGCCTCAAAGAGGTCCAAATGTCTGCTTGCAGACTTTACAGACAGAGTGTTTCCAAACTGCTCCATCAAAAGAAAGGTTAAACTCCTTGAGTTGAACACACACATCACAAAGTAGTTTCTGTGAATGATTCTGTCTAGTTTTTAAACGAAGATGTTTCCTTTTCTACCTATGGTCTCAAAGCGATTGAAATCTCAACATGGAAACTCCACAAAAAGAGTGTTTCAAATCTGCTCTTTCTGAAGGAAGGTTCAACTCTGTGAGTTGAATACACACACCACAAATAAGTTACTGAGAATTCTTCTGTGTAACATTATATGAGGAAATCCCGTTTCCAACGATGGCCTCAAAGAGGTCCAAATATCCACTTGAAGACTATACAAAGACAGTGTCTCCAAACTCCTCCATCAAAAGAAAGGTTATACTCTGTGAATAGAACGCACACATCACAAAGTAGTTTCTGAGAATGATTCTGTCTAGTTTTTATACGAAGATATTTCCTTTTCTACATTTGGCCTAAAAGCTCTTGAAATCTCCACCTGCAAATATCACAAAAAGAGGGTTTCACATCTGCTCTGTCTAAAGGACAGTTCACCTCTGTGAGTTGAATAGAGGCAACACAAAGAACTTACTCAGTATTCTTCTTTCTAGCGTTACATGAAGAAATCCCGTTTCCAAGGAAGGCCTCAAAGAGGTCCAAATATCTGCTTGCAGACTTTACAGACAGAGTGTTTCCAAACTACTCTATGAAAAGAAAGCTTAAACTCCTTGAGTTGAACGCACACATCACAAAGTAGTTTCTGAGAATGATTCTGTCTAGTTTTTATACGAAGATGTTTCCTTTTCTACATTTGGTCTCAAAGCGATTGAAATCTCCAACTGGAAACTGCACAAATAGGGTGTTTCAAATCTGCTCTGTCTAAAGGAAGGTTCAACTCTGTGAGGTGAATACACACACCACAAATAAGTTACTGAGAATTCTTCTGTCGAACATTACTTGAAGAAATCCCGTTTCCAACGAAGGCCTCAAAGAGGTCCAAATATCTACTTGCAGACATTACAAACAGAGTGTTTCCAGACTGCTCCATCAAAAGAAAGGTTAAACTCTGTGAGCTGAACACACACATCAAAAAGAAGTTTCTGTGAATGATTCTGTCTAGATTTTATAAGAAGATGTTTCCTTTTCTACCGTAGGCCTCAAAGCGCTTGAAATCTCCAGCTGCAAATTCCACAAAAAGGGTGTTTAACATCTGCTCTTCTAAAGGAAAGTTCAACCCTATGAGTTGAATACACACAGCGCAAAGACGTTACTGAGACTTCTTCTGTCGAACATTACTTGAAGAAATCCCGTTTCCAACGAAGGCCTCAAAGAGGTCCAAATATCTGCTTGCAGACTTTACAGACAGAGTGTTTCCAATCTGCTCCATCAAAAGAAAGGTTAAACTCCTTGAGTTGAACACACACATCACAAAGTAGTTTTTGTGAATGATTCTGTCTAGTTTCTATACTGAAGATGTTTCCTTTTCTACCTTTGGTCTCAAAGCGATTGAAATCTCCACATGGAAACTCCACAAAAAGAGTGTTTCAAATCTGCTCTTTCTGAAGGAAGGTTCAACTCTGTGAGTTGAATACACACACCACAAATAAGTTACTGAGAATTCTTCTGTGTAACATTATATGCGGAAATCCCGTTTCCAACGAAGGCCTCAAAGAGGTCCAAATATCCACTTGCAGACTTTTACAAAGACAGTGTCTCCAAACTCCTCCATCAAAAGAAAGGTTATACTCTGTGAATTGAACGCACACATCACAAAGTAGTTTCTGAGAATGAATCTGTCTAGTTTTTCTACGAAGATATTTCCTTTTCCACATTTGACCTAAAAGCGCTTGAAATCTCCACCTGGAAATATCACAAAAAGAGGGTTTCACTTCTGCTCTGTCTAAAGGACAGTTCACCTCTGTGATTTGAATAGAGGCAACTCAAGGAAGTTACTGAGTATTCTTCTTTCTAGCGTTATATGAAGAAATCCCGTTTCCAACGAAGGCCTCAAAGAGGTCCAAATATCTGCTTGCAGACTTTACAGACAGAGTGTTTCCAAACTGCTCTATGAAAAGAAAGGTTAAACTCCGTGAGTTGAACGCACACATCACAAAGTAGTTTTGGGGAATGATTCTGTCTTGTTTTTAAAGGAAGATAGTTCCGTTTCTACGATTGGCCTCAAAGCGATTGAAATCTCCAACTGGAAACTGCACAAATAGGGTGTTTCAAATCTGCTCTGTCTAAAGGAAGTTCAACTGTGTGAGTTGAATACATACACCACAAATAAGTTACTGAGAATTCTTCTGTCGTACATTACATGAAGAAATCCCGTTTCCAACGAAGGCCTCAAAGAGGTCCAAATATCCACTTGCAGACATTACAAACAGAGTGTTTCCAAACTGCTCCATCAAAAGAAAGGTTAAACTCGGTGAGCTGAACACACACATCAAAAAGAAGTTTCTGTGAATGATTCTGTCTAGATTTTATAAGAAGATGTTTCCTTTTCTACCGTAGGCCTCAAAGCGCTTGAAATCTCCAGCTGCAAATTCCACAAAAAGGGTGTTTAACATCTGATCTTCTAAAGGAAAGTTCAACTCTATGAGTTGAATACACACAGCACAAAAATGTTACTGAGACTTCTCCTATCAAACATTATATGAAGAAATCCCGTTTCCAACGAAGGCCTCAAAGAGGTCCAAATATCTGCTTGCAGACTTTACAGACAGAGTTTTTCCAAACTGCTCCATCAAAAGAAAGGTTAAACTCCTTGAGTTGAACACACACATCACAAAGTAGTTTCTGTGAATGATTCTGTCTAGTTTTTATACGAAGATGTTTCCTTTTCTACCTTTGGTCTCAATGCGATTGAAATCTCCACATGGAAACTCCACAAAAAGAGTGTTTCAAATCTGCTCTTTCTGAAGGAAGGTTCAACTCTGTGAGTTGAATACACACACCACAAATAAGTTACTGAGAATTCTTCTGTGTAACATTCTATGAGGAAATCCCGTTTCCAACGAAGGCCTCAAAGAGGTCCAAATATCCACTTGCAGACTTTTCAAAGACCGTGTCTCCAAACTCCTCCCTCAAAAGAAAGGTTTTACTCTGTGAATTGAATGCACACATCACAAAGTAGTTTCTGAGAATGATTCTGTCTAGTTTTTATACGAAGATATTTCCTTTTCTACATTTGGCCTAAAAGCGCTTGAAATCTCCACCTGCAAATATCACAAAAAGAGGGTTTCACATCAGCTCTGTCTAAAGGACAGTTCACCTCTGTGAGTTGAATAGAGGCAACACAAAGAACTTACTCAGTATTCTTCTTTCTAGCGTTCTATGAAGAAATCCCGTTTCCAACGAAGGCCCCAAAGAGGTCCAAATATCTGCTTGCAGACTTTACAGACAGAGTGTTTCCAAACTACTCTATGAAAAGAAAGCTTAAACTCCTTGAGTTGAACGCACACATCCCAAAGTAGTTTCTGAGAATGATTCTGTCTTGTTTTTATACGAAGATATTTCCGTTTCTACGATAGGCCTCAAAGCGATTGAAATCTCCAACTGGAAACTGCACAAATAGTGTGTTTCAAATCTGCTCTGTCTAAAGGAAGGTTCAACTCTGTGAGTTGAATACACACACCACAAATAAGTTACTGAGAATTCTTCTGTCGAACATTACATGAAGAAATCCCGTTTCCAACGAAGGCCTCAAAGAGGTCCAAATATCCACTTGCAGACATTACAAACAGAGTGTTTCCAAACTGCTCCATCAAAAGAAAGGTTAAACTCTGTGAGCTGAACACACACATCAAAAAGAAGTTTCTGTGAATGATTCTGTCTATTCTTCAGAAGAAGATGTTTCCTTTTCTACCGTAGGCCTCAAAGCGCTTGAAATCTCCAGCTGCAAATTCCACAAAAAGGGTCTTTAACCTCTGCTCTTCTAAAGGAAAGTTGAACTCCATGAGTTGAATACACACAGCACAAAGAAGTTACTGAGACTTCTCCTATCAAACATTATATGAAGAAATCCCGTTTCCAACGAAGGCCTCAAAGAGGTCCAAATATCCACTTGCAGACGTAACAAACAGAGTGTTTCCAAACTGCTCCATCAAAAGAAAGGTTAAACTCTGTGAGTCGAACACACACATCACAAAGTAGTTTCTGTGAATGATTCTGTCTAGTTTTTATACGAAGATGTTTCCTTTTCTACCTTTGGTCTCAAAGCGATTGAAATCTCCACATGGAAACTCCACAAAAAGAGTGTTGCAAATCTGCTCTTTCTGAAGGAAGGTTCAACTCTGTGAGTTGAATACACACACCACAAATAAGTTACTGAGAATTCTTCTGTGTAACATTATATGAGGAAATCCCGTTTCCAACGAAGGCCTCAAAGAGGTCCAAATATCCACTTGCAGACTTTACAAAGACAGTGTCTCCAAATTCCTCCATCAAAAGAAAGGTTATACTCTGTGAATTGAACGCACACATCACAAAGTAGTTTCTGAGAATGATTCTGTCTAGTTTTTATACGAAGATATTTCCTTTTCTACATTTGGCCTAAAAGCGCTTGAAATCTCCACGTGCAAATATCACAAAAAGAGGGTTTCACATCTGCTCTGTCTAAAGGACAGTTCACCTCTGTGAGTTGAATAGAGGCAACACAAAGAACTTACTCAGTATTCTTCTTTCTAGCGTTCTATGAAGAAATCCCGTTTCCAACGAAGGCCCCAAAGAGGTCCAAATATCTGCTTGCAGACTTTACAGACAGAGTGTTTCCAAACTACTCTATGAAAAGAAAGCTTAAACTCCTTGAGCTGAACGCACACCTCACAAAGTAGTTTCGGAGAATGATTCTGTCTAGTTTTTATACGAAGATGTTTCCTTTTCTACATTTGGTCTCAAAGCGATTGAAATCTCCAACTGGAAACTGCACAAATAGGGTGTTTCAAATCTGCTCTGTCTAAAGGAAGGTTCAACTCTTTGAGTTGAATACACACACCACAAATAAGTTACTGAGAATTCTTCTGTCGAACATTACATGAAGAAATCCCGTTTCCAACGAAGGCCTCAAAGACGTCCAAATATCCACTTGCAGACATTACAAACAGAGTGTTTCCAAACTGCTCCATCAAAAGAAAGGTTAAACTCTGTGAGCTGAACACACACATCAAAAAGAAGTTTCTGTGAATGATTCTGTCTAGATTTTATAAGAAGATGTTTCCTTTTCTACCATAGGCCTCAAAGCGCTTGAAATCTCCAGGTGCAAATTCCACAAAAAGGGTGTTTAACATCTGCTCTTCTAAAGGAAAGTTGAACTCTATGAGTTGAATACACACAGCACAAAGAAGTTACTGAGACTTCTTCTTTCTAGCGTTATATGAAGAAATCCCGTTTCCAACGAAGACCTCAAAGAGGTCCAAATATCTGCTTGCAGACTTTACAGACAGAGTGTTTCCAAACTGCTCCATCAAAAGAAAGGTTAAACTCCTTGAGTTGAACACACACATCACAAAGTAGTTTCTGTGAATGATTCAGTCTAGTTTTTATACGAAGATGTTTCCTTTTCTACATTTGGTCTCAAAGCGATTGAAATCTCTAACTGGAAACTGCACAAATAGGGTGTTTCAAATCTGCTCTTTCTGAAGGAAGGTTCAACTCTGTGAGTTGAATACACACACCACAAATAAGTTACTGAGAATTCTTCTGTGTAACATTATCTGAGGAAATCCCGTTTCCAACGAAGGCCTCAAAGAGGTCCAAATATCCACTTGCAGACTTTACAAAGACAGTGTCTCCAAACTCCTCCATCAAAAGAAAGGTTATACTCTGTGAATTGAACGCACACATCACAAATTAGTTTCTGAGAATGATTCTGTCTGGTTTTTATACGAAGATATTTCCTTTTCTACAATTGGCCTGAAAGTGCTTGAAATCTCCACCTGCAAATATCACAAAAAGAGGGTTTTACATCTGCTCTGTCTAAAGGACAGTTCACCTCTGTGAGTTGGATAGAGGCAACACAAAGAACTTACTGAGTATTCTTCTTCTAGCGTTCTATGAAGAAATCCCGTTTCCAACGAAGGCCCCAAAGAGGTCCAAATATCTGCTTGCAGACTTTACAGACAGAGTGTTTCCAAACTACTCTATGAAAAGAAAGCTTAAACTCCTTGAGTTGAACGCACACATCACAAAGTAGTTTCTGAGAATGATTCTTTCTTGTTTTTATACGAAGATATTTCCGTTTCTATGATTGGCCTCAAAGCGATTGAAATCTCCAACTGGAAACTGCACAAATAGGGTGTTTCAAATCTGCTCTGTCTAAAGGAAGGTTCAACTCTGTGAGTTGAATACACACACCACAAATAAGTTACTGAGAATTCTTCTGTCGAACATTACTTGAAGAAATCCCGTTTCCAACGAAGGCCTCAAAGAGGTCCAAATATCCACTTGCAGACATTACAAACAGAGTGTTTCCAAACTGCTCCATCAAAAGAAAGGTTAAACTCTGTGAGCTGAACACACACATCGAAAAGAAGTTTCTGTGAATGATTCTGTCTGGATTTTATAAGAAGATGTTTCCTTTTCTACCATAGGCCTCAAAGCGCTAGAAATCTCCAGCTGCAAATTCCACAAAATTGTGTTTAACATCCGCTCTGTCTAAAGTAATGTTCAGCTCTGTGAGTTGAATACACACAGCAAAAAGAAGTTACTGAGACTTCTCCTATCAAACATTATATGAAGAAATCCCGTTTCCAACGAAGGCCTCAAAGAGGTGCAAATATCTGCTTGCAGACTTTACAGACAGAGTGTTTCCAAACTACTCTATGAAAAGAAAGTTTAAACTCCTTGAGTTGAACGCACACATCACAAAGTAGTTTCTTAGAATGATTCTGTCTAGTTTTTATACGAAGATGTTTCCTTTTCTACCTTTGGTCTCAATGCGATTGAAATCTCCACATGGAAACTCCACAAAAAGAGTGTTTCAAATCTGCTCTTTCTGAAGGAAGGTTCAACTCTGTGAGTTGAATACACACACCACAAATAAGTTACTGAGAATTCTTCTGGGTAACATTATATGAGGAAATCCCGTTTCCAACGAAGGCCTCAAAGAGGTCCAAATATCCACTTGCAGACTTTACAAAGACAGTGTCTCCAAACTCCTCCATCAAAAGAAAGGTTATACTCTGTGAATTGAACGCACACATCACAAAGTAGTTTCTGAGAATGATTCTGTCTAGTTTTTATGCGAAGATATTTCCTTTTCTACATTTGGCCTAAAAGCGCTTGAAATCTCCACCTGCAAATATCACAAAAAGAGGGTTTCACATCTGCTCTGTCTAAAGGACAGTTCACCTCTGTGAGTTGAATAGAGGCAACACAAAGAAGTTACTGAGTATTCTTCTTTCTAGCGTTATATGAAGAAATCCCGTTAACAACGAAGGCCTCAAAGAGGTCCAAATATCTGCTTGCAGACTTTAAAGACAGAGTGTTTCCAAACTACTCTATGAAAAGAAAGCTTAAACTCCGTGAGTTGAACGCACACATCACAAAGTAGTTTCTGAGAATGATTCTGTCTAGTTTTTATACGAAGATGTTTCCTTTTCTACGTTTGGTCTCAAAGCGATTGAAATCTCCAACTGGAAACTGCACAAATAGGGTGTTTCAAATCTGCTGTGTCTAAAGGAAGGTTCAACTCTGTGAGTTGAATACACACACCACAAATAAGTTACTGAGAATTCTTCTGTCGAACATTACTTGAAGAAATCCCGTTTCCAACGAAGGCCTCAAAGAGGTCCAAATATCCACTTGCAGACATTACAAACAGATTGTTTCCAACCTGCTCCATCAAAAGAAAGGTTAAACTCTGTGAGCTGAACACACACATCAAAAAGAAGTTTCTGTGAATGATTCTGTCTAGATTTTATAAGAAGATGTTTCCTTTTCTACCGTAGGCCTCAAAAGGCTTGAAATCTCCAGCTGCAAATTCCACAAAAAGGGTGATTAACATCTGCTCTTCTAAAGGAAAGTTCAACTCTGTGAGTTGAATACACACAGCACAAAGAAGTTACTGAGACTTCTCCTATCATACATTATATGAAGAAATCCCGTTTCCAACGAAGGCCTCAAAGAGGTCCAAATATCTGCTTGCAGACTTTACAGACAGAGTGTTTCCAAACTGCTCCATCAAAAGAAAGGTTAAACTCCTTGAGTTGAACACACACATCACAAAGTAGTTTCTGTGAATGATTCTGTCTAGTTTTTATACGAAGATGTTTCCTTTTCTACCTTTGGTCTCAAAGCGATTGAAATCTCCACATGGAAACTCCACAAAAAGTGTGTTTCAAATCTGCTCTTTCTGAAGGAAGGTTCAACTCCGTGAGTTGAATACACACACCACAAATAAGTTACTGAGAATTCTTCTGTGTAACATTATATGAGGAAATCCCGTTTCCAACGAAGGCCTCAAAGAGGTCCAAATATCCACTTGCAGTCTTTACAAAGACAGTGTCTCCAAACTCCTTCATCAAAAGAAAGGTTATACTCTGTGAATTGAACGCACACATCACAAAGTAGTTTCTGAGAATGATTCTGTCTAGTTTTTATACGAAGATATTTCCTTTTCTACATTTGGCCTAAAAGCGCTTGAAATCTCCACCTGCAAATATCACAAAAAGAGGGTTTCACATCTGCTCTGTCTAAAGAACAGTTCACCTCTGTGAGTTGAATAGAGGCAACACAAAGAACTTACTCAGTATTCTTCTTTCTAGCGTTATATGAAGAAATCCCGTTTACAACGACGGCCTCAAAGAGGTCCAAATATCTGCTTGTAGACTTACAGACAGAGTGTTTCCAAACTACTCTATGAAAAGAAAGCTTAAACTCCGTGACTTGAACGCGCACATCACAAAGTACTTTCTGAGAATGATTCTGTCTTGTTTTTATACGAAGATATTTCCGTTTCTACGATTGGCCTCAAAGCGATTGAAATCTCCAAGTGGAAACTGCACAAATAGGGTGTTTCAAATCTGCTCTGTCTAAAGGAAGGTTCAACTCTGTGAGTTGAATACACACACCACAAATAAGTTACTGAGAATTCTTCTGTCGAACATTACTTGACGAAATCCCGTTTCCAACGAAGGCCTCAAAGAGGTCCAAATATCCACTTGCAGACATTACAAACAGAGTGTTTCCAAACTGCTCCATCAAAAGAAAGGTTAAACTCTGTGAGCTGAACACACACATCAAAAAGAAGTTTCTGTGAATGATTCTGTCTAGATTTTCTAAGAGGATGTTTCCTTTTCTACCGTAGGCCTCAAAGCGCTTGAAATCTCCAGCTGCAAATTCCACAAAAAGGGTGTTTAACATCTGCTCTTCTAAAGGAAAGTTCAACTCTATGAGTTGAATACACACAGCACAAAGAAGTTACTGAGACTTCTCCTATCAAACATTATATGAAGAAACCCCGTTTCCAACGAAGGCCTCAAAGAGGTCCAAATATCTGCTTGCAGACTTTACAGACAGAGTGTTTCCAAACTGCTCCATCAAAAGAAAGGTTAACCTCCTTGAGTTGAACACACACATCACAAAGTAGTTTCTGTGAATGATTCTGTCTAGTTGTTATACGAAGATGTTTCCTTTTCTACCTTTGGTCTCAAAGCGATTGAAATCTCCACATGGAAACTCCACAAAAAGAGTGTTTCAAATCTGCTCTTTCTGAAGGAAGGTTCATCTCTGTGAGTTGAATACACACACGACAAATAAGTTACTGAGAATTCTTCTGTGTAACATTATATGAGGAAATCCCGTTTCCAACGAAGGCCTGAAAGAGGTCCAAATGTCCACTTGCAGACTTTACAAAGACAGTGTCTCCAAACTCCTCCATCAAAAGAAAGGTTATACTCTGTGAATTGAGCACACATCACAATGTAGTTTCTGAGAATGATTCTGTCTAGTTTTTATACGAAGATATTTCCTTTTCTACATTTGGCCTAAAAGCGCTTGAAATCTCCACCTGCAAATATCACAAAAAGAGGGTTTCACATCTGCTCTGTCTAAAGGACAGTTCAGCTCTGTGAGTTGAATAGAGGCAACACAAAGAACTTACTCAGTATTCTTCTTTCTAGCGTTATATGAAGAAATGCCGTTTCCAACGAAGGCCTCAATGAGGTCCAAATATCGGCTTGCAGAATTTACAGACAGAGTGTTTCCAAACTACTCTATGAAAAGAAAGCTTAAACTCCTTGAGTTGAACGCACACATCACAAAGTAGTTTCTGAGAATGATTCTGTCTTGTTTTTATACAAATGTATTACCGTTTCTATGGCCTCAAAGCAATTGAAATCTCCAACTGGAAACTGCCCAAATAGGGTGTTTCAAATCTGCTCTGTCTAAAGGAAGGTTCAACTCTGTGAGTTGAATACACACACCACAAATAAGTTACTGAGAATTCTTCTGTCGAACATTACATGAAGAAATCCCGTTTCCAACGAAGGCCTCAAACAGGTCCAAATATCCACTTGCAGACATTACAAACAGAGTGTTTCCAAACTGCTCCATCAAAAGAAAGGTTAAACTCTGTGAGCTGAACACACACATCAAAAAGAAGTTTCTGTGAATGATGCTGTCTAGATGTTATACAAAGATGTTTCCTTTTCTACCATTGGCCTCAAAGAGCTTTAAATCTCCAGCTGCAAATTCCACAGAAAGGGTGTTTAACGTCTGCTCTTCTAAAGGAAATTTCCAATCTGTGAGTTGAATACACACAGCACAAATAAGTTACTGAGACTTCTTCTTTCTAGCGTTATATGAAGAAATCCCGTTTCCAACGAAGTCCTCAAAGAGGTCCAAATATCTGCTTGCAGACTTTACAGACAGAGTGTTTCCAAACTGCTCCGTAAAAAGAAAGGTTAACCTCCATGAGTTGAACACACACATCACAAAGTAGTTTCTGTGAAAGATTCTGTCTAGTTGTTATACGAAGATGTTTCCTTTTCTACCTTTGGTCTCAAATCGATTGAAATCTCCACATGGAAACTCCACAAAAAGAGTGTTTCAAATCTGCTCTTTCTGAAGGAAGGTTCATCTCTGTGAGTTGAATACACACACCACAAATAAGTTACTGAGAATTCTTCTGTGTAACATTATATGAGGAAATCCCGTTTCCAACGAAGGCCTCAAAGAGGTCCAAATATCCACTTGCAGACTTTACAAAGACAGTGTCTCCAAACTCCTCCATCAAAAGAAAGGTTATACTCTTTGAATTGAACGCACACATCACAAAGTAGTTTCTGAGAATGATTCTGTCTAGTTTTTATACGAAGATATTTCCTTTTCTACATTTGGCCTAAAAGCGCTTGAAATCTCCACCTGCAAATATCACAAAAAGAGGTTTTCACATCTGCTCTGTCTAAAGGACAGTTCACCTCTGTGAGTTGAATAGAGGCAACACAAAGAACTTACTCAGTAGTCTTCTTTCTACCGTTCTATGAAGAAATCCCGTTTCCAACGAAGGCCTCAAAGAGGTCCAAATATCTGCTTGCAGACTTTACAGACAGAGTGTTTCCAAACTACTCTATGAAAAGAAAGCTTAAACTCCTTGAGTTGAACGCACACATCACAAAGTAGTTTCTGAGAATGATTCTGTCTAGTTTTTATACGAAGATGTTTCCTTTTCTACATTTGGTCTCAAAGCGATTGAAATCTCCAACTGGAAACTGCACAAATAGGGTGTTTCAAATCTGCTCTTTCTGAAGGAAGGTTCAACTCTGTGAGTTGAATACACACACCACAAATAAGTTACTGAGAATTCTTCTGTCGACCATTACTTGATGAAATCCCGTTTCCAACGAAGGCCTCAAAGAGGTCCAAATATCCACTTGCAGACATTACAAACAGAGTGTTTCCAAACTGCTCCATCAAAAGAAAGGTTAAACTCTGTGAGCTGAACACACACATCGAAAAGAAGTTTCTGTGAATGATTCTGTCTAGATTTTATAAGAAGATGTTTCCTTTTCTACCGTAGGCCTCAAAGCGCTTGAAATCTCCAGCTGCAAATTCCACAAAAAGGGTGTTTAAAATCTGCTCTTCTAAAGGAAAGTTCAACTCTATGAGTTGAATACACACAGCACAAAGAAGTTACTGAGACTTCTCCTATCAAACATTATATGAAGAAATCCCGTTTCCAACGAAGGCCTCAAAGAGGTCCAAATATCTGCTTGCAGACTTTTCAGACAGAGTGTTTCCAAACTGCTCCATCAAAAGAAATGTTAAATTCCTTGAGTTAAACACACACATCACAAAGTAGTTTCTGTGAATGATTCTGTCTAGTTTTTATACGAAGATGTTTCCTTTTCTACCTTTGGTCTCAAAGCGATTGAAATCTCCACATGGAAACTCCACAAAAAGAGTGTTTCAAATCTGCTCTTTCTGAAGGAAGGTTCACCTCTGTGAGTTGAATAAACACACCACAAATAAGTTACTGAGAATTCTTCTGGGTAACATTATATGAGGAAATCCCGTTTCCAACGAAGGCCTCAAAGAGGTCCAAATATCCACTTGCAGACTTTACAAAGACAGTGTCTCCAAACTCCTCCATCAAAAGAAAGGTTATACTCTGTGAATTGAACGCACACATCACAAAGTAGTTTCTGAGAATGATTCTGTCTAGTTTTTATACGAAGATATTTCCTTTTCTACATTTGGCCTAAAAGCACTTGAAATCTCCACCTACAGATGTCACAAAAAGAGGGTTTCACATCTGCTCTGTCTAAAGGACAGTTCACCTCTGTGAGTTGAATAGAGGCAACACAAAGAAGTTACTGAGTATTCTTCTTTCTAGCGTTCTATGAAGAAATCCCGTTTCCAACGAAGACCCCAAAGAGGTCCAAATATCTGCTTGCAGACTTTACAGACAGAGTGTTTCCAAACTACTGTATGAAGAGAAAGCTTAAACTCCTTGAGTTGAAGGCACACATCACAAAGTAGTTTCTGATAATGATTCTGTCTAGTTTTTATACGAAGATGTTTCCTTTTCTACATTTGGTCTCAAAGCGATTGAAATCTCCAACTGGAAACTGCACAAATAGGGTGTTTCAAATCTGCTCTGTCTAAAGGAAGGCTCAACTCTGTGAGTTGAATACACACACCACAAATAAGTTACTGAAAATTCTGCCATAAAAAATGATGAGTTCATATCCTTTGTAGGGACATGGATGAAATTGGAAACCATCATTCTCAGTAAACTATCGCAAGAACAAAAAACCAAACACTGCATATTCTCACTCATAGGTGGGAATTGAACAATGAGATCACATGGACACAGGAAGGGGAATATCACACTTTGGGGACTGCGGTGGGGTCGGGGGAGGGGGGAGGGATAGCATTGGGAGATATACCTAATGCTAGATGACACATTAGTGGGTGCAGTGCACCAGTATGGCACATGTATACATATGTAACTAACCTGCACAATGTGCACATGTACCCTAAAACTGAGAGTATAATAAAAAAAATAAAAAAAAAAAAAAAAAAAAAAAAAAAATAAAGGACAGTTCACCTCTGTGAGTTGAATAGAGGCAACACAAAGAACTTACTCAGTATTCT